>NC_000012.12:17084650-17709650 GCF_000001405.40 Homo sapiens | reverse complement strand
TCCACTTGGTGATTGTGGAGACCACTGTGAACAGTGTCCAGGACCATCAGGAGGCTCCCTTGCCTAGTTTCAGAGGCTGAATCCTTGTGATCAATCAAACATGGCTTAGTGAGTTGTTGGTCATGTTCATGAAATCCTTCCTTACTCAAATGTCGTTGAAGATAACCTCTTGTTTTCTGCCAAATGTTTGACAGTTTTGTGTTTTATAGTTTCGTTTTCACATATAGTTCGTGGACAGCTACAAGAGGTTAAGAAAATGAAAAACTGATTTGATTTACATTTTAAATAAATAATATTAGCTTATGTGAAAAATAGAAATTGCCAGCAGAGGCAGGTTGGGCATTCAAGGCTAGATGGAAGAGACCAGTTAGGAGGCTCGTCCCACTTTGGTTTATATGAGATAACTAGTTACACTTTTATATTGAGAGTTATTTTTAATTAAAAAAGTAAACCTTGCATTTTATCAAATCTGCTTTTAACAGCCACAACATTTATATTGTTTTCTATATTGATCTATATATGTGGTAAATGGCATTAATCTATTTTAAATTTTGAACTACCCCTGTCTATTTGGAATACAGCAACCACGGCCAAATTAATATTATCTGTTAATATGTGACAGGGTTCTGTTTGACTCTTGGATTGATGCTTCAAAGTCTCACTTTTTCATCAATGTATTATATCAGCACAGACTAATGGTTATTTGATGGGTTATAATTCCATGCTGTCATTATTTATACTAATCCTCAAATTGCCCTAATTTTTGGCAAGGAGAGCTCTTTCAGTCTGGCCCCTGTGTCCTTTTAATATTTTCCCATAATTTTTTACCACTTTCTTATTTTCTGACACAGTAAGGTGTTCCTGGTTCACCTTTAACTTTCTGTTTCCTAGGCCTGCAATTTGCAATTGATGCAAGGAGGTCTGGTTCCTTTAAGCGGAAAATGGAGAATTGTACTTGAAAAACAAGATCTGGTATTGCCTACACTCATTGTTATAGAGGTATTCCTGCTCTAGTCACTCTCTGTGGAAAGAGTTAGAAAATACATATTCATATTTGTACACACACACCTTTACATCTATATCATTTTTATATCTATTCATATATACTGAAAACCATACTTACATTACCATTCCAATCCAATTCTATAGTGTTTATTTTCGTTACCATTCCAATCCAATTCTATAGTGTTTATTTTCATTTTCTCCCTTTTCTTATTTGTAACTCTCTTCCCGGTGAGAAACCTGACTTTAACCATCTTTAATATATTTACGTATGTGAGTCAACTCCCCGTATGAACTCATCACTGTCCCAGTGTGGATACCCTGTTCTCCCCTGTGGACTCTTACACATAGCGTGGTACCCTGTGTGGTCCTCTCCTCACCCCAGTCTGGTCCAACACTCTCCACTGTACAACAGTCACATGTGGAGGCCCTACTAACCCTGCTGGTGGTCTAACATCCTGTGCTAGGCTGTCGTCCCTCGTGTATGCTCCCTCCAATTCAATCAGGTTGGGCTTTCCTTTTAGGCTCTCCACCAGGCCATCACCTTGATTGAGCTCTAATACCCTATTGCAGGCTTGGACTCTACAGTGGCACTCTCCAAATTCCACCTGACACTCCACATCATATCAGCCCCCTCCCAGTGTGGACACCCTTCTCACCCTAATCAGGCTCTTACAACCCACGACAGACAGCATCCCTATGCAAGGGAGGTGCTTTCTCATCCTGGGCTTGGATTTTCCACACAGAGAAATTGTCCTCCTCTCCTTCACCCAACTAGGGCTTCAAAACCCCATGCCAGGCTGCTTCCCATAAGTGTGGATGCCATTCTCACCTGACTCAGACTCTGGCATCCTGTGCTAAGATTCACTGACACAACTACATTGACACACATCCAATGACAACATTCTCACATTTATCATGTTCTGGAGCCCATGCTAGGTCACCCACCTGTGTGAATGTCCCTCTAAACCCACCAGGCAGTAACAACCTCACCAATAATTAGTTCTTGAAATCAGACAACTTCATCACTCTTCTTAGCCTTCACTACCCGATTCTAAGAGGCAATTATTTATTACATTTTATATTTATTCAATATTAAATATTATTGGCATTTTAAATTTTTGTGTGTGTGGGCTCAAATTTTCATCCAATATCTTTTGTTCTACAACTGAAGAACTTTTCTTAGTAATTACTGTAAAATGGATGGGCTGAATTACATACACACACACACAGAAAAAAAAAAAAAAAAAAAACGAAAACAAAACACAACTCCACTTCTCTACAGCTTTAACCCCTCTGGAGAGTGAGACAAGGCTGGTAAAAAACACCATGAGATTTCCTCCCACTTAGAATATGGCTTTTTCTTAATTGGGCATTCCCGTAGCTGCTGCAGACTTTTGGCTCCCTCTCAGATTCCTATAAGGTTATTTTCTCCTAGTTTGTAGTAGTGTTTGGTATTTCCATGGGAAAACTGAGGCTTGGATCTTCCTAATCTGCCATTTTGCTTGTGTCGTCTTCCATTTTTAAATGATAAATTTAGTTCACTTTTATTTAGAGTAGTGACTGGTTTATGTCAGTTTATTTCTAATATTTTGGGTGCTGTTTTGAATTTTTAAAACTTTTATTCGCTCTTGGTTTTTTTTTTTTTTTTTTTTTTTTTTTGAGATGGAGTCTCGTTCTATATCTCCCAGGCTGGAGTGCAGTGATGCGATCTCGGCTCACTGCAAGCTCTGCCTCCTGGGTTCACGCCATTCTCCTGCCTCAGCCTCCCAAGTAGCTGGGACTACAGGCGCCTGCCACCACGCCTGGCTAATTTTTTGTAGTTTTAAAGAAATGGGGGTTCACCGTGGTCTCGATCTCCTGACCTCGTAATCCGCCCACCTCAGCCTCCCAAAGTGCAGGGATTACAGGCGTGTATTCGCTTTTGTTTTTATGGGAGTGATTAAGTTCTTCTTACCACCACCACCACATTCCTTTCATCCCTCTAGTGATTTGGAAGTTATGTATTTTAGTCTAAAGTGAAACAATCCCTTTAAAATCTTCTTTAATGAGGCAAGACACTTAGACTTTTTTGACCCCCCCATAATTACTTGATATATTTGTGCTATTATTTCAATTTACCTTGCGTTATAAACCAAGTATTAATATTAGCTTGTAAAATTTATAATTTACATTTACCCAAATATTTCCTAAATTAACTGACTTGTTCATATTGTTTCCATTACATAATTTATTTCTTCCTAAAATATATACATAAGAATTATCTAGAAATAATAATGTGAGTAAAATTCAGTCTACTTGTCTCAGAATATATTTATTTTGCTTTCATTAATATGATAATAGGCATAGAATTATATAGATTTGGCTATTATATTTTCTTCAATATATTTTTCTTCAATAATGAGTTTTTTAATTATTAAAAAATTTGTTTTCTGTTTTATTTTATAATCTTTTATGTAAACAATGGACAGAAGTGAACAGAAACAAAAAATTCTGCTCTTACACTGCTTGCATTCTTTGTGGGAGATAAATATTAAACAAGGAATAAACTGTATTACATTGGGTTTGCTTGACTGCATCTGGAATATCAAACCTTTTGTATTCAAAAATGTGTTTTGTTGGCATAAGTATTTAAAAATTTTAAAAACAATCTGAGTAAAATTTTTTGTCTCTTCTTTCCTTTTGGGTAATCTCGTTTTATATTCAGTCTTATAGTTATGTCTTTGACATCCATTATTACTTCAAATAATTCACTATCTTATTTTCTCTTTTATTTGAATTACAATTAAGTATCTGCTGGGCCTCTTTCTTCTGGTGCTCAGATTCCTTGATATATTTTCTATTATTTTATTTATGTAGTTTCTGAGCTGTAGTCTATTTAAGGTACTTCTAGTTCACCAACCTTCTTTAGCTGTGTAAGGTCACCTGTATAATTGCATTTTAATTTAAGCTGATAATTTGAAAGCTTAAATATATTCTTTATTTCTATAGTTTTTGCTATTCTCTCTCCATTATTAATTTCATTTTATGTACTTTACTCAAATTGTATTTTTCTTTAATAGTTTCATTCATTTTAATTATAATTAAAATGACTACATTTTGGCGGGGGTTGAGCCAAGATGGCCGAATAGGAACAGCTCCAGTCTACAGCTCCCAGCATCAGCGATGCATAAGATGGGTGATTTTTGCATTTCCAACTGAGGTACCAGGTTCATCTCACTGGGGGGTGCCGGACAGTGGGTGCAGGACAGTGGGTGCAGCGCACCATGCGTGAGCCAAAGCAGGGCAAGGTATCGCCTCACCTGGGAAGCGCAAGGGGTCAGGGAATTCCCTTTCCTAGTCAAAGAAAGGGGTCACAGACAGCAGCTGGAAAATCAGGTCACTCCCACCCTAATACTGCGCTTTTCTAGTGGACTTAACAAACGGCACACCAGGAGATTATATCCTGCACATGGCTCGGAGGGTCCTACGCCCACAGAGCCTCACTCATTGCTAGAACAGCAGTCTGAGATCAAATTGTAAGGAAACAGCAAGGCTGGGGGTGGGGCACCCACCATTGCCAAGGCTTGAGTAGGTAAACAAAGCAGCTGGGAAGCTCGAACTGGGTGGAGCCAACCACAGCTCAAGGAGGCCTGCCTGCCTGCCTGCCTGCCTCTGTAGACTCCATCTCTGGGGGCAGGGCACAGACAAACAAAAGGCAGCAGTAACCTCTGCAGACTTAAATGTCCCTGTCTGAGAGCTTTGAAGAGAGCAGTGGTTCTCCCACCATGCAGCTTGAGATCTGAGAATGGGCAGACTGCCTACTCACGGGGGTCCCAGACCCCTGAGTAGCCTAACTGGGAGGCACCCCCCCAGTAGGGGTGGACTGACACTTCACACAGAAAGGTACTCCTCTGAGACAAAACTTCCAGATGAACAATCAGGCAGCAGCATTTGCAGTTCACCAATATCCACTGTTCTGCAGCCACTGCTGCTGATACCAGGCAAACAGGGTCTTGAGTGGACCTCCAGCAAACTCCAACAGACCTGCAGCTGAGGGTCCTGACTGTTACAAGGAAAACTAACAAACAGAAAGGATATCCACACAAAAAAAACCCATCTGTACATCACTATCATCAAAGACCAAAGGTAGATAAAACCACAAAGATGGGGAAAAAACAGAGCAGAAAAACTGGAAACTCTAAAAATTAGAGCACCTCTCCTCCTCCAAAGGAATGCAGCTCCTCACGAGCAACGGAACAAAGCTGGATGGAAAATGACTTTGACAAGTTGAGAGAAGAAGGCTTCAGAAGATCAAACTACTCTCAGCTAAAGGAGGAAGTTCGAGCCAATGGCAAAGGAGTTAAAAACCTTGAAAAAAAATTAGATGAATGGCTAACTAGAATAACCAATTTAGAGAAGTCCTTAAAGGACCTGATAACCAAGGCAAGCTGAAAACCAAGGCAAGAGAACTACATGACAAATGCAAAAGCCTCAGTAGCCGATGTGATCAACTGGAAGAAAGGGTATCAGTGATGGAAGATGAAATGAATGAAATGAAGTGAGAAGAGAAATTTAGAGAAAAAATAACAAAAAGAAATGAACAAAGCCTCCAAGAAATATGGGACTATGTGAAAAGACCAAATCTACATCTGATTGGTGTACCTGAAAGTGACGGGGAGAATGGAACCAAGTTGGAAAACACTCTGCAGGATATTATCCAGGAGAACTTCCCCAATCTAGCAAGGCAGGCCAACATTCAAATTCAGGAAATACAGAGAATGCCACGAAGATACTCCTCGAGAAGAGCAACTCCAAGACACATAATTGTCAGATTCACCAAAGTTGAAATGAAGGAAAACATGTTAAGGGCAGTCAGAGAGAAAGGTCGGGTTACCCACAAAGGGAAGCCCATCACACTAACAGCTGATCTCTCGGCAGAAACTCTACAAGCCAGAAGAGAGTGGGGGCCAATATTCAACATTCTTAAAAGAATTTTCAACCCAGAGTTTCATATCCAGCCAAACTAAGCTTCATAAGTGAAGGAGAAATAAAATACTTTACAGACAAGCAAATGCTGAGAGACTTTGTCACCACCAGGCCTGCCCTAAAAGAGCTCCTGAAGGAAGCACTAAACATGGAAAGGAACAATCGCTACCAGCCACTGCAAAAACATGCCAAATTGTAAAGACCATCGAGACTAGGAAGAAACTGCATGAACTAACGAGCAAAATCACCAGCTAACATCATAATGACAGGATCAAATTCACACATAACAATACTAACCTTAAATGTAAATGGACTAAATGCTCCAATTAAAAGACACAGACTGGCAAATTGGATAAAGAGTCAAGACACATCAGTGTGCTGTATTCAGGAAACCCATCTCATGTGCAGAGACACACATAGGCTCAAAATAAAGGGATGGAGGAAGATCTACCAAGCAAATGGAAAACAAAAAAAGGCAGGGGTTGCAATCCTAGTCTCTGATAAAACAGACTTTAAACCAACAAAGATCAAAAGAGACAAAGAAGACCATTACATAATGGTAAAGGGATCAATTCAACAAGAAGAGCTAACTATCGTAAATATATATGCACCCAATACAGGAGCACCCAGATTCATAAAGCAAGTCCTGAGTGACCTACAAAGAGACTTAGACTCCCACACAATAATAATGGGAGACTTTAACACCCACTGTCAACATTAGACAGATCAATGAGACAGAAAGTTAACAACAATATCCAGAAATTGAACTCAGCTCTGCACCAAGCATACCTAATAGACATCTACAGAACTCTCCACCCTAAATCAACAGAATATACATTCTTTTCAGCACCACACCACACCTATCCCAAAATTGACCACATAGTTGGAAGTAAAGCACTCCTCAGCAAATGTAAAAGAACAGAAATTATAACAAACTGTCTCTCAGACCACAGTGCAATCAACTAGAACTCAGGATTAAGAATCTCACTCAAAACCGCTCAACTACATGGAAACTGAACAACCTGCTCCTAAATGACTACTGGGTACATAAAGAAATGAAGGCAGAAATAAAGATGTTCTTTGAAAACAATGAGAACAAAGACACAACATACCAGAATCTCTGGGACACATTCAAAGCAGTGTGTAGAGGGAAATTTATAACACTAAATGCCCACAAGAGAAAGCAGGAAAGATCTAAAATGGACACCCTAACATCACAATTAAAAGAACTAGAGAAGAAAGAGCAAACACATTCAAAAGCTAGCAGAAGGCAAGAAGTAACTGAGATCAGAGCAGAACTGAATGAGATAGAGACATAAAAAACCCTTCAAAAAATCAATGAATCCAGGAGCTGGTTTTTTGAAAAGATCAACGAAATTGATAGACCGCTAACAAAACTAACAAAGAAGAAAAGAGGGAAGAATCAAATAGACGCAATAAAAAATGATGAAGGGGTATCACCACCCCTTCCCACAGAAATACAAACTACCATCAGAGTGTACTATACACACCTCTATGCAAATAAACTAGAAAATCTAGAAGAAATGGATAAATTCCTGGACACATACACCCTCCCAAGACTAAACCAGGAAGAAGTTGAATCTCTGAATAGACTAATACCAGGCTCTGAAATTGAGGCAAAAATTAATAGCTTACCAACCAAAAAAAGTCCATGACCAGATGGATTCACAGCCAAATTCTACCAGAAGTACAAGGAGGAGCTGGTACGATTCCTTCTGAAACTATTCCAATCAGTAGAAAAAGAGGGAATCCTCCCTAACTCATTTTATGAGGCCAGCCTCATCCTGATACCAATGCCTGACAGAGACACAACCAAAAAAAGAGAATTTTAGACCAATATCCTTGATGAACATTGATGCAAAAATCCTCAATAAAATACTGGCAAACTGAATCCAGCAGCACATTAAAAAGCTTATCCACCATGATCAAGTGGGCTTCATCCCTGGGATGCAAGGCTGGTTCAACATACACAAATCAATAGACGTAATCCAGCATATAAACAGAATCAAAGACAAAAACCATATGATTATTTCAATAGATGCACAAAAGGCCTTTGACAAAATTCAACAGCCCTTCATGCTAAAAACTCTCAATAAATTAGGTATTGATGGGATGTATCTCAAAATAATCAGAGCTCTCTATGACCAACCCACAGCCAATATCATACCGAATGGACAAAAACTGAAAGCATTGCCTTTGAAAACTGGCACAAGACAGGGATGCCCTCTCTCACCACTCTTATTCAACATAGTGTTGGAAGTTCTGGCCAGGGCAATCAGGCAGGAGGAGGAAATAAAGGGTATTCAATTAGGAAAAGAGGAAGTCAAATTGTCCCTGTTTGCAGATGACATGATTGTATTTCTAGAAAACCCCATTGTCTCAGCCCAAAATCTCCTTAAGCTGATAGACAACTTCAGCAAAGTCTCAGGATACAAAATCAATGTGCAAAAATCACAAGCATTCTTATACACGAATAACAGACAAACAGAGAGCCAAATCATGAGTGAACTCCCACTCACAATTGCTTCAAAGAGAATAAAATACCTAGGAATCCAACTTACAAGGGACGTGAAGGACCTCTTTAAGGAGAACTACAAACCACTGCTCAATGAAATAAAAGAAGACACAAACAAATGGAAGAACATTCCATGCTCATCAGTAAGAAGAATCAATAGCGTGAAAATGGCCATCCTGCCCAAGGTAATTTATAGATTCAATGCCATCCCCATCAAGCTACCAATTACTTTCTTCACAGAATTGGAAAGAACTACTTTAAAGTTTATATGGAATCAAAAAAGAGCCCCATTGCCAAGTCAATCCTAAGCCAAAAGAACAAAGCTGGAGGCATCATGCTACCTGACTTCAAACTATACTACAAGGCTACAGTAACCAAAACAGCATGGTACTGGTACCAAAACAGAGATATAGTGCAATGGAACAGAACAGAGCCCTCAGAAATAATGCCTCTTATCTACAACTATCTGATCTTTGACAAACCTGACAAAAACAAGCAAAGGGGAAAGGATTCCCTATTTAATAAAATGGTGCTGGGAAAACTGGCTAGCCATATATAGAAAGCTGAAACTGGATCCTTTCCTTACACCTTAGACAAAAATTAATTCAAGATGGATTAAAGACTTAAATGTTAGACCTAAAACCATAAAAACCCTAGAAGAAAACCTAGGCATTACCATTCAGGACATAGGCATGGGCAAGGACTTCATGTCCAAAACACCAAAAGCAATGGCAACAAAAGCCAAAATTGACAAATGGGATCTCATTAAACTAAAGAGCTTCTGCACAGCAAAAGAAACTACCATCAGAGTGAACAGGCAACCTACAAAATGGGAGAAAATTTTTGCAATCTACTCATCTGACAAAGGGCTAATATCCAGAATCTACAATGAACTCAAACAAATTTACAAGAAAAAAACAAACAATCCCATCAACAAGTGGGCGAAGGATATGAACAGACACTTCTCAAAAGAAGACATTTATGCAGCCAAAAGACACATGAAAAAATGCTCATCATCACTGGCCATCAGAGAATTGCAAATCAAATCCACAATGAGATACCATCTCACACCAGTTAGAATGGCAATCATTAAAAAGTCAGGAAACAACAGGTGCTGGAGAGGATATGGAGAAATAGGAACACTTTTACACTGTTGGTGGGACTGTAAACTGGTTTAACCATTGTGGAAGTCAGTGTGGCGATTCCTCAGGGATCTAGAACTAGAAATACTATTTGACCCAGCCATCCCATTACTGGGTATATACCCAAAGGATTACAAATCATGCTGCTATAAAGACATGTGCACACGTATGTTTATTGCAGCACTATTCACAATAGCAAAGACTATTTGTCCACAACCCATATGTCCAACAAGGATAGACTGGATTAAGAAAGTGTGGCACATATACACCATGGAATACTATGCAGCCATAAAAAATGATGAGTTCATGTCCTCTGTAGGGACATGAATGAAGCTGGAAACCATCATTCTCAGCAAACTATAGCAAAGACAAAAAACCAAACACCACATGTTCTCACTCATAGGTGGGAATTGAACAATGAGAACACATGGACACAGGAAGGGGAACATCACACACTGGGGACTGTTGTGGGGTGGGGGGAGGGGGGAGGGATAGAATTAGGAGATATACCTAATGCTAAATGAGGAGTTAATGAGTGTAGAACACCAACATGGCACATGTATACATATGTAACAAACCTGCACATTGTGCACATGTACCCTAAAACTTAAAGTATAGTAATAATTTTTAAAAAAGACCTCAACCACTGAGATCTTAATTTCAGTTATTTCACTCGTATGTTTAATAATTGTGAATTTTAAAATTTTCCAGTTGTTAAATTTCCCATTTTGTCACTTATGAATACGTTAATTAAAATTATTTTCAAATAAAAAAAGACTACCTTTTATATCATTAAAATGACTACGGTATATTTTTAATTATCCTCATTTTATAACAACATCAAATTGTGGTTTTAATCTTTTTCTATTTTGTTCCATGTCAAAAGTTCCTCAATCCTAGTGAAATGTGTATGTTTATGTATGTGTGTTTGTAATTACACAACAATAAATTTATTTTCATGAGGCTTGATCTTTTTATTTGGGGAAGAAAAAAACTCTTAGGTTTTTTGAGGAGTATTCTCCAAATAAGTATAGAATTTGCTTCTGTTGTCTTGGTGCAAAAGTAGTTGATATTTTTATCACTACTTTTAATGGCAAACCCAAAATTACTTTTATACCAACCTAACAGAACTACTGCTGACCTAATCCTTTTATAATGTTAATTTTTGGCTTAGAAATTTCCAGAATTCCTAATTCAAATACAGATAATGAAGACCTCAGACTGTCTTGAGAATCGGGATAGTGGTTAAGCCTCACCGGAGAAGAAGGAAAATCTTTTCTTCATCCAGAACTTTCACATTTCTCTTTAACATCTACCTGAGATATTGGTTCATTTTTTAACTGAAGCCATAACACGTTGAAGGTAATAGATTTATGCAGCTTTATCCATTCTAATTTCTTGGCTCATCTGTCTCTGCATGGACATTAAAACCAAATGCCCAGATTACTAAAATCAAAATTCTTCATCCCGACCCAGGAAGCTCTAGCGTTAGTTAGTACTCTGGTTTTTAGTATCTCCTTCATTGTAGCTTGTGCATTTTGTTTTATTCTATCTTGTTTTCTTAAAACATACACAAATTAAATTAAGCAAAATATTTATTTTTATATTTAAATAATTGGATATATACAGCCTGCTTTTATTTGTGTATCCATTTGTTGGTTGGCTTATTTTATTATGGCTAAAAAAGAAGCAACCATGGATTCACCCTGTCAACCTTGTGCATGTCTCCTGATGCACACATGTTAAAAAGCTCTATGGGCTATGTACCTGAGAGAATGATTGCTGGGTTAAGGCTATGTAAATGTTCAATTACATGTAATACCAAACCTTTTTCAAAAGTACTGTTAAAATATGAGCTTGTTTGTGTCCACATTGTCTTTTATCTTTGGGATTTTCAGAATTTAAATTTTTTGCCAATCAATATGTATGGTCTTGGTTTGCATTTTCCTGATCACAAATAAGTTTGAACATGTTTAATATAACTATATTTTTGGTTCCATGTATTTTTGTTTCTAGTAAATGTATTTCAATTGTCCTCTGTGCATTATTTCATTAGTATTTTTCTCTTGTCTTAATAATTTATAGGCATTGCTTTTGCATTCTTGATATTGAGCCTTTGTAAGATTTGTGTATTGCCAACATCTTTTCACAGTCTATAATTTTACTTTTCACTTCTTTTAAATTGTTTTATGAGGTACGAAAGCTTTTATGTTTAATAGTTAAATTTGTCAGTCCTTTGTATCACATAAAGTCAGTGAAGTGTTTGAAATAGCATTGACTGTCAAGATGCTTTTGAAAAAGTGAGAATTTAGGTAACTTACTAAATTTTTTTTCCACAATTTTCTTGATGATATATGGGAGAAAATATACGCAATAGCTGTACCTTTTAAATCTCACTGTTAAAATAGTTTATTTATTTTTCCAAAGTGAGTTAATGATGAAGCATTTGCCTGTGTGGACTTGAGGGCACAATCTGTCTTCACAGGAAGCTTCCTCAGAACCACCAGTGTGAACCCCTGAGGATGCCTCCTTTTTACAAACCCTACAGTTAGCCTCAATATTAGGTTTAGATTCCTGGATCAGTTCCAACCTGGAAAATACACAATGCTTACTAAAATTTCTGCTGCAGTTTGAATGCAATGCAGAGTATTTCTTCACTTTTCATAAAACCTTCAATATGATCTCAAATATATTAAAATATATTTTAATCTCCAGGGTAAATGATGATGTTCAGGGTTGCATATTCTTTTTCATGACATAGTCAAAATAAAACTTTGTTGTTTCAAAAATAAATACATAGTTTGAGCACATTCTTATTTCATTTACCCTGTATGTATTTACTGTCAAAAAGCCTTTAGGTACTATTTTAGATATGATAACTCAGGTAGGTAGGTAGATAGATTGACAGACAGACAGATGTGTGTGCGTGTGTGTATATATATATATACACACACTAGTAAAAGCATCAATTTCAAATGATCAGGTCTGGATTAGCACAATTTCTATATTGTATAACCTCAGTCTAAACTTTAGATTTAAGCAGATTTACAGAGAGTTGAATATTCTAGGGCAACACAGAGAGAGATTGCAGATACCTCTTTCTAAATTTGTAAACTGACCTCAGTAGATCACCCATTAGAGCAAAAATTCAATATTAAAATGCATAAATGGCTACATTGTAAAGTACAATTCTACTAAGTTTCTGTCCAGAAAATTGAAATCGTGGATTGAAAAATGTTATTTGGGCTAGCTTAACAATTAAATTGATTGACTGTATGACTAAATCTATTGAGATCACAGACTAGAATCTTCATGGCAGTCAAAACATTGACACAGAGAGATGAATATTTTATTTATGTATAGATTATATTTTGAATTTCTCAAAAAATTTTAACTATAATATTACATTCATCTACTGATTCTTTTTCAAATACATAAAGTGAAATTACCTGTACTTCACTCACTGCATAACCTTAGACACACGAAGAAAATCTTTCTTAGATACTATATATTCTAAAAAGTAGCCCATTAGGAAAAAAGAATCCCCGGAATAAATGGGACAACGTTGGTAAACTAGATAATTTTTTATTGGTTTGGCTAGTGCTCAAAATCATTTTCTGAGTAGAAATAATAATAATAAGAATAGCCTGTAACTGTTTCTTTGCTCTATCTAGAGCAAGTTTAAACAGGCCAACATAATCTCCTCTGCTTCTCTGGAACTACGTAAGGTTTAAATAAAACACAGGAGAGTCATTTTTATCAGGTGACCCTATATTTGGCCAAAATGAAAAACGTGTTCCCAATCTTATTTCTGATGAACATATCAAAACGACTGTCGTATGCCTCATCTTTTTAAGAAAGCATATGTTAAACAGTGCAGGCGAAGGTAAACTTGAAAAGGATTCACTTGTCCTAACAGCCCATCTGTTTCATACTCCCCGCAGAGCACAACTCTTTTCTGGGGTCCCTTTCAGGTGCGCTCTTACCTTATGTAACACTCTCTTTATTGTAAGTTCATGCTGTGACCCTGTCAGAATTGCTACAGCAGGGGTGACCTCAGTAATGACCATCCACAGCCTGCCAAGCTAACTTGGTCAGTGTTAGCTGATTAAACTTTTAACAACATCCCCTGTGCGATAAAGGGCAAAATGACAACTTTGCCCATCGTCAAGGTGTCTGTATAATAAACTAATTAGTAAACCACACAGTCTGTGGAGCTTTTAATGAGTGCTATCGGCTGGCCTCTGTAATAAAAACCCAGTCTGCCCCCTTTTGGGATTCAATTAAGGCACAGACTGTCATATGCTCGGTCTAGCTGATCAATGAATCCATTCCGACCTTTGTCGGAGCTGTTTGCAAGGTCAGTGGCAGTAGTGAAGAAAGCCGCCTTGGTAAAGGAGGTGTATCCAACAGCGGCCGACAGGCTCCAAGTCCAGTTGTTAATATCCTTGTGGTCATTTGACATCAGCAGAAGTTTCTCTCATTCAAAGGTTAGCTGGAAGAGAAGACAGCAATGAAAAAAATATATGTTGGTATTTTTTCACAGAAAGGTCCTTCTGTTATTAAAAAATGATCATTAGTCTGTTAACATCTAGTTTTACCTTGTGGTATCTTCTTTTTCTTCACCCAGTGGAATATATGATCCAAGTTTTGTTCTTCCAAATATAACTTATTGATTTAATTCTTTTCCAGAAGTGAAAACAAATGTAACCTTTATGAAATGTAGTTCTCTTTTTATGATTCAGGATGGTGAGGTTTTTACAACAGCATTAAATTAGAAAACATGATGTTTCTTATTAAAAGTCTATGAAGTCAGGAAAGTTTTTATTATAATTAAATGTTTTTAGTACTCTATAATTTTGGATATTGCAGTATTCTTCGAGTCTACATCTCAAACATTTTTGTTTAGTAATTTGAAAATCCCCATATTTATCTCTACACAAAAATCTTCAAAAATGAAAATAGTCATTTTAAAGGTATTTAAATGATAGTTTGACCAGATAATATATTTTTCTATTTTGATAATAAGTTACATAAGGAGAAAATATTTGCAAATTCTGTGGATTGTAGCATTCCTAGACTTAATATTTATGGATTTTAGAGTAACCCCAAATATCCATGAGAATTAGCAATCTGTAATTTTATTTATACCCAGGACAGAAATGCTTTACTGTTCAAACTGTGAGATGAAAAATCCCAGAGCTGGAGGGTGAACCTAGCTGACTACTCAGCAGCCACAACCTAAAGTGCCACTGTTGTTGTATATGCAATGAGTATTTGAGAAGTCCTATAGGATATTGCTATTTATACTTAATATAAGGTAAAATATATTATAAATGTAATTTAAGATTTCAGAAATTTATATATAAAAGTATATGTATATCAAGTATATGTATATCAAGATTCTACAGTTTACTACTTTTTACAAAATTAGCATTTATGTTCAAATTATGTTCAATGACATTCAAATTGAAACATTTTAAAGTTCAAAAATTTCAGTAAATATGTTTGCATAAAATGAAGATCCTAATTAAAGTTGAACAATCTCCACCTTTGAGTAACATTGGTATGATTTTTAAGCATTATAAATGAAGATAGCATGAAGTCTAGGAATTCTATTAAAGGTTTATCCTAAGGGAATATTTCTACAGCTATAGAATATGCAATTACTAAAATATCCACCAAAGAGTTCATTTTAGTAGGAAACAATAGTGTAAAAACTAAATACCCAACCATAGGAGACTACATATTAAAAATGTTAAGTATGTACACTTAGTGAAATATTATTCAGCCCTTAGAAATAATGATTCAGGGCATTTAGTCATAGTCATAGAAAAAGATCCATATATTTGTCAGTGAAGTGAACAGTGTGAAAAGCAATATGCTTACCTTTTTATTATATGTATTTCATAGTATATATTAAAGACATAAATAAAATATATGTACATGTATATTAGTATATTAATGTACACATGTGTACGTGAATATATCAGGAAATATACATGCATAGGTATGTCTATATATATGTATGCATCATGTATATATATATATAGACAAATAAATAAATAAAAATACATGTATATACATACTCATTTTATAAGGGTACTTTCCACTTTTTACATTCAATATTTTCTGATTTCTTCTAATTACTTTTAATGTTTTTATGAGGAAATTTTATTATTTAATATTTGCATTTTTTGAGAATGGGTCTTGCTTTGTTGCCCAGGCTGGAGTGCAGTAGCACAATCACTGCTCACTGCAGCCTTGACATCCTAGGCTCAAATGATCCTCCCACCTCAACCTCCTGAGTATCTGGGACTACAGACACATGTCACCATGCCTGGCTAATTTTTTTAAAATGTTTTTAAAGACAGGGTCTCCCTGTGTTGTCCAAGATAGTCTGAAACTCCTAGGTCCAAATCATCCTCCTGCTTTGGCCTCCCAAAGTGCTGGGATTACAGGCATGAGCTGCTAAGCACACTAAGCAAAACTGTAGCTGGTCAGGGTTAAAATAAGTTTTTATTGGGGTTGGGGGTAGGCAAAGGTTAGGGGGACAATGAGGAGAAAACACTTCCCATACTCCCCAAACTACATTTATTACATAACTTGGCATCAAATCATGAGTTTATTGTCTTTTTCCAGGTTGCCAAATTTCTGACTTAATTGGACTAGTCCTGCAAAATTATCTCTTTGGAATCTATGACTTTATATCAAAGTTAGGTTGCAGCATAAATTAAAAAAGAACATAAGATTTGCTAATTCAAGGATGTCTTGATGTTTTAAATCTACCAGTATACTATTCAAGTAATTAGATTTCAATTGGATAAGAAATTATATTTATACAAACTATTTAAGTAAATTATTCACGTTCAACATATTGAAAATTTTTATAAATACAAAATATAAACATCCTGTGATTGCTCATGACAGAGTGATCTCTTGTGCCTTCACAGATATAATTTCCTTTGTGTTTGATGTTATCATATTTCTACTTATACTACAAAGCACCTAACAGTAACGTTATAATTAAAATAATAATAATAATGATAAATACCAACTGATTTTTGTTGGAATACTCAGGACAGACATTACTAACATTGGAAGCATATTAATCCACAGAAATTTCTAAGCTTTATATTGTAAAATCAGTCCAGCTCCACTTCTTACGAGATATAGGAGGCAAAGGGAAATAACTGACTCTGTTTGCCAGATATTGCATGAGACGTTTTATAGCTATTGTGTCATTTAGGTCTTACAGCAATATTGTGAAATAAGTACTTATCATTATTTTTAATTGGAAGATAAAAATAAGATTTGCTCAATTATTAAATACTAGATTTAATCGATATATTATTTTACGATTAAATGTGCCCTTTCAGAGTTGCCAAATATAATCCAAGTATTACCTGTTATTGCTATATTAATTTTTCTATGTATATTTATTTAACTCCAACATGTGAAGAACTTAGAAGTTTACATTCTCTTATAATAAGAAAAAGCTGCATGAACTCAAACCCAATAACTTTTATTTGACCTACCAGAAAAATGAAATTGCAGGGCAAAATAACACCCTGAAATCTGGAGAGACAGATGCATCTACAGAAATGTAATAATTGATATCTACTAACTTGGAGGAAAAGCCACTGAATGATAAATTAATGAGGGCACTTCAATGAACTAATATGGCACTTTAGACTGGGAGGAATTGCTGGAGGCTGTGGATTAGCATGAAAATGAGAAGCTCCTTGGGGATGCAATCTTAGACAGACCCCTTACTTACATGGGTTTTCCTTTCAGGGACCCCACTTGGCTCTGACAGGGGGACAAGAAAGTAACTACTGACAAACTCTCCCAGACCCCCTTCTCCATTTAAAAAGAAAAAAAAAAAGGGCTACCCTCCAGAGAAATGTACTTTGCCAAAGTTCAATTCTCAAGCCTTTTTCTAGCAAAAGAAATTCCCTCCCACTCAAGCCCTCTTCAGCTTTCTTGTCTCTTCTTTTTTTTTTTTTTAATTATACTTTAAGTTCTAGGGTACATGTGCACAACGTGCAGGTTTGTTACATATGTATGCATGTGCCATGTTGGTGTGCAGCACCCATTAACTCATCATTTACATTAGGTATATCTCCTAATGCTATCCCTCCCTCCTCCCCCTACCACACGACAGGCCCCGGTGTGTGATGTTCCCCTTCCTGTGTCCTAGTGTTCCCGTTGTTCAATTCTTGTCTCTTCTAAGGGGGGAAAATAACATAGTCAACAAGATTCTGAAATTCCCATGAATACATTGCAAACTCTGCAGCAAAAGAGGAAAGGAGAGAATGGGTGGAAAGTGGGGCGTTGCTGGGGAAAGGAGAAGGCCATGCCGCTGGAGAAAGAGCTGTGACCATCTCAAGCCAGAGACACAGACCTATCAAAAGGCTGAGATTCTATCATTTGACTATAGAATGTTCCCTCACCCTGCACCCTACCACCATCAACAGGGCTCCAGTATAATAGCAACACATTACATTTAGAAAAGCTACACTTCCTGATGGATCCAAAAGGCTAAATATCAAGCATTGAGAAAAACACAAGGGTAGTAGAGGAATTGGAAACTGTACCTATAGTTACAACAATCATTAAAGATAGCCCTCTCCTTAGCCAGATTAATACAAATTCTCACACCAAAGGCCTTTTTTTACCTCAGTTCCTTTTACTCATTACAACATTTGGCTTTCTACAAAAAGTTACAAAGCATGCCAAAAGGCAAGAAAAAACACTTTTAAGACAGTGTCATCATCACAAGAAGACTCAAATGTGATACATATGTTGAAATTATCAGGTAGGAAATTTAAAATAACTATATGTTAAGAGTGATAATACAAAAATAAACCATTGCATTGCATAATGCAAGCAGAGACATAAAATTTTAAGAATCAAAAATATATACTAATCAAAAATACAGTAACAGAAATGAATGTTTTTTGTATGTTCATCAGTAGGCTTAACACAACTGAGAAAAGAAGGGGAAAAGAATCATTGAACTGAAAAATAAGTAAATAGACACTTTCTAATCTTAAATGAGAGTTAAAAGGATGAAATATCAGAACAGAACATACAAGAACTGTAGAAAAACATCAAAAGGTATAACTATATGTTATTGGAATACCAGAAGACAAAGAAAAAGACAACAGGGCAGAATGAATATTTGAAGTAATAATGGCTAAGTTTATTCAAAATTAA
Source organism: Homo sapiens (assembly GCF_000001405.40). Lineage (NCBI taxonomy): Eukaryota > Metazoa > Chordata > Mammalia > Primates > Hominidae > Homo > Homo sapiens. The sequence continues at coordinate 17,690,780 of NC_000012.12, read as the reverse complement.
TCATCCCCAGTAAACCAAAGATCCAGGAAGCTCAAAGAACACCACTCAAGGTAAGTACCAAAATACCCAAAGCAAACAAAATACCGACATGCTTAGGCATATCATATTCATACTGTAGAATGCAAAACACAAAGAGGAAATGTTGATGGAAGACAGAATGGGAATAAAACCACTTTAACTATCGAAGAACAAAGATAACAACTGTAATGGTCTCTTTATTATAAAGCACGCAATCAAAAATAGAATGGAGCAAAATATTTTAAAAATTTTTTTAAATTATTAATTTAGAATTCTATACCCAGAAAAACTATTGTGCAAAATGTAGGAGAAATAAATACTTAGGCAAACAAAAACTAAGAGAATTTGCCGTCAGCTGATGTGCCTTGCAGAGAAATTTTTAAAAAAGTTCTGCAGGCTGAAGGAAAATGACATAGGATAGAGACATGACTCTGCATAAAGAAACAGCTTTTAAGAGGACTTATGTGGAGGTAAATCATATATTTATATATACTTTTCTTATCATTGACTAATCTAAATAATAGCATTTTGAAGTAATAATAGTAAAGTATTGGGTGGTTATAGAATAAGTTATGTGAAATGAATGACAGCAGTGTCATAAATGATGGAAGAATGGAGAATACTCTGAGATGCTTACACTACATGACTACATGTGAAGTGATATAGTGTTATTTGAAAGTGGACTAAGATTAGCAAATTGTATACATAATATAAAACATATATTTATATATTATAAAATGCATATACATTATAAATTATAAAATAATTTTGTAAGGATGTATAAATGCCATGTTAATAGAACAGATGAAATGAAATTATATACAATGTTCAATTAAAACCACAAAAGACAGAAAATGAGTAGAAAACAAGGACAAAAGAACAAACATCATAGAAAACAGTTAAGAACATGTCACATATAAGTTTAAATATATCAATAACTATTACTAATGTGAATGGTCTAAAAACAGCAAGGAAGGAAAGATATTGTGAGATTGGATAAAAGAAGACCCAACTATACACTGTGTGTAAAAACCTACTTTAGGCCGGGCACAGAGGCTCACGCCTGTAATCTCAGCATTATGGAAGGCAGAGGTGGGTGGATCACCTGAGGTCAGGAGTTCAAGACCAACCTGACCAACATGGTGAAACCCCATCTCTACCAAAAATACAAAAATTAGACAGGTGTGGTGGCGGGTGCCTGTAATCTCAGCTACTTGGGAGGCTGAGACAGGAGAATTGCTGGAACTTGGGAGGTGGAGGTTGCAGTGAGCCGAGATCATGCCATTGCACTCCAGCCCGGGCTGACAACAGCGAGATTCCATCTCAAAAAATAGAACAAAACAAAAGAAAAAACCTGCTTTAAATGTAACCACACATAAGTTAAAAGAAAAAGAAAGGAGAAATATATACCATGTTAATTCTAATCAAAAGAAAGCAAGTTTGGCCACATTGATTTCAGACAAAGCTGACTTTAGAATAAGAAAGATTACTGGGGACAAAGAGGGTCATTACTTAATCATTAAGAGACTAATTTTCCAAGACATCACAACCTAAATGTGTATACACCTACTGGAGGGTTCTTCAGAGAAATAGAATAGAACCAATACAATAGATAGATGATAGATAGATAGATAGATAGATAGATAGATAGATAGATAGATAGACAGACAGACAGACAGATTAGATAGATAGATAGACAGACAGACAGACAGATAGATAGATAGGCAGGCAGGCAGACAGATAGGCAGACAGGCAGACAGGAGGGGATTTACTATGAGGATTTGTTCATAGGATTATGGAGGCTGAGAAGTCCCATGACAGGCCATCTGTAAGCTGGACAAACAGAAAAGCCAGCAGCGTGTGGCTCATCCAAGTCCAAAGATTCCAGAAGGAGGGAAGCGGATTGTAGTAACTCTCAGTTTGAGGCCAAAGGCCTGAGAACCTGGAGCTTCACTAGTGCAAGTCCTAGAGTCCAAAGGCAGGAGAACCTGGAGTTCTGATGTCCAAGGACAGGAAAAGAAGGGTATTCCAGGTCCAGAAAAAAAGAGTAAATTTGCTCTTCCTTTGCCTTTTCATTCTATGTGCTCAGCGGCTTCATGGTGTTCACTCACATTGCGTGAGGGCAGATCTTCATTGTTCAGTCTATTGATTCAAAAAAAATCTCTTCTACAAACACCCAGACATACTCAGAAATAATGTTTTATGACATGAGCTCTCAAGGTAACCCTTAATTCAGTCAAATTGACACCTAAAATTAATCATCACTGCACCGAAGCAAAAGAGGCAACACTGATAGAACTGAAAGAATAAATAATCAAATACATTATCATTGTTGGGGACTTAACACCTCTCTGTCAGTAACTGATAGATCAGACAGGCAGAAATCAGTAAGAATACAGATGACCTTAACAGCCTTATCAATCACCTTGACCTAATTAACATTTATAGAATATCACATTTAACGAGAGCCCAAAACACAATCTTCTCAGGTTCACATGGAACATTAATTAAGATAGATCCCATTCTGGGGCATAAAGCACACTTTTACAAATTTTTAAAAATATCATACAAAATATATTTTGAAAACACAACAGAATTAAACTATAATTCAATTAACTAAAAAAAGCAGAACAATCTCCAAATATTTAGAAATTAAGCAATATACTGCCAAATAATTCACAGGACAAAGAAACCTGAAAAGAAATTTTGATAAATATTTGTGAATTGAATTAAAATGAAAAGACCATTTCTCAAAACATTAGGGATACAGCAAAAGCAGACTTAAAGAGAATTTATAACACTATATTTATTTAAAAGCTGAAAGAATATGAAATAAATAATTAAGCTTCTGGAAAAGATAAGAAATTATAAAGCGAGGTCAATAAATAATGCAAGAGCAATATACTAAATTCCTTTCCTATGTAACATCAATGAACAACTTGAATTTGAAATTTCAAAAAAACCCACCATTTATAGTAACAACCTTCCCCCACCCCAGTCCCACAAAATAAGTACATGGGGGTGTAAATCTGACAAAATGTGGATAGAAACAGTGTGTTGAAAGTACAAAACAATATAAGAAAATCCAAGAAGATCTAAATAATTGGAGAGATATTCCATTAAGATGTCAATTCCCTCCATCTGGATCTATGAACGTAATGCACTCCCAATAAAAACCCCAGCAAGATATTTTTAAGATATCAAAACACTAATTTAAAAATGTATATGGAAAGGCAAAGAACCTGGGGTAGCCAACACAATACTGAAGATGAATAACAGAGAACTCACATTACCTATTTTTAATATTTATCATAAAACTATGGTAAATAAGAGATTGTGTACTAGCAAAAGAATAAATACATAGATTAATGAAATAGAATTGAGAGCATAAACTCACACAAATATAATGAACTAACTTTTAATAAAGCTACTAAGGCAATTACATGGAGAATAGCTAGTCTTTTCAAAAGATAGTGCTGGAAAAATTGGATGTCAATATGCAACAATAAGAAAAAAAACTCAGAACCTAGATAGAGACCTTACATCTTACACAAATTTAAAAACAACAGGTCATAGACACATATATAAAATGCAAAATTATAAAATTTCTAGAAGAAAACATAGGAGAGCATTTAGGAGACGGTGGGTTTGCTGCGAAGTTTTTGATACAATATAAAAAGCATGTTTCATGAATAAAAATATTTGCAAATTGAATTTTAAAATTAAAATTTTTTGTTGTATTAAAGGTGTTGTGAAAAGAATTAAAAGACCAGCCCCAGACTGGGAGAAAAATCTCTGTAAAACACAAATCTGGTAAAGTACTTATTTCCAAAATATATAAAGTAGTTTCAAAATCCAACATTAAGAAAACAAAAGCACAGTTAAAAATGGCCAAAAGATCTAAACATCTGCCTCATCATACAAGATAAGCAGATGGCAAATAAGCATTAGACAAGATGATCAAAATCATTTGTCATTGGGAAAAGGTGTAAATTAAAATACAAAATTAGATGTTACGGCACATCTAATAGAATGGCTAAAATCTAAAACTGACAAAGCAAAAGGCTGACAAGATGTGGAACAACTGGAACTTTCATTTCTGGTGGGAATTTTATTGCTGCTGGGAATGAAAAATGGTACAGCTGTTTTGAAGACAATTTGGTAGCATCTTATAATATTAAACCATGTCTTATCTTATGATCCAGTACTCATACTCCTAGGTATTTACTCAACTGAGTTGAAAACTTATGTGTATTCCAGATCTACATATTAATGTTTATAGCACCATTATTCATAATGGACTCACACTGGAAGTGACCAAGATGTCTTTCAATAGGTAAATTGATAAATAAATGAATAGGTAAACTGTGGAATATACATACACTGGAATACTATTTAGCAATAATACAAAATGGACTATCAAGCAAAGCAAAAACAAGGATGAAATTTTGGCAAAGGCAAAAATATAGAGAAAGTAAACAGATTAATGGTTGCCAGAAATTTGGAGAGAGTTAAATAGGTGAAGTACAGAAAATTTTTATGTCATTGAAACTATTTGTATGTGACTGTAATGGTACAGACATAACACAATGTACTTGTCAAAACCTACACCTTCACAGAACAAAATGTGAGCCTTACTGTATGCAGATTTTAAAAACTCACTTAGAAGTTCAGGGATACCAGGATAGAATGCAGGCTGTGATAAAAGAATCTAATCTAACAAGTGCATGAAACACCATCAGTGAAAAGAGTTGGGTGAAAGTAACCTTGGAAATGAGTGGAGTCTAAAACTAAAGGCAAAATAAACTGGACATAAGCACTTTACTCTAGCTGATAAAGTTGCTTCCCACAGGAGTATAGTATAACAATTCTAAAACATACATAAACACATATAACACAATGTAATAAATGGTAAATAATGGAACCCAGCTTATCACTGTTATAGTGGTAGGTTACTGACAAGAACCTGTTGACTAGAGTTGGAGACATCAATATAAAGTCATATTTATCTTAATGAGTGTATGTAAATAAGCAGAACACATTTACTTATATTTATGAAAATGTAAACATGGGTTAATATACACACATATATTACACTCTTCTGTCAATGGAGAAGCATAGTAGCAACGACACCATGGCAGCAATGAGTACATCTAGTTCCCAGGTTTGAGATTCTAATACCATTCTCCAATAAAAATAAGAAGGGCTTTTTTTTTTTTTTTTTTTTTTGGATGAAGTCCTGCTCTTGTCCCCCAGGCTGGAGTGCAATGTTGCCACCTCGGCTCACTGCAACCTCCACCTCCCAGGTTCAAGCAATTCTCCTGCCTCAGCCTCCCGTGTAGCTGGGATTACAGGTGTGAGCCATGGCGCCTGGCCAAAAAGGGCTCTTTAGAGAAGTGGCAAGGTTCTAGGATAGGAGCAAGTAATATACAAGATGAGCCTAGAATGTCTTATAGTGCCAGAAAGCAAGGAAGTACGTGCTATAAAAAGACAACAAACAAACACCAATGGGAATATGTCAAAAGGACACAAGACTCAACTTAAAGAATCCCCAATAGCCAAAGATGGAACCATATGAGCAACAAATGCAATGCCATTGAATTATCACACAAAATATAAAATATCTATGAATCTATACTGATACAAATAAATAAATGGATAAATAAATGGAGAACAGACAACCCATCAAGATGAATTGCAAAAACTTTATGTTGATAATCCACTCTCACAGAGATTGAGCATAAATTCCCTGTCTTTAAGTGTAGGCTGCACATTATTACTACTGAAGAATACATTAAAAACAAGGAGAGGGAGTGTAATATGTCACAGTGGAGAAAACAGAAAAATTTGACCTTATAAAGATGATTAAGGGTAACATCAACAATGGTAGATTGTGTTGCTATAATGTACCCCTGATGTGATGTGAGGTGATATGATGAGAATGATATATTACCGCTGTGGTTTTTCTCTTAAAATCTATAAATCCAGTCTAGTCATGAGAAAAGAATCATATAAATACCAGTTGAGGGACATTCTACAAGGTACCTGACCGATAATCCTCAAAACCATCAAAGTCATTAAAACAAGTTAAATCTGAGAAACTCACAGCAGAAGGTGCTTAAGGGGAAGTAACAATTAAATGTAATGTATCCTGGATAATATTCTGGAGGAGAAAAGGGAACAATCTGTAAAAATTAAAGACATCTTAATAAATTATAAACTTTATTTTATAGCAATGTTTCAATATTGGTTTATTAATTGGGACAAATATTCCATAGAAAGGTAAAATGTCAGTAATGTAGGGGACTGAGTGTGGAATATATGAAAACTGTCTGCTGTATTTTCACGATGTTTCTGTAAATCTAAAACCATTCTAGCATAAAATTATAATTTAAATAAAAGTTTAAAAAAAAACCATGGTAGCTAGACATGCAGGAAGGGAATTTAAAGAGATTAGAAAATGGCCATATCATGTAGTATCATGAAGGCCATGTTATCACAGAGATATTGTGTTCTCTGTTGATCAGAAGATTTGGTGATATTACGATTTTATTTCCATTTTAAAAAGACAACACAGGATCTTATGTGGCATACAGATTACTGGATGAAGAAACTGGAAGTCGGCAAACAAGAAGCTATTTGAAAGCTAATAAAAGAGCTCAGAAGAGAAACACTGGTGGTCTTGATAAGTAGAACTGGTGGGAGATGAAAGACCTATGGAATATGAGACAGCGCTCAGGGGACAAGCCAATGATTTTTGTTCAGTGCACACTGGTGTAATAATGGTAGCATTTTCTGCTGTGGAGACATTGAAGAAAAATCCTGTTTGAATGTGGGGGTTGCCAATTAAATAGCACAACAATTCTGTTAGTTACACATCATAGCACCCATTTTTCTTACATACAGAGGAAAGGTGGCTGAGAGACATTGTGAAATTCACCAAAATGTTTACACCTAAAAGCACTACAGCTGAGACATCATCTCATATGAGTCCAAAACATGTGATCTTTCCATATTTCACATTGTTTACTCTCTGGCATGGAGAGAATAAATTTCTTTCTCTGTAGCTACAATTTTCAAGGTAAAGTCCCTGTGGCTATTAGCCTACTAGCCTTTCAAAAACTCATGTGAAAACTTTCCAAATGAGAGGAATTCAGTAATATGATCACAAAATCTACTTTCACCTTTTGGTTTCCTTGGGAATTCAAGGCAAAGGGGCTTAACTTTACTTCTAGCAAAGGAGGGAGACACTTTCACCATCTTCTGAAAATAAAATAAATATAGGGGTTGGTTTATGTCATTTGATTCACCGTCTAGGGCTGCATTAGCACTTCTGTGAGACCACCCACTTTTGACTTTGTATGCCCCTTCTTCTATTAAAAGCATATTCGAAATTATATTTTACCATACAGTTGCAATAATAATATATTAATGTTACATCATAACATTTTCTTTGATGATCTACAGTACCTACAATGCCTAATAGGTAAATCAACCGTGTTTGTATCTCTGTAAAGAATGATCCTACAGTGTTAAGATGATGAACAATAGAAGATATAGCTTACCCCAAACCACAGGTTCTAGAGTTTTTCAAATGAGAATTATTTCAATTCATGATGATGGTCTATAGAATCAATAACTCATTACAGATTACTAAAGCATATCCCCTGGCCCCCAAACTTTTACTAATGTAGTTTTTTTTTTTTTTTTTCAATGAGGGATGCGATTCTTTTGAACACCAGTAACGGTGTTTTAGATTAAGCCAGCACGTTTTCTTTCCTTAGATGGTTTGTGACATTTATATTCATTTGGAAACCCTGATTTTACTCAACTAATTATTATTGCTGTTGTTCATATTTTATTATATTTTTCTCTTTAGTTATCTCATTGTTAAAAGGAACAGGACTTTTAAAAATTATGTGTGTGTATGCGTGCGTTTCTTTCTTGCCCAAGTATTACGTCAAGTTTCTCAAGTTTTACCTTACACAGTGCATCTGGGTCACATTTTCTGCTCTTTTAGGCTTGCCATAAACAGGTAAGTTTAAATATCTCAAGCATTTGGTCTTTGCCCTAAATATGCTAAAGCAAGGGAAATATTTTTTATTAATAATTTTACCTTTCTAAGCAAATCATCACATAAGAAGGGCAGCACATTAATTAATTAATACATGTACCCAGAGGAAAATTAAACAGTTGAAATAATAAATGTGGACATGTCTCTGAATATTTGAATAGAATTTTATTATTTAAGTTACTAGCAAATTTAATCTGTAGGCTCAGGCAAGATAATGCTTGGAAGTGTTTTATTCTTAGAACTGAGAATTCTAGATACCTAAGAGTTTATAATTTTGCTCTTTAAAATGCATTTTAATTACTTAGAATAGAATAATTTTAAAGATGATCAATTACTACATTTTTAATGGAATTGACATATTGCATTGATGACACAAAGACATTATTTTAAACACGTTATTGTTATATGTTGATATCCATATGTATTTTTTAGGATCCCAAAAGACACTTGGATTGTTTTATCCAACTTAAAAAGTTTCTAGACACTTGTACATTTTGAGGTGTTACAATACTTCCATTAGTAGTATAAGATCCATCAGGGGAAGGCAGTTTGTGGCAGAAAATGTGCTTAGTTTTGTACATGTTGCATTTGGTTATTGTAAGGATTATAAAATTAAAAAGCATTAAATGAAACAAAGTAACATATAAGTTATCCTAGTCTGCTGACATGTCATGCTGATTTTTCAAAAATGTTATTTGCAAATAAGAGTGCATCAGACTACCTGAGTACAATTTATAAAAAAAAAATCCTTTCTTGTTAGGAAAAATTTGACAGAGTTTATCAAAGTCCCCAATAGCAACAATGTTGCTAATAATATGGACTGTTAATTGCTTCAATAAATAAGCATGTAAAGTGTATATTTATATTTAACATTTCAAGTAAAAGTGACCTACATGAATAGAAGAAAAATTTGCAAATGCATAGGCTGTTAATTAAATGACATGAAAAGGGCAAAATTGAGCAAGGCAAGTGGATATGTTTGAAAGACAGGTTTTTTTTTCCCCATTTCTTCTTACATTCTCTCTTATAAGGTTATCACTTTTATTTCTCAATTTATTGAAGCTACTTACATCAAAGTCACTGATTCTTCTTCCACATTCATAAATCCAATTGTGAATTCTCAGTCCATATCTTAACTTATTCTATGAACAGCATTTGAACTAGGAGATCAGAGTTTCCACCCCCTGCTTTAGCACCAAACTCTTCAATTATAATTTTTCAGAGCATTTCCTTAGGTTAATTTTCTTTCTTAACTTCACCCAGCCTGAAATATTTAAATGCCACCCATGTGGTGTAACTTGAACACCTCCATTGAATTGAAGACCCCTATGTCTACCTGACTACTTGATATTTCCATTGAATGTGTCATAGAATTCCCAAACTTTGCATGTTGAAATTTGATCTATATTCACAAACTTGCTCCATCTATAGTGTTTCTTGTCTCAATGCAAAGACTGGTTCCAGTTATTAAGGCCAAAATGCCTTGAAGAAATAATAACTCTTCTTCCTCATATATCACATGAAACTAGTCAAAAACTACTATTGAATCCACCTTTAAAATATATCCAGAATATGACTACTTACCACCCTGGTCATAGCCACCATCCTTTTTCCCAAGTATTATTGCAATAACTTTATCTGTCTTCCTGCTTTCATCCTTGCTCCTTCTAAAATCTGTTCACTGCAGAACAGTGACACAAAGTCATTCAAACTTAGTGAAACCAGTTCATTTTGTGTGTGTGTGAGTGGCAGTAGCATAAGTGTTGAAAAATGTTTCCGTTATTGATTTTGGTCTATAATGTTAAGGTAGAGCCAACAGGATCTGCTGGAGTATCTGGTGAATGTTGTCATGTGTAAGAGGTGTCAACAAAAAGAATGAGTGGCTTGAGCAAATAGAATAGAGTTGTCTCTAACTGAGAAGGAAAGATGAGGAGAAGAAAATTTGAGGAGGAAGAAGATGGGCAGGAGAAGTTCAGTTTTGGACACTTTAACCTTTAGAAGCATAATAAGCATCCAACTGGAGACGTCAATGAACCTCTGGATAAAAATTTGAAGATTGGGAAAATAGATACAGTTGAATTTATAAATTTGGGCACTGATAGAGGAGAGGTTGCTTTTAAAGCTATGAGCCTTGAAACCAGGTCATTCTTTTGCTTAACACCTTCCAGTTGCTCTGCATCTCCTTCAAGGCCCCACACAATCTGGCCTCTCACTACCTCTCTAACTGCATCCCCTATTTCTCTATGGCTTTGCTCCTTCCACTCTCTCCACTGTTTTTATTTCTCAAGCACATCAGGCCGACTTCCCACCGAGGGCCTTTGTAATGGCTGTTCTTTCTCTTGCAGATGCTCTTTTCCCATCTCTTTCAAATTTTTATTCAAAAATTCAAAAAAAGATGTTTGCTCCCTAACTGTTCTATTTTACATTGCAACCTTTTCCCAGACTCCTACTATCCTTTATTCCTATTACCTTCACATATAGTTTGGCTATTGTTTAATTTATTGTCTGTACTCCCCCTTATTATTAAATAGGCCCATGAGAAATCTTATTATTTTTTATTTCTTTGTTTTACTGTTTAATTTCTTTTTATAACAGTAGGTAAAATCTCTCAATAGATATGTGTTGGACTTGTTAAATGACTATAGATCCATATGGTGAATGACAATTTTAAACAATCATGATGAAATTAGTCTGCGTGGGTTCGATGAGAGTATGAAGCATTGTTTATAGAGGTAAATTTTCTGATGAGAATTCAAGCTAAAATTATAGTTATCATTATGAAAGATTAGGTCAAATTCATAAATAAGAAGAACAAAGTAGTTTTCAACATTAAAAACTCTTAATTAGCTACTTGAAAATAAAATAAAATCATAGTTTTTCTGTCATCTCCTCTAGATATACTGATCTACAGGTATCTGCATTTTTTTTTTTTTTGAGATGGAGTCTCACTCTGTCACCGAGGCTGAAGTGCAGTGACATGATCTCGGCTCACTGCAACCTCCACCTCATGTGTTCAAGCAATTCAAGCAATTCTCCCATCTCAGCCTCCGAAGTAGCTGGGACTACAGGTGCCTGCCACCACGCTCGGCTAATTTTTGTATTTTTAGTAGAGACGGGTTTTCACCATATTGGTCAGGCTGGTGTCCAACTCCTGACCTCAGATAATCCTCCCGCCTCAGCCTCCCAAAGATAGTTTTGATGCAACTTGTCCAAGGACCATGCTTTGAGTAAATGCCTTAGAGAAAGAGAATGGAAAGTTGAAAGAAAACTTCTAGGATTTGAGGGAATTGAGTTCCCATTCTCACTAAGAGACATCTTAAAAGTATGTGATTAAATAGCAGAATTAAAAATTTGATTTAGTATTAGAGAGTCTTTTTCTTCTTGGTCAGGACTGATAAACTGAGGAAGATAGACCATTTTATTCCAGGAAGAATTTAAAAATAGATTCTCATCTTTCTGCAGTGATTTTTATGATAGTCTATTTTAAGATATCAGATTAGCAAAAATGAACTTGCATTGTTCTTTTCAAGTGCTGTGATTATGACTTTAAATCTTTTTAACAGCTATGAAGGGATAGAGTGTATGTTTCACAGTAAGCTTTAAGTTGAGATAACTGATAATAGGGCCAACTTTTCTTTGAGCATCAAAGTGAATGAAATACAATTTTAAGTTAATTCTTTTGAACTTTCTTTCCTTTCTTCCTTCCTTCCTTCCCTCCTTCCTTCCTCCCTCCCTCCTTCTCTTTTCTTTTCTTTTTCCTTCCTTCCCTCCTTCCCCTTCCGCTTCCACTTCCCCTTCCCCTTCCTCTCTCTCTCTCTCTGTCTCTTTCTTTCTTTCCGATAGGGTCTCACTCTGTAGCCGAGACTAGAGTGCAGTGGCATGAGGCATGATCATGGCTCACTGCAGACTCGACCTCCCCAGGCTCAAGTGATCCTCCACTTTTGCCTCCTGAGTAGCTGGAACTACAGGCATATGCCACCATGCCTGGCTAATTTTTGTATTTTCTATAGAGACAGGGTTTTATCTTGTTGCCCAGGCTGGTCTCCAATACTTGGACTCAAGCAATTCACCCACTTTAGCTTCCCAAAGTTCTGGGACTGCAGGCATAAGCCACTGAGCCCAGCCACTGCCTATATTTTTAATGATTTTATCTCTCTCTCTCTCTCTCTCTTTCTGGGTCTCTTTCTCATCAAGGTGTACATTTTTAGACCTTATCAAGGTCATATATAAATATAAAAATATTTTTTCATTTGTAAAATTAGTAATTTGTGCAAGATTTTCAATGGGAAAGACACTCCAGAAAGGTATAATTTTTACCATTTTAATTTAATTATATGATTGCTATGGTTTAAATGTGTCTCCCAAAATTCATCTTTTGGAAACTTAATCCCCAGTGCAAGTGTTGGGAGGTGTAGCATCATAGGAAGTGATTAGGTCATAAGGTCTCTGCCTTCATAAAGAGATCGATGTGATGTCATTATCTCAAGAGTAGATTCTGATAAGCCAGTTTGGCCTCCTCTGATTCTCTTGCTGTCCCAAACTCTCTTGCACTTCGCCTTCTGCTGCAGGATAACGCAGCAAGAAGGCTCTCACCAGATGTGGGTCCCTTAACCTTGAACTTCTCAACATCCAGAACTGTAAAAAATACGTTTCTTTTCTTTGTAAATTATCCAGTCCATGGCACTCTCTTATAGCAACACAAAGAAGACTAAGACATTGACATTTTACATTTCTCAGTATTGATGAAATAGGATGTCTATCACAGTAGTAACAGAGGGCAAAAAGAAGGAGGGATTGAGAAAAACAGTAAATTTTTGTTGCTGATGTTATTTTTCTCTTGACATTTTCAAATATATCTGCACTGTGGTGTTGGATACTCAAATAAGATCTTAGCTTACTTCAAAATATTGCTGAGCTAAATGTTTCCTTTGTTTTCCTGAGTTTTGAAATAACCAAAATGTAAACAGAAAAACTAGTCCAGGACAAGGTTCTAAAGTAGTCATTTTCTTATTAAAGATCCCCATCAACTGTATATATACAGTTTTATTTAGCATTTCCAATCCCACATAAATACAAATATACACACCTTCTATCTCTAATTATACTCCAAGCTGTTTCAAATCTGTTCCTGTGTAATTGGGGCAGGGTTTGTCTGTGTGACATTAAATAGTTTTTTTTTTTTTAAGGAAAAAAAAAAAAAAAGAACAGCTGCAGAATTTGAAGTGATGAAACCATTTTAATTTTAAACTTCCAGCCCTATCTAAGACTTCAATTTAAGAATGGGAAACTGAAAAAAATATATACACTATTTTGTTGAAATAAATCTTTCTTTTCTACTTCCAGAAACATCATGAGATTACACAGCCTGATTTATAAAAGAATTTGGAGCAAGCTTCAGACTTTAAACATTCAAAACTGAGGTTTGTTTATTTCATTTTCTACTTACTGAAAGAAGAGTTTCTAGCCTGAACTAAAGGCCTGTGCTTTATGTACTTGAGGTACTGGAGTGCTATATGTACTAACTAAATTGTGACCCTATTTTACCACTGGTGACCCGAGTGAGGATTCAAACTTTCTTCATGTTTTTATTTTTAACATAAATATAAAAATGCTGAGCTGTAGAAAATATTGAATACACATGGATTTAACCTCAAGAAGCTCCGTAAAATTCTTAGATGACATTATAAAAACAAGAAGCAGTTAAACCTAAAGCATCCTCCTTAACATAATTTGAGAAAAATAAAATGTTCATATCTTATATAAGATACCCATAACTCCTTGTTAAAACACTAAAATGAGTAAGAAATATGCACTGACCAATTTAAAACTTTATTTTTTTTCTATTGATGATCATCAGATAACTTGGTTAAATTTGTTAAATAAAACAGATACACTAGTTAGTAATTATTGATGGGTATGCTACTTTTGGCATGACTAAAAGTTTGCTATTAAAGAGAAGGTTCCTAACAGGAAGGGCAAAACACACTAAGACATAATCAACTCAAATTAGAAAACTCTCTTCCACTGGAAAAAAAAAAAAACATAGACTTTTGGTCACCCTAACTATATGTTACAACGTTTATAGTTTAGTGCTTTTAATATGAAAAATGACTAATATTTGTATGAAACTTTTCAACAGTTATTTCAAATGTTATTCCTCAAAAAATATCAATTTGTAACAGCATTATCTTTATTTAAAAAACTCACATTCAAAGAGACTAAACTTTTTATATCTAGTAAGTCACATATCTGATAGTTGATGGAGAGAAATCTGAATGCCACTTCTTTGACAATAAATCCTGTGACCTGTCTGGTGCCCAATTAATTTGGATGCCTCTGAAGCCTTTATTTCAGACCTATTTATTATTAATTTACCCCCTAAAAACTCAAACTATTTTAATTTGCATCTAAAACCTATGACAAATTTCAAGACACTGAATATACCCAACTCTGGGAGATGTAGAGATGAGTCTGCTAAGGTCCTTCTTCAGAAAATAATTTGCTCCCCATCTTGAAAATCTGCACAGTTCTGTATCTGACAAGCACATGGCCATATACATGTGTGGCCATATGTCCCCATGTAGGGAATGTTGATAATGGGTGAATGAATGTATAGCAGTTGGACGTTTTCCTCCTTCCATTTTGAATTCCTCTCTTCCCTTCACAGTAGTTACTCCCTAATATACATCTAGCATCCCAAACTGTGTCTCAGAATCTGCTTCCATAACATCAGGACCAACTACATCATCTGTGGGGCCAGTGCAAGGAGGAATCCCAGGGACCCCTTTTAATAAAGCATCTGACTGCATGTTTTTATGTTTAATTACTCACAGCTTTCAAGCCCCATAGTGGGACAAGCCCATAAGAAAGCTGTCACTCCCTTCTTTGTCACCAGATGAGAATGATCAAACCAGGCTAATCCAGCTCCTATGCAGAGGCTCTCCTCCCAGCATGTCTGAATCACAACAGAAACCAAAGCCATATTCCCCTCATTCACTCAAGCCATTTTGAACCTGCTTGGGAGTCTACCCTGCTGTCCCCAGAAACCCTCATAATGAGAGTAATACCTTCTCATACTCTGTCTGCGCGTGTGTCAACATCTAAACCTATCCTGCCTTTTGCAGGACGCTACCAAAACACCCTTGTTCCAAAATATTAAAAGTCCCAAGACTGCAGCAGCAGAGGATTGAACCAAATGCAAGGCCATTCTTAGCGTGGGATCCTGTGTACCTATACAGGTCACAAACATGGAGCCAGCCCTAGGTAAACCCAACCTCCAGCATCAGCTATCCCTTGTCTTTTCGTTAATTTTGTGATCTCAGTTGGGGAAGCATAATTCATAGTATTCATTTTTGGGGAGTCTGTTGTAGCACTCTTATACGTACAGTTGCTTTTCCACTTTTCTCTTTTCTTGGTGTTTAACGCTGTGCTTCCACACTCGATTTTATGAGTTCTTGTAATTTCCCCAGTCTTATTACTAGCCCCTGTCTAAGAAAGCCCTCCAAGTGGAAGAGATGATTGACTTATCATTCATGTATTCCATTCCCCCAAGTATAAAGGGATATCTATCATAGTTATTTATGGCACTTATGTGTGTGCATTGTCCTACCCTCACCACCCTCCTTACACCGTCTAAATTCTACATTCTTACATACCATTTTGTGCAAACATTGCCAATAATTGTGCCCTTCTTTCACTTTATTATCCTCTCCTTGCAAAACTCTCATCAAGTTTAGTTGTATTCGCTGGTACTCTGAACCTGGACATGGCTCACTGTCTCAGTTTAAAGTCATAAACATTAGTTTCGAGACCGACGTTGCTAAAAACCAAATTCTAGTTTCATTATTGACACTTTTCTTTCTCTCATAACATATATCTGATCAGCTATCAAATTATTTTACTTTAATTTCAAAACATATCAAATTTGGCTTTCAATATCCAAAATGATCCCCTGATTCAATCCACTCTCATCTTTTGATGGGATGATCTTTAAAGCTCCTTAACTAGTCTCTCTGCTTCATCTCTTTAACCCCATTAGCAGATTTTAAGTCCAGACGTCAGTTATAATTTTTAAGCCTAAGTAGACTTATGTCCCTTCTTTTTTGAAATATTCATATGGCCTTCATCTCACAAATTAAAAAAGGTGAAAGTTTCTGCAAGAGCCTAAAGGTAACATGTAACCTGGAGCCCAATACTTTTTTGAACAAATATGCAAATACTCTAACTTTCTTTCCTTCTTTCCAACCACTCACTTTCACATTGCTCCTCAAACAAGCCAAGCATGCTCTTGCCTCAGAGTCTTTGTACTTGCCTGCTCTTCCTGGGGTACCTGATACCCTTGAGTAATGCTTGCCAATCTTTGGTCAAATGTCACTTTCTCAAAGAGTCCTTCTAAGATCACTCAAATTAAGATAGTAACCCTTTTTCTGATTCCTAATCATCAATTCCCATATTACTCCTGAGTTTTCCTCTTGCTTGTAGTATTTTAAAGTTTCTATCATTAGTATCTATAGTTACTTATATATAGTATCTATATATACTATAGAGAGAGACATTGGAATAGAGGTAAACTTATTTATTCTGTCTATTGTATGTCTCTCCTGTCAGTGGAATAAAAGTTTCATGATAGCAAGAATCTTTACATGTCCGGAGCACAGCAAATACTCAATAAATAATTATGAATTAATTAATCAAGGTATAACTACTGATAGGGCTCTTATAAAATATTCTTAAAGCTTTTTACAAGTTCTAACAATCTAAGACACAATTGACATTATATTAGTGACTTGTTAAAGATTCCTTGCAAGGACAAATGCAAAGATTGAAGTATATATGAATGACTGAAGAGGTAGAAAATGCAAATAATGTTTGAAATATGAAAAAATACATGTTAATAAAATAATTCAAAGTGCAGACATTTTATAAGCAGATGATATGTAATACTTTCAAGACCAATATAAAGCTAAGTGGAAAACAACAACATAGTCTGAATTTGGTGAAAAATACGGGCCAAAATACTGATGGGTTACAATTGGTCCATCATGGCTTTGGCTTGTCATGATCCTAGGATATTAGCTGAGAAGGCAGCTTGTGATTTCTTCAGGAAGCTACTCTAACTTACGAGATGTATGTGTATGCCTGTGTATGTATGTGTGTTTAAACAAGGAGTGGGCAATTTATTGCAAAGTGAAATGGATAATTTTGCACTTTTGTTATTAGGTTAAGAGGCCAAATCTAGTCCACTTTTTAGAAATACCTCCTCTCGTTTCATGTTGTTTAAGCTTTCTTCTTAATGTTTTGGCAGGGGTACGGAAAGGCTGTAGTCAAATTTGTCATAGTTTGATATTAAAATATGGGTGCATTAACCTTACA
Source organism: Homo sapiens (assembly GCF_000001405.40). Taxonomy (NCBI): domain Eukaryota; kingdom Metazoa; phylum Chordata; class Mammalia; order Primates; family Hominidae; genus Homo; species Homo sapiens. Next base: position 17,673,316 of record NC_000012.12, on the reverse strand, counting down.
ATGACCTTTTCCCTGAACTTATTCCTAGAAAAAAAGATGCTGCATCTTTTGTAAGTAACTTCAAGGCAAGATATCATACAGCATTCAAATATAAGCTTTTATCCAGTTAATCATCAAGCATTACCTACTTTCATCAATGTTCAGGAGCTTAATTCCAGGATTACTTATTCCAAAAAAAAGCTAAATACAAAAATCAGAAGCACAGACCCAAACAATAGAACTTTTATACCATGATAATTAGAAAAGGAACCTATTACCCAGGATTATAATTAGTGACTAACATATTAAATGACCTTTAACATTTACCTTAAGCCCTGGATTTCTGGAAAACCAGCAAGGTTATGAATGCCATATTAGTGATCTTTAATCTTTATTACTGCTGTGGACAGAATTTTAATGATTTTTAAATAGGCAGTGGTCACTAACATATCCCTATTAAAATAAAAAAAAACTCATAAAAAATTAAATGGATTAAGACTTCAAATGTACCATCATCAAAAGTATTATCTAATTATGGAGTTCAGTGAACAGGCCAAGTGAAATGGTTGGTAATATTAGTTACTTGCCACATGGGAATGCCCAGGATTTATGCACAAATAGATTCTGCTTCTGTTGCAACACAGTAATTAAGAATTTGTCAGGGAAATTTGACCCTCTAGGGTAGAAATTACTTTGTAAAATAAGAATGGCAGAGCACTAGTCTCCTTGCTGCACATAATTTAACTTGATTATTTATACATCAAAGAGAGTCTGCAGTGACTGCAGTATAATATTTAAGTAGAGGGATATTAAAGAAAGAAGCACCTAGTGAAATCTTTTTTCCAAATCTCCGTGAGAAAATAGAAGAAATTTTCATAAAGCATTTCATTTTGCATATAAATTGGAGCCTAGATTGTGCCTGTGAATTTACTGCTGTCAAATTTAATTTTTCTTTAATTCTTCAGACCCAGATGTGAAAGGCTCTGTGTGCAGGCTGCAATTTTCAATGCTTACAGGTAGCTCCCGGATCGATAATGTGTCTTTATGAGAAATTACCATTAATGTTATTGAGTATGCATTTTGTTTTGTAGGATAATAAGGTAATATGAAATGCCAATTCATTCATTAGAAGAGAGCTAAGTGCTTAAATGAAATGGGTGACAGGTCTGAAAAAGAGATGTAGTAATGGGCAGGAAGGCAAGAATGGATTTTTAATGACCTAATATGTAAAAGTTAACCATGTTTTTGCATTTTCTCTTTATACATGATGTAATCTATAATATAAAGAAGTTTATTTAAATTGGAGAATGTGTCTTGGCTAAAAACCCTCTGCAAAAGTGAATAAATAGATATCAACTAGGTTTCAGAACATTTTTCTAATGAGTTAGTTTTACTGAGAACACAGCACCTAAATCAATTAAAAACAAACATTGCCATATGAAATCAATGCTATAAAAATCATCAGTTAATATTAGAATGTCACAAACAAGACCAAATTTGATATATATTTAAGATCTCTGTTTTTGAAGTATGGTGATAAGAAAAACTAATCCTGAACTTAATGCAAGGGCACAATGCAAGAACAGAACATTTGGGAAACTATGTTCAAAGTCATTGGAGATTAGACTAAAAAATGACTTTAAAAAATCAGTTAAACTGAATGTGAATGTTAGCATCGCTATTAATAACTTTTTATTTTGCCACTTAGGAAAACAAGTTTCACACCTTCTTCAGTAAAATAGTTCTGATTCAGCCCTGTGCTGTTAAGCTGAGGGGCATTCTAATTATCTAGAAAGTTGGATGGACTCGTTAATTTGATGCCTGTGATTTTATAAAGCACCAGTAGGCACTCTACAAGAAAAGCTTTGAGTAACTCAGTTCAACAAGGCTTTTGGAAAAAATACAAACAAACATATCTATGCTATTACATAATTTGAACTCAAATTACTTGCTTCTGACATCTTATTTAACTATATGTAATTCTGAAACCAATTTAAACTCATTGGTGGGCTGAACACAGTTTTATGAACAAAATGTTATTAGGCCAAATATCTTCAAAATGAAAAGGACACTAACATCTTTGAAGATGTTCCCAAATCAAACACTTAGGTCCAAAACAACCAATCAGGAATATTCAGTTATAAACAAAACAAAGTAAATAGAACAAATGATTATCAAAATTATGTTGATTCTCTTATAAATTAAAACAGTATAAACTTGAATAAAGCAAAAATGCATCCCTATTTCATTACTTGAGAAGTCAAATTGTGCAGGATGATATGGACTAATAAAAGTACAGAAGCTCTGAAGTCAGAAAACCTGTGGTCAAATCCCAGCTCTCATACCCACTAGTGGTTTAAACATAAATTATGTAACCTCTCCAAATCACTTGCTTTGTCATAAAATGGACACAAAAATACCTAACTCATCACAGCCGACAGCCATACGTTGAAGTTGAACTGAAATCTGTCTATATCTGAACCTTAAGTGCTGATGTCGCACGCTTTAAGCACTGATGTCTCAGGTTTTAAGCACAACCTCTTGTCTTGATCACTCTCACTTATCTGGCCATAAACAGCTTTACAGAAACAACCAGTTCTGGATTCCACCCCACCTCCCTCTTTCAGCTGAGCTAGACATTTCCAGGCTTGATGTCTTCGCTCCTCAGCCTGGGTCCTGTTGTTGCTGATTATCTGAACTATTTTGTCAATAACCTCAATGCCTTACATCCTTACCTTTACAGACATCTGACAGATAAAATGTCAATCTTGAGTTAATTCCATTATCCACTTTCTCTACTCTAATGCAGAGGCTTGACGCTGCTAGAGAAATGCCATCATTTAAACATTCATATGTCCACAAATTTGTACATTCGATCCTAGTCAATTTCTCAGGTCTTTGGCCTTCTCAATCAGTTGTTCCTTCCACTTCTTTCAGCAATTGTTCTACCTTTATTCTCAAGGCTTCTCCACTCTCTCAACCTTACTCTTAATAAACAAACTTCTATATTATTAGGGAATCTGATTTCATAAAACATGAATTACTGGCTCTTCTGTCCCCCTCACCTTCTGATTTTCTATACCCACCCTTACCTTCTGAGAGGATTATATACTTCTCTTCTTTATGACCAACCATCAAGCAGACATCTGTTCTTTATTTTCTAAATGTCCTTCAGAGCTTTGTTTCATCCGTTGCAATTGTTTCTTCCCTTACCATGGTTTTTCCTTTATCTTGGCTTTACCCTTGCTTTCAAACACATATAATCTTTCTAAGCAATCCCTTATCCCAGGAAAGAATAGAATTAGAAATACATTTACTTGAAAGTTAAACTGTTTTATTTGTGTTGATTCCTCTCTTCCCTTTACCTGCACTTTTCTTGAAATAAGATACTTTTTCCTTACTTCCCATTCATTTTTTAATAGCCTGTAACTTTTTTCACTGTCTCTATCATTTCCCTGAAACTATTTTATCAGAGTAGCCAGTGATTTCCTAATTACCCACTGGAATTTAAAAGAAAAAACCTTAACCTACTAGAAAAGTGACAATATCAGTCTGTTTTTGGTTTTTGTTTGTTTTTGTAATCAAGAAACAAAATTTTTTGACTTTTTTTTTCCCTCAATCTCCAATGAGTTCTGCCCTTCTGCCCACTCCTTAAATGTTCCTCAAGATTGATCTCTGGTTATTCTCACTCCACACACACTCCATGGAGATCCCTTTTCCAATTTTCTAGTTTCAGCTGCAAACTAATGTTTATGACTCCCCTTTGTGTATTTCTAGTACCAATATCTGCAATGAAGTTCAGATATCTATATCCAACTGCCTGCTAAATATTTTCAAAACTGTCTCAAAATTGTCATAAGTTTGCTTTTCCCCATTAATTGTTCCTGCCTGTGTAATACTTGCCTCTCATAAAACCATTGTCCAAATATAAATATGGGCTGTAAATATCATTTTCTTTTCCTTACTCCAACTTCCAGGTAATCGCCTACTAAATTTATCACTAAGTTGTTTATACATATATAACCTTTCCTCAAACCACACTGTCATTCTCCTAGTTTAGATCCTCCTCATTCCCAATTTAACTAATGGGTGCTAGTTGTAGTCTTTGCCTGTGGTATTTCTTCCTCCAATTTTACAAAGTTACCATTAATATCCCATATAAAATAAGATCTGGACGGGTGTGGTGGCTCGTACCTGTAATCACAGCATTTTGGAAGGCCGAGGCTGGAGGATTGCTTGAGTCCAGGAGTTTGAGACCAGCCTGAGCAACATGGTGAAACCCCATCTCAAAAAATACAAAAATTGGTCCAAGCATGGTGGCTCACACCTGTAATCTCAGCACTTTGGGATGCCGAGGCAGGCAGATCACCTGAGGTCGGGAGTTGGAGACCAGCCTGACCAACATGGAGAAACCCAGCCTCTAATGTAAATAACGAGTTAATGGGTGCAGCACACCAGCATGGCACATGTATACATATGTAACAAACCTGCAGGTTGTGCACATGTACCCTAGAACCTAAAGTATAATAAAAAAAAAAATAAAACTACAAAATTAGCTGGGCATGGTGGCGCATGCCTGTAATCCCAGCTACTCAGGAGGCTGAGGCAGGAGAATCGCTTGAACCCGGGAGGTGGAGGGTGCAGTGAGCCGAGATCGCACCATTGCACTCCAGCCTGGGCAACTAGAGAGAAACTCGGTCTCAAAAAAAAATTAGCCAGGTGTAGTGGTGCACACCTATTGTCCCAGCTACTCCAGAGGCTGAGATGGGAGGATCACTTTAGTCCAGGAGTCCGAGGCTGCAGTGAACTGAGATCCTGCCACAGCACGCCAGCCTAGGTGACAAGAGCAAGACCCTGTCTCGAAATCAATAAATAAATAATAAAATTAAAAATAAGATCTGATCGTGTCACCTGCCTGCTTTAGAACCCTTCAGTGGAACCCTGTTGTCTGCAAAATCCTTGATATTATCTCCTGTACAGCCCTCCCTGTCCTATGTATCTCTTAACCTTAACTCCTGCCATGCCCTGCCTCTTACTTCATGCACTTGAAATCAAGTGACTTGCTGTTTTCCTCATGCACCATACTGCTTCACAGCTCTGTGCTTTAACTCACGCTGCTTAACTGCCCTGAATGCACTTCCCACATTCTTTGCCTGGCTAACTCTTATTCGTCCTTAAAACTTTAGCTCCCGCCATGCTGTCTTCTCAGGAAATTTTCCTGTATCCTCCCAGTCTAAGTATAAATACTCTGTGCTCCCCTGCAGCTAGTGCATCCCCACAGCCTCACTCTTACATCATGTTTAAATGTTTGTCTTTCTTACCCTACAAGATGTAAGCATCTCATAAGGAAGGGCCCTATTTTTTATTTTGAGATTAATTTATTTAAGATTCTCAATTTGCTGAAGTGAGACAGCAAGCCATTTTATTTTTCCGATAACTGACACCAACTGAGTCAACACCTCCCACTTTCTCGCTTGGTCATGCATTCTCTGTAATGACAACTCTGTTCACTTCTGTAACTTGTCAATAATTTTAGCCATTATGAGAGCCAACTTCTACTTCCTAAGACCCAGATATATCTGTTTTAACATTTACTTTAATATCTAATTAAACACTCTTTTTAGAAACACTTCCTCTTCTCTCCCCACACTGTCATTGCTTCTCTTCCTAACATTGACTATTTATAGCCATCCTCTGTGTTGCAAATATCCACATGGGACACATTCGATGCCACTTAAGAGAGATGTAGGCCAGGTGCAGTGGCTCATGCCTGTAATCCCAGCTACCTGGGAGGCTGAGGCAGAAGGATCGCTTGAACCCAGGAGGCGGAGGTTGCATTAAGCCGAGATCACACCACTGTACTCCAGCCTGGGAGAAAGTATGAGACTCTGTCTCAAAAATAATAATAATAATAAAAGAGATGTAAATGCAATAGAATGCATCCATCTAATTCCCTGTCAAGGGAGATCAGATGGGTTTTAATCTGTGCCCCAACATATGTATACACACATACTCATTGCTACCAATGTTAGTTTTTCCAAGTTTAGTAAATGATGTTGATGGCAGTGGAGGCTTGTCTGGAGCAGCCACTGTGAAGATGCTGCTACAGCAGTGGAGGTGCATTCAGGGCTGCTTGCTCCATGGAGTCAGCAGGGGCCGGGAACAGGTGGGAGCCCCGTCATCTACTAAGTCAGCAGGGCAGGAGCCCTGCACCTGCGGGTGCAGCTGCAGCCGCCCAGCCAGGGCTTTGGACCCAGACATTCCTGCACTCTCAGGGGCCCAGGGAGCTCCTTGCTCCTTGGGTTTGAAAGTGCCTGCTCCCACTGCCTGGTCTCTTCCTGCTTCCACAGCTTGCTCCTGGGTAGAACAAAGTTGTGGCAGAGGCTTGGCACTATTGCATCCCAGCCAGCTGTGCAGATTCAGGGCAGCCTGACACACTAGCCCTCTGCCACTTTGGTCCCCTCCAGACTGCTGATGAGTGGAGGGAGGCTGGTAGGGGGCGGGGGGAGGCTGAGGGTGGCTCGCACAGGCCGGCAGATGCTCCTCAGCACGAATAGCCTGGGCACCACGGATGGCATATTGACAGCAGGAGGCAGACATGTTCCTGGGTGGAACGGGGCAGGTCCCTGGTAAAGTCCCACCTTCAAGCCAGGGAATGCCTGAAGCCTGTGGACTGGGCTGGCAGTTCCAGGCAGTCTGATGCCGATAGTGAGAACTTCACTGAAGACCATTCGGCCAACTGGATAGTGTGTTTTCCAGGCCCACTCATGGCCACCCATGGACAAATTAGCACTGACTTTCACTCTTCTGAGCCCATAAAATTTTCCGGACTCAGTCAGACTCAAATAGATGTTGGGTGGACCTGCCTGCAGAAAGGAGCTACCCACTTCCAGTCTCCTGAGAGCTGTTCTGTTGCTCAGTGAAGCTCCTCTCCACCTTGCTTACCCTCCAGTTGTCTGCATACCTCATTCTTCCTAGACGCTGGACAAGAACTTGGCACTACAACCTGCTGAATGGCGGGAGTCAAAGAGCAGTAACATAATCAGGGCTGAAACATGACCCCCAACCCTCGCCATGCTGCAGGCAATGAGAAGAAGAGAAGAGTTGCAGCCCTAGGGGCTCCCCGAGCCAGGGCCGTAACACCCTCTTTGGGGCTCTGAAGTTTCTGGTGTCTCTGAGCTTTCGAGTGCTGCCCTGTTCCCCGTGTCCAGATGCTGGTGCCCACAGTGGAAGCCACGTGTGGTATGTCTCGTCCAGCTACAGCCTCAAACACAGCCTGCACCTATACCTATACCAGTGCCTGGAGCTGAGCACCCTGCTGCAGAAGGTGATGTGCCTGGCTGTGTGCAGCGGCCAGACCCCGCACTCGCTGGCTCACACACCCCTGGATACTCTGCACCTGGCTCAGGCTAGGCAGGTATGAGATCCAGGCCAGTAGCACAGGGCAAGTGCAGCCTGCCTGGCTGAGTAAACAGAATGAGCCTAGAGGGCATGAGCAGTACTCAGGCAAAAGGAGCTGACATTAAGAGGTTTCTGGCTGGCAAAGCGACACCCCAAAAAATTCCGCATCAATGTTTGGGGATTGAGTGACATGGTGATGTTTGGGTTGTAGGTAGCTAGCTTTTGAAGCATCAGCTTGCCATGATAGCTCCAACAGTGAGCTGCAGCCCTGAAATACCTCGCTTAAGCCTACTCTCTCCCTCCTATACCTGTCTCAGCCTCAGCAGTATTAAGTACTTGTTTACTCAGTAGCTCAGAAATTTTCAGATATAAGATGGTGAATATTCCCAAATTATCGAGAGACATCCCCAGTTTTAGGAGTGATTCTCTTGAGGCTTTTTTCATACTCTCAGAAGAAAATGTACTCAAGAAGTAGTCTTTATTTATTAACACTACTCTACCCACCCAAATGCATATTCCTTTCTCTTATCCAGTTGATAGTGACATACTGATTGGCCTAAAATCGTTCTCTCAGCCCCAGCAGCTCACGGTTCCTTGACGGTAGATTGTTGAAATCTTTATTGATTATTACAGTCAACAAAGATTTATTAAAGCCTACTGTGTGCTGACCCCTGCTAGCAGATACTAGGCTAATCACAGTGAACACAGCAGATAAAATGTCTCATCCAGTGGAACTTAAAGCTTTGAGCTTTAGCAAGCAATGCTTATCAAAGTTATCGCACCTAGAAGTATGCTACTGCACCAGTGCCTAGCATTTGGTTGGTTGCATAATTAATAATGAATAATAATCTGTGCAATGAAAACAGGCAAATTACCTGATATCCAGAGGGAATTAAATATACATAGTTTTTCTTATTCTTGTTTTGTTTTTTTTTTTTTAGATTTTAACTTACATGAACTTGCCCACTTTTTAACTGAGTTGCAATTTTTACTTAAAATGACCCATTTTAAAGCTCTAATAAACATACTTGTTATAAAAATCTAGATTAGGCTGAAATAACACACAACTCATGTTTTAGTTGCTTGAATCATTATAACAAACAAACTTGCTTAAGTCACAGTCAGTATGGAATTAAAAACGCTGATATACGGAAGGTTGCCAGTCAGGGCACCAGGACAAAGAGAAAGTTGAGAAGCCTCCAACCAGCAATTTAATGCTACACCCTATCTGTCCATAGCCAACTGGAAAGAACTAGTCACATGGTCCATCAATTTGCCAAGAAAGCAAGGAATTATAATATTCTCATTTACCAAAAAACTGCATTATTAAAAAATAATTAAATACCAAAGAGGCAAACCACTGCCCCGAAGTTTTGTTGTTGTTATTGTTGTTTTGTTTTGTTTTTCGGAGATAGAATCTTGCTTGGTTGCCCAGGCTGGAGTACAGTGGTGGTGTGATCGCAGCCTACTGCAATCTTGAACTCCTGGACTCAAATGTTCCTCGTATCTCAGACTTCTAAGTAGCTTGGACTATAGGCATATGTTCCAAGTTCTAATGGTGGCCTTCAGTCCCTCAGGGACCTTTTCCGAAGGCTTCTGACAGTCTTATGATCTACTCTGTGATGTCAGAAAATTAAAAGTTAAAAATCTGGCACTTTCATGTAATATTAAAAAACAAAACCCTTTGCTCAAACCATTTTTTATCTGAATTAAAAATTTGTTGGGCAGAATACAAGGTATTATTTGAAAATAATAGGGTTGCTAAAAATTCATGTAAGTAGGAAGCAACTTAAGACAGCATTTCTTATTCTGAGAATTATTAGTATGTCTGGCTGTATAATTTCTTCGTTGTGGGGGCATTCTTGTGTTTATAGCATCCCTGTCCTCTACCCATTAGTTGTCAGTAGCACCTCACTCAAGTTGGGTCAATTAAAAACATATCTAAATATTTTCCCTTGGCAGGGCAAATTTCCAGGCAACAAAATTAACTCTTGTTGAGAACTAGTGACCTAGAAGAACTTATTAGAAGTCTAATGACCCTCTTATGACTTTGTGTTGTAAACTGGTAATCCCACGGAATGAATGTCTCCGGGGCTTTCATCCTAGAAGAATCTCATCCCTGAAGAATTTCTTGTGCTATTTTTTCTGGATCTCTTCCCCTCTACTTCAGCAGTAGATATTAGGTGAACATGCTATCCTCACAACTGGTTTTAATTTCTTGAACTAGTATAGTGCATGTATTTTTTTTTTTTTTTTTGCCCTTAAGAAACACACAGTGGTTTCCATTCCTTGCAGAAGCCTAGATGGCTCCTGCATTGGAAGAAATCAGGAAGGGAGAAGATTGAGAAGAAGAACTTTTTAGTGAGTCTTATTTAAGCTGAAAAGAAAAGAAATCTTGACCTCAACTCTCTTAAACCTTATAGAAGTTTCTGATCTTTGAAAGCAGAAATTCCAGATGTAGGGCAAGCTTCCATATTGGTACATTGGTTCCATAGTGTCAAAAGCCCTGCATTCTTTTCATTTTTCCAGTCTGACATTCATAAGATGTCACTGGGAATTGGTGCCTACATTAATTTTAGGTGTTATGACTTTCACAGATCCAAAGCAAGAATAGAGACTGTCTCTCTGTGGTTCTCTGTTAGAAATAAGAAAACATTTCCGAGAATAGAGGCCACTAGAAAGAAGATTAGGAAACCAAGTTTATTCCAAGTTACCCCAAGTCTTGGGGTAAATGAATTAAAAACTCTGGGCTTCAATTTTCACATCTATTAGGTAAAGAGATTAGATCAAATGATATTATGAAAGCCCTACTCACTTTAAAACATTTTTCACCTATGTGAATACTGCTTGCTTTCTTTAGTTTAAATATATGATTGGAATCATCTGAAAGCTAAATAGTAATGTATTAAAGTGAGTTCACTTTCGCATTGCAGGAAGAAATTAGTTTCTTTTGAGATGACTTCATTGTTGAGTTTTTTCTTACTTTCCTCTGTAAAGTGAATGGTTACAAGAGCCTGGAGTTGTTGCTGAGAGGAGGGAGAGAATTTCCTTTGAGTACTTCTAAGGTCCCGGAGGCACTACCCATCTCCAGCTCGTCCAATCAATAGCCAGTTAGAACTGAGGAGAAACAGTGTGTAAAAATTATGAAATCGATCTGTCGTGCCCCACTTGGGCCATTATTCAGTCTCTGCACTTCCGAGGTTGTGAAGGGACCACTCAGGTTAATGGAAACACAGTGGCAGACCTGATCCTGTGTTTTCTCATTTCTCCTCTCTTGCCCTGGAGTGAATGCATGGGTCTAAGGGAGTCAGAGAGGCCAGGCAAATCATGATGGAAATTCCCATCGAGACACTGTTCGAAATTCATCAACACTAATAATGACATCTATTCACTCTACTAGTAGAAAAGAAACAATTTGGGAAAGTGAGAGGGAATTTTATCCTACAGAGACAAATAATGTAGTATGCATATCCAAAAATAGGAAGGGCATTAATTAATGGATAACCTACCTCAGCAAACATCTGTAAATTGAGATTACAATTGTTTGTCATGAAGTATAATTACTGATATTTTTGAGGTACTTGAATATTACTTGTTCTTAAATGGTCCATCTAGAAAAGCAGGCATGTTAATGCAAACATTTGGCACTTTTTAATGATTACTGAGGTTCATTTGTAGTTTTGTACAAATATTGAATACCATGATGGAATGGAGAGAGTTTTGTAAGTAAATAGATTTTAATATTAATCAGTTTTATAACGTTTAACAAGTAATTTAAAGATCGTAAGGTTTTTTCTTAAAGTTAAGTGGTTAATGTAGGCTCTATGATCTTTTATGGATATAAAATTCTTAAACTACGATTATTTGATTTGCATTTAAAAGGAAAGCTCATTGTGCCATTTATCTCTACTATTAGGCATAATAAAACCTCAATTAATTCACATTGTTTTGAGGCCTGCAAGTCAAAAGAGTGAGGTGAAATTTAAAACTGTTTTTAATTTATCTTACTGTAAAGCACAAAGTAGTTTTTTTAAAACCTTCTTATCAATAATTTTAAAAAGAAAATGCAAAGTTCATAAAATTTCCTTTAGGGTTTCAAACAGAATCTGATCAAAGTAATCATCTAAACTTCAGTTGAATGAAGAAAAAAATGAAGATAAAGAATAAAATATGAGTCACCATATGTTAAAATAAATTTATCTTAGCCTCAGTTTCTGCTGAGGCCACAAGATGATTGATGTCAACATTCTAAAGTGAGGTGAGAGACAATCATGCAAAAGGCAGTTTAGAGAAATGGATTTCTAACTCTTAGCTCCTTGCTCACAATAAGGGCATAAAACTGGCAGGGTTTTGATTAGACAGGGATTTCTTTAGAGAATGCTGTCTGTGAGATGGAGGATGGTGCTTCTTACTCTACAGTTGCACTGAAACTTTAAGAAGACTACTTAGCTTAACGAGTCTCCTGTAGCTTGATAGGCACAGTGGACAGTGTCTGACTCATACTTAAGAAATCTGAAGCAATAAAGATCAGGTATCTAGCTACCCTGACAGCAGAGGGATTAACAGGTACTTTTTGAGATTATATATATGCATACATGTATATCATATAAATTATGTATAACTTAATTTACTCTGTGTATGTATATACATTATGTATAATATATTGTAATTATTATTATTAAAGTATCATTTTGTGGCTCAGATAACCATTGTAACATGATATGTCCTAGTGTTATTTGTAAAAGACTATTTATTTTGTGTTTGCTACACATGGGCCTGGGAGTAAGGATGGCTTAAATACTCAAAATCGAAGTTATGGTTTTCTCTCAAGGAACTTCCTATTGACTATGAAGAAGAGCAAATGTGATTTTTTAATAAATACTTTAATGACCAATGTTTAGGAAATTCTGTCACATAATGGGTGATTCTCCTTTAAGAGGCGGAGAAACTGAGCAAAAACATTTATGAAACAATAATCAATAACATTAAAATTGAATTTGTCTGAAAACAGATTGCACTTTGTCCTGGAGTATCATAAGAATAAACTTTTTAATGTTTGTAGCATGGCTGGCTGGCTGGCTGAATATCTTGTGGTTGGTGACTTCAGAACAGGAGACAGGAAAGCACTAGAAGGGTCTGTGTCATTCTTGACCTGATTAATTCTTTAAGGATTATAATATGACTTCTATTAATATTTGTATTCTAAAATTTGTTTGGACAAAATTTGGAAAGCTTCGAGATATTTAGCTTTTTCTTTCTTTTCTTTGGTTAATGCTCAGATATGGGATACTGGCTCCTAACTGTATTTGAACTTGAACTCACACTTCAATATGCATGCGATATCAAGCTGCTTACAGTTTCTCAAGAGTACCATATGCTTTTTACATCCATATCTATGTATGTGACCTACTTCTGGGTCTTTCTCCAGATCTTCATGGAGACATATTTTATTTCCAAAACTCAGCTTTTTGAAGATATTCTGATACCTTCATCCCCCATATAATTTATATTTTCAAATCTCTTTTTACTCTTAAACAACATCACATTTTTGCATTTATCTTTCCCTACAAAAAGTTTTTAAGTAGACTTAGCTTGTTTGGTTTTGTTTTGCTGTTGTTGTTTTGTTTTTACCTTCTCTATCACACCACCAATTTGATTTTCATAACACGGCAGATATTTAAAAATTATTTGCTGAACTGAATTAAACTAAGAAAAGTTAAGATTATTTTGCTTGTTATATTATCTTGAGACTCCATTTATGTAAAACTTTCCCTTTCAAAAATTATATATCATATATAATAGGTATTCTGTATTCTGGTTTAAAAATGATGATAATTACATACTTTCATTAGAAATTCATTTCTTATATACCTTTTTTTCTCAATTATGTAGTGACAACTTTATGCCAACATATTTTGAGAAATGTCCATAAGCATTATTTCCTTTACCTATAAATCCAACGATTGGGAGGTTAAGAAAATCAGTGAATAAATTGGAATTCTGGTTCTTCAACCAGATGTTGTCACTCTCTTGCCACTTCCTCCAACATAACATGGTAGTATAGCTACCATTTCAGCTTTCAACTGTATCTACTAGAAAACAATTCTGGAAAAAAAATGCTTCTGTTTTTTTATATGAAAAATGGCCCTTAACCCATTGCAGTTAGGCTTCCATCCAAATGCTGCCTCCAAGAATCTTTCCCTGAAGTCATCGGGCTTCCTTCCATGTTGTCAAATTCAGTGTTTCCTTTCTGGCAGCATTTAACACAGACAGGAACTGCAGCCTCTTAACTTTTCTCCTACCTGCATAGGAGGCTTTAACGTAATCTTCTTTGTAAAATCCTCTTCCTCTGGTTGTCTTCTAACTGTTGGAACCCGAAAAGCTTTGTCTGAATTGGACCCTTTTCTCTCTCTATGCGTACTCTCCGAGAACCTAAAGTTCCATGGCTGTGGTGGCATCTGCGGGCCAGTGACTTCCAAATCTATACCTTTTGACTTGACTTCTCATTAGAACAGCAGACTTGTACATCAAGGCCTGCTCTAATACTTTTATGTAGATATCTACTAAAATTTATCTCAAATTTTACTTGGCTCCCATTAACTTTTAATTCTTAACTTGCAAACTGGTTCCTTGTGTTTTTCACAATTGTTTAATGAAAATACCGAAATTATTGTACAATCATTCTTCATCCCTCTCTTTCCTTCATTTTCTCTCCCTCAAATCTCCATCCCATCTTCAAGGTTTGTTCACTTAACTCTCCAAAATATATTTCATGCCTGATGACACAATTGTTTTTTTCTTCTCCCAAAGTACCGCCCTTCTCCAAGTCAATGTTACTTCTCATCTAGGACTGCATCATTAGCCTTGATTTCCCTTTGCTACCAAACCCCATTGCCCCCAGGTATTTAACACAGAAGGTAAAACAATCTTACACAAAATAAGACATTTCATTGTCTTGCTCAGTACCATTCAACGTGTTAGCTTCTGTGTGTACAGTAAACCTTGCCTTACAATTAACAGTATCCTTGCCTTACAAAGCTATACCACACCCAGATCTTGTATCATCTTGAGATATTTTTCCTCCTAAAACTATACTTCAGGCAGACTGGTCTTCTTCCTCTTTGAGTATATTAGGCTTGTTCTGCCCTCAGGACCTTTTCATTAGTCTTTCTTCTGCCTGTAATAATCTTCTGCCTGAATTTCACATAACTTTATCTTAGACTAAATATCATCTCCTCAGAGAGGAGCTCTTTGACTACCCAATCTAAGGTAGCCCACTATCACACCACTGAATCTTAATTCCCTGCCTATCTCTAAATAATGTGGTATGTTGGACATACTTTCATGACTCTCCTCTGAATTGTTGTTTGCTTTTCTTTTCTGCCTATTCCCTTTTAAATAGATATACCTGAGATTAGGGACTTTATTTTATTCAGTGCTCTACAATCCAGATATAGAATAGTGTTTTTTCCATAGTAAAAGTTTATTAAGTACCAGATAACTAAAAAAATTATAAATATATCTTTGGGACAGTCATGCTTTATATTTTAGTAAAGGTTGATTTTTAAAATGAGTTTAAGCTATATGATATATATATTATATATCACATATAATGTGATATATATTATGTATCACATCATATAAATGTGATATATAGTATATAAGGTGATATATATCACATTAAAATATATGTCACATTATATATTATATTATATATATCACATTATTATATTATATATATCACATTATATATTATATATCACATTATATATTATATATCACATTAAAATGTATAGATATGAAATATATATAATATATACACATAACATTTCTCAACTTTCATCTGAAAATTAGAGTAATTTTTTCCCCAAAATGCTTGGAGCTAACCATCTTTATCAGCACAGGCTGTGTATTGTAACAAATTGTATATCTGATTTGAAACGATGCTTTATATATAAATGTGAATCTATATTTTTAATTCATCTTAAAGCCACTTGCAAAAGTCCCCAATTTCATGAACAGGTAAGCCTATCTAGTAGTTAACATGGAGATTTTGGGGATTCAACTTACCTTGCATTTTACCTCTTTGTGTGACCCTCAGTGGTTGACTTTATCAAACTTTTTTGTTTTTCCTACTCATAGTTAAATTTAAAAACCCCAATAAAAGCATTGAGACATGCCGGCTGCTTTTTTTCATATCTTAAATAAATAACATGCACATAAATATCTTTTTTTTAGTCTGCTTTTACTTTTAAATGTAATTAAAATAATTTTTATTAAGTGCCTGAGAGGGACACTGGAGAAGGCAAAGATTAATTTAGAAAATCAATCCTTAAAATAAAATTTGTAAAGTTTATGTAACCCAGGTACCTGTGGAAGAAACAATTTGTTCATTATTGACTATTTTCTCATCTCTCATAACGGAACTTTCTACTTTTAGTTGGACACCACCATTTCTGCCACATTTCCTTAGGAGAAATGATGTGTGCAAGTCCTGTCCCTTAGGAGATGAGCTTTCAATCCTCTGACTCTCCTCCCCACTCCTCTTTGGCCAGCAAATGAAGAAACTGGAGCTTTACCTTTAAATTAGAAGATGGAAACCATGTGTGGAAGATAGCAGAACTCCCCAGCAGAACAGACTCCTTACCTCTTACACTAGAGAGAAATAAAATTTTTATCTTAATTAAGACATTTTGCTTTGAATCATTTTGTTACAGGTGTTTGGACTGTACTCTAAATAACACCATTCCCCCAAAAATATATGAGTTCTTTTTGGCATGTCAAGTTTCAAATATGTGAGTATAAATTGAATTTTAGAACAACGTCAGTAAGTTGGATATTGCCTATAATATTTTATTATTTTTTAGGATAAAAAGTAATGCCAAATGAGAACAGGATATGGCTGCAAATCAGCATCAGGGATATTTTTTGGGGTAATGAAAATGGTCTAAAATTGGATTATGATGCTGGTTGCACAATTCCTGTAAGTTTACTAAAAATTGTACACTTAAAATGGGTAAATTCTGGATATTAGCCCTTTGTCAGATGAGTAGGTTGCGAAAATTCCAGAATCTACAATGAACTCAAACAAATTTACAAGAAAAAAACAAACAACCCCATCAAAAAGTGGGCGAAGGACATGAACAGACACTTCTCAAAAGAAGACATTTATGCAGCCAAAAACACATGAAAAAATGCTCATCATCACTGGCCATCAGAGAAATGCAAATCAAAACCACTATGAGATACCATCTCACACCAGTTAGAATGGCAATCATTACAAAGTCAGGAAACAACAGGTGCTGGAGAGGATGTGGAGAAACAGGAAAACTTTTACACTGTTGGTGGGACTGTAAACTAGTTCAACCATTGTGGAAGTCAGTGTGGCGATTCCTCAGGGATCTAGAACTAGAAATACCATTTGACCCAGCCATCCCATTACTGGGTATATACCCAAAGGACTATAAATCATGCTGCTATAAAGACACATGCACACGTATGTTTATTGTGGCATTATTCACAATAGCAAAGACTTGGAACCAACCCAAATGTCCAACAATGATAGACTGGATTAAGAAAATGTGGAACATATACACCATGGAATACTATGCAGCCATAAAAAATGATGAGTTCATGTCCTTTGTAGGGACATGGATGAAATTGGAAATCATCATTCTCAGTAAACTATCGCAAGAACAAAAAACCAAACACCGCATATTCTCACTCATAGGTGGGAATTGAATAATGAGATCACATGGACACAGGAAGGGGAATATCACACTCTGGGGACTGTGGCGGGGTGGGGGGAGGGGGGAGGGATAGCATTGGGAGATATATCTAATGCTAGATGACGAGTTAGTGGGTGCAGCGCACCAGCACGGCACATGTATACATATGTAACTAACCTGCACAATGTGCACATGTACCCTAAAACTTAAAGTATAATAAAAAAAAAAGAAAAGAAAAAAAAAGAAAATAAAATGGGTAAATTCTTTTATGTAAAGTATACCTAAATAAAACTTAAAAGAAAAATATTGTGCTGATATACTAATAAAAAGAAGCAAGTGACGTATTAAGTAGCTTTCTGGTTTATTTTGTTTTATCTAAGTATATTATTATTTCAAGGTCTTTTCCTGCTGTTAATATATTTTAAAATCAGGAAAGAGCTATAAAGTCAAAATTGGGGATACCTTTTCCACAGATAACAAAACTTATTCACCTTCTTTTGGATTTTTTTGGGGGGTAAAAGCTACTTTTTCTATTATGCATGCAATTCTACCATATAACTATATTTACTCACTCAAAGACTGCCTGCAATGATTTGGATAAACCAAGTAGCATTAATTCCTGTATAAGTCTGTTAGACTGGATACATTTGGAGAAATAATAACACTAGTATAGCTTAGGAACAGCAATATGTAATAGAACAGTATGAGAGGAACAAATGTCTTAAAGATAAATTTAATTCTACCTTCAAACAATATTGTTTTATATGGATTAGTTGTGCATTGTAAACTAGTTAAAAATTTGACAATCCGGTATAAGTTGGATGTCTCTAAGTACATCCTTCAGGTAGGCCATAAAGCAAGAAGAATTTCAAACACATATTCTGTTTAGTCTCTCATATATATATATATATATATATATGTAGTGTCACAACTAGTACTGTTATCTTCAAGCACAATGATTTCTCATATCTTCCAAACCCATCCATATGCTTCCACTGAAGCCTGTAATTTTATGATAATTCTACTTCACACATTATACAGTAATAATTTGCCTATTCATCTATTTTTTATTATTATTTTTTTTGAGACAGTTTTGCTCTTGTTGCCCAGGCTGGAGTGCAATGGCACAATCTTGGCTCACCGCAACCTCTGCCTCCCGGGTTCAAGCGATTCTCCTCCTCCTTCAGTAGCTGGGATTACAGGCATGCGCCACCATGCTCGACTAATTTTTGTATTTTTAGTAGAGACGGGGTTTCACCATGTCGGCCAGGCTAGTCTCGAACTCCTGACCTCAGGTGACCCACCTGTCTCGGCCTCCCAAAGTGCTGGGATTACAGGTGTGAGCCACCATGCCTGGCTTCATCTATGTTTAATGTATTATGAGTTCCTAAAAGAGGATAAATAAATATTTTTAAAACATTGAAGCCCCTTCTTTACAGGTGCATGACACATAATACGCACTTGATAAATTCTTATTGATGTTAATGAATTTTCAAGATCTAGAAGCAGAAATTAGCACTGCTAAAAAATGGACAGCCCATCTGTAACTGAACTGAATTTGCCTTAAATGCACACAACCTGCTCCCCAATATTAAGATTTTTTTTCAGATTTCAAAAGAAATATTAAGACTTTTAAAAACTATATGTGTGAAGATAACTACATCTTAAAGAAATAAGTTAAACAATGAATCTCATTCCTGGAGATATATCCAGGTTCTAAATTTGCTTTGAAAGAATGAAGAAAGTCAAGAAAATACTGATTTTGACTTGTCAGGTGTCATATAATCTTAATATTTCTAAATGCCTCTAAATGAACATCTAGATTTGATTCAGTTACAAACAGAAGCATTTCTAAATGTCTGCTGTAATATTTTAATATTTCTATTCTTATTTCATTAAGAATCATGTTTCCTTGCTTTCCTTGATTTTAAAAACTTGAAATATATTAACTGCACAAGATATTTGAAACACATTTACGCGTGTGTCTGTGTGCATGTGTGTGCACACGTGTGTGCATATCACTTTCCTTATTTGCAAAGCAAGTGCTTTGTTCTTAGTGAAAGTAAGAGACAGAGTGTGGATAATTCAGCGAATAAGATGATAGAAAGCAGTTATTGGCGATGGGTCAGTAGCATCATCCATTACAATGAAGAATAGAATTTTTATCAAAGTTCCTTGTCTTAGGGTAGCACTTCAAGAGTAAATCATATCACTGATTATAGTCTATAAAAAGATTTTGGAGGCTTCTAATGGAAGTAATTATTTTTTCCTGGTTCTTCTGTATAACAGAATTCAGACATACAGATTATCAATCATATTAACTTAGAAATAATATATGTTAAGTTATAACTCTTGATCATGTCACATGAAGTCTACATCATCAATTATAGACTATTGGAAAGATTTTCTTGCTGTTATAAAAGTCAATATTACATTACAGAAAAAAATTTATCTTCATTGGCAATAAGTTACAATATTTACAAATAATACATTTTATCTACGTAGCAATTCATTTTAACCACATAATATTTTAACTACATAATGTGACCTGGGACCCCAGGAAATTAGAAATGTCTTATAACCTTGGATTATTCAGAACAGGTAACTGAATACAGTATTTTTTTCCATTTTCTTAACTTTATGGGGCTGCTTTTTAGTCGGACTCTTAGTAAAGTCTAAGATTCGCCCAACAAAAGGACAGTCTCCTAAATGCCCATGGTTGATATCAAGCTACCCAGACCCTATAGATACTTGTATGTAAAAGGAGTTAACTTCAGTTCCTAAGAAATATGTAATTGACCAAAAAATGTTCTAAGAAATAAAATGGATACAGGAGTGCTGAAGAACATAGCCTTACTTTGAGATCAGTAACAACCAGTTGAAAGAATTTTTCACTTTCCTGTCAGCTTCTGTAGCATTGTGAGGATACTGCCTTGGGCTATGCAGGTAGCCTTGAGGTGATGAGAATTTTTAAGAACACTATTTGAACATCAAATATCATTGAAACACTTCATGCCAACTAACTAGAATTGATGCTTAAAAATATAAAATAGACGATAGCTAACCGTAATCAACTTAAATTGTGCCCAGCTGTTGTCGACTGAAAAATGAATTTGAGGTTAGACTAACAGAATACATGCTAGTTCCAAATTTTTATTTTCAAAGGCCATTTATATGAAAGTGCCAGCCTCCATCAGTTGGGGCACTTCAGATAAAGTATTTTATATGTAATGTACATTATAGTCAAGCCATTTGATCTTGCAAATAGTGACTACATTGATCCTTGGAGAATACGGCTGTAAAGCTGAAAGCAATACTCAAAAAAGTTTCACAGCATAGATTTTTAACTTTTCCTCAAGTTGAAACTCAGTATGAAGTAAGTTTTTGCAACTGAAGATACAAAAAGAAATGACAAACCCTAGTGAAATATATATAAATAAACGCCCTTTAATAGTAATGAACACCCCTCCTAAGAGAGACAATTTTCTACCCAGCTTAGTAACTGATGTGTGAGATAAACAGTGGAAAATTGGGGCAGTAAGGCACAGGGAAGTATGGGTTTATTTGTCTCACAAGAGTTGAATCATACTTACTAGCTAGCTACTTGTGAATGATTAATGAAATAGAAGGAAAAAACACAGAGAGAAACAAAAAAGAGAAGAAAAAAAGGGGAAAATGCCCTTCGTTCCTCAGATAAGAGAGAGAAAAAACAGCAGTACCCATTGCCCAGAACAATATTATTTGAAAGTTTCTCAGCATCCAAAAGTCAAACTCAAGAGGCCAATGCTTATTTATTTACAGAATTTCACTATTTAAATGACTTGTCTTCTTTTTTGAACTTGAGAGATATTTGTTGCAAACTAAGGAAAAACATTTTTTTCAGTCTAAAATATCAAACTACTCTTGATGTTGTTTTCCCCTGCAGAAATTAAAGAAATTTGACAAAGTTTTGTTGCAACACTGAAAATTTAGATTTGAAAATTCAACACTACAGATGTAATCACAGCCAGACACTAATTAAGCATCAGGCCAAATTTGGTCCTAGAAATGTGTATGCATAATGTTTGACTTTAGTGGAAGTCTTCTGTGTGTTTTCAAGGGCAGACTTTGGTCAAAGGCTTATTGAAGGAACTAGGAATAAAATGCTTCTAAAGAAATATGGCACCTTTGTTTAATAATATTTACCTATATGCAAATCTTTTCTTTTAAATTTAGATATATTATGAGTAAAATTGCGGCCACTTTCTGACATTTCCCATATTCACTGAAAGACAAATGCTCTTTATCATCTTCAGTTGTTTTATTATTGTGTATAAGAGAAAGGATAGAAAATCTTCTCCATGAAAGCTTTCATTTTCAAATTGTTAGCATTTCTAGGATTGTCTCAGGATAGATTTTGGGTGATATGGGAATATTTGGGAGGAAGGAGGGCATTCTCATTCTGCAAGTTTGCTGGGAAACCACCCCATGGAAGTTGCCCCAAATACGGAATATTTTGTTTTTCTCTGTGGCTTTTAACTTACCTTAGTATTTGGCAGCATAAAGGGGGAAAAAGCTTATTTTAAATTGTGTCAGGATATGATGTGAGATGTGTCTCTGCTTGAGTCTTATTTATTTTCTGATAGAAAGATTTTAGCGCAACGTATAATAGAATTCTTGTTTCTGAATCTGAGCCAAGGGACACTTTCTATACGAGTTGCTCGGTGAACTCTGAGACAAATATGAGCAGTTGGACTGAACTTGAAAGCCACATGCTCATTATTATTAATGAACTTCAGCAAGTTTCCTCACTTCTCTAGGCCTCATTTCCTTTCTTTATAAAATAAAGATAACAGTTATTTATAGCATTACTGGAATAACCAAAACAGTAACAAAAAATGCATGCTAAGTGCCTAGTGTCAAACATGTAATAGGTTTTCAATTATCCTCACTGTTTTTGTTTCTCATTCATGTTGTTGTAACTGATGCATCATTGTTGTGGCTCTCCTTCTCCTTCCTCTTCCTCTTCTGATGATGACAATGAAAATAATCTAGGGTCCACAGATTACATAACTTGTATAGTGCTTTGTGTATTTTGATACAGACATCACAAAGAATTAAAAAGTCACGTGCATTGCCTAACATCTTTAGCAATATCATAAGAAAGTCAAATAAATTTTAGAAATTCTAATAAACCACGTATAATCTTTTTAAATTTAATATTTCTTTTACATGTCAGGATTTTTAAAACCTGTAGCCAGTGAATTCACAGTTCCTGGTTTCTGCCACATTTTCTTTTGCATTGAGAGAGGAATAGTCATTCAGATTTCCCTGAATCTCAGACGGCCAGGTAATATGTTTTCTGTAAAACTCCTGTGAAAAGTTTCTTTTAAAAAAATCACTCTTTCTCAGGAGGACTAATAGTGAATAAAAGATTCCACAGCAAAAGATATTGGGTAGAGCAGCAAGTTGTATCCAAAATAAAAGTTATACCCAGACATTTTTGAAGTTATGATTACTCGGTGCTGAAATGGCTTCAAGTGATGAAGGACTGAGCCCTCTCCTTTTCTACAGAAGACATTTCTGACTGGTTAATTGTTGTTTCCTATTATTTTACCTTTATTTTCTGATAGTTTTCAGTACCCACACTACCACAAACATCATCATGCCTAGTACTGTCTGGCTAGAGAAGAGACTATGATTTTTTCTTTTTCTTTCTATTAAGCATTCTCACAGTGTATACCACAGAGTGAAAGTCAGAACCTGAAACCAACATTTAAAGACAATAGTCATTATATACTTGGCCATGGTCACCTATCATGAACATTCACCAAAAAGAACAACCTTTGGACTATACTATAACAATTTAATAAGGTAAACCCTATTCTTGTTCTGGGTCAGTCAAGTAATTCATCAAAAGAATGCATTTGTAAATTTATATTCCAAAAGGACAGCATAACAGAGAAACAGAGAAAAAAAATTTGTCAATGAGATACCCTATATTCTAAGTCAACTCTGTTCGTTACAACTAATCAGTTCAAAATTAATTTGGGGTATAACCTACATAGCCATGACTATATGCTATTTTTCTTTAAACTAGTTCTTTCCTATTTAGAAAATCAAAAGAAAAGGCAGTTATGATGTGCAAAGTTAAGCGGTTCTCTATTGCCAAGGTAAAATTTAAAATTATGTTAATCACCAGCAGTTATTAATTAAACTATTGCTCATTGGACCTTAACTCCAACTTTTACTCCATGTCTATAATATCACTTATTTTCTGTTAATGTTATAACCCTGGTAATTCTGAAAGATAAAGCAAGTGCCTGGCTCTATCCCTAAATGTCAACCGTTTAAGTGGTTTGACTTTTATTTTCTATTTACTTTGGTCAGTGTAAATTTCTATGGGTTTTGCTGGTTGGGGGAAAGGGGATTTGAGGATCTGTAGTTCTTGGTTATTAATATTTGACTTTGTTAGTGCTATCTATTTACTATATGACTTTGGAAAAAAAAATCAGATATTCTTTCACAGCCCTTAAAATGCATGGGGAGTGTAATCACACATTGGGCCTGCAATCTCTATATATTGCTGTTCTCTTCAGTCTCACATTTAAGTAACAATGGCTTTTGATCTTTTATATATTTTATTTTCTCACTCCAGTACGTGTTTGTAGAATCAGGAATTCGTAGTTTTTTCCTTAAAACATTATACAGATTATGTATCGTTTTATACAGGAAATGTCACAATATGTCAGAAGCATGGCTAATCTATCCCAGAGTTTTGTTTCAGACTGCACTACCTGTAAGAATGTTGTAAGACTCTGCATGGGAACCTCAATGCCACCATCCTCTGAGCTAATGGCATAGTCTAAATATTCTCTACGTTGAACCCAATTCTACCAATGAGTACTGCAGAGAACAACTCTGGGCAGAGTAAGTAGGATGTTCTCATGGATATTATTTACAAGCTAAGAATCTCTCTTCTTATAGAGGTCTAATTTACCTATGTGGAGTTGGCCATGGGAGGTAGAATGACAGAGCACAGATAAGTAGAGCCAGTGGTACAAATCTGTGGCTCTTCCACTGTTCTGTAGTTCCATTTTACCTGATTTCCCTCAGTGCCAGCCTGCACTTGCTTGGTGATAGAGCCAATTCATAAACCACAGTGCTTAAAAGAAGTTAGCTTTTCCTTGCTCTTCTGAGTGGTATATATTTACTATTTTTCAGTATTTCTTCATCCACAATCAATCTACTTTCTATCTCAGCAAAAATGTCTATTTTAAACATACCCAAACACTTAGTCTGGCTTT
The DNA here is from genome assembly GCF_000001405.40 of Homo sapiens. Classification (NCBI taxonomy): domain Eukaryota; kingdom Metazoa; phylum Chordata; class Mammalia; order Primates; family Hominidae; genus Homo; species Homo sapiens. The sequence continues at coordinate 17,648,922 of NC_000012.12, read as the reverse complement.
TCCAACCACAATCTAGAACTTTTAAGAGCTTTGGGCTTCTTAGTCATAGAGTTCAGCAGCATTCCTAGGTGGGTTGATGTGATCTCCACAAACAGTCCCACCAATCTCCAAGCTTATTCTTTATCAGAGAGGTAAGTAAGAGATAATAATTTACTTCTCAAAGTTCAAAGGATGTCTCTGTTCTCTGTCCCACATAACTTAGCAAAATTTCACAGAATGGGCCAGGATTTATATTTTAATCAGTCAGTCTCAACAGGCTATAAAGCACCACAGCCCTTAACTCTTTGCACTGCTTTCTCTGGGAGAAAATTATCATGATATTATGAATGTAGTTCAGTAAAGTTTTATTATTTTTTTGAGACAATGGCTCACTCTGTCACCCAGGCTGGGGCACACTGGGACAACCAGGGCTCACTGTAGCCTCAATTTCCCAGGCTCAGGTAATTCTCACCTCAGCCTCCAGGCAGATTGCCTGAGTATCTGGCACTACAGGTGCCCACCACCATGCCCAGCTAATTTTTTCCTTTTTTTTCTAGTAGAGACAGGGTTTCACCATGTTGCCCAGGCTACCCTTGAACTCCTGGACTCAAGCGATCCACCTGCCTCAGCCTCCCATAGTGTGCTGGGATTACAGACATGAGCCACCACACCTGGCCATAAAGTATTCTTAATGGTCATCAGGTTCAAGGCTTATCACATTGAATTATGACAGTATGGCTGTAAATTCAAGTATCCACGTGAAAAAAAATATATGTATATGGAACGTTATTCCATAAAAACGCAAATTGTGCCTGGCTGGACCTCAAAATGGGTATGGAAAAAAGTCCTTAGCCAAGTCTTTCATGTTTTTTCAATCACTTGTAACCTGTTGCACACTTCAGGTACTTCTTGCATAGTCTTTACTCTCTTGGGTGTAGCTAAAGAAATAGTGGGGAGCACTTTCTTTGATCCCTAGCAATGCACTCTTAATTTCCATAATCAGTTTGCCTCATGTGCGGGCCAGACAGGCTGTTGAAAAAAAGAGGTTAAGAACACTCACTGTACTTCCTCTACTACCATTTTCTTATTTATTACATCCAATAAGGGCTTGGGCAATTATAAAGGTTCTCCTTTATCATGTCCATTTGAAACCAAGGGAAGGGCTAACTCATGCAAGTGTAGTAAAGGCAGAATCTCTCATTGAGACTCAATATTCATTCCAATTGTGCATGTCAATAACAACAACACAACCCCAGTGTATTAGTCCATTTTCACACTGCTCTAAAGAACTACCTGAGCCTGGGTAGTTTACAAAGAAAAGAGGTTTAATTGGCTTCTGGCTTCTGCTTCTGGGGAGGCCTCAGGAAACTTATCATCATGGTGGAAGGCGAAGGGGAAGCAGGCACATCTTCACATGGTGGAGCAGGAGGGGGTGGGAAGTGGACACACTTTTAAACAACCAGATCTCGTGAGAACTTACTATCATGAGAACAGCAAAGGGGAAGTCCGCCCCCCGATTCAGTCACCTCCCACCAGGGCCCTCCTTCAACACTGGGGATTACAATTTGACATGAGATTTGGGTGGGGGCACAGAGCCAAATCGTATCACCCAGAATATTTAATATTTCTTCTAGTCACATTTTCTAATTTGTAGCATAACTCTCCTATCAGGACATCTCTATATAATCCTGGTTTACCTTTGACCATTTCTTTCTATCCCCCTTGGGAATACCTATACAATGAGAAATTGTATCCAGTGATAGTTTTGCATAAAATTACTGGAATATTTAAAATCAAAAGGCCTTTAATGCCCCACTATGGGTAAGATGAATAGATATCAACCTAGTAGTTTATATTTTTTCAAATCTATAGCTTTAACTGATAGTGTAAATTCGGCTCTTTGTTTAAGCATTCTTCATTCTAAATCCTTCATGATTGGATTTGAATTTGTCCAGGAGAGGATATATTGACTAAATTGAGGGAGCACTTTAAGAGGTTAGGGAGGTGCTAAAGTAGATGTTTTATCCCCTCAAGCATCTGTAACATCCCACCAGCTTAATGATGGCAGCCCCGTCAGTTTCCTCATTTTTTCCTATTTTTCAATAGCCACCTGAAAAACTTCATTCAGCTAAGTCGGTTATCAGGCCCTCTCCCTGCTTTTCTTTTCTTTCTTTCCTTCCACCCATCCCCCATAGTAACATCTTTTTGTATAGCATAAATGTTTTCTTCATCATTCAGCCCCACGCATGATCACTTAGCTAGCAGACCAATTGCTGTTTTTGGAATATTATTTTACTCCCTCCTCTCCTCTCCTCCTCAATGACCCCAAATCCCTGGAGCATAGTTGATATATTTTTGCATCTACCAGGGTTTGTGCAAATAGCATGAATTTAAGTGTGTCAATCTGATCAGGTATAGCCAATCTGGATTGCTTGCACCTATGTACTCTTTTGAAAGTAGTATTGTGGCCAGGCACGGTGGCTCAAGCCTGTAATCTCAGCACTTTGGGAAGCCAATGCGGGCAGACTGCCTGAGGTCAGGAGTTTGAGACCAGCCTGGCCAACATGATAAAACCCCATCTCTACCAAAAATACAAAAATCAGCTGGGCATGGTGGTCCATGCCTGTAATCCCAGCTACTCGGGAGGCTGAGAGGCAGGAGAATCGCTTGAACCCAGGAGGTGGAGGTTGCAGTGAGCCAAAATCCTGCCACTGTACTCCAGCCTGGGTGGCAGAGTGAGACTCCATCTAAAAAAAAAAAAAAAAAAAAAAAAAAAAAAGAAAGAAAGTCATTCCATCTGTTGGTAAAGGAGAGTGTAGGGAGGTTACCTCACTCGGTATAAGCCTTCAGAAACCTTATCATTACCCATTGTTACAAGGTATATATTAAACCATCTGAAAGCCGCTTCTCACAATAGTTTTCCGCCATCTGGAATTGAGACATAACCCCTTTCATTCAAATGTATATAAAATTAGTGACATGCTCCCAAATCACTTCTTTTTTCTGATAATTCATGCTAACAGGAATTCATCAGACTCGTTCTTTGATGTCTTCATAAAGAACCCCAGCTCTAACCAGAGTAACCTCTGGAATCTGAGGTCACCTGGGTTATGATTGAATACAATGTCTTTGTTCAGTAATCAATTAAAAAAAAGTCTTTCTTTTTTTTCTGTTTTTGATGTTTGACGTTTAAAAAGATTTAAAAGTCTGTCTTTTTTTCTGTGTTTGATGAGGACTGCTATCACCAGCTAGGGAATAGCATGGTTTTATAACCTTCTTTAAACTTACATTATTTGTGTATTCACTTAGCTAATCTCCCTAGATCTAAACCTATTTCCCATAAATTCCACTGTTAAATCTTTCCCTCCATAGATGGAGTCAAGGTTTTTGCTACTTCATAACAAGAATACACTATTCCGGCAACAAACCCTCATTATGTTACACCCTCATTATGAAACCCTCATTTCTTATTAAAAAGTGTTTGAGTGATCATAATTTACAGGTCTAAAAGTTAATCATGCCTACTCTACCAATCTGTGTTGTCAAAAAGGGTTGAAATATTAAATCAGACTGAGGATCTTAACCAGGAACCAGATCTGCTCAGGACTCAAATGATACAAGCAAACATCAAGATATTCCCTGGAGGAACTCGAAATTTTCAAATTCAGCTCTCCAAAATATCAATTCTGTTCCAACCTGGTTGGCATTTTGGTGTAGGATTAACTATGAGGTTTATTAGCAATATATGCAAAAGCATTAAACTCAAAAATGAGCCATTTCAATTTTGAAATGTCCCTGCTTTGTATTCCACTAATTTGACAGCTTATGTAACTACTCTTCATTTCCCAGACATTCAAGTTCCACAAACCATAAATCCCAGATTTATCTACAATAAGCAGTCTAGACTGGTCAGGTATATCCACCTAAAATATTTTATAGATAAAGACTCCTAGCATGTTTCCATCAATGCACTCTATTAATATTTGCAAAGAGGTCTGTCCAAAGTCAGACTCCACCCACCACTCCAGTGTCCCTGTATGGAAGGAGTGTGCTACAGGCCTGCTGTTAATTCTTTCCTTCTTATTACTGGATACCCATGAACAATGAGGTTTGTTTCAGTAGTTTTAAACATTTCTGTCTAGAGCCACTTTGACCTTCTAAATAGACGGCCTGGAACAATTTCAAATTAGATAATAGTTTCAATCAGAATAACCTTAAACTGTTTCATAAAAATATTTGAGCAACTAAAACTCCTGACTGAATGAAAAGCCCCATCATTTTACTTCAGTGAATACATGAGAATTATTTGTAATTATGAATATTAGCTGTCTTTTTCAGATCAAATCTTTTACATTAAAACCCATTAAAACACTTGTTTTTTTAAAACATATTTTCAATTAATAGTATAATTCCAGGGAATGGATCATAAACTATGAATTAGTGGAAATTTGAATCAATTCAAGTTTCTTATAACAGTATTTTTTTACTTATTTCAATCTTTGGGAATTAGTTGCCTTATGAACATCTCACTCTTCATTCAGTTTGCTGGCAAATGGCAGGATTTCAAAATTATTTAGCAGTTTTTCCAGAGTGCCTTGTAATAAACCACTAGACCAATAAGATGTATTATAAATATACAAATAAATAAATTTATGAAACTTTGTTACATTATGATAATAAACACATTTATGAAACTTTATATTACGTTATGATATACATCTCATGGATCCAGAGAGCACAGTAGCATATAAAAGATTCTAAAAACTAACATTTCCCCAACTCTTTGACAATGAACATCCTTTTAACAAGCAAGCTGCTGTAGCATCTTCCAGAACTATCATCCTGTATGATAAGCTTCTGGAAATGGATAGTCTATAGAATTGATTTCCAGTTTCTTATTCTAGCATTCAAGTCTTCTTGACTCTCCAAACTTGTCTAGATGCCGCATGCTCTTTTTCAAATTGTCTAGTCTTCTCCTCGCTGTTCCTGATAACACCATTCACAGTCTTTCCTTGGAATCCTGCCTTATTATTTTTGCTGCCCTGATATATTCTTCTCCTTCCTTTCTCCTTCATTATATTTCATACTTCCTTCATCCTTCAGGTCATGTTCTGTTCCCCTGTCAGTCCTCTTGGTTTTTGTGCTTCTTACTGTCCTTACTGATGCCTGTCTTGGCTTGTTTTGATCTTAAATTCATTCATCTCCCTTTCTTATCTCTATTCTATGTTGGGAGATCATCACTTTTGCACGCTACATATTTAGGATCACTTTTCATCAGGCTTCCTACTATTTTCAGCCAATTAAAGACCTGCTCATATGACTGTAGGGTAAGGGTAAAGAAAGTGTCAGAGCTTTTCTCCTTGCTTCTTTAGCAATAGTGGTATCTGCTTCAAAGCTTCCCCTTCACCTAGACTGGTCTACCATGTATAGGCTTCTTTTGGGTGGCCTTGGTCTCTTCCTGTGTGTACTGTCAGTTCTGTCCTTTGATGATCAAGTAGAGGAGTGGTAGCAGCTTCTTGTACTTCCCAGCTTTTGAGTTAGGGTTTCTAATGCATTTCATGACTTGTATCCTAATCTCCTGTATGAAATTCCTTCTCTTTAAGAACGTAGATAAATCACTCCAAGCTGCTATTTCCTATTGTACCTTGGTTGATATACCACCCAAGTATTGTCTGAATTACCATTGGATAACTCCGTTATACTTTTCCATTACTTCTTTAAAATGTATATTGTCCATTTTTCTTTATAACAGGATTTCTGCACCACACTGCTTATGATAAAGATCTGCATGTAATATAAATTCACTGTGTAGAATGATGTTTTGAGATATGCAACAGGAATAGCTGACGATATTGCCAATTTTTGTGATGTGAGGCTGAAGTGGTAAAAATATTTCTGACATTTCTGATATTCTGATAACATTTCTAATCTTTTATTATATTAGTATATAATATATAACATACTAATATATATATTTGCTTTGTATTGCCACAAGCTTGCGCACTTCTAATCTTTATTTCTGTGCTCTAAACACCAATCCTACTTCAAGTCAGTGGTCACCTATTTCTTCAGAAAATTAGTAAATAAATTAATTCTCCCTTGAAATTGCCTCAGGAAACCAGAAGGGATGCTCTGTTTCTGTCTAAACATTTCCAAGGACATTGGCTCATTTGCCCTACTTGATGAACAGTCAACTATAATCTCTGGGTGGCTCATTCTTTTCTGTACAATGCAAAGTATAAAGAAAAATTGGGGGAAAAGCCCACAACACAAACAATTACCACAATCATCACATTTAGGACCCAGAAAGCAACAAATTAGCAGACAAAACACAGAGCTTATCTCAGGTTTCTTCTCATCTGTCTTTCTAACCCATCTCTACTTCTTTTTTTTCCCGTTTTACTCTGTGGAAACCAGTGAATCTACTATATGAAATAACAACAGAAAGTCTGAAATCACAGAAAAAGAGATGCTATCGTGGATTTGCATATACAAGTTAAATAAGTTGTATTTCTCCAAAGCATTCATTGGATTTTATCATCTACTCTGTTCCTTGTTGATTAAGGACGTTTTTTAATAAGCAATATTTTCCTTCTGTTAGGACATGTTTATGTTGCAAGGAGGACTAACACAATAGGAAAATCAATTTTGACTGCTTGCTACGTTGTTTGAGGAGCCCTCTGCAGTTTCTTTCCCGAGAACCAGCGGATAGATTTCTACAAGGTAGCCACTAGGTGGCAGCAGCAATGTAAAAGCACCACCGGCTGTAACTGGCAAATTACGAAGTTGTAGATTGTTTTTTTTGCTTCATCATTTTTGTTTTGCTTCTTTAGAAAACACACACACACACACACACACACACACACACACACACACACACACGCAACACACAAGAAAACTTGTATTACTTATGAAAAGAACGATTAAAAATAACAGTTGAATGTGTTCTGCTTTTTTATGCAAAGGTGAAAGTGAGCAGAGCTTAAATCAGGGACTCTCACGGGTGCCTGATGCTTCCAGACGCGAAGGTGCAAGAATAAACCAAACATCCTCTCAGGTATTTATCATCTAGACCAATTTTAACTTAGTATTTAACACTTGGACTCTTATATAATGGGGAAACTAGCAAAGCAAATCAACCCCCTTTTGGGGGACAGAAAGTTGTATGTTGTTAGAGCCACCACATAGAGTCCAGCATCTTCCACAATATTCAGAATACTCCTAAACTATTTTAAGAACCATTACATGGCACATGTATACATATGTAACTAACCTGCACGTTGTGCACATGTACCCTAAAACTTAAAGTATAATTAAAAAAAAAATAAAATATAATCAAATCTAGATAATTTCCTGTAATTAAATGAAAGCATGTTTTTGTTAATAAAATATTATAAACTCAAAAAAGAACCATTACAAAGCTAGAATCATTCAACAGCACAGTAATATTAAAAAAGTTTATTTTAATGAAATAGGACATATGACATACCTATGTAAAGTGAAATTTTAAAAAGACAACAGGTTATCACATTTACTATAATTTGTTATTTTTTCTCTTAAGCTAATGCATATATTTTGTAAATAAGACCTACACAATATATATATACACGTATATATATATATATATACGTGTATATATATAAAAATATTATAAAGGGTAAAAACCATGACAATGAATTTAGTTAAACCAAATCACACTATTAATACCCAATGACTTTTTTCAGTATCAAAATATAATTTCCAAAGAAACATATAGTTTATTTTATGTAATATATGTTTTATTTTTCCAAAGTAAAGTAGTATGTAATTTGTTTAAAATTTTTTGTCTTAAATCTGATTGAATATTGGCAACATATACACAAATGCTTCCTGGTGTAGTGTTTCAAGAGAGCTAAACTTCTTTCTTCCAGTTTCTACATAGGATTAGGCACAAGATGTGCAGTGGAAATACTGATTATGCCACAAGTTAGCAAAGACTTTGTTATAAAGAGTTCATGGTTTGGTGAGATGTTTTATTCCCATTGTGTTTCTTAGAATATATTCATCAGCATGCTGTAACTGTGAAAATAGATGGGGACACTGAAAATGTGAGTTCCTGCACAAACCACTAAGTAACTTCTGTTCGTAGTTTCTTTTTCTGAAAATTAGTACTTTGTGGTAAGTATAGTTTCATGAAACCCAAGTGAAAATTTTAAGATTCATTCTGTCTGAGGTGAAGCTCTATATTCTTATTTTTAACAAGATATCTATGTGGATCTGCAAATAGGCCAGATTGGGCACCTCTACTCCAGTGCCTTTCAGCACAGCAAATCTGATGCATCTATCCTGAAACTGTGCAGGTGAGTCAGGCTAAGAATGCTTCATTCTTTAGGAGAGTAAAGGTAAAATACTGGCTACTGGCCCATTGTCAACATGATGCTCTATTGAATTATGGTGGATCCCAGTGGGTCCTTTATCAGTATAAATAATCCTTCTGCACGGCTGGGATGCTCCATTATTTTCATCTTCTAAGGAGGTAACAGATATGAGAAGTCGCTGAAGAACAATAGAAGTAAGAGGTACTTTTTAGAGATGAAAGTATAATTAACAAATATCAGACTTTAACTTCATTTAGAGGCGTATTATACCAACTAGAAAGCCAACACTGCCAAAGCTGTCATTTCATTTATTTTTCAAATTTCCAAATATTTGCTACATGAGGATGGTTTAGAAAACTCTCAAGTTCCTATATATTTGCATAAATCCATGGGACACAACTGCTTAGATTAGGAAAGGAGTGGTTGCTTTTATTCTATAACTTTTATTAGCAAATAAGTTACCAATTGGATAGCAAACATTTTCCAACCTAAATTAGAAATGTATTTAATATAAAAATATTCCTTGCAGTACTTAACATTTAAATGCATTGCCACTGTATTATCAGTGAAGTTTCCATTGAGAGTATTGAGACAGAGAAAGAGAAAGAGGGAGAGGGGCATTGGAAGGGGCTTTGAAATCGGGATACAAGAAACAGCCATGGAAAAGCAACCAATTTTCATGATGGTTATAAAACTCACATGGGTACTCATTACCTTGTACATATATCCTTCAATCCTTAATGAAGAGTGCAGTATACTTAAGCAGCAGGATATACTTTTGATATCTATGCTACTTAAGGCAACGTTGAATTAGCATGGGTGGACTGACTTAGTGAGATGAAAACCTACCCCAAATTAGGCCAAACCCTTTGAAGAGATATGGAAATGAGAATGCAAAATCATTGTGAGAAAGGTGGGCTTTTTGTTCTTGCTTCTTTCACATCTCCTTTTCCTACATAGATTTTAAAAATAGCAAAGATTGAAAAATAACAGTATCTTAAGAGTAACAAAAACATCATAGGATGTGGTTTGGTCTAACGGACACAGAAGAACCCTAGATACTATACCTTTGCACTTAGCTTTCAACCTACAATGGAAGAGCATGCACGTTAAACATATGGGCTTTTCAGGTATTTGGGGGAATTTAATGGCATAACTCACTGTACTGAAAGAGAATCACACCTTCAAAATCTTGTAAAACTCTAGAAATATTCTCCAGTAGATTTTTAAGATTTTCAATAAAAGTGTTAATTATCCAAAGACCTGAAGGCTGTAGGAGATTACTTCAGGGATTAAGGTTTTCAGCTCTGAGTTGCAAGTGTATAGCTCATCTATGTTCAGCCACACTGAGCAGTCTCCAGGATTCTCTGGTTGTAGGTGTGAAGGAAAGATGTCAGACAGGTGAACCAGCTCAAAGCTTTAGGCCTGAAAACCTGTAACAAGGATTGCTACCACAAAGCAAAATACAGAACAAATATGACAACTGTAAACAGCAGACACTGAAGTCTACCTGAGGGAGAAGAGTGGGAGGAAGGAGAAGAGCAGAAAAGATAAGTATTGGGTATTGGGCTTAATACCTGGGTGGTGAAATAATCTGTACAACAAACCCTCATAACACAAGTTTACCTACGTAATAAAACAAACCTTCACATGTGCCTCCGAACCTACAATAAAAGTTTTTAAAAATAAGTAAATACAAATCTATTTATTCACTGACATATATTTTGTGTGTACGTGTTTGGTATAAGTAAAAAGCACCTATACCTGTTCAGTGTATAGGCTTATTGAATTAAGAAACCGAGGACAATTTTTTAGATAGAAATATATAAACAATGATGTAAATCTTAGGCACCACAATCTATATGATAAATCTAACCAGTTCTGACCTTGCCGCAAGAATATCCTAGAGTTCTTGAACTTGCAACTTCGTCAATATAACAAGATAATTTTTTGACGAAGATAAAATCCATACTATATAACAAGAACTTTATGCATTTAATCTCACATGTATTTATTACACAAACTACAAATGATATTCCCTGTGTTTAAATACCAATTTCTATTTTCTTTTCAACAGCCATTGCCAGTGTTGTTAAATGCAGTTTTTTCTAATATCCTCTTATGAGAAAAATTCAATTGGGGTATTATTTAAAATGCAAAATATTAGTTCCCATCAAGCTAGGTGTTAGGGAAACCATATATTTAACAAGTGAATTAGGAGGTATTTATATTCAAAGGAGTTTGTAAAATACTGACTAAAGGCTGAGAGCAGTGGCTTATGCCTGTAATCCCAGCAGTTTGGAAGGCTGAGACAGGTGGATCACTTGAGCCCAGGAGTTTGAGATCAGCCTGGGAAACACGGTGAAACCCCATCTCTACAAAAAGTACAAAAATTAGCCAGATGTGGTGGCATGCACCTGTAGTTCCAGCTACTCAGGAGGCTGAGGTGGGAGGATCGCTTAATTCCTGTAGGTCAATGCTGCAGTGAGCCGTGATAGCACCATTGCACTCCAGCTTGGGAGACAGAGTGAGATCTCATAAAAAAAAAATTGAATTACCTATCTGGAAAAGAAAAGAAAAGAAAAGAAAATACTGACTAAGGGAACAGTTCTGAAATAGTCTATTGCCTTCTCCTATACTCTACTTTGTTTTTCTCCCACCCAGCTTCTAGTAGTTAAATGCCTTATTTTGGTTATTCAACGTGCAACCTTCTTCCCAATTTGGTAGAGTCAATATTGTGTGCGAAACTGGTAAGATCCTATACCCTGCTATTACTTTGCAGGACACAGGGAGCCCAGCAAATCTTACCCAACCTCAACATTCCCAAGAATAAAGAGAAAGATGGACATTATAAATCTATAAATCCTGTGGATTTTAGACTTCACGAACCAATCCCTTTATGCTATTCCAAGCCTACTGTACAACGCACATTGTTCAACCTAGATTTGTGCTCAGAAAGGATGATTTGGCTTCCATGGAAAATTGTACTTTCCCCTATAGATTGTTGGTGGGAATGTGGAAAGTGCAGACACTATGAAAAACAGTATGGAGGTTCCTCAACAAAATTTTAAAAATAGGGCTATCATATGATCCAGCAATTCTTCTTCTGGGTATATATTCAAAAGAATTAAAATCGCGATCTTGAAAAGACATTTGCACCCTAATTTCCTAGCAGCATTATTCACAATAGCCAAGATATGAAAACAACTCAAAGCCCATTGACAGAAAAATGGATAAATAAAATGTGACAGTTACATAAAATGAAATACTATTCACCTTTAAAAAAGGAAATACTATAATTTGCAACAATGTGGATAAACCTAAGACATGATGCTAAGTAAAATGGGCCAGTCACAGAAAAAAAACTCACAACTACTGCATAATTCCATTTAGATGAGATATCTGAAATAGTCCAACTAATAGAAACAGGGAATAGAATGGGTTGCAGGGACAAGGAAGGAGGAAATGGGAAATTGTTGCTCAGTGGGAATGAAGTTTCACTTATACGAAATGAATAAATTCTAGAGATCTGCTGAACAACATAATACCTATAGTTAACAATACAGTATTTTGTACTTCAAAATGTGTTAAGAGAATAGATTTCATGTTATGCATTCTACACACACACACACACACACACACACACATACACACACACCCCACAAAATAACACAAGGACATTTTTGGAGGTGACAGATATATTTGGAATCTTGATTCTGGTGGTGGTAACATGGCGGTATATGTATGTTCAAATTCATCAAAATGTATACGTTAGGTTTGTGCAAAATTTTTGTACATCAATTATACCTCAATAAAGCTTAAAATTTTATGGGAAATTCTGCATCTGTTGCAGCTTCCTGAGTCTCTTATTCAGGTGGTGAGTGCCTGTCACTACATTCACCTGGTATACTGAGCATTTCTTCATGACAGAAGGGGGTGTTTTAATGTTCTATTAGGTGTAGTTCAAAAATCTCTCTCACTGAGAAGAAAAAGGGAGGATTTCTGCACTTGTAGGTCCTTATTTATTTATTTTGTATAACGGAAACTACTGTAAGACCTTCTTGTACTAAATATGCTTCTTCTGTGGAAAGTACTTAATCTATGCTCTTATCTTTGCCATTAAAAACAAAAGCAAAAACAACTTCTAGTCACCCTTACTACGTCAAATTCTCCTATTATAGCTTCCATAGAAGATTGTACCTCTTATGTCACTTGTCACCGTCACAATCTTACATGGTGAGTGTTTATTCAGCGATCATCTCTCTTAACTACTAGTTTTTATTTGGTTTTCAATGTAGGTAGAAACTATATCTTTATTACTTGCTTTTATAGCTTTAATGTCTCATAGCTTCAGGCACATAAAAATGTAAAAATGTTAGTAAGAACTCAAATGTTTTCAGAGTGTCATGAGCTCTGCTAAAAGCTTTATATGAATCAACTCATTTAATCCTAAAAACAATCCTATAAAATTATTACTGTTATTATGCCCACTTTACTGATAAGAAAATAAAGGCTCAGAGATGTAAAGTAACTCCTTCAAAGGCATACAATTGCTATGGGGTAAAGTAAGGATTGAAATCTAGGCTATCTGTCAGTAGCAATATTTATAGAACAAATTGATAAATTAATGAATCAATGAATGGAATTTTCTTAATGACATTATTAAATTGATCAAGATCTCATAGGAAATTAGATTTGATACCTTTCTTCAGTTGCACTGTGTGTTAATAAATTGAATGCTTTCCTTGGAAGTGTAGTACTGGCTTATGTATTACTGTTATCAAATTACCATCTAATTTTAGACATGCATAGTGATCTGTCTTATTACAAAGAAATAATACACAAGAAATCTTTAATACCAAATGTCAAGACTGTATAGCCTCTGGTATCTATTAACTGTATATTGCTAAATGTACAGATAATAAATCAGTAACCCCTGTGATTTTCATAAAGTTACCAGTTAGAAGATAAAACATTGAGGTGATGTTTTTAAATGTCTAAAACTCTATTGACCATTTTGTATTACTTCTAGCAATTTTAGGAAATATGTATATTTTTCTACTTCCTCAAAGAGTGGCCATGAATAAACAAAAGTGGAGCGAAGAATGGTTTTTAATTGATAAATTTGGATTATATAAATGACTGATCTAGATATTCTCTGTGTTTTAAAATAATTATTTGCATGAAAAAATTAAGGTTAATATCTCTTTAAATGGAAGATAGCTCTTATTGGATTATTTAATTATGTTCTTAAAATTTTCTGGAAAATGTCTACATTTTCAATTATTAATCTTTATAACTTTAGATGTTTAAAGCATATGACCATATGACTCTTAGTGAGTCTTAATCTAGAAATCATCTTAAGAATTTGTTTAGTATACAAATACGGACATTTTAGACTAGTTTCTGAAAAAAAAAATTTACATAATTTTAACCAAAAATTTAATTTCAGCCATTCATAAAATTGGATAAATTAAATACAGATTAAGATGGTTAACCAAATTAATTCCCTTTGTCTCCTTTGTCAATTATAGTAGTGAAATTCAATAGTTATTCTAATAATTTCCTTCCTAAATACCTTTCCAAGTCTTTATTTGATTTTGTGTTTATTGACCTAGAATAAAATGCTTTTCTTTTCACTATCTTATTGATAATTGGTTTCCACTTTTCTTAGTTTAGCTTAGGCAGTCCACACTATTCAAGGGAATATGAAGAATTGAGATATACATAAGGCTGCCATGAAGTGGAATCTTAATATCCAAGGACTCTCATACTCAGATTTGAGTATTTGCAAGAGATCAGGGGTCCACAGCCTAAAATAAATAGTAATTTTCCTGAGGCAGGTGAATAATGAGCACCGAGGGCTGATGTTTCAGAAATGAGTACAGCCAACTACACAACACCTTTAGCCAACTGGAGTTTTTAAAAGTCTTTTTCTTATATTGCATGGAAAGTACTTGAGTGATATTAACACATATGGGGATTAGATGCGTTAATCTAATTAACATATTTCTGGAGATATCCCTTGATAACATCAAGAGTCTAATGAAGTTCAAAAAAAATGAATTTAATTGTAATTGTGACCACTTTCTAAATAGAAAAAACAAAGAGAAAAACAATTTCTGAGTTTATTCTAGGATTCAAGTGATAAATTAACAAGCATGTCAAAACATTGAGTATAGATGTCATGCACGTTACAAATAACCCACAGAGCAACTGCCTGGCCAGTTCATTTAAGCCGTACTCTGACCATGGCTACACACTTAAGCTTTGCTGACTTGCCATGAAAAATTTTATAAGCAGCTGGTTCAATGAAAATCTTGCACTGATGAGATCTCCAGGACTTTTAGTATGACCAAGCACTTTATCAACATAGCTCTGTAAAAGGGAATAGATGGCCTGACATGCAGACTTGTCAGAACAAACAGAATGAAGGGGGACAGCATGGTTTAGTTGTAAGGAGAATGCCTGACAACAGGAGGAACATCGTGTGCTTTATTTTTTCAGCTTTATAAGGCATAGCTGTAGGCCATCTTTCCATGACACATCAACTTCTGGCGCCAGGGAAATAATATGTATGAGTTTATAGAGATGTCATGATCTGACTTACAGGCCTGAACAACTTTCATTGTTAAGAATCTGGGGGAAAAATTAAAAAAAAGGAGCCAGAGTCATTTAACTTGCTAGCAATCCTGCTCTCATTTGTTATAGGAAGAATATCTTGGTGAGGCAGATGGCCCAGAAGCAAAGCACTTTAAGGAACACATCTTAACTAGCATCCTTCGGTCTCCAGGCTGACTGTCTACTCTGTTTCACCCATTGCTATAACCCAATATCCACACCTTATGAAGTAGAGCTATGTGTTTTCTTTACAAATTACTCTTTTGCTTTACTCGTTGTCCCCACATACACTGCTTCTTTTTCTTTTGAGTGTTAGTCTACTGATTCTCCATATTTTCATGTGTTTCCTTTTCATCTTTCCTTGAGTTTCTCTTCTCTCATTTGTTCACATCTCTCCATTTTATTTTTACCAGGTTATACTGCTCTTCCCTCCCAATTAAATTGCCACTTATCTAATTACACGTGTAACAAATTAGGAGCACCTGTATGTATGCACATGCATTCAAATTGATTGGACTCCATTTAGCAAGCAATATATGTAGTCTTTAAACATATTTTACATAAATATAAATAAATGTAATATCCATTAATCCATCCAGTATTTACAGAGTACCTACTAGGTGATAGGTGTTACTCTTAGTACTAGGAATATTGCAGTGGATGACGTTCCCGTGCTCATGAACATTACATTTTAGTGAGGAATTCAGACAAGGAGCAAATAAAATATAAAATAAAACATAATGTCAGGTAGTAATAATTGGTATCACTATGGCTGGGGTTCCTATTTTAGATAGGAATCACCATGCAAGACTTCTTTGAGGAGGTGACTAATCAGAATGAAATACACAGCCCTTTAAGTATCCAGGAGAACAATGGTAAAAGTGGGTACTGTAGGCATGCGCTTGCAGAATAGCAGGGCGAGAATAGGACTGGGTCAAAGCAACATAGAAAACATGCGAGAGGAAATGAAGCTGAAAATACAATCATAATCCAGGTCATGTAGGGTCCTGAAAAAGACAAAAATCTTTGGATTTTATTTTACAAAAGATGGCAAGCCAAGGGAAGGTTTAGATCAGGAAGATAACATGATGTGTCTGTTACTATAAACAGATAATTCTGGTTGCCACGATGAAATGAATCAGAACAGTGGAGGCAGGGAGACCAGTTAGGAGGCTATTACAGTGAGCCACGTGGTCAATGATTGGCTTTGGGCTGTGTTGGCGACTTATCCAAGTGCAGGTGGTGAGGTGAGATTCCAGGCTAATTTTGAAAGAGAAGCTAAATGGGGCCAGGTGCCATGGCTCATGCCTGTAATCCCAGCACTTTGAGAGGCCAAGGTGGGTGGATTGCCTGAGCTCAGAAGTTAGAGACCAGACTGGCCAACATGGCGAAACCCCAGCTCTATTAAAAATACAAAAAAAATTATCCAGGTGTGGTGGCATGCACCTGTAATCTCAGGTACTTGGGAGGCTGAGGCAGGAGAATCACTTGAACCCAGAGACGGAGGTTGTGGTGAGCCAAGATCGCGCAATTGCACTCCAGCCTGGGCAACAAGAGTGAAACTGTCTCAAACTAATAATAATAATAATAATAATAATAATAATATCTTTTCTATGTCTCAGAAAAACAACTTGATAAAATCTTGGAAAAAATAAAACTGCATAATACAGCTAATCAATCATGTTACCTATAACTAAATATAGATGAAAAAAATACTCTTTTTCTCTAAGCACCGTTTCAGAAGAATACTATTTGAATCTTTTCAGTAGCTCACTTTTTCCCTAAGAGAGAAGAATGCATAGCACATTACTTATTGACCCCTTATCATATGTAACTTACTTTAATAGTTATTTGGAAAATACACGTTTGATCAACTTAGTTCTCCTTAGTATGGAGTTAATAATTTGAGGATGGAAAATGCTTGGATATGTGCGCGATTAACTGCAATACAAAACAATGGGAGACCAGAGCCACAAAGTGAGTCAAACAAAAAATCCCAAAGAATAAAAGACAATTTATTAGTATCCTTCCTATGCCAGCCAATAATTCAGAGGAAACCAAATAAAACATTATCCAAAATAATGTATAATAGGCAATCACTTTCCTTCCAGAAGCATGAGATTTGATTACCATCTTTTTTTTTTTTTTTTTTTTGAGACGGAGTCTCGCTCTGTCGCCCAGGCTGGAGTGCAGTGGCGGGATCTCGGCTCACTGCAAGCTCCGCCTCCCAGGTTCACGCCATTCTCCTGCCTCAGCCTCCCAGGTAGCTGGGACTACAGGCGCCCGCCACTACGCCCGGCTAATTTTTTGTATTTTTAGTAGAGACGGGGTTTCACCGTTTTAGCCGGGATGGTCTCGATCTCCTGACCTCATGATCCGCCCGCCTCGGCCTCCCAAAGTGCTGGGATTACAGGCGTGAGCCACCGCGCCCGGCCGATTACCATCTTTTTAACTTATATGAAGATAAATGTGGTCTATGGTCATAAAATCCCCTGGATGTTTGAAGAATCTATTCACATTATTCAATGAGATAACATTCGGTAGTAGTATATTCCATACGTTGATTGTATACTCTGTTATATCATTTTAGTTTATTTGCTCCATATTTACTACCCTTCATTTCTAAGTATCCTTTTTTCTCTCTTATTAGTGTAACATGGTAATAGGTGAAATTGATTCATCAACTACCATCATTCTTTTAAAATGCTGATCCTTTCAGCTATACTGACTTATGTCTTCTCCTCTGTTATAGAAATGAACTACTGTTATATCCTTGGCTAAATTCATGGGCTAGCTAGTATCCCATGAATGAAAATCTCATATTTAGGGGAGGATAACTGAAATAAAAATGTGTCCTTCCCATGCATGCCATTGCAGCAATTCTGCTTGCCTTCAACTCGTCTAAACATGTGAGAAACATAGAGAATTATCCTGTTGTTTGGTCATTGAATACAATGTGAACCGGTGTTATTTTCTGCATAAACAGTAACTAGTCTTTAGAAACCTTTGTAGTTTTTCAATGAGGTTGAAAAAATATGCCAAATGTATTAAGTTTAATTTAAAATGTTAAAAATTAATTAAGATATGTTTATATAACTCCCTTTTTATTCTGCCATCATTTTTTTCTCATTATAAAGTTAAATTGAGTGCTCAAAGGCAGCATAACTCCGTATTTAAAATCCAAATTTTAGAGTGGACTATTCTTTACTTTTAAAATGAAGGCAATAATAACAGCTCTTACTGGAGTTGTGGTTAGCATGGCATGGGTTATTATAAGTAACAAGATTATTAGAGGGCCTCACTGTAGATTAGCTGTATTTAGTATTGCTAAAGGAATAGCTCTCTGCTGCTTTGTGAAAAATAGTATGATGGCAAGGTAAAAGAAGACTCATTAATTTGCTTAATTTATACTGAAGTTATCTTAGTGAAAAACTATCAAAATGTTCTATATTTTGAATATTTGAGATATGCTCTATATGCTAAATTAAGAGTTAGCCTAGGAATCTGGAGTAAATGCAAAAATACACATTAATTCTCAAACAGTATTCAATTTTGAAACATAGTAAAATATAGAAAAGAATAAAAGAGGCAAGTTTTTAAAATACTAAACTATTTTCTATTTCTAAAGAATCTGCTAAACACAATATTTTTCCTCTTTCATGTAAACAATCTAACCAGACATTCTGATCTGAAAGATATGTAATACAACCCTAAGAATAATTAAAAATTATCTTCAGTTTTATTTTTTCAGTGGATTATATTTAATTATATTTGACTAAGTCCTGCATGACATATAGGTGCACCTTTTATTTACTGATCTTTTACTAGTTAGAATAAAGCTGCCTTTCACTTTAGAGTTGAATTGCCAATATGCTTGGAAGTTTTTCTCCTGCATAACACACTGTAACATACTGCCGTGGCTTGAACTGTTCTATCTGCCTTTCTTTACTTTAATCTTACTCTTGAAGACTCAACTTAGAGGGTACCTCCTCCAAGGAGCTTTTTCTTAAACAAATAGACTGGTGTAGGTGTTCTTTCCCCTTTTTTCCTCTTAAATTTATGTATAATATTCTACTTGCTATATAATACCAAAATATATTATGTGTTTATTTCCCTAATGGAATATAATCACCTTTATGTTGCACAGATTATTTCTTACTTATTTTTTCCAGACAGTATCTAACAGAATGTTCATGTAAAGTAGGGGAATCAATGAAAAGAATGTTATCTCTTTTAAAAAAAAAAACTGAATTTCTATGTTGTTTAAAATTTGCATTTGTAAAGTGAATCCTAAATAAAATCTGATCTTCAAAAGTGAGCCCAGTTTTCAGATATTTTAGTGTTCTGAATAAAAATTCCAAGAAGCTAATGATAGATAAGTAAAAATATATTTAGAGCTGTTTTCATCAAACAGTTGAAAAGCTCTTTCAAATTTAAAATTTAGTTATTTGAGTCATTCTCCTCTTTCTTCCCTACATAATACAAATCTCACTATGTAATGATGAATATTTCAAGTGTTAATTTGTACTGGGGTTGTTGTTAATATGTGCTTTCCATAGAGATCATCTAAACACCTGCTGCACTGACATTTTTGTGGCCCTTTAAAACTCTACCTGAGTTTTATATTTGGTATTTGATTTTAGTATGCTCTGTGGTGCCTGTGATGAACAAAGTCAGGTCTGCTGCAGGGTCCTTCCTAGGGGGCATACGATGTTGCTCTGTTTCCCTTATGTCACCTACATTGCTATCTTGTTGCTGAATCTTTCCACTGTTCTAGGAAAACATATTAAATATTAAAACTTTTATTATTTAACCTATACTGATTAATGCATTTCTTATGGAACATGTGGTTGATTATAGCATTTACATTCCTCTGACTGGGCTGTGTGGTAATAAATTTCTCATCAGTCCAGTAAGCTAGGTCCTTGGATGCTTTAATACAGAAGAAGAAGGTAGAGATAGAAATTCGATTTTTCAAGATTCTTAGGAGAACACCTTCTTTTTTATTAAAAATCAATTCAAACATTGGTGAAGAGTTACGATTGACTTTTTTTGCCTATTGATTGATATACCTAGCACAGTGCAAACACACATGAATAAATATTTGTAAAGAGACAAAGGATAATAATAACTTTTTAAAGGCCTATATAAGGCCCTACAAATAATCATACATATAGAGAATATAGGGACTTCCCTAATAAGCAACAATTGGATATAAAAATAATATTTTAGAGACACTGTAGTATATTGGATGGAAGAGTATATTGGAGGGGGTGCAGCCAAGATGGCTGAATAGGAACCGCTCCAGTCTACAGCTCCCAGCATGAGCGACACAGAAGACAGGTGATTTCTGCATTTCCAACTGAGGTACCGGGTTCATCTCACTGGGAAATGCCGGATCATCTCACTGGGAAGTGCCGGACAGTGGGTGCAGGACAGTGGGTGCAGTGCATCCTGTGTGAGCTGAAGCATGGCGAGGCATCACCTCACAGGCAAGCACAAGGGGTCAGGGAATTCCCTTTCCTAGTCAAAGAAAGGGGTGACAGATGGCACCTGGAAAATCGGGTCACTCACACCCTAATACTGCACATTTCCAATGGGCTTAACAAATGGCACACCAGGAGATTATATCCCGCACATGGCTTGGAGGGTTGTATGCCCACGGAGCATTGCTCATTGCTAGCACAGCAGTCTGAGATCAAACTGCAAGGAGGCAGCAAGGCTGGGGAGGGGCGCCCGCAATTGCCGAGGCTTGAGTAGGTAAACAAAGCGGCCAGGAAGCTCGAACTGGGTGGAGCCCACCACAGCTCAAGGAGGCCTACCTGCCTCTGTAGGCTCCACCTCTGGGGGCAGGGCACAGACAAACAAAAGACAGCGATAACTTCTGCAGACTTAAATGTCCCTGTCTGACAGCTTTGAAGAGAGTAGTGGTTCTCCCAGCATGCAGCTGGAGATCTGAGAATGGGTAGACTGCCTCCTCAAGTGGGTCCCTGACCCCCAAGTAGCCTAACTGGGAGACAACCCCCAGAAGGGTTGGAATGACACCTCACATGGCTGGGTACTCCTCTGTGACAAAACTTCCAGAGGAATGATAAGGCAGCAGCATTTGCGGTTCACAAATATCCGCTGTTCTGCAGCCACCGCTGCTGATACCCAGGCAAAAAGGGTCTGGAGTGGACTTCCAGCAAACTCCAACAGACCTGCAGCTGAGGGTCCTGACCGTTAGCAGGAAAACTAACAAACAGAAAGGACATCCACACCAAAAACCCATCTGTATGTCACCATCATCAAAGACCAAAGGTAGATAAAACCACAAAGATGGGGAAAAAACAGAGAAGAAAAACTGGAATCTCTAAAAATCAAAGCACCTCTCCTCCTCCAAAGGAACACACCTTCTCACCAGCAACGGAACAAAGCTGGATGGAGAATGACTTTGACCAGTTGAGAGAAGAAGGCTTCAGATGATCAAACTACTCCGATCCAAAGGAGGAAGTTTGAACCCATGGCAAAGAAGTTAAAAACCTTGAAAAAAAATTAGACAAATGGCTGCTACAATAACCAATGCAGAGAAGTCCTTAAAGAACCTGATGGAGCTAAAAATCATGGCACAAGAACTATGTGATGAATGGACAAGCCTCAGTAGCCGATGCAGTCAACTGGAAGAAAGGGTATCAGTGATGGAAGATGAAATGAATGAAATGAAGTGAGAAGAGAAGTTTAGAGAAAAAAGAATAAAAAGAAATGAACAAAGCCTCCAGGAAATATGGGACTATGTGAAAAGACCAAATCTAAGTCTGATTGGTGTACCTGAAAGTGACGGGGAGAAAGGAACCAAGTTGGAAAACACTCTTCAGGATATTATCCAGGAGAACTTCCCCAATCTAGCAAGGCAGGCCAACATTCAAATTCAGGAAATACAGAGAACGCCACAAAGATACTCCTCGAGAAGAGCAACTCCAAGACACAGAATTATCAGATTCACCAAAGTTGAAATGAAGGAAAAAATGTTAAGGGAAGCCAGAGAGAAAGGTTAGGTTACCCACAAAGGGAAGCCCATCAGACTAACAGCTGATCTCTTGGCAGAAACTCCACAAGCCAGAAGAGAGTGGGGACCAATATTCAACATTCTTAAAGAAAAGAATTTTCAACCCAGAATTTCATATCCAGCCAAACTAAGCTTCATAAGTGAAGGAGAAATAAAATACTTTACAGACAAGCAAATGCTGAGAGATTTTGTCACTGCCAGGCCTGCCCTAAAAGAGCTCCTGAAGGAAGCACTCAACCTGGAAAGGAACAACCGGTACCAGCCACTGCAAAATCATGCCAAATTGTAAAGACCATCAAGGCTAGGAAGAAACTGCATCAACTAACGAGCAAAATAACCAGCTAACATCATAATGACAGGATCAAATTCACACATAACAATACTAACCTTAAATGTAAATGGGCTAAATGCGCCAATTATAAGACACAGACCGGCAAGTTGGATAAAGAGTCAAGACCCATCAGTGTGCTGTATTTAGGAAACCTATCTCACATGCAGAGACAAGCATAGGCCCAAAATAAAGGAATGGAGGAAGATCTACCAAGCAAATGGACAACAAAAAAAGACAAGGGTTGCAAACCTAGTCTCAGATAAAACAGAGTTTAAACCAACAAAGATCAAAAGAGACAAAGAAGGCCATTACATAATGGTAAAGGGATCAATTCAACAAGAAGAGCTAACTATCGTAAATATATATGCACCCAATACAGGAGCACCCAGGTTCATAAAGAAAGTCCTTAGTGACCTACAAAGAGCCTTAGACTCCCACACAATAATAATGGGAGACTTTAACACCCCACTATCAACATTAGACAGATCAACGAGACAGAAAGTCAACAAGGATATCCAGGAATTGAACTCAGCTCTGCACCAAGCGGACCTAATAGATATCTACAGAACTCTCCACCCTAAATCAACAGAATATACATTCTTTTCAGCACCACATTACACCTATCCCAAAATTGACCACATAGTTGGAAGTAAAGCACTCCTCAGCAAATGTAAAAGAACAGAAATTATAACAAACTGTCTCTCAGACCACAGTGCAATCAAACTAGAACTCAAGATTAAGAAACTCACTCAAAACCTCTCAACTACATGGAAACTGAACAACCTGCTCCTAAAGGACTACTGGGTACATAAAGAAATGAAGGCAGAAATAAAGATGTTCTTTGAAACCAACAAGAACAAAGACACAACATACCAGAATTTCTGGGACACATTCAAAGCAGTGTGTAGAGGGAAATTTATAGCACTAAATGCCCACAAGAGAAAGCAGGAAGGATTTAAAATAGACACCCTAACATTACAATTAAAAGAACTAGAGAAGCAAGAGCAAACACATTCAAAAGCTAGCAGAAGGCAAGAAGTAACTAAGATCAGAGCAGAACTGAAGGAAATAGAGACATAAAAAAACGCTTGAAAAAAATCAATCAATCCAGGAGCTGGTTTTTTGAAAAGATCAACAAAATTGATAGACTGCTAGCAAGACTAATAAAGAAGAAAAGAGAGAAGAATCAAATAGACATAATAAAAAATGATAAAGGAGATGTCACCACCGATCCCACAGAAATAAAAACTACCATCAGAGAATGCTGTAAACACCTCTAAGCAAGTAAACTAGAAAATCTAGAAGAAATGGATAAATTCCTCAACACATACACCCTCCCAAGGCTAAACCAGGAATAAGTTGAATCGCTGCATAGACCAATAACGGGCTCTGAAATTGAGGCAATAATCAATAGCTTACCAACCAAAAAAAGTCCAGGACCAGATGGATTCACAGCCGAATTCTATCAGAGATACAAGGAGGAGCTGGTACCATTACTTCTGAAACTATTCCAGTCGATCGAAAAAGAGGGAATCCTCCCTAACTCATTTTATGAGGCCAGCCTCATCCTGATACCAAAGCCTGACAGAGACACAACAAAAAAAGAGAATTTTAGACCAATATCCTTGATGAACATTGATGCAAAAATCCTCAATGAAATGCTGGCAAACCGAATTCAGCAGCACATTAAAAAGCTTATCCACCATGATCAAGTGGGCTTCATCCCTGGGATGCAAGGCTGGTTCAACATACGAAAATCAATAAACGTAATCCAGCATATAAACAGAACCAAAGACAAAAAAAACATGATTATCTCAATAGATGCAGAAAAGGCCTTTGACAAAATTCAATAGCCTTCATCCTAAAAACTCTCAATAAATTAGGTATTGATGGGACGTATCTTAATCAGAGCTCTCTATGACAAACCCACAGCCAATATTATACTGAATAGACAAAAACTGGAAGCATTCCCTTTGAAAACTGGCACAAGACAGGGATGCCCTCTCTCACCACTCCTATTCAACATAGTGTTGGAAGTTCTGGCCAGGGCAATCAGGCAGGAGAAGGAAATAAAGGGCATTCAATTAGGAAAAGAGGAAGTCAAATTGTCCCTGTTTGCAGATGACATGATTATATATCTAGAAAACCCCATCGTCTCAGCCCAAAATCTCCTTAAGCTGATAAGCAACTTCAGCAAAGTCTCAGGATACAAAATACATGTGCAAAAATCACAAGCATTCTTATATACCAATCACAGACAAACAGAGAGCCAAATCATGAGTGAACTCCCATTCACAATTGCTTCAAAGAGAATAAAATACCTAGGAATCCAACTTACAAGGGATGTGAAGGACCTCTTCGAGGACAACTACAAACCACTGCTCAATAAAATAAAAGAGGATACAAACAAATGGAAGAACATTCCATGCTCATGGGTAGGAAAAATCAATATCATGAAAATGGCCATACTGCCCAAGTTAATTTATAGATTCAATGCCATCCCCATCATGCTACCACTGACTTTCTTCACAGAATTGGAAAAAACTACTTTAAAGTTCATATGGAACCAAAAAAGAGCCCGCATTGCCAAGTCAATCCTAAGCCAAAAGAACAAAGCTGGAGACATCATGCTACCTGACTTCAAACTATACTACAAGGCTACAGTAACCAAAACAGCATGGTACTGGTACCAAAACAGAGATATAGACCAATGGAACAGAACAGAGCCCTCAGAAATAATGCTGCTTATCTACAACTATCTGATCTTTGACAAACCTGAGAAAAACAAGCAATGGGGAAAGGATTCCCTATTTAATAAATGGTACTGGGAAAACAGGCTCGCCATATGTAGAAAGCTGAAACTGGATCCCTTCCTTACGCCTTATACAAAAAATAATTCAAGATGGATTAAAGACTTACATGTTAGACCTAAAACCATAAAAACCCTAGAAGAAAACCTAGGCAATGCCATTCAGGACATAGGCATGGGCAACAAAAGCCAAAATTGACAAATGGGATCTAATTAAACTAAAGAGCTTCTGCACAGCAAAAGAAACTACCATCAGAGTGAACAGGCAACTGACAGAATGGGAGAAAATTTTTGCAACCTACTCATCTGACAAAGGGCTAATATTCAGAATCTACAATGAACTCAAACAAATTTAAAAGAAAAAAACAAACAACCCCATCCACAAGTGGGCGAAGGATATGAACAGACACTTCTCAGAACAAGACACTTATGCAGCCAAGAAACACATGAAAAAATGCTCATCATCACTGGCCATCAGAGAATTGCAAATCAAAACCACAATGAGATACCATCTCACACCAGTTAGAATGGCGATCATTAAAAAGTCAGGAAACAACAAGTGCTGGAGAGGATGTGGAGAAATAGGAATATTTTTACACTGTTGGTGGGACTGTAAACTAGTTCAACCATTGTGGAAGTCAGTGTGGCGATTCCTCAGGGATCTAGAACTAGAAATACCATTTGACCCAGCCATCCCATTACTGGGTATATAGCCAAAGGATTATAAATCATGCTGCTATAAAGACACATGCACACGTATGTTGATTGCAGCACTGTTCACAATAGCAAAGACTTGGAACGAACCCAAATGTCCATCAATGATAGACTGGATTAAGAAAATGTGGCACATATACACCATGGAATACTCTGCAGCCATAAAAAATGATGAGTTCATGTCCTTTGTAGGGACATGGTTGAAACTGGAAACCATCATTCTCAGCAAACTATTGCAAGGACAAAAAACCAAACACCACATGTTCTCACTCATAGGTGGGAATTGAACAATCAGAACACATGGACACAGGAAGGGGAACATCACACACTTGGGCCTGTTGTGGGGTGGGGGGAAGGGGGAGGGATAGCATTAGGAGATATACCTAATGCTAAATGACGAGTTAATGGGTGCAGCACACCAACATGGCACATGTATACATATGTAACAAACCTGCACCCTGTGCACATGTACCCTAAAACTTAAAGTATAATAAATTTTTTTTAAAAAAGAGTATATTGGGAAGCAGATGCCTTACTGTTTGATGTATGACTTTTTGTCATGTTTTACTTCTCTAGATCTCAATTTCCTAATATGTGAACTGAAAAGCCATATTGTCATGATGATCCCATATATTTAAACAATTCATGATTTTATGCCCTACCTCTTTGCTTTATTAGAATTCATATCTACAGGGAGGAAAATTTTGTATATTTGTTACAGGCAGATATTTTTCTCCCTTAAATACAAAAGATCAAATTAGATAAATGAAGTATTAATGGAAAAATTATATATATATATAGTGAGAATGGGGACAATATAGTATTTCCAATAAAGTAAATCTCTTTTTCAGTGTATTTTTATAGTTTTTTAATGGTTAAGAACGTCTCTCCAACCAAGAATATTGGGGGAAGAGAAAATGCTGATTTCTTACCCAGATTATTCTAATTATTCCATAAAATTGTATCTCTAGAATAAAAGATATGTGAGGAATTTTCCTTGTAGAATATTACCAGGTAAGAGAAAAGGCCTAACAACATTAACACCAATATATAGTACAGCTGGTTATCAAACAAAAACTCCACAACCTTACAGCACATGCTTAGTGCTTCCCATCATCTTTATAGGGACCCAGGATCACAAAATACCTGAGAAAGTTTCTAAGAAATAGAAATAGCAATGAAGACAACAGTTGCTAAACAGGAATAAAATGTATATTTCATTAATAAAGTAGTTTAACTAGAAAACATTAATATCATCAGATACCTAAAATATAATACATGTATTTAAAATAAGTATTAGGATAAAAAGCACTCGTGAAAATTAAAAACATGACAGCAGATATAATAAATAGGAAATTTGGCCGATGTTGAATAAACGTCCCCAGACCTTAGAGCTGAATCAGAGAAAGGAAAAATAGAAAACTATTAAAGGCGTCTAATATTTCATTAATTACAGTTCCAGACCAAAAAAAAAAAAACAAAAAACAAAAAGTTGGGTGGGAGGAAAATAATGAGAAACTTTTAAGTGTTTTAGTAGAATCAAAAAACTAAAGTTTATAAATAATAAGGGCCAATTAAGGGCACAGAACAATGGTTGAAAATTGGCCAACACCAAGGAAAATATTAATGCAGAGTTTCATACACTGAGAACAACAAAGAGATGCTGTAAGCCACTAGAGAGATGTGGCTGAAAAAAAATCTCCCATCAAAGCCTAATGATTACATAACAGCACCAATGAAAATAACATAATTGGGGCAATGACTTCAAAAGTGTGTGTGAATATGGTTTGTACTCTTAAAATTTGTAAAGTAAAAATCTTAATCAGATATGTGGTAAAATTAAAACATTTCAAACATTCCAGTTCTCAAAAAAATTATTTCCAACGTTTTCTCTTTCTGAGAGCAAGTAAGAAATGTACGTCACATAAGTGAGAAAATAAATAAAAAATAGGAAATACACAGGATGTAGAAAACACAGACACAACTACAGAGAAACTCAAAGAAAAATATGGAAGATGAACAAGGGAGATTTCATAATGGGCAACTGTACAACAGGTATAAAGCAGGATAGAGATTAGAAGTGTTCAGACATCTCTGAGAGAGATTTCACAAATGAGGTAAAGTTTTAAGGATAACTGTTGAATATGAAAGCATTGGGATTTAGACAATTTAAAGAGTTTAGCATTAAATTAATGAAAATACCTACAAAATAATGAAAAAAAACGGAGAAAGACAATTTTAATTCCTAAGGAAAAAAATAAAAAAACTATTCTGGAACAAAAATGTAATTATAACATAGTACTTTTCTGTGACAAGAACAGTATTTCTATAGTTCAAATAACATAAAATAACATAAACATTGGCTACTGAACTACCTAGCAAAGGTTTCTGTTACTCAGTGGTAATCAGTACGTGCTTTCTAATCTCAAAGGAAAATCACAGTTCCTGGTTCCTTGTAGTTGGGCAAGGGCTGATGATGAGTTCTAGCAGGTGGATTGTGGATACAAGGTAGTCATGTCATTTCTGAGTTGAGGACATTAATTGTCTGTGTGAGCCCCTTCAGCATTCTTTTTCCCTGCAGAATTGACTGAAAAGGACACAGAGGACGCAAATATTGAGTTATGGAGCTTCCGTCAGTCTTAACTGTTGAGACACCTGGAGAGGTTCCTGGACCTGTACTGGGCTTTGCTTGAGCAAAAAGTGAAATCTTTCAGTTTTCAGCCATGAAAATGTTGGAGCTGTTGCTGCAGCAAAATCTAGCCTAAATCAATTTGTAAAATCCAAACTATAATATATTTTAATGGGAAGATGTGGGGATAGAAAATGTGTGTCTGTGTGTATGTCCTGTCAACTGGAGAATCACAAGGTTGATTAATTTGGAGAAGAGGCATTATTTCTTACAAAGGGTTACAGCCTGCTGGCTGGCCATTCCTAACAAGAGGGAAGCATTGCCTCTGGCAGAAACCTTTAGCAGGCACTTAGAGGTAGACAAGGTGAAAATCAAGAATTTATGCTGAAGGTGTTGGCTAATAAACATTTTCAACAGGTTATAGGAGAAGCTATTAATATTTACTAAGGGGGGATGCACACATGGGTGATAAGCAAACATGCATGTTACATGTGTTGCATGTTCATTTGGGGCCAGAGACTTAACATTTAAATGTATTACAATTAGGTCCTATATGTCAAAAGATGAAGCAGGGATGTAGAGGCATTCAGTAGCCTCTGTAAATGGACTAGAAGCAGCCCATGGTCTGTGGTTTCTTACCAGGAAGAGGTTACTAACTCAGTCTCTTGTCAAAAGTTGTAGTTATGGCTTGTGAAGCAAAGGGGTTAATTAGTGTCTGGTGGTGGATGAGCTGCGATTGTTTCAATATTGCTTATCTGGAGATCAGTGCTGTTTAGCTGCTAGAGAAAAAGAAAAAAACTTGTGGCAGTTAGAATGTAATTTATTCTCCAAATGTAGGAGTGTGTGACTTACCCCTTGCCTGGCATGGCCTTAGGTCTTGTTTATAATGTGATATCTATCACCACAAAGAATCCTTTTCGTCAGTCTTATAATCACCATTTTAACATCAATATTGGTCCACTGTTGTGTCTGAACCATAAAAGGTAGGAGGTGTAACGAGGCGTTCTCAACCTCCTGTTTCATCAAAACTAAGAATTCAGTTTTTAAGGTTACCCTGGATTACCATTGACTAAGAGGGGATATGTTCAGTTCATTGGGGGCCTTAGGATTTTGAGTTCTCAGTGCACACATATATGTATGGCCAGGTAATGGCAACAGTGAAATGGTGGTAAAAGATAGTTATCCTCTTCTACAGTAGAGGGCCAAAAGAAAATGGCTAAAACTGAAACATAAAAATGCACAGATAAGAGCCATTGTGTTTGTACTCATGGAAGTAACCACCAAAAGTCTAGCCAAAATGATTGCAGTCCTTGCATTGCAGGTTTTCAGCAGGTGCAAATTTCAGTAACTGCTGTTTAAATAGCACCAGTTCCCCGAAGCATGGTTCAGATTTTTGCCATGGAAATGCTGTAAATACAAACTGTAAAAACTCCACTGCTAGCTTATCAGTCCACAAGTCATTAACTACATCAGAGATGTGTATCATGATTAGTGACCAATTGTATCGCTACTTTCAAAATCTGTTAATTAGTCACTGCATACCTGTTATTTAGTTTATGCACAATTGTCTTGTCTTCTAATGATAAACCCATATGAGGTTTTACAAGAATGAATGACAAAAGCAGGTAGTTGGCTGACAAAGATGAAAGTTCACAAGTAAATGGAAAGTGATAAAACTGGAAGTGAAATTTGAATAAAACACAAATGAATTATAGAAATAAGTAGCTGGCTATAAGACTGTTGACACTCACTGAACGCTGTGTTCTGTTGAACACGGTTGCTATTGGAGAGACTCTAAATGATATGGTTTGGCTATGTCCCCACTCAAATTTCATCTTGAATTATAGTTTCCTTAATCCCCACATGTCATGGGAGGTACCTGGTGGGAGATAATTGAATCATGGGGGTGGTTACTCCCATGCTGCTGTTCTCATGATAGTGAGTTTTCACAAGATCTGATGGTTTTATAAGGGGCTCCCCTGCCTTTACTTGACACTTCTCTCTCCTGCCACCATGTGAGGAAGGATGCATTTGCTTCCTCTTCTACCATGATTGTAAGTTTCCTGAGGCCTCCCCAGCCATGCTAAACTGTAAGTCAATTAAACCTCTTTCCTTTATAAATTGCCCAGTTTCAGGTATGTCTTTCTCAGCAGCATGAGAACAGACTAATACAGTGAATTGGTACCAGGAGAGAGTGGGGTGCCGCTATAAGGATACCCAAAAATGTGGACGCAACTTTAGAACTGTGTAACAGGCAGAGATTGGAACAGTTTGGAGCGCTCAGATGAAGACAAGAAAATGTGGGAACATTTGGAACTTCCTAGAGACTTGGAGGGCTCAGAAGACAGGAAGATGTGGGAAAGTTTGGAACTTCCTAGAGACATGTTGAATGGCTTTGACCAAAATGGTGATAGTGATATGGACAATGAAGTCCAGGCTGAGGTGCTGTCAGATGGAGATGAGGAACTTGTTGGCAACTGGAGCAAAAGTTACACTTGCTATGCAAAGAGACTGGCAGCACTTAGCCCTCGCCCTAGAAATCTGTAAAACTTTGAACTTGAGAGAAATGATTTAGGGTATTTGGCAGAATAAATTTCTAAGTGGCAAAGCATTCAAGAGGAAGCAGAGCATAAAAGTTTGGAAAATTTACAGCCTGACAATGCAATAGAAAAGAAAAACCCATTTTCTGGGGAGAAATTCAAGCCAGCTGCAGAAATATTGCATAAGTAACAAGGAGCTGAATGTTAATCATTAAGACAATGGGAAAAATGTTTCCAGGGCATGTCAGAGACCTTTGCAGCAGCCCCTCCCATCACAGGCCCAGAGGCCTAGGAGGGAAAAATGGTTCCCTGGGCCAGGTCCAGGGACCCTTGCTGCATTCCTCCTTGGGAAGTGGTGCCCTGCATCCCAGCCACTCCAGCCTTGGCTAAAACGGGCCAAGGGACAGCTCAGGCTGTTGCTTCAAAGGGTGAAATCCCCAAGCCTTAGCAACTTCCACATGGTATTGGCCCTATGGGTGCACAGAAGGCAAGACTTGAGGTTTGGGAATCTCTGCCTAGATTTTAGACAATGTATGGAAATGCCTGGATGTCCAGGTAGAACTCTGCTGTAGGGGCAGAGCCTCCATGGAGAACCTATGCTAGGGCAGTGCAGAGGGAAAATGAAATGTGGGGTCAGAGCTCCCCTCACATAGTCCTCACTAGGGCACTGCCTAGTGGAGCTGTGAGAAGAGGGCCACTGTCCTCCAGACCCCAGAATGTTAGATCCACCAACAGCTTGCACCATGCACCTGGAAAAGCTGCAGAGACTCAATGCCAGTTGTGAATGCAGCTGGGGCAGGAGTCTGTACCCTGCAAAGTCACAGGGGCAGAGATGCCCAAGGCTGTGGGAGCCCACCTATTGCATCAGCATAACTAGATGTGATACATGAAGTCAAAGGAAATCATTTTGGAACTTTAAGGTTGAATGACTGCCTATTGGAGTTTGGACTTTCATGGGTCCTGTAGCCCCTTTGTTTTAGCCAATTTCTCCAATTTGGAACAGGTTTATTTACCAATGCCTGCAACCCTATTGTATCTACGAAGTAACTAACTTGCTTTTGATTTTACAGGCTTATAGGTGGAAGGGACTTCCCTTGTCTCAGATGAGACTTTTGACTTGAACTTTGGGTTAATGCTAGAATGAGGTAAGACTTTGGGGGACTGTTGGAAAGGCATGATTGTGTTTTGAAATGTGAGGACATGAGATTTGGGAGGGAGCAGGGGCAGAATGATATGGTTTGGCTGTGTCCCCACCCAAATCTCATCTTGAATATAGTTCCCATAATCCCCACGTGTCATGGGAGGGACTCAGTGGGAGGTAATTGAATTATGGGGTGGTTACCCTCATGCTGCTGATCTCATGATAGTGAATGAGTTCTCATGAGATCTGATGGTTTTATAAGGGGCTTTTCCGCCTTTGCTTGGCACTTCTCTCTCCTACCACCATGTGAAGAAGGATTTGTTTGCTTCCCCTTCTGCCTTGATTATAAGTTTCCTGAGGGCTTCCCATCTATGCTGAACTGTGGGCCAGTGAAACCTCTTTCCTTTATAAATTACCCAGTCTCCAGTATGACTTTATTAGCAGCAAGAGAACAGAATAATACACTAGATATGCAGCCAGAAAAATTTAGTGGAGAATTTTATTGACATATATGAGAAAAGCACTTATGACAAAAGGATGAAGACTCCCAAAGGAAGTGATGCCAATAAAAACTTTACATTGATGGATCCTTTTGAGATAGTTCATGATATTGAAAATGCAAAAGGTGAAATATTTGAAGCTCACCCAGTTTGAGAAAGGATTATGACAATTTATAAAGGCATAGAAAATGCTCACTCCTTATCATCTGTCCAACTACTCTTGAGTTTTTACGAAGAAATAAATGTTAAATCACAATATGTAATAAAATATTAGCTTCACTATTTTTCTTTTCTAATTTTCTTATATATTTATCACTGATGATAAAAGTCTTTAATGTTTTGACAAACATTTTTAAAGGTCACAGAACCATCATCATTTTCTATTGGTTATTAAGATAGCTTATACAATGTCCCATTTCACAGTCACTCTTATGGTCAGGCACTGTCACACTATGTGAGGACTGTGTGTAGTTGAAAACTGTTCCCTCTAGAGATTGTGAAATTAGGAGGAAAAGTGGATAGATGACTCCTGTTCTATGTAATAAGTCTTGTAGTACTTAGTGGTTCTTTCAGTGTAGTATTCAGTAGTATGCATAACTTTGATGAAAACCTAGATATGAATAAATATAAACTATTTTTAATAATTACAATGAAAGCCATATTTAATGTAATATATTCTTTGGACAATGAAGAAGATAGGACCTTCCGTGGGCAATAATTTTTACATGAAATAATGACTGTTTCAGTTATTCAGCAGTGGGATTTGTTGTGAGTTTTCTAAATTGTATAATTATAATGGTAATCATAATGGCAAATATTTATTGAATATACTTTATGTATCAGGCAATAAGATACAAACTTCATTTGCATTATCCCATGTGATCTTCACCACCATTTTACGAGATAGATATTATTATACTCATTTTTTTCTTCAAGGTAGAAATCAGTGGTTAAACTTTCCCAAAGTCACAGAGCAATTTTGATGCAGACAAGATTTGAAACTAAGAACTCTAACTTCAGAAATCTGGTTGTTAATTTTTTAAGTTATGATTCCATGCAATTGCTGCTGCATCTGGTGGTGACAGCTGTTGTGAAGTGCTCATCGTTATGACAGCAATAACAATAACTATGAAACAAAAGAAAATACATTGATGGATAAATTCATCAACTTATTTAAAATATTCATTTAGTAGCTCATCAATTACATTTTATTTGTGAAACCTGAGAGCTCCTGGAGGGTCTTTCAGCTCTTTCTCATAAGGTTATTTATTTCAGTTTACACTAAAAATGAGTTTTTTAAAGTTACCCAGTTTGAGTTGCCATCACTCTCAGTCTATTTTTCAGCCTAATAATCAGAAATGTAAAGCCGGGAGGTAGAAAAGTGGGGGAGCCTCAATGAAAACTTAATTAAGTTCTCTATTGTTTGTCATTTAAAAATAATTTATAATAGAGAAACGTTAATGTTTTAGAAGAAAAATGGCTTTTAGACATGTGTTTCTTAAACTAAGGAACACATTAAAATCACTTAGTTAGATGGTTAACTATACAATTTCTTGTCTATATCCAAGACCTAAAGAATCACAAACTATATGAATATATCATGAAATTTCAATTTGTTTCAAGGTCTATGGGTAATGCCTAGTATTTAAAATTTTTTTTCACATTTTATTAAACCAAATTTTACTTTACTTTTTAAGTTATAATTTTCTTTCTTCCATTAAAAAAATTAAGCAGTTTTATTGAACTATCATTGATATGCAAAAACCTTCATCCATTTAAAGCACACAATTTGTTAAGTTTGGACATAAGTATATGCCTGCAGAACCATTACCACAGCCAAGGTAATAAACATATCTATCCCCTCCAAAAGCATTCTTGTGCTCCTACGTTTCATTTGTTTGTTTGTTTGTTTGTTTTGTAGTAAGAACATTTAACATTAGATCCACCCCCTTAATTTTTTTAACTCCACAACACAGTATTGTTAACAACAGGCACTACATTGTACGTACATAAGTTCAATGGGTACAAAATTTCATTTATGCCCTATAATGTTTAAGAGTTGGTCTGAGGAATATCATTTCAAAAATAGAAAAATTGTATTGAAAAACCCATGACTACTTTGTTTTATAAATATCAAAACTACTTTACAAAACATAATTTTAGGAAACTTTACCTGACCTATCGAAAAATTGAGATCCAGTGAGAGTGAAATGCAAACTTAATCTCAAACTTTTTCTGTAAAGATTGCCAGGTAGATGGTATTCAATCAATGCATTAGTTACTTAGATTTTTCCTACAGGTGGTCATAAAAATAAATATGTAGAAAGGAACTTGCCTATGGTAAGAATTTTCTGTGCTGTTTTCTTAATAACATTTTATCTTTTTCATTGATAAAAAGTCCATTTCTTGAGTTTAGCTATAAATAATGGCTGATTTGTTTATAAGAAAAAATTGTTCTGTTTATTTTAAAACTACAATATTATAATAAAACAAAGAAAAAACATATTTATAAATTAAGTATCTTACAAAGTCAATCAGAAAAAGAAATATTTCAAAGTCAAAATACTTTCATAACATTCTATATTAATATCTATGTTAATATTTATATCCATATCTATGCCCATATATATTTCTCTATGCAAAAAAATATATGAGGTTGAATAACTTGTTTCTAAGTTAAGAGAAATATTAAATCCTTCAGTAATAGAAAAATGGTAAACAAAAATTATAACAGAAGAAAATTTTGTATTTCCTAATTAAATAAAATATTTTAAAGTGTCATAAAATTCCAATTTGTTTCAGAATTGAATATCTTATAAAATAAGTGATTTAAATTTGTATAAAACTAACAAGAAGTACTTAGGAGGAAATTTTGACTGAGCAGTGACTATTTAAAGCATTTTGTATCTAGAATGTAGACAAGGAAATGATGTGTAAAGAATTGCTGCTGTCTATAAACACATAGTTTCAGATTGTTAAAATTTCATGACAAATTTTTAAAGTTAGAGAATTATCATTAGTTATCTATTAGGACTCTGAAGAAACTAAAATAACTATATTATAGGGAGACTCATATATTCACTTTTAATTAATTTTCAGAATGTTTCCCAATGAATTTTTAAATTTTTGTTATGATTGACACATCATAATTGTACATGTTTATGAATCATAGTATGATGTTTCAATACATGTTTACAGTAGTACCTAATGACCAAATAAGGATAGTTAGCATGTCCATCATCTCAGCTTTATCATTTCTCAAAACAGATATTTTGTTATAATGTTTCACCCACAAAGACCTTTTACTTCAGTTTTCATTGTTTTGTTTCACAAACTTGTCCCTCTGCTTTAATATATTATTGTTCAAACTTTACCATTTGAGAAGAAAATAAAAAATTGATTTTTTTCATAGATAGGCTTCAATATTGCTCATCTAAACTTCATCATATTGAATATGTATATATAATACATTGTGTGTATATATAAATATATATCTTTAGACAATATACATTTGTGTGTTTGTGTGTGTGTGTGTGTATATATATATATGTATTTAATTTACGTCACAAAGCAATTCTAATCAAGGAGCTTCTTGGAATATTATGTACTCATCCAGGAATCGGCCAAATTATTATTTGCTTTTTTTTCATCACTGTTATAGTAAGATAAAATACAGTCAGAATATATGTGTCTAACAATATTCTACTTACAGAATTGCTCTTGGCCTGAGTAAACTGTTTACTTTATTTACAGATAGTAACAATGATAATAACAATAACGGATAAAAAAACAGCATAACTAAAATTATTCAGTGTTTCTAAGATAAAAATATATTTCAGATTTAAGACAATCATGTTATTTATGGCATTCAAACTTTTGGTATCTATGGTTACTGGGTAACTAAAGCACTTAATAAGACATGGTACCTTTGATAACAATAGTAGCTAAAGTATTGATTGCTTAGTTTGTACTGGGTACTATTCTTTGTTTTCTCATTTAATCCTCACAACTTCTCTGTGAATTTGTTAAACAAATTATCTCCATTTTGCAGATGAGTAAAGAGAGGTACAGAGAGATTAAATAACTTGCCTAAAGTTGCATAGTTATGAAGTGGGTGAGCCAGGACTCAATGCCAAAGCAGTCTGTGTCCAGACTCTTCCTAATTTAATATACTGGCAAAGGTATGTATATATAAGTATTGTGTGATATATTTGTTATACATGTTTGTAAATATTTGTGCTGAAACTATATAATAAAACTATTTTTACTATAACAAAGTATTTTCATTTCAAACAGGTCAGAAAATAGAAAACACTGAACCACGAATTAGTTATCCAAGAAACCTGCAGAGAGAATGAAGCATTCTACTGCCAGAAGGGATTTCACAAGGATCTATGCTTATTAGAGTAACCGTCATTATTTTTAACCCAGCATTATGTAGTCACAATATAGTAAGTGTTAGTTATGCAAACAAAACACCATTTCATGATAGGAAATAAATGTGTGTTTTAGAATTTCAAAGCTCAAGGAAAAATGTACCCTTTATCCAATCAATAAACTGTAGTAACCTAGAGAGTTCTGATACCCCAGTCCAATTTTTTTTTCATTCTTCAGGAAATGGCCACAAAAATGAAGCAAAATTAGTATTCGAGAACAACAGGATGTCATGTTTTGAGAAAAATTTGTTTTATATTTATAATAAAGAGATAAATTATTCTTAAAAGGTATATAAGGTTACAGAGGTAAATTATGGTTTAAAGATATATAAGAAATCCAAGCAACTATTTCCAGATCCAGTGAATTTCAATCTTTGTCAGGAACTAAATTACATGTTATTGTTGGTGGGTGAGAATGTTTAAAAGGGTGGGCACTTATGAATTGGGATATATCCTTAATTCCACAAATCTTTAAAACTACACTAAATGTCTTTTAATTTCTCTTTCAAGAAGGCAATTCACTGTTATCATCATAATGGCATTAACTGTCATTGTTACAGAAAATGATCTAGATACATGCTGATCATTGACTTTACATTAAATATTTCTTATTAATTACTAATATTCACTTGCCATACAGTTCAAAAACCATGAGTCAGAATGATTGAATATCTATTCTAATTTCCCTGCTTTTAAGAATTGTGATCATGCTTTAGCTACTTAACCTCTCTAAACTTCAAGATTGATCATCTGAAATACAGGGATAACCATTTTTATCTCTGAGTTACAGAAAAGATCAATAGAAAAAAATCTGTAAAGCAACTTGTAAAGTACTGTGTCTGTCACATAATAGGTGCTTAATAAACATACTGGTTTCTGTTTTCTTTATCAAATTTAACACAGATATATGATGTTAAGCCAAAAAAAGGTAATAACATGTTTCAAAGTGTGCACTTTATATGATTGATTTTTTAAGACACCAGAACAAAGATAATTGTAAATTATTATTTTCAAAGCATCAAATACAATGTCACCTATTTCTTTGCTTTGTGATCTATCTTGCTTCACTACCTCCCATCACCATAACATGAACTTTGTATCAAGGGAGCATGCAGTGGTCAAGAGAAGGATTTCATGAAAGACTGGTTGCGTCACTCCTAGAAAACATTTAAAAATTACTGTGCTGGTAGTGGGTCAGAGGCATCTTCACACCCAAATAACGATTAATAGAGGATACATATGGCGCTGTTTTCCTTGCAATTTTATGTTTTCATTTTGTTGACAGAGCTAAATTTTCCCAAAGTTATATTTTACCATACTCATCCATGGTCTGAATCAGGTTTTGAAACAAATTGGGGATTTAGAATTTAATCCAGTCTTTGGTCAAGCAGAGGAAATGCCACAGTAATGACCAAGTCCCTCTACAAGTAATGCTAAGCAACACATCCTCCCTTCAGCAGATTTGCTTCAGGAATCACCACTGCCTAGTCTGTGGAAAGTTTTGGAACACAGGACACATTTCTCCAACATCCCTGGGGAAGAGAGAATTCTGATGTCCACTCTCTAATTTTCAATGGCTGGATAGATTTTTCCTGATAATGTCCTTAAGCAATGAGTTAACATGCAAAAAGGAAAAATTCCACTACTACCACCATGAAGTGACGGTACTATCTTAAGGCAGCTTTAATTCTCTCAGAGGAAACAGAGTAGAATGGAGCTAAAGAAACACTTAAAACCTCATTATCACATATCCTCTCTTCACCCACAGAGCCCCCAGCCTGCCCATTATTGTCCTGCCTGTACTTTCTGTGGGACTTTGAAAAGAAAAGGTTCAAAGAGCAAGACTTTCAAGCTCCCCTTTCCATGTCAAACACTTTCAACTCCTGATTTCAAAGTGCCACTTCGTTGCTGTTCAAAGGCCTGTGGACTCATAGGGGGTGAGACTGGAGTTAAAGGTTGAACTACAAAGCTCCTTGCACTCACAGTCATTTCCAGCTTGGAGATACAAATGGTAATACAAACTCAAGCACCTATCAATAAAACTGCCAATATATGAAAGGAGGGACAGAAACATTCTAAATGGCCTTTTAAATTCTTTTTTTTCCCCAACCAGCTGCGTGCTGTCATCAGTTCGGATGAAAGCCTAATTGATATTTTGAAGTACTACTTTTCTCTCTGTTCCCATTAGAACTAGGGGGACTACAGAGGCAGCTGAGGGAGAAAAACAAGAAAGAAAAAAACACCCACACACCCCAAAGAAGTATACAAGAATAGCTAAAGAAGTCCCTTCTAACATCTGAAAAAAAAAAAAAAAAAATCCTGCCCTACTCTAGTTGAGTATTCATCCTCTTCCCCTTCACTCTCTCTATCCTTTTTATCTGCCTGCCCACAAGATTTGGAGCACCATTAATTGGTCCTCAGGGAGGCTACCAGGCCTCTGCTTTTATGACTCAGTTCTTTGTATTGTACACATGTGGGCATCTCTCAGGAGATAAACAAAAGAAAAATGTGTGGAAAAGGGCCAGAAATTGCACAGGTCTAAACACTGAACAGGCCATTGTCTTGATTTACTGTTAATGCTTGAAATGATGAGAATAATTCGCATTCCCCACCCCTGGTGCCCTCCTCAGTCTGCTTAAGCTAATGTGCTTTTTCTCATTGCTACTGGGCCATCGTCTGAGGAATTCTGTTTCCTATGTGAAATGAAACATCCTTACTCCTTCTTGGCCCCCTCCTCTTATCCCCCCATCCTCAGCAACAAACAAGAGAGGTGGTCTTATGGGAAGATAAAAAGAATAGTTGATCATAAGAACTAACCTGGAGCCAATACATTGGCCTTTCGTCCCTTCAGCACGTTCTAAACCCTAAGCACCTGCAGCTAATTCTCCTGACTTCCAGCCCTGGCCTTAGAGATGCTGAGGTACCAACTCTGTACCGACACTTTCTCTGCCTCATAAAATGTTTACATGTACTGGAGAAAAGTGACCTGTCTTATGCAATGTGGCATTCCCATTAATAAGTGTAGTAAGAGCTCATTAATTTACAGCAAGTCGTTTTTATATAAGAACTTGGATTGCTTTAATACAACCAGCATCTTAATTTAAAATCATCTTGAAAATAAAATCAGGGTCTAAATTTAGCATACTTACACAAACAGTATTTTTGCTTATTGTATCATAAATCAAACCCAGAGTACACAAGGTAATATTCAGGAGTCAAAATGGAGATGTGGTGTCTGCTACATAATCAAGCTAAGTCATTTAAAACTTGCTAAACCTGAGACTCCTAAACTATTCTGGAAAATATACAATTTCCCTAAGAAATTTTTAAGTCACCTAATGCCTGAGATTTTAGTCTATCTCACTAAAAGCTATGCTTACATATACCAGTGTAAAGTATTTTACAATGTCCCTTTCCTGGTCATCTCAACTGGATTCTCTAAAAAGCAGAGCCTGTGGCAAGAACTTGCGAACTGGCATTATATTGGAGGGGACACATCAGAGAAATAGCAGTGAGAAAAAAAACAGTGAGAGAACAGTGGTAGGTGTGAAAGGTGACATAGTAAGATTTAGGACCGTGTCAACCATAGATTCTAGAAAAGCACAGCGAGTTGTTATCTCTTGGGGTATGTCTATGAGGCACTGTAAAGCTACAGCATTTTGAAACATCCCTTCTAAAGGAGGGAAGATCCAAATCTTTATCTGCTTGTTCCTTACTGTCTCTTGTGTTTTACTGGTCAACATGTGACTTATGGGGCTTTAACTTTGCTGCACCTAGGAAATGTGTGTCAGTGCCTTCTAGGAACCCACTAGAAAAGCTAGAACTTTCACAAACCAAGTCCAGTCACCATGAAGGCATGGAAGTCTCTCCAGGAAAATCAGTGCCACATCTAGGGTGTCCTCATTTGTATCAAGATAATTGGACCCCTTATGAAGTGTCTGACTATCTAATGAGGAAGGTTTTCTAGAGACCCAGAAGCGGAAGGTAAGGCATCTTCCGACCTATCCTTGGAAGTACCATGGAGTCACTTCATCACATTCTACTGCTCAAAATTAGTCATCGGACTAGCCTGTATTCGAGGGGGCAGGACTAAATAAGGATGTGTACATCCAAAGGCATAGTTCATTGGGAGACTCAATAGACATATTCTGTACTTTGAATATGTTCACAAAACATAAGAACTCTAACTAGACACACAGAAGATGGCCTAATCTAAATAGGTTCTAAAAGATACCACCATTTTCCAAGGGACAGAAAATTGTGCCTCTCCTGCAGAATCTTTTACATATATTTATGTTTATTATATAAAACCAAATATATATGTATAAAACACATATAGCTACATGTTATATAAAACCAAATATATACATATATAAATACAAATATATATGTGCATATAATATATACATTATATATACACATATTTGAATGTGCATGGATTTAGTTATATGATATGGTTCAATCACTTCATACTTTTGTTTTCTTCCTAAATTATTAAATTCAGGCAATCTCTAGGAATTGTATATAGATAGATATTAACCCTATAATTATTGTTACAATAAAATATTCTAGTGCCCAGAAGTTGACAACCACATTGTAAAAGCAGTGTCACTTATGAAATTCTGCCACCTATTATAACAGCTTATTTTTTCCTGGGTGGGGTATAAGTCGGGGTTTCATATACATGATATGAATGACTTTTTACAAGGATCATGGATAGGTCATTATTTTTAACTGGGAAAAGCCTCAGAAAGGTCAAATAATTTTATCCAAACAAGTTTAACAATGTGTCCACAAAGTGTTAGCGCTAGATATTGAACCTAGTTCTAATTGCTAATTTTGTGCATTTTCCTGCTTCACATGGTCTTTTGGAGGCCCAGTAACATAAATATACACAGAAGATCCAATGTTACATTTGTCCCATGGCTCAGTTTATGTGAAGAAATTTTTAACTTTTATCTTTCTGTGAAGTAAATGTGTCTTGTACTTAGGAAAGCAAGAACATATTAATTCTATATTTTGTACGGGGTCAGGTTATCCCTTACAAATGTTTTCTGATTGTTTTTTAGGTATGGGGTATGTTTTTATTCCTCCAGCTAGATTTTAAACTCTTTTAAGGGAGAGACTATTATTTCCATTTGTCCTGCACTCTAACTTGCATCACCTTGTTCAATTTTTGACACATACTCGGTATTTATCCATTTTTTTGCGTCAAACCAAATTTGTCTTTTCATCTGATTATTAAATGCTTCTCACTAATCATTTAATGCCACTGCATTTAGTTATAGAAAAAAATTATTATTCCGATTAACCATTTTCAAAGAAGCAATTCTCGGGTGATTATAAGTAGAGAAGGTCTTAGGGAAAACTACAATTATAAGCAGCTGCAGCATGAATTACATGTAATTATAGTTGATTCCTGTAAATAATTCTTTCTGTAAATTTCCATTCCAAAAGGATTTACTGCTTGGTAACAAAGGATATTTTGAATTAAAATATATTTTCCTAAATTTATGTAAATAAAATTATATCTATCAAAAAGAAGATAGTAAAAGGAAGAATAAGGGATCAAGGAACAGAATGTTTCCATTTCTTAGGTGCATTTCTTATAAGTCACAGAATGTGATTTTTTTCATTCTATCTCAATATGACACATTTTTTTTTGCTTTAGCTTGTCTGTAGACTAAGTGAAAATAAAATACAAACCCCCTTCAAAAACAAGCAAATAAAAATGTGGTGTACTATGTCCTGCAGTAATTGTCAGCAAAACCTTATAATTCTATTTTAGTACATAATAAGCACGTAATGACAGGTGGCAACTGACGTGTCATCAAGACACTGCTGACTAAGTTAATATGACTCAATTTTTGTTGTTGTTGTTGTTTAGAGGGAATGACTCTTGGGCATTGAACATTTCCTGTTCTACTAGTAATTTTTCTCAACATGATGTATAGTTATTCTATCAAGTATGGGCCAATATATGCATTATTTATCAAATATGTTCTAACAGAAATGACACGAGAAGAGTTGGCATATCATTTAAATCAATTTAACATATTAATATGAGTTATTTAATTTTCATATAAAAATAAAATGTGAAAAATATTATATGGTGAATGGCTGTTTAAAAATGGGAAGAGTGTCTGCATTTCTGAATTATAACACAAAATTAGAAGAATACTTTATGATTTCAACTCTTTCCTTGCAAGGAGAGTTCATCTTCTTCTGAATTATAGCTTTGTTTTTCCACATAGCACCTACTCCTTATGCTTTGCAAGGCTATCACATTAATCTAATGTGGAATAATTTGTATTGTTTACAGAAAAGCTGATATGCATATCTTTGTTTGACATTCAACATTTCTGAATCCCACAACTCTCTGGTGTAAGACAAACTCCATATTTTTCCTCAGAAAAATAGAGCTGTTTTAATTGTTAAATACCTTTTTTCATCAAAACTTAGATCTCTTAAGAGTCTTTGAGCCCGCGACAGCAATCCTTCTTTTTGTATATAATCAACATTAATCTGATTTTACATGTGAGAGCATACACAGCATGCAGTTCTCAAATAATGTCTTGTTTTATGTATACAAATCTTGCTAATAAGGTACATAAGCAAAACAAAGAGAGACATATATTTAAATATATAAAGCTTCATATTCACCTCTGTATAGGACCCTTTATTTCACATCACATTATCAGGCAATCATAATCCTCTTCTCAGAATATTAAGCAAAAACAATATGGCTCTGAGGTACTTCTGCAAAATATTGTCTAACTTCCATAAAATGTCTGCAGGGTTTTGCACATCAAGATATCTTTTACTAAAGATGTTTATGGAAATAGGCCATTATGTGTATTCCTAATAGACAGCAATTTGTTATGTTTAAAAACAGATTTTGTATTAACAGTTGTGAATAAACACTAAGTTATCAAGCATTTTAAATATAAGCAATACATATGTTTGTACTATCCTAATGACACATTTCGAACAGAAACACACAGTGTGTATGCAACCTAATTAGAGCAGATATTTACCAAAAAAAAAGTAAAGCATTTAACTTAGATATCTGGTAGTAATAGGAGGTGACTCGGGGTGTACCAAAATGTGTATAATACCATAATAATACTGGACTAAAAGCCCAAAAGAATTATTGAAACAATGTCTACTAAATATAATAATCAGCTACATATTTAAGTTCAATGTAACATGTATAGATATTCCATATATTCATACATTTATATTTAAGTATTAATTTAAATATTCAGAATATTTAATTTCTGTGTAGCATACATATATATGGAATGTTTGAACAACTTTCACATATACATATGTATGTTTTTTAAAGATGTGATTCTAGCTAATCTGGCTTCGCTGTCAGTAACAGTGAAAGAAATGTAAAACATCTATCCAATTATTTCAGCTAATATACAAGCATTAGGCATTCAAATTTCTAATTAAGAGACAACATGCCCTGTCAGGCATCTGCATGGGCTATTGAACATTGCCTAGAATGTCTCACAA
This sequence comes from Homo sapiens, assembly GCF_000001405.40. Classification (NCBI taxonomy): domain Eukaryota; kingdom Metazoa; phylum Chordata; class Mammalia; order Primates; family Hominidae; genus Homo; species Homo sapiens. The sequence continues at coordinate 17,604,296 of NC_000012.12, read as the reverse complement.
TTATTCCAGCTAATAGTTCTAAAAATGTAAGCAATGTGCGTCTATTGAAGGATAGTGTGGCTTATCACGTAAGATGACACAGCACACAGAACATGGTCTGGTTCCATGTATTCATGCTAGAGGTTTTTATTGGAACATGTTCTAATTAATTCTTGAGCAGAGAGGAATAGCACGTCACCAGTGAAAGTTGTTCAAACATTCCTTATTGAAAAAGAATCACAGTCTGTAGGCAGTAATAGATGTACATTTGTTGTAGGATTTGTATTTTGACCTACCCTTCTCACTCCAACTCTTTTATAGCCTAGGATAAAAGCAGTTTGCTGGGCCTAATTTTTTATATAAGATTTGGTAAAATATTACAAACAGAAGCAAATAATAAGCCATTCTTTTTAAAAATATAATCTGACCTAGGACATTTTATGTCTCATTTGCAAAATATTCTATTTGAGCATTGAGTTATAAAAACTTTCACTCGTGTCTGTGAGAAGAGACCACCAAACAGGCTTTGTGTGAGCAAGAAGACTGTTTATTTCACCTGGGTGCAGGTGGGCTGAGTCTGAAAAGAGAGTCAGTGAAGGGAGATGGGGTGGGGCCGTTTTTATAGGATGTGGGTAGGTAGTGGAAAATTACAATCAAAGGGGGTTGTTCTCTGGCGGGCAGGGATGGGGGTCACAAGGTGCTCAGTCGGGGAGCTTTTGAGCCAGGATGAGCCCAGAAAGGGAATTTCACAAGGTAATGTCATCAAGTAAGGCAGAAACGGGCCATTTTCACTTCTTTTGTCATTCTTCAGTTACTTCAGGCCATCTGGATGTATACGTGCAGGTCACAGGGGATATGATAGCTTAGCTTGGGCTCAGAGGCCTGACAAAATGTTCTTGACCATTAGTTGTTCAACTTTTGGAGTATATAGAACATAAATGACCACTTTTCAGGTCAAAGATAGTTGGGTTAACCAAATAGGGTGACATGGAAGACAATATATGTTATATTAAAAAAAAGTCTAACAGAAAATTATACTAAAAACAGATTTATAAATTGAGACCTATCTCTTTTAGAAATAAGAGTTTGCAAAAGCAAAGAGTAAATATGAATACATGATTAAATAAATAAATGAACTCGGTTAACATTCTTTTTAATGGTGAAGGAAGTTAAACAATGCCTATTTGATGAACCAGAGTACACAAATATGGGTGGCCTTAAAGGTATAAGTGTATTTTATATCAATATCAACCCAACATACATTCTTCAAGTGTCTGTAAAAGACAAAGAAACTTAAGAGGCAAAAATCTGAAATGTGATCTTAAAACCAAGAAAATTAGAAACAGCCAACGTGTAGAGTTAAAAAAAAAAAACGAGAGAGAAAAACAAATGACAACAGAATAAATAGGGGGAAAAAAAAGTGTTAAGGGAGGAAAGAAAGAGACAGAGACAGACAAGAGAAAACAGTGAAAGTGAGCCCAACTTTCTAGCAGAAGATCAAAGATTGACTCTGAGGAGTGGATGTGACATAGGAAATTAGCAATAGTACATCATCTGGAGAAAAATCCTGTAACCTATAACACTATTATTTCGAATTTCATAGTTTGGAATACTAGAAGGTTAACTTATAAAACAAATTTACTAGTAAGAAAGTACACTATTTCTTTGCTACTTAATGCTAAAGTCCATCTGATAATAATGCTTGGTATAAAATATTTATTTCTCTTTCATTTCTAAATTCCTTTTCCACACTTTTTTCTTGTCAATCTAAAGTGGTCTCTAAAATCAATTTTATTATTTTTAAAATTATTTTTATCATAATTATGCAGTGTCATCAAGTAAAATAGGCACAATTTGAATTGTCTCAACCTATGTAGATACAACTAGGATAGACATGATAGTTCTTCTTTACTAGTTTCTCTCTGAATGGTCCACCGTCCTAGAATAAATATTTTATAATTAAAAGCCTGGAATCTTGGTTTTAATAGCAATTTCAAAAGCGGAAGAAGACAATGTAAGCTTCTTCCTAAACCTGCCTAAATACAAGTTAAAAATTTTAAAAAAGACTTTTAGAATGTCATTATGAGGGCCTCCATGAACATATCCCCATCCAGGAAACAACTATAATTTTTGAAAATTATTTTTAAACCCAACCATTGAATACCTCTGGAAGTGCTCAAATGGCATACAGCAAATGAAGAAACGAGAAAAACTACTTAATCTTGATAAGAATAGCAAGAATCTATGACATTTGAATGACAACTCTTTCTGTCCTTTCAGTGCCTGGATGCTCGAAGCTGGTAGAGTGTGCCCTAGAAAACAGGGTTCCTTCATCCTTCAGCTCCTAGTCATGGGATATGATTTTTATTGGAACAAGCAAGTTGCCAGCATTTGTTTTCATCCCAGGTACAAGTTCCAAAGGCTATATTCCTGGCATGTGCATTCTGGCATGGCAAGTAATTTGGGGCTCATTTCCTGCACCCGGGCCCCACTCACAGGACAGATTCTGGACCCTAGAGATAGTAGGCAAAGATATAGGGATCTGGATAGCCCTTTCCTGAGCTTACTCACTGGGCAGAGGTTGCACTCCAAGAGAAGCAAATTAGAAAACCAGAAGCTATTGTCCCCACTGAGCACCCTGCTCCTTGAGAAGCAGATTATTATTCCTATCCCCAAGTTTGGAGCAATAGCTCAGAGATTTTACCCAGAAGGAGGGACAGTCCACAGGAACAGAGAACTTCAAATATAGGGAACTTATTTTATTTGAAACACAGAATAGGAAAGATCAAATCAGTGGTTGTTCTAAAAGAAAAAAAAAAGGACATTTTGTTAATTAACATTAAGAGGAATCTGCTATCTCGATTGGAGAAATAAGATAAACTAGGCAAGCTAGTTTGCCAGAGAGAACCATGGAAAGAGACAAGTAATAAATGTTCTCTTGTAGTCTGAACCGGCCTCATACAGTATTCCTACAAAGAGGCTCATGTTTAATTGAATCAGGCAATGGAGAAATGTATACCCCCAGGATATTGTTGACACAGTAAAGCAGTCTTCAGCAAATTCAAGGAACCTAAAAGCTGAGTATGGTACCAGAAAAGGCAGAGAGGTCAGGGAAAGAGCCAAAGGTTCTAAAACTACTGTAATCTTAGGGTGACTGTACATATGCCCAACGCTACATCCTCTGAGAAGCACTATCGGTAGCATGACCTTGAGGAGGAAATGGATTTCACTAAAATAGTCCAAAGAAATCACTAAAGAAATAAACAAGAAAACCACGACAATAATGACAACAAGAAGTAACCCTGGATACAGGAGAAAGAGTAGTGTCCAGAACTGTTACAGTACGTACCTAAATTGTTTGGATTTCAATAAAAAATTACAAGAAACGCAATAAAAGAAATGTAACTTGCAATCAGAATGTAGGTGACATGGGGAGAGGTAATAATAATGGCTGTGAGAGAGTTCCACTGTTGAATTTAACAGAAAAATATTTCAAAGTAGACATTATAAATTTTTTAACATTTTTAAATATCTAAGAAAATCATGCTTAAAGATGTAAAAAAGATAATAATATCTAATAGAGAATATCAATAAAAAATAAAAATTAGTTAAAAAGGAAACAAATGGAAATTCCAATGTATAGAAAGAAAACTCACTGAAATAAAAAAAAAATTACAGGAGTGGCTTAACAGTAGATTTGAGCCAAAGAAATAATCAGCCAAATAGACAGATTGATAGAAATTATGCAATGTGAATAACAGAAATAAAAGTTATGAAGGAAAATAAAGAGAACCTCAGAAAAATGTGGGACACTACTAAGTGCAGTAAAATAGGACTATTAGACAGAGACATAAAACACAGATATTCAAAGAATTAATGGTTGCCAACCTTCCGAAGTTGATAGAAACCCTTAATCTACATCAAGGAGCTCAAAGAATTCTAAGTAAAATAAATATGGCTGGGCACGTAATTTATTTTGCATGCTGTAATTTTTTTTAAGGTCATGCCTGTAATCCCAGCACTTTGGGAGGGCAAGGTGGGCATATCACTTGAGGTCAGGAGTTCGAGGCCAGCCTGGCCAACAGGGCAAAATCGAGTCTCTACTAAAAATACAAAAATTAGCTGGAGGTGGTGGCAGGTGCCTGTAATCCCAGGTACTCAGGAGGCTGAGGCACAAGAATCACTTGAACCCAGGAGGTGAAGGTTTAGTGAGCCGAGATCATGCCACTGCACTTCAGCCTGGGCAACAGAGCAAGACCCTGCCTCTAAATGCATACATACATACATACATACATACATACATACAAAGGTATAGAAAACCAAATACACTGTAGTTAACATGCAGCAAGTCAAAATTGAGAACATTTTGAAAGCAGCAAAAGAAAAATGACTCATGATATAAAAAGGAATCCTAAGAAGATTAACAGCTGGCTTCTCTTCATAGACAAAGAGGATAGAAGACAGTAGGTGGCACATGACTTGTTGATCTTCTGCCTAGTTGTTTTATCCTTTACCGAACGTGTGATATTGATTTCCAGGTATTGTTGATCACACACACACACACACACACACACGCACGTACGTATATGTGTATACATATACATATATACATATATAATATACTTATATATGTGTATATATATGTGTGTATATATATATGTGTATATATATGTGTGTGTGTGTGTGTGTCTTCCTTAAAACCTGTTAGCTTTTGCTTCATGTATTTTAGAGCTCTGATGTCAGGTGAGTATATAATTGTTATATCTTCCTGGTAAGTTGTGCTTATTTTTATCTCTAGTAACATTTCTTGGCTTAAGGTATATTTAGTCCAATGTTTGTAGAGCAACTTCAGGATTCTCATGTTTTCTGTTTTGTTTTGAGACAGAGTCTCGCTCTCTCTCCAGGCTGGAGTGCAGTGGCGTGATCTCGGCTCACTGCAATCTCTGCCTCCCAGGTTCAAGCAATTCTCCTGCCTCAGCCTCCCAAGTAGCTGGGACTACAGGCACGTGCCACCACGCCAGCTAATTTTTTTTTTTTTTTGTACTTTTTAGTAGAGATGAGGTTTCACCATGTTGGCCAGGATGGTCTCGATCTCTTGACCTCGTGATCCACCCACCTCAGCCTCCCAGAGTGCTGGGATTACAGGCATGAGCCACAGCACCCAGCCTCTCATGTTATTTTTTGGCATAAAATAACTTTTTCCAACTTTTTACTTGCTGTCAAAAAGAGTTTTAAAGTCTGTTTTCTGTAGACAGCACATATTTGAATCATACTTTTAACAATCCATCCCTAGAATCCTGTCTTTTAATTGGATTATCAAATCTATTCACATTTAATGTTGTTATTGATATAGTTGGATTATCTTTACTATTTTATGGTTTTCTATATGTGTCATGCATTTTTGGTTCCTTTAGTTCTTGTTTACTGCTTTTTTTCCCCAGTAAATGAACATTTTCTAGTGTAATGTTTTAAATTATTTTATTGATTTTTCACTATATTTTTGTTATTGTCTTCGTGGGTTTTATACGTTTTATCGTATAATTCTTTTGTTATTGGAATCTATTTCAAATTCCTCTAACTTAATTTCAGTGATAGAAATGTTACTCCTATATACCTCTAGTTTATTTTCCTGTATGTGTTTTTTGCTATACATATTTACAGACCAAAAATATAGTAATAATTATACTCTGTATAAATTTATGTATTTCAAGGATGCTGACTGAAGACTGGAGAACAACTGTGTGTGTGTGTGTGTGTGTGTGTGTGTGTGTGTATACACATACATATATGTACATATATATACATAGTTTATTAACCTTATTTGCCATTTCTTTTTATTTACTTGTACAGCTTTGTTCCAACCCTCTCCTTTATGTTTTTATTGCTAAATATGCTACATTTCTATATGTTATAGTCTCAACAACAGTTATACCCATGTTGTTTATATAGTTGTTAAAAATCATTTAAGAGAAGAAAGAAGTAAAATATGCATTTATGCTGTCTTTTATAACTATATAAGTATATATAATTTTGCATAGTAACTTTTTCTTTTGAGATGGAGTTTCACTCTTGTTGCCCAGGCTGGAGTGCAGTGGCCCAATCTCGGCTTACTATGCCTCTGCCTCCTGGGTTCAAGCAATTCTCCTCCCTCAGCCTCCTGAGTAGCTGGGATTACAGGCACCTGCCACCACGCCTGGCTAATTTTTTGTATTTTTAGTAGAGATAACAATGTATATAATTTGGGAAGTGTTCCCCTCTTATTTCTTGAAAGCTTGTGAAGACTTGCTATTAAATCTTCTTTAAGTATTTGGTAGAAGTCATCAATGAAGCCATCTGAGCTTGAAAAATTTTTATGTGGAAATTTTTTTATTACTGATTTCAGCTCTTGTTATGAGTCTTTTTGATTACTCTGCTTTTCTTGCATCAGTTCAGATAATTTGTGTATTTCTAGGAATTTGTTCATGTCATCTAAGAAATCTGTCAGTATAAAAACTACACACATTATATTATCATCTATTGTATTTCTGTAAGGTTGGTAGCAATATCACTTCCTTTATTCCTGATTTTAGAAACTTGATTACATTTTTGGTCAATCTAGCTAAAGATTTTTCAAATTTGTCATTCTTTTCAAAGGACCAATTTTGATTAAATTTGATAAGTAATTTTATTATTTTCCATTTACTATTTCATTATTTTTCACTCAAATCTTTATTGTTTCCTGTCCTTGCCTTCAGTTTGCTCTTTTTTCTTCTAGCGTAAGGTGGAAAATTAAATTAACGATTTGAGTGTCTTCTCTTCCTCCTCTTTCTTTTTTCTTCTCTTCCTCCTTCTCCTCGCTTCTTCTTAATGTTTTTTCCAACTATAATTTAACCCCTAAGTACTTCTTGATTTCCAAACAAACTTCAAAGCTACAGTGAGACAGTACTTGAGTCAGTAAGACACAAGACGGTGTTGTAGTGACATATATACTGTCATAGTGACATATATACCAACATATATATCGATGTTATATAATTGAGAGTCCAGAGGAAAATCTGAACACTTACAGTATTGATTTTCAAGACAGGTGTCATGGCAATTCAATGGGGAAGTAATAGTGTTTTCTGCAATTAAAGCTGAGCCTACATGTATGAAGTTAGACCTACATCACATCATATATAAAAGTTAACTTCAAAAAGATCAAAAATCTAAAACTATAAAACTTTTATAAGGAACTTTAGGGAAAAAACATAGAATTAGAATTAGGCAGTGATTTCTTAGATATGACACCAAAAGCTCAAGCAATGAAATAAAAATAAACTGGGCTTCATAAAAATTAAGATTATTTATACATCAAAAAACACAAAGTGAAAATGTAAACCACAGAATAGAAGAAATTATTTGCAAAACAGGTACTTGTTATGTCACTTGCATTCAGAATACATAAAAAACACACAACTCCATAATAAAAGACCAACAAAGGATTAAAATAGACAAATAATTGATTAGACTTTTTTTCCAGAAAGTCTATGTAAATGTCCAACAAGCACAAAGCACATGGAAAGAAGCTGAACATTGTCAGCTGTTAGTAAAATGCAAATCAAAACTAAAATAATACGCCACTTCACACTCACTAGAATGGCTATAGTAAAAAAGATAGATAAAAATAAATCTTGGTGGTGGTATGAAGAAATGAGAACGCTTTTTTTTTTCACCTGGTAGAGATTATTTCATCACCCAGGTATGAAGCCTAGTACCCACTAGTTGTTTTTTCTGATCCTCTCCCTCCTCCAAACCTTTACCCTGTAATAGGCCCCAGTGTGTGTTGTTCCCCTCTCTGTGTGCTTGTGTTCTCATAATTTAGCTCCCATTAATAAGTGAAAACATGTGGTATTTAGTTTTCTGTTACTGTGCTAATTTGCTAAGGAACAGAAATGAGAATTCTCATACAGTATTGGCGGAAATATAAAATAGTACCTTCTGAGAATGTTAAACCCAACAATTGCACTGCTAGGTGTAACCTCAAGAGAAATTTTAAAACTGCCCATAGAAAAACGTGTTTAGGAATATGCATAAGAGCATTATTTATTATAGTCAAAAGTGAAATGAATCCAAATGCTCATCAATTGATGAGAGGGCAAATAGAATGTGGTATTTCCATACAATAGAGTGTTATTCTGCAAAAAAAAAAAAAAAAAAAAAAAAAAAAAAAAGAAGAAATGAAGGACGGATGCATGTTATATGAATAATCCCTGCAAACATTATGCTAAATGGAAGAAGCCAATCACAAAAGATGACATATGACATGATTCCATTTACATAAAATGTCCAGAATAACCAAATCTATAGAGACAAAAATTAGGTTGGGGATGGTGGGAATGGAAGTGACTGTTAATGGTACATGGTTTCTTAGGGATGATAAAGATGTTCTGGAATTCAACGTAGTGATAGTTGTACACTGAATGAATATATGAAAATCATTGAATCATATGCTTTCAATAGATTATTTGTGTGGTATGTGAATTATATCTCAATAATTTTTTAAAGGACATGAGAAAGAAATGGAGACATAATTTTAGTTTCCATTATAGAATAAAGACAAACATTATATCTTTTGTCTTGGAATCAATTAAAAACTAGGAGTTAGGGTACTAATACATATTCCTAGATGTGGGTTAATCATGGCAGGCCCATTTTCTGTGTCACTCCGGATGGCATCTCTCAATGTCATTGTCTTACTATTGCTGAGATAATACTTCAGGCTTAGATGTGCATAACCAAGCCATAACTCCCTGTCTCCAATCATTACTAAAGCAGAACAAAAGATGTTCTCTAACCCAGCATCTTTCTACAATTTCCCTACAATCTGCTATGCTAAAAATTTTTACCCTTCTCAAGTCATTTTCATTTTCCCCTTTTTAAAAGTTACTAATGAGCCTTTAATCGGACCTCAAATCAGAAAGCCCTTCCCAACGGCTTTATCCGCTTCTTGATTTATTGTCTATGGCATTCAGTATATCATGATGTAAGCTCCATAAAATCAAGCATTTTGCCTCTCTTTGTTATGACTGTATCTCCAGTCTTCTAGAATAATGCTTATAGACAGGTGGCATGAATTAATGAATCAAAAAATAAATGAATAGGTTTCAGCTGACTTCATTTGTATACAAATGCATGGGAAGAATAGCACACATTTAGTGTCATTTTCTTCTACAACTGAATTAATGGATCAATAGCTCTATAATCTGGTTAAATACTCAGAAAAACTATTGTGTTTATCTTTTATACTCATCTAACAATAAGTAAAGAATAGGGAGCCATTTTCGTTTTTCTAGCATTGACCTCCAAATTTGGGGTGTATCAATAATTTGTATTTTTAAAAAATAAGCATTTTCTTTTTGAATTTATATGTAAAATGAGAAATTTAATGCACCTAATAAACATGTTTATTTACAACATATATTAAATATACATGTGTGTGCTTGTATAAATTTATATATAAATTATCTCCCTCAAATAAGGTATATGATGAGTATGAGTCCATTTGTTTTAACGTTGGGTGGGAGAGAAAAAAAAATAATAAGAGAAAAGAGAGATGAATGCTTTCAGTTATTAAAAACAAATGCATTTGCTGTTACGTGTTTTTTGAAAATTTCAAATTTTCAAAATAACATAAAGGATTTTTAAGCTATATCTACATAAATTTAAAAATTTAATTTGTTGATGAAAATTATTTTTTCAAATTTATACAAAAATATGAAGGTTTAATATTTTATTACAAAAAACTAATACTATTTTGTGATATTATTGTAAAATGCTATTAATATTATAATGTTTTCCAATCTCAGGCAATTGTTATTATAGTAAGAAAAAATGTATCCAATCTTAAAAAGGTTTAAATACATAATATAAGGTCTAAAATAAAATATAATTAAATTAACATTATAAATGACTGAGGAAATGACTGAGTGGGAGCTTTACTCTCAGATATAATTCAAAAACAAAGGTCCAACAGGGGTTTCCATGTAACAGGTCTAACAGAGAATTATAATCAAGGAAATATGCTATCAACGTTGCCATCTTTGTAACTTTTTAACGTTTCTTATTTTGCAGGGTATTTGTATCCAGAATATATATTTTGGCCAAATGCCAAAAGACCCAGTGTTAAAAATATTATCATAATAAAATAAATTGTTGGTATTCACAATTATTAATTTTAATACAATTTTAACCACAAAGAATATTAAAATGTCAATATTTGAATGAAGTAGAGGAGCAAATATTTATTTGTACCATTAGCTGAGATTACTCCTTAGATCAATGTGCTGCACATTTGCCATTCTAAATAAATGCTCATTTGCAAATGAATTTGGTAGAGAAGAAAAGTATTTTGTTGGCTTGCTCTGTCAGCATCCACTATTGTGCAACATTATTTTGCAATAAAGGCATTGAATACAAACAACAACAACAAAACTAAACTAAGAGAACTTTAAGATCATTTCAGTCTTCTATTTAATTAAGCAATTTTATTCTACTTCTAAAATGATGATGAGTAAGATGATGCATTTCTATTAAGTATACTCTTTTGAAGGTTATTAGTGAGAGCTGGTATCTGCTTGAGGTATCTAATTTTTCTATGCCACTTTCATTTTTCTTCATTCTCTCTATGCTGTTCATTATATCTGACTCAAAGATGATTTGTCATGAATGTTACTTTTAAATGATTTAGGATTTTCTTCTCAATGAAATTTTGAGACTGAAAGTTGGTTCTTTGCTTTTTATCCTCATAAGATGTTTTAAAAAACTATCAGTTATAACTGTTTTCTAGAAAGATTCATACTCTAAGTATAAATAACTAGCTAAAATGTGTAGAGTTTATATGTTGTTTAAAGTTAATAATGTTATTACACCTAGTTACATAACAATAAAAATCATGAGATAATCTAATTTTTATTTTTTTCTAGTATTATCTAAATTACATAAACATTTGTTGGCTCAAAAGTATATAATCTTTCTAAAGATTTTTATATAATTCACTTTCTTAGTATTCACATTAACTCTCATTTCACTATTTATCTATTTCAAAGTCCTTAATTGTTTTTGAACATACAATTAACAACTTCACCCCTGTGAATTATTGTAGCATTTTCTATTATAATTAAAAGTAAACATATATAACCAATAACTAGTAGAATGTCAATGCAAAAAGTACCTTAGAACTAGTTTTACTTTCAATTTGATCTGGAATACCTGCCTATATTTGAATATGCATATTCAGATATTAACTATATATAAAATGTCACACTTGCTTTTATTGTTGACACTAGTATACTAATTGGCTATAAAAGTACCTACGTGATTGTACCATCAATGATGAAATATAGTTCATAGGGGCTAGAACGGACATAAACTAGATATTCTGTGATTTGGTTTTCCAAAGCCCAGACCTGACACCAGACCCAAAGCAATTAAAAAAAAAAAAAAAAAAACCTAGATTTGAGCTGAACACCCAAACTAAAACTACATCCCAATGCACCATTAGCCGTTTTCTTAACTTTCTGTTTCAATCTAGCCCTAAGGGCAAGTTCCTCACTGTGAAAAGTGATCAAGTGATTATTTCCCAAAGGCTTTAAATGAGGTTCTTTATAGGCCCAGGAAAGAGGTCATGTGGGCCTAGTAAATTGTTAGATAATGTGCAGCCAGTACTGAAATGTGACCTCAAACGTAATGTGGGAAAAGGCGGCCAAGAGGAGGAAATGAAACAAACTGATTTCCAGAGCCTAAGAGTGTGAGAAACCAGTATAAAGCAGTAGACCCTTTGATTGACTTTGACCCTGCACATTTAGGAGGAGGGCAAATACGACACTAATAAATATTGAACACTTAACATATGGCAATCACTGGGCCAGACGACTTATTAACTGCAGAAAGAACTATGTAATTTATGTGCCCCGTGGAAAATGAAAATTGGGGGGCCCTATTCAAACATTATTAAGAATTTCCATAGAGCAACAGGAGAGCATTAAACTAACTGCAGGGCTCCTCTAAGCACAGGGTGCTGTGCTGTGTGTGTAGGCAGTTCCCATGTCCACGAAGCTGGCTCTGATGGTTTGTCACTGGTGCCCTCACAAATGCTCTGTAGCATATTCTATTATCCCTCTTCTATGGTTAGAAAACTGAAGCTTAGAAATATCTATTATAATTTTCTCAAGTTTACACACCATGCAAGCGACAAAAACAGGCATATATAAAAATAGCCTGTTTTATTTTAGCAGGTGATATGTTTTAAAGGCTCATAAAGCACAGTAGAGGAATTATATACACCATCTTAAAAATATGTATTTACTGTTCATACACTGTTCATTTCTGATCATCTCTTGATATATTCTCATATATATCAATATATGAGAATCTCATATAGCATAGCAAACACACTTCCCTCTGCAAATGCCCTGCTAATACTTTTCCAAATTAGAGTGTGGTTATACATTCAGCGGATAGAATACTGCACTACAGTTATGATAACGAGAGCAGTCTTTGAGTTTTTCAGCATTGGTATACAGTTAGGACTCCATTATCAGCAAAGACACAGGACTAGAATGGTTGAAGCTGAAGATTCAATGGACTGCTTCATGGATGGTCCTCCAAAAGTTCATTAATATTGAAAGCCAGTGTAATTACTCTCACAAAATCCCATGATACTTGCAAATCTTATTTTTTTTTTTTTTTTGCCAATTTTTCATTTCTGTTTTGTAATAGAGAGGTGGCCTTTTGCCCACAGGAGCGCACCCCGTGAATCACCAGCACTTGCACTGTGCCACGGAAGGGGAGCTGCCATATTATTAATTTTTTTTTGAGGAAGGTAAGTGAGAAAGGACATGCTGTAAATAGCATGTGACTTCCCTCTGAACAAATTAGGTCCTGTGAATTGCATAAGTGAGCAAATCTAATTTTAGTGAACAAAAGAAGCTGGGAGATGCTGAGTGTAATTTTTATGTAAAAATAAGAAGTCTCCAAAGACAACTCTCTTTAAACAGATGAATGCAAATTACCAAAGTCATCCAAATAGAGAAGGTTGATTTATGCATTTTCCATTGTATCCTTCAACAAAAAAAGCTTTTTCTGTTTCCAAATAGTATGCATTTGGGGTAAAGTTTCACTTTACGCACCAAGAATGGCTGAGAGAAGAGAGCTCCAAAGCAGTCATGTAGAGAAATTGTTTCTCTATCTTTTTTTTTCTAGAACACAGCTTCTGCCAAATAGTCTGTCCAACTGTCTACTGTATCCACTTTTAGCTACTTGAATTTTAATTAAAAGTTTCAATGTTATATATCAGAATATATGATTAATTCTCCATTGGCACCCTATGTCTTCAGCAGAGGGCAGACACGATAAGAGAAAAATCAATTCTGCTTGAACATAGCTGCTAAATTCCCAAATCGACACCAGCCATTTTAGAAGATGGGTCTTATTCCATCACCCTCACAGCATTGTCAGTGCTTACTAGTTTAGTTGTAGCTTTCAGTGCACAAATATCTTAAAACTGCCAGTGAATTGTTAACTACTAATACAATCCTTAGAGGATTGTCTGGTTCAAGACAATGTGCTACTTGTATGGTTTTCACTACTCCTACAGGGTTTCTTCTTCTCCTGTCCTCTTTCCAGTATGGGCCTTTCTAACAGCAGCTTTTATAATCTATAGCAAGAACAAAGGAGTGTAATTCTCTCTCTTTATATATTCCTGTATGTGTGTGTTTGTGTGTTTTCATCCATATACCCATATTAATTCAAGAAGCATTTAATGAGTGCCAGCTACTTAAACCAATCATGCTTCTAAGAACCGAGGATCTTTCAGACAAAATCTCTTGGAGCTTAAAGAGTAGCAAGTGACATTTGTTGTTAGTAAAATAATATTTTTAATTACTTAACTGGCAAATTTTTGTCACCCTAGTACTGTGCTTTCACCTTAAAACCCAGGCTTTCACCATATGTGATTATTTTGGAGACCTTCTCATGGTATATGCTTCAAGTTTTTTGTGACTTTCTCTGTTTCCCTTACATCTAGATTGCCTTTTTTTCCTTTTAAAATGTGTAAATAAAATGTCCCCAATTCTCTATCTTTATTGGTTCATAATTTTAATTTTAAAATAAAACAGCTTCAGTATTTAATCCTGTAACTTACATGAAATTCATTGTCCACCTTCTCTCAAAAGATTTTTAAGGGTAACTAGAATCTTAAATTTCCATGGTTACATCTCACTACATTCCTTTTACCTCTGAATTTTCAGTATATATTTTTGTGTTGAATCCTATGGATCCTAGCCACTTTCCTTTTTTTTTTTTTTTTTTGTCTCTTTACTTATGGAATTTGTTATTTCTCCTTCATTTTCTAAAGGTTTTTTCAAGGCTTTAACAGAAGTTTGGGTATAATTATTAAGAATCACTATAGTATAAGCACAGTCTAGAAACCAATTAAATTTTCTCTGTGTTACATATCAATTTGGTAAGGACTATGTAATTCCTGCCATGAGGTGGAAATACTGGATTCTTCTCTTGGCCCTAAGTTTCGTTTATTGACCTGTTGTTGGTCCATCTCTCTAGAACTCTCGGCTGAGCTTCAGGCCTTACATTCAGTATGTATTCTATCTCATTGTTGGCATTTCAAATGTATCTCAACTTCATATATCTAGACTGAATTCATCATCTTTCTTTCCAAAACAGGCCTTCTCTCAGTATTTCTTATCTAAGTAACTTTGGTAATTTTGCCATTTGTTTATTGCTTAAAAATCAGTAACCCAGTCCAGTCTTAGAACAATGTTATCTTCAATGCAGCCCAAAATAAACAGAAATTAAAATATTTTAATCTTTAAGCTCTTTCAAATATATCAGGTGCTACAAGTACATTGTTAAATAAAATAGATATTTAATCACTGGAGTGCATTGGCGCGATCTCACCTCACTGCAAGCTCTGCCTCCCAGGTTCAAGCCATTCTCCTGCCTCAGCCTCGTCACCCAACCACTAGACTTCAGAATCTCCCAGAAGGTTCTTTTTTCTTCCACAAATACATTTTCTTTCAACCAAGGTGTCCTATTCTGACATTGTCTCATTTTACCCGTATTGTGCTTATTTCCTGCTCTACATGCCTTGTCCTCCAGGAGGCTCCAGCTAGTCACTATGCAACACTCTTGCTCCATTGTGATGAGGGAGCGTTTTTCTTCTTCTAATGCCCGTTGTCATTTTGTTGCAGTATCTGACTTCAGCGATTTGTCTTCTTGTCTCAATAAGTGTAAGAAGTGGGTAGAGGATGGAAAGGGAGAAGAAAGGATTAAAGTTAAGCCTGAATGGTAAGAATCCTCTCTTCAGATACCCATATGTAAATAATGTTTGCCCCATCAAATGTCTGTGTGTCTTTCTCATCATTATATGTTCTTTTAAATTGGGATTGTGTTTCTGAAACCTCAGTGACTCAAATGTTTGCTGAATGAAGTAGCAAATGTCAAATTTCTGCTGGTAGGCATGTTCCATTATTAATTTGCTGCGATGTGTATTAGTTTGTAGCTCCAATATGTGTTTTTGAGTCTGAGAGGAGTTCTTTATTTGATTTTTGTCTTGTAGAAAACAAAACAACAACAAAAAAACTGTGACTTTTTGTTCTATTTTGAATCGAATGTAATAGAAAGCAACTCACTGCCTCAATGTATCTTCCCTGACATCTGCCAGTTTCTCTAAAGCTTACAATGAGAAGGCCTCTCTCAAGGGTTTTAGATATTTTAGATTATTTTGAGATCACATGCATATAAATTGTATATAATGAAACATAGTTTAAATACTTTAAAAGTATTCTACTTTCAAAATTGCAAAATAAAGTTGCTATTCCTGAATCACTTGGGAAGATGTTGAATAGAGAGGCTTTATGTATTAAGTATATTACATACTTATAAATATTTTAAAATCTTTTATACATTGAAATATATTAATTATAACATTATCTTCAAAATACCAGAACACAGGAACTTAGGAGTTAAAATCGAGGGAAATTATATTCTTTACCTACTCTAATGTGACTTAATTTTGCAAAAGTATGTAGACAGTGGGAAAATGTTCATACTTTATGTGTTATATTAAAGAGGAACCATGGGGGCATATTAAGTCATATATAGGTGCATATTTCCTTAATGTCAAAAGTTCAAATAAAATATCTAATGTATGTACTTTTTAATATTATTTTACTCCAGAATCTCATTATGTTTCATTATATTAAAATAATGTACTGCATTTTGTTATGTGATTTGTGTTTTCTGCTTCCTGTTTTTCTCTCAAATGTGTGAAAATGCTTTGTGTCACTAATTTTATCTTCATTCTGATGTCTCATTAGTAGGTATTATTTTCAAAGATATATGTTTTTGTATGGAAGTAAAGATGTAAACTATTCACTTCCCATTGTTTCTAAAACATCGTTATCGTCCATGTTCAAGCAGAAACACATTGTTTAATTGTGCTAGCAGCATTTGCACAAAAAAGCTTCAACCCCCAGCTCTTCCACATAACATTCTGAGGATTTCATGGCCCCAGTTCTCCATTTTAAAAATACAGTTAGAGGATAATTTTGATACCTTTCAACCCTTAACTTTGACAAAGAAAAAAAGGTATCACTTAACCATTTTGTTGATATTTTATTTGTACTCCCTTTTCCAAGAGGAGTTAAGTTAGATAAAAAGATCAGCAGGATAGGCCTCCAGGCTGAGGCTACCCAGGATTGGACTCAATGTCTGGAAATCACTTCTGTGATTTTAATATGAGTTGAGTTTCTGATCAACAGTTTTGCAGGGATATAAATGTCACACATTGTACATGACACCCCCCCCATGTCAGCCATTATAAAGATATTCTATACTGCCAATATTTTAACATCAATTAATCACTGTACTTCTAAATGTGTTGAGTTGGTTTTATTATGTTCACAGTGTACTGATGATTTTATTTATTCAACAAATGTTTATTAAGCACGTAGTACAAGTCGGTCACTGTGGTAAGTTTTGGGACAAAGCTTCTTACCTCATATGCCTGATACTATAATGGGTAGACACTAAATAATAAACAAATTAACACAATAATTATAAAACAAATACAACATTGAAGTGTAAAGTGGCTGGCAAAGCTAATTAAAGCTAACTAGCAGTAGCTTTCACATAAAGATCATAAAATATATTAAATAGTGGGTTGAGCTATATTCTCTACCAAGAATATAAGAAGCCGAATCTTTTGAAAATTAAAGAAGCACATTAGGGAACGTGGCTGTAGGAGTGTATTTAACTATCCCAAGGTACAAATAAGTACAAAGAGAAAAGGTTCTTTTTTAATAGACTAAACTAGATTAAGAAAAAAGTTTCAGAGATATACATTAATAATCAATATGTATTATTAATATTTAATTAGCTTACTTGCAACTGATGAGTTTGTATATTGTCACCTGAACAATAAAAAGACAAAAATGAGGGATTTCATTCGTATTTAGCTGCCAAGAAAATCTTTTAGACAATTTATTATTTTTGATGGTAGAAAAAAGGGAAGGAAGAGGCCGGGCGAGGTGGCTCACGCCTGTAATACCAGCACTTTGGGAGGCCGAGGCGAGTGGATCATGAGGTCAGGAGATCAAGACCATCCTGGCTAACACGGTGAAACCCAATCTCTATTAAAAATACAAAAATTAGCCGGGCATGGTGGCGGGCACCTGTAGTCCCAGCTACTCGGGAGGCTGAGGCAGGAGAATGGCGTGAACCCGGGAGGTGGAGCTTACAGTGAGCCAAGATCGCGCCACTGCACTCCAGCCTGGGCAGCAGAGCTCAAAAAAAAAAAAAAAAAAAAAAGAAAAAGAGGGAAAAAAAAAGGAAAGAAAAAAGGGAAGGAAGAAAATGGGATCTTTAAAGTCTGAAAGTTAAAGTTGGTTTGGGGGACAGTTAAGGAATATATATTATTGATCATGTTTAAATCTCTCTACATTTTTATCTCCAATTTACTTTGTTGTTCACCATAATATTCTCTTCACTTCTAGTTTCATTCTCCACCTTAACATGACCGCATCTACTAATAGCCAATAAAATGAATTGGTGAGTTGTTTTGTTTTTATATCATTGGCTTTGTGGTCTTTTCCTCTGTTCAGGCATTAAACAAATTACTCTTTCACAGAAACCATTACTTTATTTTCTTAGTCTTATTTATATTGATTATGAAATAATCAAATTATAGTATCAAATGGACAAAATTTAATTTTTTTAAAAGGCCTCAGACATATTCACAATAAGAAGGTGTAATTAGTAAATCTGCAAATCAATGGTATATTTATGCAAAGTTGACTCAAAACGGTGCTTCCATGTTAGAGAATTAATTATGCAAGTCTTCGTCCAATCTGGGCTCATTCTTGTAGGACAGTAACAAACGCTACCAGAGTTCACTGAAGCTTAGGACTCTCTTTTTAAAGATATTCGAAGTCGTTTGGTAACATGAGAATTTAGAATGACAATAAAAATGACTCATTGAAAGGCAAACAATATTAGAGATAAACCCTTTTTTGATTTAAATAATTGATAAAATGTATGTGATATATTAGGCATTCTAGTATCAAATCCCAATCATTTGTCATCAGTTGATTGACAGACACTTAAAATAAAATTATTATACCTGTGTTTAGATAATAGGTTTATTCTTGTTCCCGGTTCACATCTTTTTTGTATCTTGTTTCTACCTTAAACTGGTAAAATTATTTAGTTTTTCTCTTTCATCCAAAAGAATTGTCTACTTCTAGAATCAATTATAATAATATATAATATCTAATATTGGTATCTAATAAAATGTTTATAATACAGAAACATTCTACATATGAATAATTCTTAGAACATCTCAATAAAAGAAAAATAATTCTAAAACTTTATTAATGAAGAGTCATTACTTTTAAGTAGAATTAATCCAGTTTTCTCAAAATCTATTCAGAAAAAGCATTTACAGCTTGTCAGAATTAATTTAAGCCTTACTTGTATAGTTTTTATTTTTTACTTGTTTCTGGTTAATATGCCTGAAGAGCTGAGATCCAAAAAAATAATTTCTGCCATAGAATCAGAAAAAACAAAACAAAACAAAACTGGGGATGAAAATCAAGTGTAGGCATTACAAATTAACTTTCTTGACCATTTAAAGATTTTAGATAGTTCTTAGGAAATATTTAATTTTGAGTAGAACGTTTTGTGACTAGGCTTACTAAGATAGTTAATTTTTTTAAATCAGAATAACTAGATCAATTGCCTTGTTGCCTAAAATCTTAAGTTTTTTGGCCAAGCTGATGTTGGACAATTTTTTCTGCCAATTTTGAATAATAGATGTTTACTGCTTTTTTAAGCCCCTTCTAAACCTATAGCACCAACAAGGAGATTATATTTACATTTATTTATTTAAATTCAGCCAACATTAAGTGAGCTTCCACTTTGTGGCTAGCATTGTGTTAAGTATCTGCAATACAGAAAAGAAAATAATTACAGTCCATATGTCCAAAAAACTTATAGAAATTAAAACATTTTATTAGTTACGTATGGCTGTTTAACAACTCACTCCAAAAATAAAATGACTTAAAATGACAATATTAATTTACTGTAGCTCATAGTTTCTGTGGGCCAGAAAATCAAGAGTGGCTACACTGAGTAGACCGGACTTGGAGTCTCTCATGAAGTCACAGTCAGATTAGGCTAAAGTGTCTGACAGTGTCCATGTAAATGGCTAAAATGTTAATGATGGTGTTTATGGAGTTCTTTGCTTCTTTCCTCCTAGGCCTCTCTACTGGGCTGCTTGACCTTCCTCATGACATGGCAGTTGGTTTTTCCCAGAGCAGATAAGTCAAGAAATCAAAACAGAAATGACATTGGATTTTATGACCTAGCCTAAGAAGTGAAACATTATCATTTACTTTGTATTCATTTTATCACACAGGAACAACCATGATTCAATATGTGAGTAGGCTATACAGGAGACAGGAACCATTGGGAGCCATTTTGAACACTCTCTACTACAGGATCAAAAGCAAATAATTACAAAACAGTACATCAATGCAACAATGGCATTATATGTAAGGTAAATACATAGGACAGAATAATAAAGTCATAACTGAATATGAAGACATGATAGAAATTCTAATTAGGTATTATACTGGAAAAATATAAATGTCCTCAATAAGTTGAAATAGAGTATATGTATGTTACATTTTAGAAGTAAATATTATTTGTTTTCTATTCAATACTTCACTACAAAAATAAGTTAAACTATACTGTATTGCTAGTTACAGAAGTAAAGGTTGAATACAATTTCTTTAGTACAATTTTTTTAGATTCTTTATTCTAGATCACAAAAACTTTGACAACTTTTTTTTTATTTAAGAACATAGTGCTGAACATATCTTTAAGAGCAAAAAACCACAAATTATAATTTGACAAGAAATAGAATGGTGACTGTAATGAATCATTTTCTTACTGCCTTGTTTAATGTTAATAAAAATTAACTAAATAAAAGCTGAAAATAGCTTACAATTCAACACTTGTTTGAAGGAACAGGATTTTTGTGATCATCCATTATACATCTAAATGACTTCTATTGATACATATTAATCAATACTGGGCATATTAGCAGATTGTGTCTTTGGAATAACTTCTATACCAAGCCTAATATTTTTCTGATAATCATTGATGCAATTAATACATTCAGATGAAAAGTTTTAAAATAATTAATACGCACTTTTTTTTTTTTTTTTTTTTTTTTGAGACGGAGTCTCCCTCTGTCTCCCAGCCTGGAGTGCAGTGGCGCGATCTCCACTCACTGCAAGCTCCGCCTCCCGGGTTGACGCCATTCTCCTGCCTCAGCCTCCCCAGTAGCTGGGACTACAGGCGCCCGCCACCACGCCCGGCTAATTTTTTGTATTTTTAGTAGAGACGGGGTTTCACCGTGTTAGCCAGGATGGTCTCGATCTCCTGACTTTGTGATCCGCCTGCCTCAGCCTCCCAAAGTGCTGGGATTACAGGCGTGAGCCACCCCGCCCGGCCAGCACATTTATTTTTAAGAACAAATAGAAAACAACACATATAAATATACATATATACATATATTTCATGTGTCAGTAAGCATAATAAATCACAATAATAATGATCATACAATATTGGAGATATATATTATTTTTAAATTAAATGTTGTAGTCAAATTGGTGAAATGTTCAGCCCAATGTTATGTTCTCAGTTTGTACAATTAAAATGAGACCAGGTTTCTGTATTCTCATTCTTATTACTCTTTCAACAGTCAGTTCTAATGAAGATGACAGCCATCATTTAAATACACATCATTAGGTAAAGAACATAAATGTCAATAAAACATTTTCTATTAAGTAGCAGGCTGATGGCACCATAAAAATGAAAATTTTTCAAGTTGTAAAATATAGTCAAAGTCATAATGGAGTACATTAACACAGTTTGGCATTCTCTCCGTATTCCTTAGTGAACTGAAAAAGAGCTTTAATTAAAAATGATTTTGATTGCTTTACGTTTATACTGCAAAAGATGTACAATGTTTTCCAAGAAACTCTTCTTTACATGAAACTAACTTAGATAGATGTACACTACCTCTCAAATAGCTTCATTCATTTTTCTTTGAATTTTAAAAATTTCATTAATTGGTATTTATTTGAATTTATGTCACACAGAGGGCTTGAATTTGTGTGTACATCAGTGGCATGTTAATTCCACTTTAGCCCACATGTGTTAGTTGATGTAGTAAAATGTACATTTTTTACAAAACAGTACATATTTCAAGGGTTTGCCTAGTAAATGGACTCAGAAACAAGGTGCCAACTTTGTTTTTACCTTTCATATTGCTTCATTCATAACAGTAATATATGATCCTCCAAATTTGCCCAACATTATTTAAACTGAATTTTCTAAAAATAGAGATCTTTTGAGGTTTTCTTGTTTTTTAACTATATATCCATGAATACTTTTAGCTGTATGATACAAATTAGCAACAAAAACAATTTTTAAAAAAGAATTGCTGCTACTGACAAATTTAACTTCAAGGAAATTTCGTTTACAATGGGAAAGCAAAATGGATGTTTCGGTCCTAAATTAGATAACTGTACTACCTTTAATCTTGAAAGAGCGTTATTTTTTCAAAAATTATAGATTAATGCTTAGAATTTATTTAGAAGATATTTTCAATATAAGTCAGGAAACACTTATATTTTAAGGGTGTATGACAAAGAAATTAGATGCCTATAAATAAAATATAAGTCTAAATCAATTTGAGACAAATTTAAAGACTAATATAAACTTGGTATCTAGCTTTGGGAAATATCCCTTTATTCTCTTTTTTTGTCTTGAGCATTAATATAGAATTTTGGAGGGAAATCACGAGAAAACTGAAGACATCTGTCCACCAAGAAAAGCACAAAAGCTATAAACTGAAGATAGATATATTTTCAACTAACTGCAGTCTTCAAGTAAGCAGCTGTTATTTTAAAAAGCAGAAGTAGAGATACAGAGCACTACGATCTCAAATAGAATTGAGATTTAAAATTATGCATAAGGAATTAACATACTTTAATCCTAAAGAAAGAGAAAAAATATATTAAAGGTCATCGTGACTAGAACCTTTAATTGGCAAAAAGCTTGTATTCACACATCTTATCAGATGATTTCCATTTGTGAGCCATTCTTGATTCTAATTCTCATTTCATTATAACAAAGTTATAACAAAAAGGAAAACTACCACATTTCAGCAAATCAAAAGATAACCTCAAATATCTCCTTCACCTCCATCCTTCAATTGTTGCTTGAAGGAATTGTACACCCAAAAGCACATATACACACACTAATATAAGTACCACTAAATGCCATGCAGTATCATCTATGAGGGAAACACTGCCACTCAAATACACAGAGTTGTAAATATTCTCATTTATATTTTTGTCATTTTATAAACATTTCTGATATTAGCATCAAGAAAACAAAGGAACAAAAATAACAGTTTCTAAATAAAATAAAAAAGTGTAAACTTAGAATGTCTATGATTTAACAAATAAAAATTTTTCTCTTCCTCCCTCTCTCCTTCCTTCCCTCCCTTCCTCCCTCCTTCCTTCCTTTTCTTTCCCTCTTTCTCTTTCTTTCTTTTTCTTTCCCTTTCTTTCATCTGTCTTGCAAATACTCTTCTTATCCCTGATCTATTCATGTGTTCTCACCTGGGAAGAACAAAGCTTTACCTTTATATTACAACAGCTAAAATAGTTCACAGGAAATTAACTGAAGTTCCTTGGAAATTTTTCATGTTCAAATACTTCAACTTTGTGTTCAGATATTCTATTTACTGCCTTGGGCACTGTTATTTACCCATTCTGAATTAGGTTGCTTCATCTATTTAATGGGAATAAAATAACAATACCTAGAGATGGCAGTTGTGAATCATACAAGTTTTTGTAGATCTTCTTAGTATAAGATTAATAATTCTGTTTTAAACACATTATCCAAAGTTGCAACAAAAAATATGACTAGAATGCATTCTCCAGTTGTAAATTTGGCAATCAACTCTGAAGGGTTGTGTTCAAAAAGAAAATCCATGAATGTCAGTTATGTATGTATGTTTGGATAATAGAGATGATGTATAAAATATATCTAATGCAAACCAAGCAAACTTTTAATTTTTATGTCAGCACAAATAACTCCCTATTGTAAACAAGAGTTACCTTCTATAGTCAGTAAACAAGAAAGGTTGACATATTTTTAAATCTAATAAATAAATAAAATATCTAATGCAATGTTAAGCATATATTAGTTGGTCAATATTGTTTGTAAACTTGAATTTAAAACTCTTCATAGAATCATGTGTTCTAACATCTTACTCTCTCAAGGAATTCCTACTACAACCTCAGTGCATTTAAGTACATGTATGTAGTGGGAAGCTCATTTTCTTAAGACAGAGGCTGTTGCATTATTAGACAATTCTAATTGCTGATACATTCTATCTTAAGTTGAATTCAAATATATGTTTCAATAATTTACACTCATGAGATCTATTAATTCCCTGTGGAGAAACAGACAACATATTTATTTTCTCTACAATAGTAGTCCTTTAAATATTTGAAGACAACATCCATCTCTCTAGCTATTCCTTCACGTTTTACAAGATTTTAAAATACATTACTTTTTTATTTTTTAGTGTGTAGTCAATTTTAATTTTTGTTGTGAACAGATATATATTGCTACAGTGATTTGTTAAGGGAAAAAAGAAGAAAAATAATAATGTAAAGTGTGAAAAAAAAAAGTGCTGGTGTCCTCATTAAAATGTGATTAAATGTTTAAACTTCCAGTACATTAACACTGACATTTTGTCTTTTAAACAGTGTCAGGTAATGAAGGTCAACACAAGCAAGCGTTCTGTTTCTGGCCCTTAGTTAGAAGCACACTGTACTTGGACTTCACAGCAGGGAACTGTCAGGCACGGTTCTCCTCTGTGCTGCTTCTCTCTAAGTACTAGCTTGCAGCTGGCTCCAGCACATGGTAGTGTATGGAGATATTTTCTGGGGTCCACTGCTTCAATCACTATTTAATGATTAATTACTGCAGTCTGATGCCAGGGTGAGACATTCAATGCTTCAGGTAAAAATCTTAACTATAGAAAATGACAGCAGGCAGGGTTTTGAAAGCTGAGTTGACTTTGTATTTCTTCTGAAGAATTTACCCGATTTTTCTATCCACTTGTAAGGAGTGAGGTGAAAAAAGACAAAATTGTCAAGTAGCAAACGCCAACCAACAATGACAGGGGTGGTATTCAGCAGAATAGTCTATGATTGTCACTCACAATGAGAATAGTGCAGACAGATAGACAATAACTAACTCTCTACTGGAAACCAAGCAAACAACTTTCAATTGACATTCGGGATATAATGGCTCTGAGCTGTGAAAAGAGTCTTCTGACAATGTGCCTTGTAAGCAAATAAGGGTGAGATACGTTTTCTACCAATGTATGTTTTTGAACTCCCTGTACCCTGAAGTATGAGGGGAACATATTCTTTATGATATATAATATTTAGTGGTAAAATAAATAGTTTGGTAAAAAGACTACCCTAATATTAAAGTAGTATAATTGTCTATTTTTATTTCTCAGTAATTGCCTGTAACTTTGAACCATTTATATTGAAAGAAATTTTAGTTTAAAAATAATGCAGCAATATGACAGCTAATACTGACATGAATCATGCAAGTTGAAAGAGGAACTTTGTATTCTGATAAATTTGGATAATTTAAAATAATCCAGTAATTATTAAAATGTTCACTAATTAATCTTTTTTGTTCATAAATTTTAACTATTTCTGGTTTTCTACAAAACCAGTAACAGCTTTCTTTTCATATAATATGTGTTTTTCTTCAGTATAGTTACCTTGAAACAAGCTCAAAATACTTTTAAGCAACAAGAAATATTTTTAAAAATTGCCAAGTAACTATTATTCAATGATATTGGACGTTATCCTTTGCATGTGGCTTGGTAATGGATAAAGAGATAATTAGAATGTTTTAAGGATATAAAAGCAATTTATGCAGATAGGAATACAATACCTATTTGTTTAATAGATTCTAGATCACCCATCTATAAATAGGCATTTATGAGTTTATTTAGAACTCAGAATATGTTTTTATTAAATAATGTAATAAGTATTTGTTACATTTCTAGGCTAGAGTGCCTAAATATCTTTTAACAAACTGAGCAAGTTTACATTTGCTATAAAGAGTAGAGTGATAAATGTTACCGTGAGACAACATATGGTATTACAACTATAAGTTTAGTAGTAGTTATTTTTTTAATGTTGTCTAGGTTTCAATTTTGGATTTTGGGATTATTTCTATGCCATTCAACATTATCAGAAATGAATAAAGATTTGCTTTTCACTTTCGGCTCTCTCCTTCAGATCATCTCACTGATGCCTATGGCAGTAAGAAGAGAGTCTTAATGCCCATAGTTTTAAATACATAAGCATCCTGTGTAAATCATGGGCTTACCTCCAAGGGACAGCTCTATAAGAACAAATAATACCAATCTCAATTCACTAGATATACAGAATTTTTTCAGAAAGAAATAAGGAAGAATTATATTTCAAAATGACTGTTTTTTCTTGTTATGGATAGACATAGATCATTTATTAAAAATTAAATATGGACCACAAGAAGCAGTATAAATATGGCCTATATTTTTATAACATTGGTCTCAACATTTAAATATTTTTAATAATTTGCTAAAAATCATAAAATACAATTCACTTTGTTCCTGGTATCTGTGTTTAAATGATTTAAATATTTTTAACTTCATCGTAGATCACTCTTCCTCATTTTGACAATCAATTAGTGAGTTCCAAGGGAGGTGGCAGAGACAGAACCTCTAAACTTCAAATACTCAGTTAGCAAAAGACAGTTTATATAAATTAGATGATTTAACATATTTTGACTCCTACGCTGTTCTGAAATTAGCCACTGATATGGTTTTGCTCTGTGCCCCACCCAAATATCGCCTCAAATTGTAATCCCCACACGTGGAGAGACAGACCTGGTGGGAGGAGATTGTATCATGGGGTGGTTTCCCCCATGCTGTTATTGTGATGGTAAGTTCTCACGAGATCTAATTGATAAGCATCTGAGATTTCCCCTGCTCTCTCTCCCTTTCTCCTGCCACCACATAAAACGTGCTTGCTTCCCCTTTGCCTTCGGCCATGACTGTTAAGTTTCCTGAGGCCTCCTAGCTATGCTTCCTGTGAAGCCTGAAGAACTGTGAGCCAATTAAACCTCTTTGCTTTATAATTACCCAGTCTCAGGTAGTGTTCTAATACACCCACAGTGTTACCACAGTTTAGCTCTGAAGTGCTGTAAGTTGGAACAGCCACAAGACACATTTTGGGCTTGCATTAGGTGTACAAGTAAAAAAAAATATGAGGAATAGGTGAAGAAGATTCTTTGGAGCATGTCTATTTTATAGGAGCCTCAGGAGAGTCATGGCATAAAGTTGAGAATTAACGATATCCATTAATCTTAATCCTTGCTGAAATGGCCATGCAATCACAAGGTAGGCAAGTACAGTACCTAACTAGAGATGTAAAAAAGGTAGCAAACTCATTCAGCCTACTCTAAACCCCGAAATAGGAGCATTCCAATTTCATTTGGTTGATCTGGCATATTTATGTCCCCAATTTAATGAAGCCTGAAGAGTCAAACTAGTAGTATTATGATGAGTTAACATCACAGCTTTGATTGCTCACCATCCAAATAGCAAAATTTTCTAATATCATTTTATGGGACTTAAAAGACATTAAACTAAATATGATTGTTGCTCTATAAAATGGTAGGATAGTTTCCATATACTGTATATATGCAAATACAATATCCCATCTCAGCCTCCAGTGCCCATAGTAAGTTACCCTCACAGCTTAGATTGAATAATTATTATTGGTTTACACGCTTTTAAATCTTCTTTTGTGTAACTAAGACAGAGCTAAGCTTCCAAAATAAAAAATAAAAAGGAGAACCATGCCTTATAACAGAAGACGATCTTGTTTAAAAGCTTTGCCTCATTATGCAAGGTCTCCTTTCCCATTTGAAATAAATTCATAATACATACAGAAGACAATGCATGTATCCTGAAAATTACAAGAGAATCTTCTGAATGTTAATTGTTTCGTATACCTCTCCTTCCTTCAGAGAAATGTTGGGCTGGGGTTGAGGGATTCAGAAGAGAAGAGAATTATAATCTAAAAATACAAACTTCCGTGACTGTATACTGTAGAGACATTCAATTTCTAGCTTTTAAGAGCAGCATTAAATGTATAAATCATTATTTCATCATCCACTCAGGAATCCCCAGATTACAAAGCCCTCTTGGCGTTATGAATGTCAGTATAGACACAACAGAATTGCAGGAACTTCTTGTGAGGTTCATTTGTTTCCCAAATGAAAATCTATAGCAATATGTATTTTTTCTGTTTTCCTCTAAATTGGTTGGTGTAAACAGAATTGTGTAAGGCAAGTTTAGGAAATGATCACAAGATAAGGGCTGAATACCTAGCTGTAGGGTATGTCTTCAGTTGTAAGCAATATCTTCCCTTTCCCCCACTCCTTGTGATATGCTCAGTAAACTTTCTTTTATGGCATTCTCCACTTTTTTTCACTGATAGGATGACAACCATGACAATCATATTTTATAGAGGTAAGTTCTTTAATGCACTGGTGTGTAAAAATAGGTTTACTGTACTTAAAGCTGCTCTTTACTGGCAAGACTATGTCACAATTACTTGACTATAATGATAGACAAAACTCAAAATAGCCTAACTTTGGATAAGCATCAGAAGTTAGGATACGTGTCTAAACTACCCAACTTTGTCAAACTCCTTTATCCTTTGTCTTCCAAGTAAAGATTCTCTGAAAAAAAATCCATTATTATTGATAGGACCTGGATTTTTATTTTTCCCCCAAGACTTTCTCACTATTCCTTGACTCTGATTCTTAAGAGGGAATATTTATTTTGGATGTAAGTAAAATTAGAAGTCATAACTTTGTTTTCTGAGTCTTAAAATAATAATCTTTTCATACTTGACTTGTACTGGATTATATTGCATGCTATCAGAAGTTAAAAATACAAATAATTTATATTTTACATAGAAAGTAAATGTTAGAAATCCTTGCACCAAAATGAAAATAGTCATCCAGTCATTCACAAATATAGCGAGAGAACCAATGGAAATAGGCATCAAAATTGATAGGTGCCAAGACACAATAGAGTTAACTTTCAAAATAAATAGAAAAGAAATAGTCATATAGCAATTTTCACAGGACATTTCAGAACTCTTGAAAACAATGGCAATGTTAAGGACTAAAAACAGGTCGTAACAGAGGAAAGCAAATATGTTTGTGAGGAAAATATACTTTATGAAAAGTGGTTTGTGAGAAACCTTTAGCCAGGTATAAGATGTGTTGCTTCCAGGAAGTTTTCTATTCTACATTTTGGGGACATAAACCAAGGTCTGACTCATGCCTAAGAAATCTAGAAATAAAATATTAACCCTTATAGTGGTAGGGTCAGGAGACTCCCATTTCAGTACTATAGGACTCCACTCTGAATTTGTTGGAATGAGGAATGCAAGTGTTTTCATGCACTGGATGTGGGCCATATGAGAGGAGTGGTGGCTTGGCGTCATTTAGGGTTCTATCTACAAGGGCCACTTAGAGGACTGAAATACCTAGAAGGAAGAATCTGGGAGAGAAATTCTAGGAAATCAGAAAGTAGTTCTTAGCTCTTCTGTATAAGGGATATCTGGGAGAGAGAATTACAGAGTCACTGGAGATTCTGTAAAAGAATCCTGGGGAAGGAGGAGATAGAATAGGACTTTTTGCCAGCTTCAGAGAATACCAATAATCTGCCAGAGGAACCATGCAAGTAAAGATTTTCCTTTGCCCTCATTTCTTTATATTTTCTTGCTCTGACTCTTCAGGTATTCCAAGATGACTAGCACAGCAGTGCATGGGGGTGGGATAGGGTTGTAAGAAAGAAGCTCAAAGCAGAGATTTGGAGAAGCAACAAATAACCACTTTACTACTGCCAGTTCCAATCTGAAGCAGTCACGCCCTAGCTAGTTAGAGACGGAAATATTTAATGCAAAATCAAACAAATGCTTAAATAAAGGAGCTTCAACCATGGTATGTGCCCCCTAGTACCATTTTAAGATGATGTTTTGAGGATGAAAGTTAGAACATTTGTTATTTCAATTTGCCAATGAATTACTATTTTCATATATTTTGGCCATTACAAATATGTGCTCTGGTTTTATTCTGTAATTCTTAACATCCAGCAAATTTTAGCCAAGCTGGGGACAGAAAGCAGCAACTATGACATTTTTTTCTTCTGGAAATAGTTTTATTTTTGCCAGCATTATTAAGAACATATTTGCTGGGTATATAATTATTGATCGGTAGCCTTTTTTTCCCCAGTAGTGTCCAGATATAATTTTAGCACTTTTTGGTTTTGATTGTTTCTTTGGGAAGTCTGCTATCATTATTGTTGCTAAGACAGCAGTAATATACTGCTTTTTTCCCAGGCTGCTTTGAAAATAATCTCAGTTTTCTTTTTGTTTTGCTTTGTTGATTTGTTTTTGTGTTGTGAGCACCTGGCCTAATTTTTTAAATTTATTGATTCAACAAATAAAAATGTATAAAATTATGGTATACAACATAAGGCTTAAAAATATGTATACATTGAAGAGTGACTAAATCAAACTATTTAACATATGTATTACCTCACATATTTATTTGTGGAGAAAACAGTTAAAAGCTACTCTTTTAGCAATTTTCAAGTATAATACAAAACATTGTTATTAACTATAGTTACTATGTTGAATAACAGATATCTTGAGCTCATTCCCTCTGCTTAGCTGAAATTTTGTATCCTCTGTCACCCCAATATCCCTCAACGCCAGCTTTTGCTATTGTGAATAATGCTGAAGTGAACATGAGAGTACAGGTGTCTCTTCAACATACAAATTTTGTTACCTTTGGTTATATAGCCAGTAGTAGGGTTGTGGATCATATATTAGTTCTAGTTTTAATTTTTTGAGGACCCTTCGCACTGTTTCCCATAAATGGTTCTCCTAATTTCCACTCGCCACAACAATGTGCAAGGATTCCTGCTTCTCCACATCCTAGCCAACACTTGTTATATTTTCTTATTTTGGTAATAGCAAGGTGTGAATTGGTATCTCAGGTGTCAGAGGATATCTCTGTAATTTTAACTTGCATTTTCCTGATGATTAGTAATGTTGAGCATCTTTTCATATATCTGTTGGCCGTTTGTATGTGTTCTTTGAAAAAATGTATATTCAGGTTCTTTGCCCTGTTTAAAATCTGTTTATTTTCTTGCAACTAAGTTATTTATTATACATTTTGGCTATTAACCCCTTATCAGATATGTGGTTTGCAAATATTTTCCCCCATTCCATGAGCTGCCTCTTCATTCTGTTTTGTTTCCTGTGGCAAAAAAAATTGTAATAAATTTAATGTAATACCATTGGTCCATATTTGTTTTTGTTACCTGTGCTTTTGGGGTCATATACTAAAAATCATTGCCCTGACCTATATCATGGAGTTTTCCCCTATGTAGTCTTCTAGCAGTTTCACATATTCAAATATTATCCTCAATCTTTAATTCATTTTTAGCTGATTTTTCTATATGATGTGAAATAAGGGTCCAATTTCATTCTTCTGCATGTGGATATCGAGCTTTCCTAATATCAAGTATTAAAGAGAATAAGTATCCTTTTCCCAATATCAAGTGTTAAAGATAATACATATCCTTTCCTCATTGAATGTTCCTGGCATCTGCCTTGAAAAATCAAGGGACCATAAAAGCATGGATATTTTCTGGGCTTGCTATCCTGTTCCATTGGTCTATGTGTCTGTTTTTGTGGCAGTATCATGCTATTTGGGTTACTACAGATTTGTAGTGTATTTTGAAGTCAGGTAGTGTTATGCCTCCAGCTTTGTTCTTTTTGCTCAAGATTGCTCTGGCTATTTGGATGCTTTAGTGGTTCTATATAAGTTTTAGGATCATTTACTCTATTTCTGAGAAGACTGCCATTGCCTTTTGGTGGGGATTACATTAAGTCTGTAAATCATTTCAGGTAGTATGCCCATTTTGACAATATTAGTTAAGTTTATGAATGAACATGGCATGTGTTTCTATTTATTTGTATCTTCTTCAATTTCTTTCAAAGTTTTATGTTTTAAATGTGCAGATCTTTCACTTCCTTGGTTAAATTTATTCCTAAGTATTTTGCTGATTTTGCAGGATTTTTAAAATGTAGGATTTTTCAAATATTATTGATTTTTCAGGATTTAGAAACCCTGCAAAATCAGCAAAATACTTAAGAATAATTACTAGGATTTTCTTGACTTCTTTTACAGGTAGTCAATTTTTAGTCTACAGAAAACCTAATGATTTTTGTATGCTGATTTTGTATCCCACAATGCTATTGAATCATTTATCAGTTTTAACAACTTTTGGTGGATTCTTTAGGGTATTTTACATATAAGATTATGCATTTGCAAACAGAGACAATTTAACTTCTTTTCTTCCAATTTGGATACTTCTTATTTTTTTCTGACATATTATTATGGTGAGTAGAGATAGTGGGTATCCTTGTCTTGTTCCTGATATTAGATAAAAACCTTTTCACTTTTTATCATTTTATATACTGTTAGCTGTGGCTTGCCATATATGGCCTTTATTGTGTTGAGATACATTTTTTGTATACCTAATTTGTTGAGAGTTTTTTTAAATTATAAAAGGATGTGGAATTTTGTTATTTTTTTCAGCATTTATTGAGATGATCATATGGTTTTTGTCCTTCATTGTGTTGATGTGATATATCACATTTATTGACTTTTGCATATTGAACCATCCATGTAGTTTTATGTAATGTGCCTTTGTGTGATTTTCTTTAGCTTCTTAGAGTTTCTTGAATCAGTGCTTGACACATTTCATTTGTTTTGTAAAATTTTGACCCTTATCTCTTTAAATTTTGCCTTCATTTGTTTCAACTTTCTTTTTGAGGTATAAATTACATGCAATTATAGATCTCTTCATAGTTTATGTTATGTTTTTTGCACTGTTTTTGTACTATACATTTTCTTGTTCCTTCATGCTTCAATTGGTACATTATAAATTAATAATTCTCTAGTTATTTCTAATGACTGTTAAAACAATCTACTGAGTTAATCTCAGCTATTTTATTTTTCATATAATTTCCAATCTCTTTTTAATGTTTTCAATTATTTGCCAGAAACTTAATTAACTAGAACATAGCATTCCTGATTTTATTTAAATATATGTTTAATTATTTCAATCTTTTGATTAATTGTAACAGATATAAAATCACTGGTTGTTGACTCCTATTATACATAGCTACCAGGCTCTAACGAAGAAAATACCCCATCTCAGGGAATGACACCTCTAAGATGTTGCAGACTGTCACTCTTCTTAATGTTAGATAATGTTTCTGTGACAATCTGACATAATTACACATATGGTTACAGCGTCTTGTGTGTAGTAGTAATGGCAAAGGTTGTGTTTTTTTATGCCTGATCCACATGATATTCTGGAAACAAATTAGTGTAATTTGTTTTTGGCATATCTTACTTCTATTAAAAATTTATCCCCTGTAAAATATGGGATAATATTCTTGTCAGAATAATGTCTAATTTACAAATAAAGGATAAACTATTGAAAAATAGGAGCTCCAATGTGAGGCATTAGTTACAATTATAATTCACAAATGTTCGGATAATTGTTATTTCTCTATCTCTAATAATTTTAAGTTGTAATTTTTCTTAACTTCATCATTTGACTCAGATTAACATAAGCCCTGAGATTGTGTAGTGATTGGACAAGTCCCTTATAATTTTAAGATAATGGAAAGAGTTCTTATATATTAAAATTAAAAATGTGAAATGACTAAAAGTTCTAATAGGAACTTAGGTGTGAGTGAGGAAAAAGTAAAACTGAGAAAGATTTTAATCTGTCCTTGACCATAACGTCTCCCATTAAATGAAGAAATATAAAGAAAAATAATAAACATAGCATTTGCACATTTGCAAGCAAATGATCATGTAGTCTTCAACATTATAACATATTTGTCACTTGTTTTGCTCCTACTGTGTGTTAGGCATCATTACAATCTCTTCACAGTTCTGTGAGGAAAGTATTATTGCTTCCCCATATTTTGAAATGGAAAAATTAATGCTGAAAGACATTAGGTGTTTTTTTCCAGTTTAAACATTTGATAAAGGAAAATCAGTTCACCAGACCAAATTGCAATAGGCTAAAGTTTGTGACCTATGCTTCAAAATCTAGAATCTAGAGCCAGTGACTTACTAAGAAAAATATAAATATGATTTCTTAATAATTTAGTTAATAATTTGCTTATGTGAAACAGTAATGTTAATATACCCACATTTTATGT
Organism: Homo sapiens; assembly: GCF_000001405.40. Classification (NCBI taxonomy): domain Eukaryota; kingdom Metazoa; phylum Chordata; class Mammalia; order Primates; family Hominidae; genus Homo; species Homo sapiens. The sequence goes on along the minus strand of NC_000012.12, from coordinate 17,570,274 downwards.
TATACTGTAAAAATACAAAGAGATTTTCTATGATAAATTTTTAAGTAATACATACTGAACATACATAAATTTTAAAAAAGAATAATTATAGGATAAAATTAAAATTTACAGCCTACACTGATTTAAATGTTATCACTTTAACTGCTTTAAAACACTGTTTTAGATTGTGTGCAGTACATATTTTCGCTTAAAAGCAAATTTGCATTAAGAGACTGTGGCTTCTATAAACTAATTGACTTCAAAAAATATAGTGCAAGGAGACAAACACTCAAAAATATTTCTCTATTTGGAGACTTCGAAGTACAAGTATATATCAAAATTATTTAAGAATATAATTTTCATTGGTAAATTACATAGAAATAAGTACAATCACATACAGGAACATAAAGCTATTTATTTCACATAAACTGTATACATATCCAAGGGATATTTTAAAATATATTCGAGTGTTATTGGGGTATGGTAGTGATTTAATAAAAACTGAAAATATCGGGTAAGATATTTTAAAAATGTAAATGCCTTGACATACCAATGAAGATACCACGCCATTAACTGAGGAATATGATTAACTCAACTTTCTGCACCTGAAGTCTGAAGAGGGTAAACAGAGATACAGATTTTTAAGTTTGGATACGGAAATATATTAAAGCTATGTTGTTAATTAAAGAGTATTATATGTGTATGTGTATGAATGTGTGTGTTAGCTTTTATCGTTATATATTCTTCAATGTACCTTATTTCTACTTAAGGCAGAAAACTTCTTTATCTGTGTTTATCTCAACATTATTTTATGTTATTACTGCTTTTCTTTTCTTTAATTTTACATTGTTATTGCTTCCCAAACATAAGTCAGTCAGCATATTATCTTCAAAAATGTTGCCATATCTATCCATATTCATCTTACTTATAAGCTATACTTTTTACCAAATTTTTCTTTACATTTATTTACATTCATCACACTACATTTATTTAAAAACAAAATACATATAACCCTCATCCACAGAAATCCAGCATTACTTGCCATAAAACCATAGTCACATGAATAAATACAATGAACTTAAGATATATAAAGCAAATATTTTAAAATCATCAGGCTATAGATAAGTTCATGAGAAATAAGGAATTCTTTAGGATCAATAAGAAAATAAGGATGTTGATACTCATTGTTAGCATAAGTGGAGATGAATATGACATTCTTTATTAATAAATAGCTGCTTTTAGGTTTGATTTTAAATAGCCCTAGGAATCCTTAAACACATAAAAATGTAATAAGGATGATGAGAATATTTTCCCACCTACTCTGATAGGACTAGAATCTTTGAATGAATGACTAACCAAATCATGCAATATGTGACGTTGAGTTTGAGAAGTCGTCTGCATTGTCAACATTTGTTTGTCTTTTCTGAATATACCTACAACTTTTAAAACTACCGTATGCTTCTATGGTTGAAGAAAACCTAAGACTCAACAAATGATCCTGTAAGTCATCTAGGTCACATATCTATTTAAGTGTACTTAATACTAGTACTGAGTTCTTTCCAGGTCTACAGTTGGCTTCTGAGCTACCAGGATGTGCTGCCTTCATAGTTGCTGATTTGAAAACAAAGTATCCAGCTTTACTAAATCTCCCTAGAACATCTAGAAACTAGCTAGAGGTACTTAGTCTAGCTAATGACCAGGCAGTCTTCATGATATTTCTCTGCCTAAGAAAGCTTGGACCTCTAGTACCAGTCCTGTGGGCTCTCTAGCCTGCCCTGGTAAGACCTTGCTAGCTTAGCCCTGTCCTTATAATCACACTCTAGGTATGTACCATGAATACTTAGCGTAAAGATTAAAAAAACACATGTGCCTTACATTGGTCCACTCCTTCCATATTCTCTTTTTAATTTATCATTCAAGTCATTTTGGGAAACACATAGAATTTAGATATAAAGTATCAAATATTGCTGCTTATACTTTTTTTTCTTTTTGACTTTATGTAATATTCTCACTTTTTGCTTTTAGTATTTTTGTCCAAGTTATTAATATATTTTCAGAGTTTTATAACCTAATTTCTCTAGTTTTTTGATTTTATACTTTACTTAGAGATGTGTGTGGGTGTGGGTGTGTACCTGTGTAATGTTTAGAAAGATATCCCTATGCTTCATCCAAATCATTCTGAGCAAACTGTCGCAAGGACAGAAAACCAAACACCGCATGTTCTCACTCATAGGTGGGAATCGAACAATGAGAACACTTGGACACAGGATGGGGAACATCACACACCGGGGCCTGTCGTGGGGTGGGGGGAGGGGGGAGGGATAGCATTAGGAGATATACCTAACGTAAATGACGAGTTAATGGGGGCACCACACAAACATGGCACATGTATACATATGTAACAAACCTGCACTTTGTGCACATGTGCCCTAGAACTTAAAGTATAATAATAAAAAAACAACAAAAAAAGAAAGAGATCCCTTTGCAATCTTCCAATGGGATTGAGGTTTTTTGCCCCTTTGTATTTTTGATATATCTGTACTTTCCTCCTTTGTCTAATAATGAGTATTTTTCTATCATCATATATGTCTGTCATATTGCCTGTTCTTGATATGTTAAGCGATTATCATACGGTGACTAGTAAAAAGTCATGTCTCTTCTACTTTATAATATTTCAAACACAAATTCACGCCACGTTCCTACTCTTTTCAAACGATTAATTCAGACTATCACCAAATACGCATAAGTACGTATTCAGCCATTCATATTACTAATTTTAATTCTAATTATTAGTTTGGATTTGTCATTTTCAATGGCATTTCATCTCTTTACAGATACATTTTAAAAGTTATCTACCAATTAGAACTCTCTCATATGCAGAAAAGTTTCCATTTTCTGAACAACTTTTCTCTATTACATTAGATGCACAAAAATCGTGTGACAAAATCCACCACTCACTCATGATGAAATACTATCAATAAACTTGGAGTAGAAATAAATTTATTCCACCTGATGAAGGTCATCTTTGAAAAATGTACAACTAGCATTATACTTACTGGTAATTTTTCCCTCTAAGGATAGAAAAAGGCAAAGATCCCCAGCCTTTATACATCTATTTACCATTTTACTATAGCTTCCAGTCAGTATAATTTGGCAATAAAAAAAAAGACATTCAAATCAGAAAGGAAAAGATACATCTGCCTTTATCTGCAAATGATATAATTCTGTACATAGAAAATCTAAAGTTGTATACAAGAACTACTAGAACAATAGTAATAGAATAACAGAAATAATAAATTATTTCATCAATGTAGTGGGATGTAAGCAACATACAAAAATTAATTGTACTTTTATATAGTAGCAATGAACTCTACAAAAATGAGATTGAGAGTAACTTCATTCAGTGTAACATTATATAGAATAAAATGCTTAGGAATGAATTTAACAAAGTATACTCAAGATCTATACACTGAAAACTACAGTACATTTGTAAGTGATATTAAAGAAGACTTAAAAACAGAGACAATACATTTTTCTGTATAGGAGGACTCAATATTTATAAGATGGCGATTTTCGCCAAATTGATTTATAGTAGGTTAAAAGCAATTTATATCACAATCTCAGTATACTTTCTGGCAGAAATTGCCAAAATAACCTTGAAATTTACTTGGAAATGCAAAAAGACCTAAAATAGCCAGAACAATTTAAAAAATAAAAAAGCTGAAAGACTATACTTTCTGACTTAAAATATTGTGTAGAGCTGCAGTAATCAAGACAGTGTTGTGTTAGAATAATGGTAATCATACAGACTAATGGAAAGTAATTGAGAATCCACAAATAAACCCTTACATTTATGATTGGTTATTATTTGACAAAGGTGTCAAGCTAAATCATGAGTAAAAATCAGTCTTCTAGACATGCTGATATTGAATGTGTACATGCAAAAATGTGAATTTAACTCTTAACTTACAGCACCTACAAAAATGAATTATAAAAGATAATATACCTAAATGTAAAACTAAAGTTGTTTCACTGTCAGAAGAAAACTCACAGAAACATCTTCATAATCTTGGATGAAGCATAGTTCTTAGATAAAACACCAAAAGCATGATGTGCAAATGAGAAAAAAGGTCTATAATTAATTAATTAAATTCTGAAATATAAAACTTGCATGCTTCAAAAGACGATATGAAAAGTTACAATCTGAGAGAATATATTTGCAAATAACATATCTGTTAAAGGACTTCTATCTAAAAGATGTAATAAACACTTAGAACACAAACTGATCTTTTTTAAATGAAAAAATAATTTCAATAAATACTTAACCAAAGAAAATATACAAATGCCTAATAAGCACATGAAAAGATGCTCAACAAGTCATTAGGGAAAAGAAAAATTTACTGTGAGGTACTACTTCTTACCCACTAGATTGGCTATATAGGAAAACACAGATAATAACAAGTGCTGACAAGAATATGAAGAAATTGAAACCCTCATGTTTTGCTTACTGGAATGTTAAATGGTGCATTCACTTTGAAAAACAGCCTGGAAATTCCAAAGAAAGTTAAATATAGTTGCCCTATGACCCAGCAATTCACTCCTAGTTATATACACAAGAAAAATGAAAATATACATTCACACTAATACTTGCACATTAATATTCAAAGCATCATTATTTGTCATAGCCAAAGAATAAAAAAATATGTCCATCAAAAGATGAATGGAAAAAGCAAAATGTAACCTATCCATTCAAGTCCTAGGATAATGATAAGCCTGCAGGTCAATGGAACAGAACTAAGAGTCCCAAAATAAAACCTTACATTTATGATTGATATTGCAAAGAAACCAGGTGATTCCATGAGGAAAGATAGGATTTTCAGAAAATAGTGCTGATGTCATTATATAATATCCCTTTTGTCTTTGGTAATTTTATTTGCCCTTAAATGCAGACAATCAAAAGGAAGCAGGATTTGCTATATTAATGTCAGATAGTGTGCATTACATGTTTGTTCTACTCTCTTACTTTCAAACTGCTTATATTTTTATATTTTAAATTTCATTTTTGATTGAAAAATAATTGTATATATTTATGTTACAATGTGATTTTATAATATACGTTTACATTGCAGAGTAATTAAATCGAGCTGATCAACAAATATAACACCTCGCATACTTTTTTGCAGTGAAAACATTTAAAATCTACTTTTTAATAAATTTTCAAATATAATTGAATTGGGTTACTTCCAGACAATATATTCTTGCTCTACACGTTTTGATCAACTTTTCTAATATCTGTATATTAATTGGTATATGTAACCATTTAAATTTGATTTAATTATTACCATATTAAAGCCTAAGTTTGCTATTTGATGTTTTATTGTGGTGCATTAGATCCCGCGCCTGGCTCAGACGGTCCTACACCCACGGAGCCTTGCTCACTGCTAGCACAGCAGTCTGAGATCAAACTGCAAGGAGGCAGCAAGGCTGGTGGAGGGGCGCCCACCATTGCCAAGGCTTGAGTAGGTAAACAAAGCGTCTGGGAAGCTCGAACTGGGTGGAGCCCACCACAGCTCAAGGAGGCCTGCCTGCCTCTGTAGACTCCACCTCTGGGGGGCAGGGAATAGCCAAACAAAAGGCAGGAGAAATCTCTGCAGACTTATATGTCCCTGTCTGACAGCCTTGAAGAGAGTAGTGGTTCTCCCAGCATGCAGCTGGAGATCTGAGAATGGACAGACTGCCTCTTCTAGTGGGTCCCTGATCCCTGAGTAGCCTAACTGGGAGGCACCCCCCAGTAGGGGCAGACTGACACCTCACATGGCCGGGTACTCCTCTGAGACAAAACTTCCAGAGGAACGATCAGGCAGCAACAATTGCTGTTCACCAATATCTGCTGTTCTGCAGCCTCTGCTGCTGATACCCAGGCAAACAGGGTCTGGAGTGGACCTCCAGCAGACTCCAACAGACCTGCAGCTGAGGGTCCTGACTGTTAGAAGGAAAACTAAGAAACAGAAAGGACATCCACACCAAAAACCCATCTGTATGTCACCATCAAAGACCAAAGGTAGATAAAACCACAAAGATGGGGAAAAAAACAGAGAAGAAAAACTGGAAACTCTAAAAATTAGAGCGCCTCTCCTCCTCCAAAGGAATGCAGCTCCTCACCAGCAACTGAACAAAGCTGGATGGAGAATGACTTTGACAAGTTGAGAGAAGAAGGCTTCAGACAATCAAACTACTCTGAGCTAAAGGAGGAAGTTCGAACCAATGGCAAAGAAGTTAAAAACCTTGAAAAAATATTAGATGAATAGATAACTAGAATAAACAATGCAGGGAAGTCCTTAAAGGACCTCATGGAGCTGAAAACCACAGCACAAGAACTATGTGATGAGTGCACAAGCCTCAGTGGCTGATTTGATCAACTGGAAGAAAGGGTATCAGCGATGGAAGACCAAATGAATGAAATGAAGTGAGAGGAGAAGTTTAGAGAAAAAAGAATAAAAAGAAATGAACAAAGCCTCCAAGAAATATGGGACTATGTGAAAAGACCAAATCTACGTCTGACTGGTGTACCTGAAATTGAAGGGGAGAATGGAACCAAGTTGGAAAACACTCTGCAGGATATTATCCAGGAGAACTTCCCCAATCTAGCAAGGCAGGCCAACATTCAAATTCAGGAAATACAGAGAACACTAGAAAGATATTCCTCCAGAAGAGCAACCCCAAGACACATAATTGTCAGATTCAGCAAAGCTTAAATGAAGGAAAAAATGCTAAGGGCAGCCAGAGAGAAAGGTTGGGTTACCCACAAAGGGAAGCCCATCAGACTAACAGCTGATCTCTTGGCAGAAACTCTACAAGCTAGAAGAGAGTGGGGGCCAATATTCAACATTCTTAAAGAAAAGAATTTTCAACCCAGAATTTCATACCCAGCCAAACTAAGCTTCATAAGTGAAGGAGAAATAAAATACTTTACAGACAAGCAAATGCTGAGAGATTTTGTCACCACCAGACCTGCCCTAAAAGAGTTCCTGAAGGAAGCACTCAACATGGAAAGGAACAACCGGTACCAGCCACTGCAAAATCATGCCAAATTGTAAAGACCATCAAGGCTAGGAAGAAACTGCATCAACTAACAAGCAAAATAACCAGCTAACATCATAATGACAGGATCAAATTCACACATAACAATACTAACCTTAAATGTAAATGGGCTAAATGCTCCAATTAAAAGGTACAGACTGGCAAATTGGATAAAGAGTCAAGACCCATCAGTGTGCTGTATTCAGGAAACCCATCTCACGTGCAGAGACACACATAGGCTCAAAATAAAGGGATGGAGGAAGATCTACCAAGCAAATGGAAAACAAAAAAAGGCAGGGGTTGCAATCCTAGTCTCTGATAAAACAGACTTTAAACCAACAAAGATCAAAAGAGACAAAGAAGGCCATTACATAATGGTAAAGGGATCAATTCAACAAGAAGAGCTAACTATCCTAAATATATATGCACCCCATACAGGAGCACCCAGATTCATAAAGAAAGTCCTGAGAGACCTACAAAGAGACTTAGACTCCCACACAATTATAATGGAAGACTTTAACCACTGTCAACATTAGACAGATCAACGAGACAGAAAGTTAACAAGGATATCCAGGAATTGAACTCAGCTCTGCACCAAGTGGACCAGAGAGAGATCTACAGAACTCTCCACCCCAAATCAACAGAATATACATTCTTTTCAGCACCACATCACACCTTTTCCAAAATTGACCACATAGTTGGAAGTAAAGCACTCCTCAGCAAATGTAAAAGAACAGAAATTATAACACACTGTGTCTCAGACCACAGTGCAATCAAACGAGAACTCAGGATTAAGAAACTCACTCAAAACTGTTCAACTACATGGAAACTGAACAACCTGCTCCTGAATGACTACTGGGTACACAACGAAATGAAGGCAGAAATAAAGATGTTCTTTGAAACCAACAAGAACAAAGACACAACATACCAGAATCTCTGGGACACATTCAAAGCAGTGTGTAGAGGGAAATTTATAGCACTAAATGCCCACAAGAGAAAGCAGGAAAGATCTAAAATTGACACCCTAACATCACAATTAAAAGAACTAGAGAAGCAAGAGCAAACACATTCAAAAGCTAGCAGAAGGCAAGAAATAACAAAGATCAGAGCAGAACTGAACAAAATAGAGACACAAAAAACCCTTCAAAAAAATCAATGAATCCAGGACCTGGTTTTTTGAAAAGATAAACAAAATTGATAGAACGCTAACAAGACTAATAATGAAGAAAAGAGAGAAGAATCAATAGATGTAATAAAAAATGACAAAGGGGATATCACCACTGATCCCACAGAAATACAAACTACCATCAGAGAATACTATAAACACCTCTACGCAAATAAACTAGAAAATCTAGAAGAAATGGATAACTTCCTCAACACATACACCCTCCCAAGACTAAACCAGGAAGTTGAATCTCTGAATAGACCAATAACATGTTCTGAAATTGTGGCAATAATTAATAGCTTACCAACCAAAAAAAGTCCAGGACCAGATGGATTCGCAGCCGAATTGTACCAGAGGTACAAGGAGGAGCTGTTACCATTCCTTCTGAAACTATTCCAATCAATAGAAAAAGAGGGAATCCTCCCTAACTCATTTTATGAGGACAGCATCATCATGATACCAAAGCCTGGCAGAGACACAACAAAAAAAGAGAATTTTAGACCGATATCCCTGATGAACATTGATGCAAAAATCCTCACTAAAATACTGGCTAACTGAATCCAGCAGCACATCAAAACCTTATCCACCATGATCAAGTGGGCTTCATCCCTGGGATGCAAGGCTGGTTCAACATATGCAGATCAATACAAGTAATCCAGCATATAAACAGAACCAAAGACAAAAACTACATGATTATCTCAATAGATGCAGAAAAGGCCTTTGACAAAATTCAACAACCCTTCATGCTAAAAATTCGCAATAAATTAGGTATCCATGGGACGTATCTCAAAATAATGAGAGCTCTCTATGACAAACCCACAGCCAATATCATACTGAATGGGCAAAAAGTGGAAGCATTCCTTTTGAAAACTGGCACAAGACAGGGATGCCCTCTCTCACCACTCCTATTCAACATAGTGTTGGAAGTTCTGGCCAGGGCAATCAGGCAGGAGAAAGAAATAAAGGGTATTCAATTAGGAAAAGAGGAAGTCAAATTGTCCCTGTTTGCAGATGACATGATTGTATATCTAGAAAACACCATCATCTCAGCCCAAAATCTCCTTAAGCTGATAAGCAACTTCAGCAAAGTCTCAGGATACAAAATAAATGTGCAAAAATCACAAGCATTCTTATATACCAATAAGAGACAAACAGAGAACAAAATCATGAGTGAACTCCCATTCACAATTGCTTCAAAGAGAATAAAAAACCTAGGTATCCAACTTTCAAGGCATGGGAAGGACCTCTTCAGGGAGAACTAGAAACCACTGCTCAATGAAATAAAAGAAGACACAAACAAATGGAAGAACATTCCATGCTCATGGGTAGGAAGAATCAATATTGTGAAAATGGCCATACTGCCCAAGGTAATTTATAGATTCAATGGCATCCCCATCAAGCTACCAATGACTTTCTTCACAGAATTGGAAAAAAACTACTTTAAAGTTCCTAGGGAACCAAAAAAGAGCCCACATTGCCAAGTCAATCCTAACCCAAAAGAACAAAGCTGGAGGCATCACGCTACCTGACTTCAAACTATACTACAAGGCTACAGTAACCAAAAGAGCATGGTACTGGCACCAAAACAAAGATATAGTGCAATGGAACAGAACAGAGCCCTCAGAAATAATATCACATATCTACAACTGTCTGATCTTTGACAAACCTGACAGAAGCAATGCGGAAAGGATTCCCTATTTAATAAATGGTACTGGGAAAACTGGCTAGCCATATGTAGAAAGCTGAAACTGGATCCCTTCCTTATACCTTATACAAAAATTAATTCAAGATGGATTGAAGACTTAAATGTTAGACCTAAAACCATAAAAACCCTAGAAGAAAACCTAGGCAATACCATTCAGGACATAGGCATGGGCAAGGACTTCATGTCTAAAACACCAAAAGCAATGGCAACAAAAGCCAAAATTGACAAATGGGATCTAATTAAACTAAAGAGCTTCTGCACAGCAAAAGAAACTACCATCAGAGTGAACAGGCAACCTACAGAATGGGACAACATTTTTGCAATCTACTCATCTGACAAAGGGCTAATATCCAGAATCTACAATGAACTCAAACAAATTTACAAGAAAAAAACAATCCCATCAAAAAGTGGGTGAAGGATATGAACAGATACTTTTCAAAAGAAGACATTTATGCAGCCAAAAAACACATGAAAAAATGCTCATCATCACTGGCCATCAGAGAAATGCAAATCAAAACCACAATGAGATACCATCTCACACCAGTTAGAATGGTGATCATTCAAAAGTCAGGAAACAACAGGTGCTGGAGAGGATGTGGAGAAATAGGAACACTTTTACACTGTTGGTGGGACTGTAAACTAGTTCAGCCATTGTGGAAGTCAGTGTGGCGATTCCTCAGGGATCTAGAACTAGAAATACCATTTGACCCAGCCACCCCATTACTGGGTATATACCCAAAAGATTATAATCATGCTGCTATAAAGACTCATGCACACATGTTTATTGCGGCACTATTCACAATAGCAAAGACTTGGAACCAACCCAAATGTCCAACAATGATAGACTGGATTAAGAAAATGTGGCACATATACACCATGGAATACTATGCAGCCATAAAAAACGATGAGTTCATGTCCTTTGTAGGGACATGGATGGAGCTGGAAACCATCATTCTCAGCAAACTATCTCAAGGACAAAAACCAAACACTGCATGTTCTCACTCATAGGTGGGAATTGAATAATGAGAACACATGGACACAGGAAGGGGAACATCACACACCAGGGCCTGTTGTGGGGTCAGGGGAGAGGGGAGGGATAGCATTAGGAGATATACCTATTGTTAAATGACGAGTTAATGGGTGCAACACACCAACATGGCACATGTATACATATGTAACAAACCTGCACATTGTGCTCATGTACCCTAAAACTTAAAGTGTAATAATTAAAAAAAAAAGAGACAGAAAAAAAGAAACACATGTCTATTCTACATTCCTGGAAGTGGTAATCACTAATTTCTTTTTATTGCATTGAGAGATATCAATTGGTTGCAGGAAGTCTGAGCAACCATATGAGCTTTCAGAAGTTACTTCTCAACTCCTTACCTGTTCCAAATAAATAACGTACTTACTTGTTTGAGAGATCATACCTGAATGCCTTCAAATACAATGATGTACAACAAACTAGGTAAAAATATATCTGTAACATATTGATAGTATTTTATTAGTTTGTAGCCCAGACATCCTATCTAAAAAATAAAAATCACTCACATTTTACAACAACACATTTCAAAATATGTATGTAGGAAAAATAAAATTATCCAGGTACCATAACTTAATTAAATATGAGCATTGACCTCAGGAAACGTCTATATATATCAATGTCTTATACATAGGAACTGTATGATGGTGTCTGAGCCCAAGGTACAACGCGTCTATCTTCTAGGGGTAGACTAGAGCTCTTTGAATTTCTAATTGTAAATATGGCATTTTTTCCATGATAACGCTGAGCCTCCTGGTGGGTGTCAGGTTACCCAGCTATGGAGAGAGGGGAAAAAGGATCCTGGTTTGAAATTTCCAATCTTTGCCAATTTCCCATCTACCACCAGCACTGTCAAAATATGTCAAATATTGTCTAATATGTCAAAATATATCTAATAACTATTTAGCAGCTTTTCTGACTTAGATATTGAGTTTGAATGTGAAGTTCCTTTGGTTCTTCTGTAGTTGCCAAAAATAGACCATTCAATGAGCTTACTCTTCTTATTGCAAAGAAACTTTTATTGCTAAACATAGAATCATCCTTCTGCATGAATTGGTGAATTGGGACAATCCTTATATATTTTTTAAATTCATCGAAATAATAACTGTGCTTTGCCCCAGGATATGAAATGAGTTAAAAGTTTGCTGATATAGAGCTGTGATTAGTATAATTCTTAAATAAGCATCATCATATGCTTGCATTGTTAATAGCATCATCAGGTATTAAAACTCTATATTAACATTGTAAATAAGTATTAATTATATGCATCAATTGTTACATTTGAATAATACATGAACATGCTTTCATGCTTTTTAATTTTGATTGGTATGATTTTTAAGTACCCCTCAAACCTTGATGTGATTTGAGAATTTTAAAAATTAATTATCCGTATTGACAATTTCAAAAATTAGAGTAAATGTTTTTGTTTGTAATTTTACTTTTTAAATAAATAAAAGTTGCTGTATCAAGTTTTAGTATCATTCTAAAATATGTCCTTGTAGAAGTTGCCATAAATGTCGACATTTTCAGCAGCATAAATTTATAGTGACACTGAATTTTTATGACACTATAAAGGTCCCTACTCATGATGACATCTATAGCTGCATTTTCACAGAAATATAAGAAATTGTATCTTAGACATGTGGTTAATACTATCTTGTTTTTCAAAAAAAAAGAAAATTGGGGTAACAAATATTTCTGGTATCCCAAAACAGTAACATATATGTAAAATAAATTTAAAAATTAAATTTTTTTCCTTTAATGTTTGGCAGCCAAAGAACCTGTGTCTGTTACTTTTTAATCAAACTAGCTGTAAAAAAGGAAAAAATAAAAGGTTTAACTGGGAATTAGGTGAGTCCATTAATGGAGGAATTAAGCAGAATTTTACTGGAGAAATGGGTGACAGAAGCAAAAATTTTACCGTAAATATTCAGATACTTCCTAAGCTATTGCTTTCTTAATTGGCCTAATTGTTAAGACTGTAGAACTAAAAGATTTAGAGAAATTGACAGATAATATATATGTGAATCAATGTTGTTAAGTTTATTTGAAGTTGAAAGAAAAGGCAATATTTGTGTTGGGGTACATATGTTCAAAATATTTACAAACTTCTGCTCAGGACATTTATATTGTCTAACTTGTATTTTTACAATCAGATATAATCGATAGCTGACTGCTGCTTCTTGAAAATATGGGTGGAAATGCTTTGAACAGAAATTTAAGGATGTTATGTATTTGATGAACCAATGCTCATTGATCTAACGCTATCAGAGGAACAGAAAAGTTGTGACTTCCAGGAATAAAACAACTTCCAGCAAGTTATTCATTCTAAGAGAAAAGTAACTTTAAACAGGAAATATTAAAGTATTGGTGACTGAAGATGCTATGTGGAAATAAGTTATGAATAATAGTTTAATTTTATTATAAGCAAAGTGTCCAGTGTCATTAGACTGATAGTAGTATTGGTTTACACTATAATTTTAATTATAATAAATCATATTAATACTTACAGAACATGTAACAATCTAATTTAAGATCTGCTATTATACTTTTGTGATTTTGTGTGTGACTAGGCCTTTCCCATTTTTTGGCAGCCAGTTTCAACACTGTCTCCTTAATGGGCCATCTTTGAACATTTTAAATTCATATTCTCTATCACAGAACCAATTATGTTGCCTTCTAAGCATTTTGCACTTACTTTTTTTGTTTGTTTGCTAACATGTATCATATATTGCATACAATACACCATGAGCTCCAGGTGGGCAGATATTTAATCTCATTTTTATCTGTTCATGATATCCAACATAATAGTTAGTGTATAATAGGTATATAGCAAATATTGTAGATTGGAAGAAAAATAAATTTTACTCTTTTGTAACTGAAATACTGAGATATATTCAAATATTTCTTCACTAAAACTATTATATAATAAATTTTCTTATTTAGAATTTATTTAATAAAATAAAACTATATATTTAAAAATGAGACAATAAACATTTATATGTATTACAAATGAGGTGGATAAATAGGTAAAATCTGTGTAACTCTTACTAAATAATAGGCAGACTGCTATGTGCTTTATAATCATTATTTTATTTAATCTTCAAAGCAGTATTATGAGGTAGATATTATTTTTCACATTTATTTGAGACAATATAATTTCTTTCCTGGAAAGAAGAAAAAAAGGGGTAAGCCCAGGCATGGTGGCTCACACCTGTAATCCCAGCACTTTGGGAGGCTGAGGCAGGTGGATTACAAGGTCAGGAGATCGAGACCAGCCTGGCCAACATGGCAAAACCCCGTCTCTACAAAAAATACAAAAATTAGCCAGGTGTGGTGTCAGGCACCTGTAGTCTCAGCTACTCAGGAGGCTGAGGCAGGAGAATCACTTGAATCCTGGAGGTGGAGGTTGCAGTGAGCCAAGATCACGCCATTGCACTCCAGCCTGGGCGACAGAGCAAGACTCCGTGTCAAAAAAAAAAAAAAAAAATGGTGTGGGGTAAATGAGAGACTAAGCAGCAGAAACAGAGTTATGGCATGGGTAATAAGAAAAAGGCAGGCAGAGAGAGAGAGATTTTGATTTTGAATGAATAGCATCACTTGAATAACACATACGATTTGAAGGCTTTTTTTTGGTCAAGGTTATGTAATATATATTTCAGTTTCTTTCCATTTCTATTTGCAAGTGAGTGAGTTGGTAAATAGTTGCCTGATATTTCTTTTGAATATAGTACAATGCTAAGATGAACTGCCATATGTGGGTCACACTGGAGAAGCAATCTTTATCTTAAATACTTTCCTTGGTCAAAAATATATGATTACTTAAAAATGCAGCTTCACCTTAAACAGTTTTTGGAATTATGGTTTTAGAAAGCAGAAGTTGCAGTGATTTTAAAAATATCCTTACAAATCAGAGACAATTTGTCTACCCTGCTCTCTTGTAGAATTATCATCTTAGAGACTGTTGAATGTAACTGATGCTAAGTATTATGAATTCACAAAATTGAGGAAGTGTAATAAGACTCTTTACTAAATTGCAAGCCTTTATTCGTTTGCTATCTTGTATTTCTCAAGAATTTTTGGTAATTTCTAGAAAGGGAAAAAACGTGGAAGACAGGAGTGCATTTGTTCAAGAATTTTGCCTTGTTTACTGGGAAAGATCATCCCTACTGGATATTCTGATGCCTCAATAAGACAAAAAGCAAGCAACTTTGAAATTGTTGGTAGAAGCTATATGCTCCATTACAAAAGTGGAGCAATTCTTATAGGGTGCTGTACCAGAGATGAAAGAAAACTCAAAGAGTCTACTGAAAAGTCTACTAAAAAGCAAGAGGTAGACAATCTTGGAAGCACAATTAAATGACAGTCTTTGAAATCTCACACACACATACATATATACATACATGCATATATATATATATACATATATATATATATACACACATATATATATATGGCACACTTAAAAACTTCCTGAATATCTTTGTTCTGTGAAAAAAATGCCGGCAGCTGTAAATTAGATATACAACATGATCGATAGCTAGCTATTGGAGTAAATACATGTCAAATTCGCAACAATATGCCATCAGGAAAATAATCGGCATGTGTGTTCAGATATGGGGAACCCCCGAAGATGGCCATTCAATGGGAAATGGTGGTGAATAAAGCAGAGGTTCAGTTACTTCTGAATCGGATCTGCATGGTAGCAATTAAGGCCGAAAGTTGAGGGAAAACTTTAATGGCATTTCAAACTCAAAAGCCTTCTGAATTTTCTGTATTAGGAAACACATATAGGGACAAAAGTGTTAAAAAGAAGCTAAGATTAAACAATACATAGACAAGATATAAAGGTGGGTATGGGGAGTGGGAAGAAATACAGATTAATTCTTCATCTTTTGAAATTAGATTTTTGACAAGCAAGGTAAGGTTCTTGTGCATGGAAATAAGGGAATTCCTCACACCCAATTATGAGAACTCTCAGAGTGTTGATTGAAGACCCTACCTTTATTTAGTTTTCATTGGTAAGTATGGAATTGGCTTTCCTATTGCCTTGTATAATTCAGAATATGTGGGATAGATTTTGATGTTTAGGGGTGAGAGCTAAAATGAAACCACCTGCAGACAAACAGTGAAAGGATTCTGAACTATGTTTACATTAACATGGCTTAATTATTTCACAATCTGAAGTCTGCATTAACATGAGTTTACTACTTGAGATCTTCCCCCCAACCCAGCCATGTTGTTTCAATTGCTGCCATAAAGAATTATCACAAATTTAGCAGCTTAACAACAACACATATTTATAATTTCACAGTTCTATGGGTCACAAGGCTAGGTATACTATGGTTGAACTGTTTTATTTATTTATTTATTTATTTAGAGACAGAGCCTTGCTCTGTCACATAAGCTGGAGTGCAGTGGCACAATCTCGGCTCACTGTAACCTCTGCCTCCCAGGTTCAAGTGAATTCTCCTACCTCAGCCTCCTGAACAGCTGGGATCACAGATGCATGCCACAACGGCCAGCTAATTTTTGTATTTTTAACAGAGGCGAGGTTTTTCATGTTGGCCAGGCTGGTCTCAAACTCCTGACCCCACGTGAAACACCCGCCTTGGTCTCCCAAATTGCTAGGATTACAGGCATGAGACACTCTGCCCAGCCTATTTATTTACTCTTGAAAATGCTGAAATCACAATATTTAGAGGGTTGCATTTCTTTCCGGAAGCTGTAGGAGAGAAGGCATTTCCAGATTATTGGAAAAACCCAATACCACAGATCTGTGAGATGGAGGTCTCTGTTGTTTCCCTGCTGTCTCTTGGACTGTGGTTATCCTCAGCTTGTAAAAAATGCTAAAAATCCATAGTTTATAAGCTCATTCCTCCATATTTTAAAGCCAGCAATGGCAGGTCAAGTATTTCTCAGGCTTTAAGTTTCTCTGACCACCTCTTTGGCTTTGTTTTCTCTCTCTTATTCCACCACATCTGTCTGACTCTAATTGGACAAATGTATTTGTTTTTAAGGGCTTATGTAATTATATCAGGGCTGCATGTGTAATCTATTCTCACTATTTTAATGTTCTAACTTTATTTTTGCAAAGCGTCTTCACAGAAGTACTTAGATTAATGATTGGTTGAATATGTAGGGGGGAGTCTTTACAATTTTGTCTAACAAATCCAGTAAGATCAAGCTTTAAGTAACTTAGCTTTTTTTAAAAAGCAAACCCAGAAACATGCCAAATATCCATTTATCTGAAAAAAAGACTAGTCAGCTCAACTCTCAGACCATTATTGTTCTTCTCATAATAAATTGTTCATTTCATTTTATTAAATCACTGTTTATATTTTGAACTCTCCCCTTGTATGCCACCTAATCCTAAACTTTGGTATCACAAATTTTTTCTCATTTCAATCAGACATCCTCATGGAATGATCTGCTTGAAAACCACACCCACAGAGTCTTATAAATATTTTATCTGCTTTTGACCTCTTCAATCAGTCTCTGCAAGATTTTGTTAAGATTGTGATCTTCTTTGTTATGGTAAGCAAAAAAAGCAATAAAAAATCGAGTTTTCTTGATTGTAAGCCTATTTTCATCACCTTTTTGGGAAGTCAGCAGTCAACAGAGGTATCTTACATGTCTTTCCATTTTATTGAGGTTAGGCTGCATTACAAAAAGGACTCTGTGGACACACAGCCTTTCTTATACTGCAGACTCCTGAGGAATTGAATTCTATCATTTATTTTTCTTCTTTCAGAATAATTTAAAATAGTTTCAAATTCTCTAGTACTTGAAATGTTGCTAGACACTTTGTCTCTGGATGCACACAGGCTGAAATAAAAGTACTAACTAGGGTATCTCGGAGGAATCAAGTTAGCTGGAGAAAAAGGAAGAGGGACTCTGGCTAGGATTTAAATACGTTCATGACAGGAAGAATGAGCAGATTTTACTGGAATAAATGAGTGACAGAAAAACACTTTTTATATAAGTATTAAGAGCCTTCTTCCCATCTGAGTTGTTTAACTTGCTTCACTGGTAAAATAATGGAACTAAAAAAATTGAAGAAAAAGGTTTGGTTGATTATTAGAACATACAAACACAGCATTGCTTATGGTAGAGAGAATAGAATGAGAAGGCTAGAAGAAAAGAGGAACATTGATTGGGTGAGTAAAAGAAAAAGATGTCACTGTTGGAAGTTACCATGAGGTGAATATGGGAGAAAGAAATGATAGGTAAGAGTTTTGAGGAGATGAAGGGTGCATTATTGGGAATGATTAAAAGAAAGGAAAAAAAGTTTTTGTTCTGTAGCATGCATAAAATCCCCCTTAGTGCATCTTTGAAAGAATGCAATAGAGGTACAAATTCCCTTTCCATTTTGTTTTACTAGGTGTTGTATTTGAGTTATTTTGCATGCTTCACAGTGCTAAGAAGGTCCATAAAAATGTCATCCAGCTTTTTATTTTCAGATTACATAGGGATATGCAAACTAAAGCTCAGAAAAATTTAAAAACGTGCTCATGATTAAAAGTTGGTAAGTGACACAGTTGTATCACTCAAAGTGAAAAATGGTACACTAGCTAAAGCAGTGTCTGTAGTAAGAGTTGGCAAACTTTTTCTCTAAAAGGCCAAATGGTAAAATTCTAATCTATGTGGGTAATGTGGTCTGTCTCAACTACTCAACTCTGCCATTACAGTACAAAAGAAGCTACAGACAATACATAAATAGGTGTGGCTTTGTTACCATAAAACAATATTTATGAATACTGGTAGCAGTTCCAATCTGATCCATGAACCAAATTTTGTCAAATTCTGGTCTAGAGCATTTGAGAGATAAAAGGGATAAAGCATCTATAAGAACCATGGAACTGGTAACTTTGATAAGCACCATGGATTCACTTCAGAGAGAAAATGACTGGCTCATTGTTTACTAATCAACGACTTAGATAAAAATGCCACCTCTGAGGCACAATTTAAAGGGACTTTTATCTTCCAGAGCAGAAGAGAAACAGGTGATGATTAAGCCTATAATTATTAGAGTAGCAGATTCATAGAAGGATCACTTCATATACCACAACCAGGGTCCTAATAGAGAAGAAATGGAAACCTGAAACTTGGGAAGGCTTATCGCATCTGGATTGATGCACTTGAGAATGTTATATCTCTTGATTCTATGAGACTCTCTTGGCAGGCAAAAGTATCCTGAACCCTATTTTTAAGAAGAGAGATTCCAACTCTCTTGGTGGGAGAATATTCATAGATTCCAAATGAAATAAATACCTTATCAGTAAATGTTCACCTTCCCCAGGATATGCCATCACTTTCCCTTTTGGTCACTAGACCTTTAACTGCAAACAGTGTCAAATATCACACCCAGACTGAATAAGTGTTAGGCCCCTAAGAAATAAAATATAAGCCAATGAAGCTATAAAACCTGACAACTGTATACCAATGAAACTAGGAATCTATACTTTTCAAAATTGTGTGCAGAATATAAAGCTGGATAACTGAGCAATCTTCAATGACACAGGTTTAACACACAGGAATGGATTATTGGATATGGTTCTAACATGCTGTTTGAAAACTTGGGAAAAACATTATGCAACCTACTATGGCCAACTGTGGGAGCAGGCTCAAGGAAAGTGAGCATGCTATCACAAATGGAATTGTTTTCTTAATTTCCTTTTTGGATAGGTCATTTTTAATGTATAAAAACGCAACTGATTTCTCTATGTTGATTTCGTACCATGTGATTTCACTGAATTTATTAGTTCTAATCGGTTTTTTTTGGTGAGGTCTAATTTTCTACATCAAAAATCACGACATTGCCAAACAAAGATAATTTTCTTTCGTTCTTTGTTATTTGGATTCCTTTTATTTCTTTTTCTTGCCTAATGTCTCCAGCTAGGACTTTAAGTTCTGCGTTGTATAAGAGAGGCAGGAATGGGCATCCTTGTCTTGTTCTCAAAAAGCTTTTGACTTTTTATCATTAAGTACAATGTTAGCTATAGGCTTGATATAAAAGGCCATTATTATGTTAAATATTTTCCTTCTATACCTAATTTGTTCAGGTTTTTTATTATAAAAGGGTATTGATTTTGTCAATGCCTTTTCTACATCTATTGAGATAATCATGTGATTTGTGTCTTTCATTCAGTTAATGTGGTGTATCATGTTGATTGATTTGTATAGGTTAAACTATCCCCACATGCTAGGAGTAAATCCTACTTGATCATAGTGCATTAGTCTTTTAATGTGCTGTTATGTTCAGTTTGCTAGTAATTTGTTACATTTTTTAGTCTATTTTCATAATGAATATTGGCCTTTAACTATCTTTTATGGTAATGTTTTTGTCTGGCTTTGCTATCAGGGTGATACCGGCCTCAGGAAATAAGTATGGAAATGTTCTCTCTTTTTATCTATTTGGAACACTTTCAAAAATAATAAAATATTGAGGAATAAATACAACCAAAGAAGAGAAAGACTTCTGTATTTCACACTACATATTGACAAAAGAAATGTTAAAAGACAAAGATAACTGAAAGGGCATCTCATGTTCATGGATTTGAAGAATACCATTAAAATGCCCATTACTTTCAAAGCAATTTATATATATTCCATGTAATGGCTACCAAAATTTCCATGGCATTTATTTTCACACAGAAAAAGAAATCTTAAAATTCATATAGAACCACAGAAGATTCCAAATAGCCAAAGCAATGTTGAGCAACAAAAACAAAGCAGGAAATGTCATGCTCCTTAATTTCAAAATATGTTACAAATCCCAGTAATCAAAACATCATGGTACTGTCATAAAAAGAATAATGTAGACCAATGGAACATAATACAGAGCCCATAAATAAATACATGTATGCATGGTTAACTGATTTTTGACAAGAGTGACAAGAATATACAATGGGGAAAGAATATTTTCTTTAATAAATGGTTTTGAGAAAATTGGATAGCCACATACAGAGGAGTAAAATTGGATCCTTATTCATACTATATACAAAAACCAACTGAAAATATAATAAAGAATCAAACATAACAGCTGAATCAACAAAACTCTTAAGAGAAAACAGAGTAAAAGGTTGTTGACGTGAACTGGGCAATGATTTCTTAGATATGACACCAAAAACACAAGCAACAAAAGCAAAAACAGACAAACAGGACTGTGTCAAACTAAAAAGCTTTTGTGCAGCAAAAGAAACAAGAAAATAAAAAGGCAACCTACAGAATGAAAGAAAACATTTGCAAACCATACATCTGATAAGGGGTAAATATCCAATATATGTTAAGTAAGTCAATAGCAATATAATAATAATATTATTATAGTAATATAATATAACATATTGTATGTATTTTACATATAATTATACAATTATATGTATAATTTTATAATTATTATATAATAATATTGTATAATTATTATATAACTAATAATATAATTATTATATAGTTAATAAGTATATCACTATCATTATTATTATTTGATGAAAAAATTGAAAAGGGACCTAAATAAAATTCACTCAAAAGAAGACATAGATGGCAAACAGATATATGAAAAGGTCTTTGAAATCACTAATCATCAGGGAAATGCATATATCACCTCACACCTGTAAGAATGGCTATTTTAAAAAAGTGACTATGAATGTGGACAGAATTGTGGAAAACTGAGAACTCTTGTACATTTTTGGGTGAAAATGTAAAATGATGCAAGCTCTAGGACCAACAATATAGAGGTTCCACAAAAGTTAAGGATAGAATTATCATTTGATCTGGCAATCCCATTTCTTAATATATATCCAAAGGGAATAAACTTAGGATCTGCATTCTCTTATTGCAGCATTAATTACAATATTCAGGCTATGGAAACAACAGAGGAATCATATCAAGTTGGAGGACTAGAAGGTTTCAATGCTCATCCCATTCCTCCTTTATACACACAGATAAAACTAAGAAAAACTAAATACCATGAAAAATAACTCTTGGAAAGCTCAAGAGTTTGGTAAAGAACCTGCAGCTATCCAGATGAGCAAAAGCTGAGGATGACTGCATAGAAAAGCATAGAAGTGTCTTGCCTCATCCCCTACTCTGGCATAACTTTGCCTCAAGAGGGATCTCCTTGGCAAAATTTTCCCCCGCCAAGAAAAAAAAGGACAATCAAAGGACCTCAGTAGCCCTCACCGATACCACAGAAATCCTCAACTTTTTCAAGCAAGGATACTTGTAGTCTCTGCTGATGCTGATCCCAGTTGATAGAATTTTCTGGAGTATACACCATTGCATGTCCCCCACACCAGACAAAGAGCTGCTACTGTAGCTTCCAGAGAAACAGTATCTGCTGTACCACTCTGGGGTCAGACCCACCACCACCCACAACCATGTGCACACACTGAACCTCAGAATCATAGTCACTTAGTGTGTGCCTACGATTCAGACTCTGTCTTCACAGCTACCCCACACTTCTGCACTTTGGACATTAGTGCCATAGCTGCTGTAACAGGTGCTCCTCACATTGGACCACAGAACCATGGTTGACACATGTGGTGGGAGCATGGTTTGTCCATGCCTCAAACCCCAGAGCAATGATCATTTCCCATATGCCTGGGCATCAGACATCAGAACCACTACCACTGTGAACATGCCTTCACCCCAGAGGCAGCAGCAACAGGAACCCCCTCTGCCATGACTCCCTTCTGTGGTGGAAAAAGAGAATGGGAGTACCCCCAGACGACTTTCTCAATAAAGACTTCAACAGTCCTTGCTGCTGCTGTGGAGACCCACAGTCTTGGTTGCTGAGGACTCCCATGGTCTTCACCAAGGCTGACTTCAAGTGAAAGAGCTGCAAATAGATTATCCCACTGTGCCTTTCCCAGAGATGGAACTAACTCTGATACCCCAACCCAGCCAGCACCCTCATGGCCACCCATATGTGAAGATCTTTCCCCATCAAAACCCTTTTGTAGAGTATGGAAAATGTGACTGCTCTCTAAAATGCACAGATATCAGCACAAGTCTACAAGAAACACATAAATTGAGAAAACATAATACCGCCAAAGAAACACAATAATTTTCCAGTAAATGACCTCAAAGAAATTAAGACCTATGAATTGTCTAACAAATAATTCAAAATAATTGCTTTAAGGATGCTCAGCAAACTAGAAGAGAGCACAGAAAACAACTCGATGAGTTCAGGAAAACAACATAAATGAAACAGCTGCAGCATAGCACCAGAAGTTTTAAAAAGATAAAAATTATAAAAAAGAAAGTAACAAATTCTGTAGCTGAAGAGTACAATGTATGAATTGAAAAATGCAACAGAGACATTCAATAGCAGACTTGAATAATAGAGCAAAAAATCTGCAAATTTAAACACAGATTTTTAAAAATGATTCGCTCATAAGAGGAAAAAGTGAAAAAGAGTAAAAATAAAGCCTGTGATATTTATGAAATACTATCAAGTGAACTATTATATACATTATAGGAGTTTCAGAAAGAAAAGATAGAGAGAAGAGGGGCAGAGAGATTATGTAATGTAATAACTGAAAATTCCCAATTCATGGAGAAAAAGTAACATTCACAGTCATGAAGGTACAAAACCTCAGAGGATCAATCCAAATAAGAACATAGAGAAACACATTATAATAAATTTGCTGAATATCTACGAGAAAGAGAATTTTGATAACAGAGAAAATAACTTATCACACATGAGGGAACCTCCATAAAAATGTCAGTGAATGTCTCAGCAAAATCTTGGCAGGCAAGGAGAGCATAAGGTGATATATTAAAAATTCTGAAAGAAAATAAAGCTATATAAGAGTTCTGTGCCCAGAAAAAGTATACTTCATTAATGAAGAAGAGCTTTCAGCCTTAGCACCATCCTCATAGAAACCATAGTGCCACGAAAGCCAAGGTGAGTGATCCCTATTGGTGAGCTTGGGAGTGGAAAAGGAAGTGCAGGGTGAAGTGCAAAAAAAGATGATGTGTCAGAGGTCCAATTAAACCACTAGCTTGTGTACTTGTAAAGGTCACAAGAGCAGAAATATGAAATGGTAGAGACTAAGGATGTAAGGATATAGATGCAAATTACTGAAGTGTTTGCTACTGTTTCAAATTTTCCTCTCAAAGAATTTAGAACTTCCATGACCCTCTGATCACGAGGTCCACCACTGAGAGACCCACCCTGATCACACCAAAAGAGTCCCCTTTGGTCTTTTGTCCTAGACCTGTGACACTCTGAATTACTTATGTTTTCAGTTGTGGCTTAGTATGACAGGTATAAAATAGATAATCTTTTCTGCTGTTTTGGCTGTGAAATCAAAACTTAAAAAATTAAGATGAAAAAAGTATTTCTCACATAAACAAAAACTGACAAAGTATGTCACCACTAAGCCCACCTTACAAAAAAGGCTGAGGGAGTTCTTAAAATTGAAATAAAAACATGATAAACAGAAATGTGAAAGCATATATAAGCATAAATGTCACTGGTAAAGGTAAATATATAGACACATACAGATTCATGTAATACCGTAATGGTGGTGTGTAAATTAATTACAAACATAGAATTTTAAAGATAAAAAGTGTTAATGGACACACAGTATATATTGAAAAAAACAGTACAAAAATACAAATTGTGTTGGTGGGATTAAAAGTATAGTTAGTGTTTTTGTATATGAGCTTAAATTGTCATCAGATTAAAATAAAAGATTGTAACCACAAAATATTTTATGTGAGCCTTAAGACAACCACAAGAAAAATAATCAGGAGGGGCCTTGAAAATGGCTGACTAGAAGGACCTGTCAGTCACCTTTTGTACAAAGAAAGCTAAAAACAATGAGTAGATAAGCATATGTCAACTAAAGCATCTAAGAGAGAACAACAGAATTGATCAAGGAAGTGACAGGCAACCACTCAGTAAGGGAAGGAGAAGAAAGCAAAGCAGGTGGCCTCATCAGGATTGGCTAAAAGCCAGGAGAAACTCCCCACTGTGGGGAAAACACCAATGAGAAAACTACAGCTGTTCACATCCCCATCCCCACTCATGCAATCCTAGCTACAGGAGAGCTCTCAGCCCCCAGGGGCTTTGAGAGTAGTAAAGGAAGCTACCTGGAGTCCACACAATGGCATTTTTCTACAAAATAGGTTCACACTGGGTCCTAGGCATATCACAAAATTTAAGCAGCCATAGCATAGAACAATTTTGAGAGCCCAGTCCTCACCATACTACATCCTTCCCTGAAAGCCCAACAGCTCCTACATCTCCACACTCCTCAAGTCCTACTGATATCCTATTATGTCCACCCAGAAGGCTGCAGTGTCACAACACTGGCTGGACCCAACTGTGTGTTCAGGTCCTCAGCACTGCAGCACAACCCATGTCCAGGCTATACCATGTGGAAGGGCAGTAAAGCACACCGGGAAGGTTGCACTTCAAAAAAAAAAAAAAAAAAAGGCAGCCGAAGTGTGTGCTCCCCAGAGCCTACGAGGTGTTTACCTTTGTCTCCCACAGCAGGGTCGTCATACACATGGACATGCCTTCAGGTGTGTTGAGGACCACTCTTCATGGGTGCTGATCTAGGGCCTGAGAAATTCCAGTACTACCCACCACTGTCGCTGCTACCATCCAAGTATGTCATCCAGGGCCCTAAGGACAAACCTACTTTGTCCAGTGGTGTCATAACCTGCACATGCCATCCACGTGCCTGAGGATGGGCCCAACTAGCCTAACAGCACCTGTTCGCATTTTCTAAGGGCCTGGGGATTGACCTCCCCAGCCACCACTGCCAGTGCAAACACTTGCCTTCAGGGGCCTGAAGACAGGCTTACCCAGATTGCCACCACCACCACAACTGCCTGTTTCCACATGCACCATCCAGGGGACTAGGAATCAACTCCCTAGCCTGCTGCTGTGGTACCCATACACACTACCAGGAGGCCTGACACCAGGTTCACCCCACCCACCACTGGTGCCCATACATGTTATTCAGGGATGTGGGGATTTATCTGCCCTACATGTCATAACCTGCCTGTGCTTGCACATACCATTGAGAGGCCTCAGAACAGGCCGGATTGCCTGCTGCCACAAGCACCCATGCACACCATTCAGGGGAAGGGGAATTGACCCGATCCACCTCACCAGCATACATGTCCACCCTCCACAGGCCAGAAAACAGACAACAATACTCATTGCCAGTGCCCATGTACACCATCTGGAGATTGATCTGCTCCATCTGCCAACTTAAGTCCCAATGCACAACATTTGGCATTCTAAGTACAGCCTTGCCCCACATACCTCACCACCATAGTGCCCCAGCACACCATCTGGGAGCCTGAAAATCAATCTGCTGTGCCCACAACAGCCTGTGCTCACATGCACTATCAGGGGGCATAAGGATAGGACTGCAGGGGCCAGCACTGTCCCTGCTACTGCCCACACAAGTTTTCTGAGAGCTTGCATATCAACTTGCTGCCACTGGTGTTCATGTACACAACTGGGGAGTCTGAGGACACGCCTCTTGCCATCACCATATGTGAAGTCACATATAATGAAATGCCCATCAGAAAAACAGTAGATTTCTCAGTGGAAAACTTACAGGCCATAAGAGAATGGGATAATATATTCAAAGTGCTGAAAAAAAAAACCTGCCAGCCAAGGATAATATACCCAGCAAAGCTATCATTCATAAATAAAAAATAGAGGATTTTTCAGATAAGCAAAAACTGAGGGAATTTATCACCACTTAACTGGCTCTACAAGAAATGCATAGGGGAGTCCACATGAAAGCAAAAGGATTATATTTACCAAGATGAAAACATAATAAAAGAGGGAGAAAAGAATGAAAGATATACAAAACAACAAGAAACCAATTAACAAGGCAGGAATGAATTCTCACCTATCAATAATAACCTTGAATGTAAATTATTTAAATTCTCTATTTAAAAGACACAGACAGCTGGGCACAGTGGCGCACGCCTGTAATCACAGCACTTTGGGAGGCTGAGGCAGGTGGATCACCTGAGGTCAGGAGCTCAAGAGCAGCCTGGGCAACACAGTGAAACCCTGTCTCTACTAAAAATACAAAAACATTAGCTGGTCATGGTGGCACACATCTGTAATCCAGCTACTTGGGAAGCTGAGGCAGGAGGATCACTTGAACCAGGGAGGCAGAGATTGCAGTGAGCCAAGATCATGCCACTGCACTCCAGCCTGGACAACAGAGCAAGACTCCATCTCAAACACACACACACACAATTATGATCCAACTATATGCTTCCTACAAGAAATTCACATCGCCTGTATAGCACATATAGACATAAAGGGAAGGGATGAGAAAAGATATTCCACATAAACAGAAGCAAAAAGGTGGCAGGAATAGCTGTCCTTATATCAGAAAAAGATGTTGAGAACTTTTTTTAGAACTGTATTAAAAGACAAATAAATAATTGTATAATAATAAACAGATCAATACAGGAAGAGGCTATAACAATTTTAAATATATATTTACTCAACACTGAAATACCCAGATGTATAAAGCAAATATTATTAGATATAAAGTGAGAGGTAGACTTCAGTACAGTAATAAGTGGAGATTTCAACACCTCGCTCTCAGCATTGGACAGATTATCTAGACAGAGATCAACAAAGAAACTTTCAATTTGTACTGCAGATTAGACCAAATAAACCTAACAGGAATTTACAAACATAATATGTGATAGCCGTAGAATACATGTTCATCTCATCAGCACATAAAACATTCTCCAGGATACCCATATGTTAGAGAACAAAATAAATTTCTACTAGTTTTTTTTTTCTTTTTAATGAATTCGTAGCAAATGACAATGGAATAAAACTAGAGATTGGTAACAAGAGAAACTCTGGAAATGTACAAGTACATGAAAATAAAAAAATGCTACTGAATTATCATTGAGTTAATAAACTAAGAATGAAATTTAAGAAAATTTTAAGACAAATGGAAATGAAAACACATCTAACCAAAACCCATGCAATATAGCAAAAGCAGTGCTAAGAAGGATGTTTACAACAATAAATACCTATCATTAAAAAGGTAGGCAGATTTCAAATAAAAAACTTAACAACATACCTCCAGGAACTAGAATAATCAGAACAAACCAAACCCAAAATTAGCACAGGAAAAAAATAATAAAGATTAGAGCAGATCTAAAAGAAAAAGAAAAAGAAAGAGCGAGAGAAAGAGAGAGACAGTGAAAGAGAAAGAAAGAGAAAGAGAAAGAAAAAGAGAGAAAGGAAGGCAGGAAGAAAAGAAGGAAGGAAGGAAGGAAGGGAGAAAAATAGCATTGAAAGGATCAAGTTTTGGGGTCTTGTAACATATTTCTGATGACCACAGAAGGGACTATAGTGCAGAAACTCTGACCCAACGGCCACTTTTGGGTAAGTGTTGGGGTCCTGTAACATTTCTGGTGAACCACAAAAGGGCCGATACTGAAGAGACCCCCAACCCAATCCAAAGGAAAATCATCTGTGTGCACCAACTGGCGACTTTGGGTTAGTGTGGTGCCTATACCTGGGTAAAGAATGGGATTGGCTTAGCGGCCCAACTTGGAGGAGTTAGCGTCTCTCCTAAGACAGAGAGGGTTAAAGGCTCTTGAAATTAAACTTGGGTTAGAGGGTTAGAGTCCCTTTTAAGATTTAGGGGGTTAGAGACCCCTCTTAGTAATTTCCTTCTAGGCTAAGAATGGGTTTGGCACCACAGGGTATGCTCTTTGTACTAATCAGCCTTGTCCTCTTTGCTGCATGAATCAATTTCTTGGTTGCTGTCTCTGTTTCACTTCATTTTCTGGAGACTTCATTTAAATGATCTTGGGAATTTTAACTTATTCATCTCCTGTGTGCCTCCCAATTTCCATCCATTTGCTTGTGAAACATTGGGAACAAAAAGCATTGAACACACCATCTCTAAAAGTGCTGATTGGGATTTGGTATTTAACAGCTATAAGCAATAAGGTTAAATAGACGTGGTTATGTTTTGTTGCCACTATGCAAACTAGGTGTGATTGAGAAGCACTAGGATGGAAATCAGGGGACTTTACTTCTTGCTGTTTCGTTTCATTTTATACACACACACACACACACACACACACAGACACACACACAGACACACACACACTTTTTGGATCTGGGCAAACCAGCTTTGCTTGTTTGCTATTGCCCAGATCCTACTTGCTTTGCTTGTTTGCTATTACCCAGATCCTACTTGCTCTGGTCATTCCCATCTAAATCCTCTTCATTTCTTTTGCCTTATTCAACATTTTTGTTGAAGTCCATGTTGTGGTTTATCTAAGATTCATGGCTCAGCTCACTTATATTATTTGGAAAATGTGAAGAAGATAATTCAATCTTTAGCAGGGATCCCCTTATTAATGCAGCTGGACTTAAAAACCCCTCTTATCCTTTTTAGTGGAACTCAGCCAGTGGTAATACAATCTTGCAGGTTTGGAACTTTTCTTTCAACATCACCTGCCTCCTTCACGGGAACCATGGCATCATTTCCAAAGAACTCACCACTAGGATGTATGTATTCTTGAAAATTGGGACCAACTTAAACTGAATGGGTTTAAGAAGAGAAAACTGGTGTTTCTGTGTAATATGGTTTGGCCTTGATATTATGTGGAAAAACAAGAGAAAAGGCCTCCTACTGGAACTATGACCTTTAATGCTATAATTCAATTCGATTTGTTTTGTAAGCGGGAGGGAAAATGGGATGAAATACCATATGTTCAAGCAGTTTTGCTGCTTAGTCGAAATAAAACCCGGAAGCAGGTGTGTGCATGTTTCATGAGAGGAAAAAGAGCTAGACATAGTAGATGATCCTTTAAAGCAACCCCTCTTCCGCCCCAGGTTCAGCGGGCATTTTTGGGTGGAGCAGAACCTCCTTCTGTAAGCTCTGAAGGTTCAGATGGGTCAGTCCTTTCTCCCTGGAATCCACCTGAAAGTTCTATTGAGAACCCTCTGTCCCCTCCTCCTTACCTGTCTAGTCTCACTCTATACCCTCCACTCCCTGAGGAACTTAATCCAGTGAGTAGTGCTCATAGTGGAGTCTCCTATCAATCTCCAAAGGGAAATCTTTGTCCCTTTGGCAAGTGGGAAAGAAGGCATTGTAAGAGTACATGTTCCCTTTTCTATATCTGATTTGGCTGTATGTAAAGAGAAATCTGGTCATTTCTCTGAAGATCCAGGAAAATTCATGGATGAGTTTGAGAAATTAACTCTGACCTATAGTTTAACTTGGCAGGTTTGTTGTCTCTGTGTTGTACAGTAGAAGAGAAACAATGCATTTTGAGGACAGCAAGAACCCATGCAGATGAGGCATTGGCTTGTAACCCGAACCATAATATATATCAGGCAGGAGGTATAGCAGTTTCAGATCAAGATCCACAGTGGAACTATCAAAGGAGCAGTGAGAACTTTGGGAGGAAAGATCATATGGTCACTTGTTTGTTGGAAGGTACAAAGAAATGTTTGAAAAAGACAGCTAACTACGAAAAGGTTAAGGAAGTTGCTCAGGGCAAAGATGAGATCTAGCTTTGTTTCAAGGGCGTTTAGTCGAGGCAATCACAAAATGTACTAACACTGATCCTGCCTTGAGGGAAAAACAATCCCTTTTGGGAGTATATTTTATAACCCAGTCTGCCCCGATATCCGCAAGAAACCACAAAAAAGAGCTATGGGCCCTCAAACTCCTATGGAACAACTTTTGGATTTGGCATTTTTATTTTTTAATAACAGAGACAAAGCAGAGGAAGCAGAAAGAGCAAGAAGGACCTCCCACAAGGTGCAGCTCTTGGTTGCAGCCTTAAGCTCACCTCCCACATGGGGTTGCCCTCCTGGCTGTTGGCCTGAACAAAGGAGGCTGAAAAGCTGGGCATCTGAGTCACCATGCCTTGGGCATAAATCAGTTTGCACACCGTAAGAAAACTGGCCATTGGAAAAGGGATTGCCCAGCGTTCCAAAGGAAGCCATCAGCACCCAAGCCAATGATGAATGAAATAGCCAGGCAAGCACAAAAGTGATGGGGCCTGTGATCTTCCGCCACTGCTCCCACTGGACAACTAGCCATATCTCCAGAGGAGCCTCAGGTAACCCTTGACGTGCTAGGTAAGAATATTAACTTCCTTCTGGACTGCTTACTCTGTTTTGACCCACTATAATGGGCCTCTGTCACCCCAAAACTGTATGGTCACTGGGAACGATGGACAAGTGCATAGACACCATTTTCCCTATCCTCTAAGCTGTCCTTCAGGGACTTTGGTTTTCTCACACACCTTTCTTACCATGCCTGGATGCCTCAGGGCAGTGGTAGCAACTGCTCTTTTAGTAGATGAAGCCAATAAACTGGCTTTAGGACAACATTTGGAGGTTTTGACCCCACACCAAGTACAAGGAGTTCTAGAAGCTAAAGGACAACAGTGGATGACAGGGGGATGCTTATTGAAATGTCAGGCTTTGCTGCTAGACACTCCTGATGAACTCTTGATACCAGGTGCTAATCAATGGAAAATAGTTAAGCATTTGCATGACTCTATTCATTTAGGAAGAGATTCCCTGTTTCAATTAATGTCTTAGCTTTTTATAGGAAAAGGCTTACTTAAAAGAGTAAAGCAGGTTATTTGGGCCTGTAATATATGCTCGGAATAACCCAAATAACCAATCTTTACCTCCTCCTCTAGTAAGGCCAGTTCAGCATGGGGGAACATAGCCTGGTGAAGATTGGCAAATAGATTATACTTAGGTGCTCCCATGTAAAGGGTTTAAATATTTACTAATATTCGTTGACACCTTTATCGATTGGATTGAGGCTTTTCCTACCCTGTCGGAAAAGGCAATTGAGGTTTCTAAACTACTACTAAAGGAAATAATCCCTAGATTTGGCCTGCCTAAGAGTTTACAGAGAGATAATGGCCATCTTTCACAGTGACAATTACCCAAAACACATCTTCAGCCCTAGGAATTCCACCTGGAGGCTACAGTCTTCAGGCAAAGTAGAAAGAGCTAATGAAACTCTAAAAAGGATTCTTGCTAAACTATGCCAAGAGACCTGGAGACCTGGCTGTCTTTATTACCTGTAGCCTTATTATGGGTTCGAGTGGCCCCTAAGGAAAATCTGCAGCTCCGTCCTTTTGAAATAATGTATGGAAGGCCTTTCTTAACAACAGACCTCCTAACAGACATAGATACTTTCAAGCTACAGAATTATGTGATCAACTTAGGACAAGTACAAAACGCACCCCTTGAATACAGAAATCAAAGACTCCCTTCTTCCACTAAGGAAGAGAATCTTGTTACAACCCAGCTGGGAGATTGGGTCCTATTAAAAACTTGGAAGGAAAGATCCCCAGCAGCTCAACTTTCCCCAAAATGGAAGGGACCCTATCAAGTTCTACTTAGTACCCCAACTGCAGTTAAACTTCTGGGAATAAACAGCTGGGTCCACTTATCTCAAATTAAATCTATCTCTTATGAAGTCCCACAGGCTGACAGAACAAAAGAGACTGATCCCATTTATTCCTATGAGCCAATCAGTGACCTGTTCAGTGAACTCCTGTTCAGAAGAAATGAAAGGGAGGGGTAACATAAACATATGGATTGGCATTCTACTTTTGGGTATTAGTTGGACTTATGCAGAGAGTAACTCACTTACTGAATGGGCACAGACTTTAGCCTGTCTACATAATCGGACAAACTGTTGAGTATGTGGACATTTTAACTGTGACCGAAGGGGGACCTCGTGCTTTGATGAAAACCAAATGTTGTGTGTATGTTCCCGACTATTCACATACTACCCAGGCTATGAAAGCTTTAGACACTCATCTCTCTGCCATTAATGCACTATGAGTTGACCCTATATCAGCTTGGTTCCAACAACTGCCCAGTTCTTGGAAAGCCTTCCTGTTTAGTTTACTTGGAATGATTTTACTGATTTTGTTTTGCTGTTATGGAATATATTGTGGTTGTACTCTTTGTGTAGGAATGCAAGATAAGCTCACTCAACACTTTCTTAAATTGGACACATTAATCTTTCAGATACCATTTTTTGTTAGAACGTGGAGTTATGAACGATCTTCATCATACCAACGTTCTCTGAGCTCCTCTCTACCCTGAATAAAGAGACCCTAATAGGCAGGAATATCATTGCCCCTATTCAGCCTGAGGAAGTTACACAAGATGGATCTTCATCCCTCTGCAACCCTTAGGATTAAGGGTCCTTTTGTAAATGGGGCGGCGGGGGTTGGAGGCGCAGGGGGAGAGGGGAAGACATGTCAGAGGCATTGAAACTAGAGCAACTCCATTTTGAGTGAGGGCTAGGAAAATGAGGCTGGGACTTGCTAGACTGCATTCCCAGAAAATTAGGCATTCCTAGCCTCTAGATGTTTATGGCTGAGGGAACAAGTTAATAATATTTACTAAACAGACCCAGACTTGGGAGTGTCCGGATATCCAGATATCTGGAGAACAAAGGCATCCTTAATTTTGCTTTAAAGGTAATAATATTGATTCTTGTAAAATATAGTAATTACGAAAATTAATCCTTTATCCCAAATGCTGTGGCAGACCACATCTCCTCAAGATCTTTTACTATCATATACATATATACACACACATACACAAGCATTGTACCTAGGGTAGCCATATTCCTCCTCTTACTTTTGGGGACATCCTGCTATGTCTGTGGGGTAGCTGTTCTTTCATTACTTTACTCTCAATAAACTTTCTCTTACTTTGCACTGTGGACTTGCCCTTAATTCTTGTGTGAGATCCAGGAACCCTCTCTTGGGGTCTGGATCGGGACCCCTTTCCTGTAACAAAGAAAATTTGGGTTATAAGAACACAAATAAAATCGACAAATTGACAGCCAGACTAAGAAAAAAAAGGGAGAAGACCCAAGTAAATAAAATCAGAGGTAAAAAGACATTACAACTGAGACTGCAGAAATACAAGCCAGTAGAGTCTATTAGAAAGAAGTATATGTTAACAAATTAGAAAGCCTACAGGAAATGAATAAATCCCTGGCCACACACAGTCTATCAAGATGGAACCAGGAAGAAACAGGAAACATAAACAGACCAAAAATGAGTAAAGAGGTTGAATCAGTAAAAAATAGTCTCCCCAAAAAGAAAAGCCCAGGACTGGGTGGCTTTACTACTGAATTCTACCAAACTTTTAAAGAAAAACTCACACCAATTCTTAAACTATGCCAAAATTAAAGAGGAAGAGCTTGTTTCTAACTCATTCCATGAGGACAGCATTACCCTGGTACCAAATCCAGACAAGAACATACACACTCACACACACACACACACACACACACACACACACACAGAGAGAGAGAGAGAGAGAGAGAGAGAGATAGAGAGAGAGAGACTACCAGCCAATAACCTTGATGAATATAGATGCAAAAATCCTCAACAAAATACCAGCCACACAAATCTAACCATGCATCAAAAAGATAATACTCTATGATCAAGCAAGATTTATTCCAGCATATTAAGGATGGTTTAACATACACAAATCAAAAACTATGATACTTCACATTAACAGAATAAAGCACAAAAATGATATGACCATCTCAAAAGACACAGAAAAAATATATTACTTGATATAATTAAGCATGCCTTAATAAAAGCTCTCAACAATTTAGGCATACAGGGAACATAACATAATAAATGCCATATATGACACAGCTAACCTCACACTAAATGTAGAAAGCTGAAAGTTTTTCTTCTAAGAAATGGGACAATACAAGTTTGTCCACTTTTACCACTCTTATTTAACATACTACAGGAAGTCCTAGCCAGAGTAATCCAACAAGAGAAATAAATAAAAGGCTTCCAAATTGGAAACAAGGAAGTGAAATTGTCTTCCTTTGCAGATGATATGATCTTATATATAGAAAAACCTAAATTATCCAATAAAAAACTCTTGAGACTTATAAATAAATTCAGTGCACTTGCAGAATACAAAATCAACATAAAAAATCAGTAGCATTTCTGTACACCAATAATAAAACTAGCTGAAAAAGAAATCAAGAAAGCAATCACATTGATAATAATTACCAAAAAATATGTAGGATTAAATTTAACTAAAGAGGTGAAAGACTTTTACAAAGAAAACTACAAAACACTGACAAGCAAAAAGAGACAGAAAACTAACAACATGCTCATGAATTAGAACAATTACTATTTTTAAATGACCATACTAACCAAAGCAATCTACAGATTCAATGAAATCCCTATCAAAACACTAATGATATTTTTCACAGGAAAAGGAAAAACAATACTAACATTTATTTGGAACCATAAAGGACCTAGAATAACCACAGCAATACTGAGCAAAAAGAGCAAAATTGGAGGCAAAACTCTACCTGACTTCCAAATACACAACAGAGCTAGAGTAACCAAAACAGCATTGTGTGGGCATGAAAACAGATACAATGGACCCATGGAACAGAATGGAGAACACAAAAATAAATCAATATATTTACAGCCAGATGATTTTTAACAGAGGTACCAAGGACATACATTGGAGAAATTGCAACCTCTAAAATAAATGGTTCCAGGAAACTGGATATCCATATGCAGAAGATTGAAACTAGATGTATATCTCTCATCATATAGAAAAAAATTAAATCAAAATGATTAAAAACATAAACATAAGACACTGAACTATGATTATGACATTATTAGAAGAAAACAGAGGAAATGCTTCTGCACATTGGCTTAGGCAACATTTTATGGCTAAGGCTTTTAAAGGCGCAGTCAACAAAAACAAAAATAGACAAATGGGACTATATTAAACTAAAAATCTTCTGTATGGCAAAGGAAAGTCTTTAAGAGTGAAGAGATAACCTATAGAATGGAAGAAAATATTTGCAAACTATTCATTGACAAGGGACTAAAATCCATAATATGCTAGAAACTCAAGTCATCAGCAAAAGAAAAATCAAATAATCTCTTTAAAAAGTGAGCAAGGACCTGAACTGACATTCCTTAAAAGAAGACATAAAAATGTCTGACAATTATATTGAAAAATTCAACACCACTAATCATTGGGGAAATGCAAATCAAAATTCATGATGAAATATTATCTTATACCACTTGGAATCGCTATAACCAGAGAAGACTACAAAGAAGAAAAACTGAAAAGGATGTAGAGAAAGGGGAACTTTTATACACTGTTGGTGGCAATATAAATTAGTATCGCCATTATGAAAAACAGTATTTTTAGTTCTCTCAAAAAAATTAAAAATAAAACTACCATATGATTCAGAAATGCCACTACTGGATATTTATTCAAAGAAAAGGAAATCAGTACATAAAAGAGATAACTGCATCCCCATGTTTCTTGCAGTACCATTTACAATCACTAAGATATGGAATCACCCAAAGTGCCCATCAATGAATTAATGGATAAATAAAATGTGATATACATACACAATGGAATAGGATTCAGTCATACAAATGAAATTCTGTCATTTACAGGAACATGGATGGAAGTAGAGGTCATTATGCTAAGTGGAATAAACTAGTCACATACATATATCACATGTTCTCATTCATACATGGGAATTTAAAAAGTTGATCTTATGTAGAGAATTGAACGATAGTTACCAGAGGCTGGGAAGGGTGTATGGGGGAAGAGCGGCTAGAGAGAGGTTGGTTAATGGGTACGAACTTACTCACTTAGGGAGAAGGAATAAATTCCAGTAAGTTTTCAGCTTACTTTGCTCAAATCCATCAGAGGAATCACTATGTATGGCAGATATAGCCCTACAAAATTAAACTTTCTTCTTAAATAATTAGACTTGAAAGTAGAAAGTACTTTGCAATCCATGGGCTGTAGAATGGATATTGTATCAGTAGGCATGAAAACAAATTAATCTATAACTCTTGTACGTCTCTATCAGAGCTCTTGGATGGCTAAGTGCATTGTCAATTAGCAGTAAAATTTTGGAAGGAACCTTTTTTTTTCTGAGCAGTAGGTGTCCATAATGGGTTTTAAATATTCATTAAACCATAGTGTAAACAGATGCACTCTCATACAGGCATTGTTGTTCCATTTATAAAACACAGTCAAAGTGTATTTAGCATAATTCTTAAAGGCTCTAGCCTTTTCAGAATAGATGAGCATTGGCTTCACTTTAAAGTTACCAGCTATATTAACCCCCAGCAAGGGAGTAGCCTGTCCTTTGAAGCTTTGAAGTCAAGCATTGACTTCTCCTCTTTAGCTATAAAAGTCTTAAGTGCCACCTTCTTCCAATATAAAACTGTCTTGCTACATTGAAAATCTGTTGTTTCCTGTAGCCACCTTCATTAATGATCTTAGCTAGATTTTCTGGATAACTTGTTGCAGCTCCTATATCAGCACTTGGCTGCTTTACTTTGCACTTTTGTGTTATGGGGGTGGCTTCTTTACTTGAACCTCATAAACTAACCTCTGCTAGCTTCCAATTTTTCTTCTGCAACATCCTTTCCTCTCTCAGCTTTTATAGAATTGAAGAGAGCGGGGACTAGCTCTGGATCAGACTTTGGCTTAAGGGAAACTTGGGGCGTTTTGATCTTTCCAGACCACTCAAACTTCCTCCATCATAGCAATAAAGCTGTTTTGCTTTTTTATTCATTTGTTCACTGAAATGGTGATGTTAAATTTCCTTCAAGAACTTTTCTTTGCTCTCGCAACTTGGCTAACTATTTGATCAAGTGTCCTAGCTTTCAGTCTATCTCAACCTTTAACATATGCCTCCTTTGCTAAACTTAAAATAATTTCTAGCTTTTGATTTAAAGTGAGAAACATCAGATTCTTTCCTTCACTTGGATACTTAGAAGCCCTTGCAGTGTTATTAATTGGCCTAATTTTAATACTGTTTTGTCTCAGGGAATAGGGAGGCCTGCGGAGAAGAGAAAGTGGGAAATGGTTAGCCAAATGACCAGTCCAAACACACACAGAATTTATCAAATTAGTTTGCCATCTATGGGCATAGTCTGTGGCTCCCCAAAACAATTACAATCAGGATGTCAAAGATCACTGATTACAGATCACCAAAACAGGTATAGTAACAACTAATCATTTTGAAACATTGTGAGAATTACTAAAATGTGACACAGAGACATGAAGTGACTGCTACAAACTTGCAAGTTATAAGCTACACAGTATTAGCAAAGCACAATAAAGTGAGATACAATAAAGAAAGGTATGCCAGTACATAGAAAGCCTTAAAAGCTGCCGGGCACAGTGGCTCATGCCTGTAATCCCAGCACTTTGGGATGCCAAGGCAGGCAGATCACAAGGTCAGGAGTTCGAGACCAGCCTGGCCAACACAGTGAAACCCCGTCTCTACCAAAAATACAAAAATTAGCTGGGCATGGTGGTAGGCACCTGTAATCCAGCTACTCAGGAGGCTGAGGCAGGAGAATCACTTGAACCCAGGAGGCAGAGGTTGCAGTGAACCGAGATGGTGCCACTGCACTCAGCGTGGGTGACAGAACTAGACACAGTTTCAAAAAAAAAAAAAAAAGTCTTAAAGGCTTACTGAATTTTGTTAGAACAAATGAATTCAGTGAAGTTTCAGGATACAGAATCAACATACAAAAATCAATCATGTTTCTATGTACAAACAATGCATTATAAAAAAGACACTTTTAAAATCCTTCATTACAGGAACAAAAATAATAAAATACTTAGGAATAAGCTTAACCAAATAGGTAAAAGCCTTGCACACTATAAGCCATTGATGAAGAAAAGTAAAGACACATATAAATGAAAAGACATCCCTTATTATTGGATTGAAATAATATTGTTAAAATGTCTCTACTACCCAAGTAATCTAAAGTTTCAAGATAATGCATGTGAAAATTCCAAGGCATTCTTTGCATAAATGGAAAAAAAATCCTAAAATTCATATGGAATGAGTGAAGACCTCAAAAAAGCATCCAACTTCTTGTGCAAAGTTGAACAAAAGAGCAAAGCTGGAGGCATTCTACTTTGCGATTTCAAAATATACTAAAAACCTATCTTAATTAAAATATTATGGTACTGGCATAATAATAAAAATATAGACCAATGGAAAAGAATAGTGTCCATAAATAGATCCATGCATGCACAATTGACTGGTCTTTGACAAGGGTGCCAAGTACGTGCAATGGAAAAAGGATTGTCTTGTCAATAAATGGTGTTGGAAAAACTGGAAATATCACAAAACATAAAAAATTAACCCCAGATGGATTAAATACTTAAGTCTATGAATTGAAACCATACAACTACTAGAAGAAAATATAAAGAAAAATCTTCTTGGCTTTGAACTGGGCAATGATTTCTTGGCTATAATACCAAAAGCACATGCAACAAAAGCCAAAATAGACAATGGGGCTACATCAAACTAAAAATGCTGTATACAACAAAAGAAACCACAAAACAAAAAGGCAAACAATGGAATTGGAGAAGACATTTGCAAACCATCTGATAAGAAGTTAATATGCAATATTTATAAGAAACTAACACAACTCAATATAAAAATCAAATAAGCTGATTTAAAACTGGCAAAGAACCAGAATAGACATTTTTCCTATAAAAGACATGCAAATGGCAAACAGGTATATGAAAAGTGCTCAACATCACCAATCATCGAAGAAATTAAAATCAAAACCACACTAAGCTATCACCTCATTCCTGACATTGTTTACAAAGATGTTAGGTAAGATTCTGGAGAGAGGGTTCCTGGGAATTTCTAAGAGCTCTGAAAGTTGTAATGTTGGGCTAAAACTGGGCTATCTGGTAGCAAAGGAGAAGATTGAATAGATAGATGATAGACAGACAGACAGACAGACAGATAGATAGATAGATACATACATACATACATACATACATACATACATAAGAGGAAAATAAAGAGACAGAATAAGAATAGATGAGTAGACTGTCCAGGGCTTAATTACCCCCCAAAAAGTCACAGTCTCAGTTTCCAGATTTGAATCTGTTTTCAGACTCAGAACTCATTAACTAAAAAGTCACATGTTCATGAGGAAGAATCTTGCAACACCACAAAAAAATAATTACAGTAATATTTTCTCCAAGCCTTCCCTAAAGAGACACAAGTCCATTTACTTTGTTGGCCAAACATTAGCGAAATGACATCTATTGAGGGTTATTTGATAGAAGGATGGAGTTTGTGCTGAAATCTGGGACCTGAATTTTCATCTTTCACCCCCCATTATGGTATGGACCCCTAACGATCAGGTAGTAAGTCCAATGGTAGGCTAGGTCTTTTTCACAATGAATCTATTGAACCTATCAATACATTCAATTCATTCCCCAAAATTATATTCAGAAAAGCATGCTTAAAAGTTTTCAAAATCCATCATATTGGTTCCTTGACCTAGAGAATAGCAGCTATTGCAGCAGGAAAGGCGAAAGTCAAGTCCTGAAAGGGTTCCTAAAGGAAATCACCGAGATTCATTCACCCATTCTAATACAACTTTCCCATTTTACTGTATGGATCACTCAAAGTACTAAAGATCATGTATTGTCTTTATTTGTTTTCTATTTTTCTCATTATGCCATATACGCATGTAGACTATTTTGTTTTCCTACCACAAATTACCCCATTCCTTATTTTCAACCTTAATTGCCATACTGTGTAGTCTGAACCTAATGTGCCAGTCTCTATCAGTATATCTGATAAATATCTCCTATGTTTATTTCACCTCAAGGTTCTAACAGTTTTATCAATGAAATGTTGCTTGTACTTCTTTTTACCCATTCCTATTGGCAATGTTTTAATTTAGCTCTTTATTACATTTCACTTGATTAGTAAAACTGCTCTATTCTTGCTTCTTTTGCTCACTTCTTATTCATCCTTTATATTATATTCAGAATTCTCTTTCTAAAACACAGGTGATTATTTCTACATTTTACAAACTTTCCAGAACTTCTCACTGCCCACAGCATAAAGCAAACACTTAATGAATTCAAAGCCCTTTAGAATCTGGCCTCAGTATAAATTTCCAATTTTATCTCTCACTACTTCTTCCCATTCACTGTAATTGCTGTGTTCTAGTTTCATTCATCATTGTTCAAAATACATTTTTGATCCCCCTTTTCGTCTTAGTAAATCATATACAAACTTTAACCTCCAAAGCTCTAATATTATCTCCAGTTGAAGGCATTTCTATTTCGCTTTCTTTTCCCTCACCTTTACCCTGCCTTTGCTTCCCCAACCCCATCTGTTCCTGCTTTTTTCACAACGTACCTGCACATAAGAAGAGAACATCAAATTGAATTGATTTGGTGAAGTGATTATGGGTACAGTGTGTGCAGTTAGACAGATCTTGTTAATTCTTTGTGTACCACTTACATCTGAGTGACCTTTAGGAAGTCTCCAGCCTGTGTGTGTGTTCATTTTCTCAAGATCAAAATTGAGGTTAAAATACTGTCTTAGTCCACTTGCGTTGCTATATAGAAATACCTGAGACCGGGCAATTTATAAAGGGAAGAGTTTTGTTTGGCTCACAGTTCTTCAGACTTTACAAGAAGTATGGTACTGGCATCTGTTTGGCTTCTGGTAATGTCCTCAGGCTGCTTACTCGTGGCAAAAGACAAAGGGGAGCTGGTGTGTAAAGAGATCACGTGGTGAGAGAGGAAGCAAGAGAGAGGGGAGAGAGGTGACTGACTCTTTTAAACAACCAGCTCTCATGGGAAATAACAGCTTGAAAACTCACTCATTGTCACAAGATGGCACCAAATCATTCATGAGGGACTCTGGGTTCACCCCTAACCCTCATGACCCAAATACCTTCCATTAGGCTCCACTTTCAACACTGGAGATAAAATTTTGACATGAGATTTTGGGAAGAAAACATTCAAACTATAATATTCTGATCCTGGGCCCCCAAATCTCATGACCATCTCACACACACAATACAATCATTCCATCCTGATAGTCTCTACAAGTTAAAAAATGTTTCATCGTTAACTCAAAAGTCCAAAGTTTCATCTGAGACCCAAGGTAAGTTCGTTATGGATATGAGCCTGCAAAATCAAAACCAAATTATTTACTTCCAAGGTACAATTGTTTTCCAGGCTTTGGGCAAACATTATGATTCCAAAAGGGAGAAATAGGAGGAAAACGCCAAAAGGAAGGGGTAATAGGTCCCATGCAAGTCTGAAACCCAGCGGGACAGACATTAAATCTTGAAGCTCCAAAATAATCTTTGACTCCATGTCCCACACCCTGGTCACACTGGTGGGAGTATGGGATCCTAAGGCCTTAGGCTGCCCTGCCCCTATGGCTTTATTGGGTGCAGCCCATGTGACTGCTTTCACAGGTTAAAATCTGGTACCTGCAGTTTTTCCAGGTTGTATTCTGCCAGTGGCTCTGTAATTCTAATTCTGGAGAGCAGTGGCCCTGCTCCCACATCTCCACTGGGCACTGCCCTGGTGCATACTCTCTGGGGTGGCCTCATTCCTGGGACATCGCTGCACTCCCAGGCTTTTCAATACATCCTCTGAAATCTAGGTGGAAGCCACAAAGCCTCCACTACTCTTGCATTCTAGGTGCCTGCAGACTTTACACCATGTAAAAGCCACCAAAGCTTAAGGCGTGTGCCTTCTGGAGTGCACATCATTACCTAGGGCTGTCTGAGCTGCAGCTGAAGCCAGAGCTGATGGGATACAGGGAGCCTCAACCTGAGGCAGTGCAGGGAAATAGAGTCTCATCCTGAGGTGGTGAAGGACAGTGAATCCTGTCCTCCTAGGCCTCTCTGCCTGTGATGGGAGGGACAGCCTCAAAGATTTCTGAAGTGCCTTTGGGGCATTTTCCACATTGTCTTTACTATTAGAATCTGGCTCTCTTTTATCTGTGCTAACAAGTGGTTGCATCACAGCACCCTGGGATTTCTCTCCCGAAAATGCTTTTTTCATCTCCACCTTGTGGCCTGACTGCAAATTTTCTAATTTTTTCTTCTCTTTAGTCATAAATTCCACTTTTAGACTATTTAATTGCTGCCATATCTGATTGTAAGCTGTTAAAAGCAGCCACACAACTTCTGGAAGGCTTTGATGTTTAGAAATTTCTTTTGTCAGATGCCCTAGGTCATCACTCTTAAGTTCAGTCATCCAAAAAGCCCAAGGAATGGTCAAAATGCAGTCAAATTCTTTGCTATGGGGTAATATGGGTGATCTTGGGTCCAGTTACTAAAACATCTTCTTTTCCATTTGAGATTTTGTCAGCCTGACCTTTACTGTGTATATTTCTATCAGCATTTTGGTCACAACCACCTAGCCAGTATCTAAGAAGTTCCAAACTTTCTCTCATCTTCCTGTCTTCCTCTGGGCCCCCAAATCTTCCAACCTCTGCCCACTACCCAGTTCCAAAACCACTTGCACATTTTCACGTATCTTTACAGCAACACCCATGCCTCAAGACCAATGTATTAGTTCATTTGTGTTGCTATAAAGGAATATCTTTAGCTGGAAAATTTTTAAAGAAAGGAGATTTAATTGGCTCATGTTTCTGCAGCCT
This sequence comes from Homo sapiens, assembly GCF_000001405.40. Classification (NCBI taxonomy): domain Eukaryota; kingdom Metazoa; phylum Chordata; class Mammalia; order Primates; family Hominidae; genus Homo; species Homo sapiens. The sequence goes on along the minus strand of NC_000012.12, from coordinate 17,526,757 downwards.
ATACAGGAAGCATGGTGCTGGCACCTGCTTTACATCTGCTGAGGTGCTCAGGCTGGTTATATTCATAGCAAAAGTTAAGAGGAGCTGGTGTGCAGAGATCATATGGTGAGAGGTAGCAAGAGAGAGGCGAGAGAGGTAGGAGGCTCTTTTTAACAGCCAGATCTCATGGGAAATAATAGAGAAGTCACTCACTGTCTCAAGGATGACACCAAGCCATTTATGAGGGATCCATTCCCATGACCCAAATACTCCCCCACTAGGTTCCACCTCCAATATTGAGGATTTAATTTTAACATGAGGTTTGGGGGACAGAGAAGCAAACTAAAGCAAATATATTCCCTTCATACGATTATTCTGAAGATGTCATGACATAACAGATATCAAGTAGTATGCCGCAATACACAGTAATTGTAGTTTTTATTATTGTGTTCCTATATTTTATGCACATATATTTAACATTCATCACGCTTATATATTTATGCACAGACATATATACAGATAATATTTATCTGCTAAACTGTGGCCTGTTTTGAAGTTTCATATTTCACCCTTATTACCTCAATTTCCTGCAAAATGCTTGGAACAAAGAGGAATTCAATAGATATTTGGCAAAACAATACAGTTTTAAATATCTCACATAATTTTTAAGTTATACTAGATGTTCAGTAAAGAATAGTTTGCTTGATGGCATATGTATTAACCACACATGTGAATAAGATTTACTTCATTGAATTTATACACAATGAGATTGAGAAAGGGCCACTGTATACCCAAACGCTGACATTGAACAAAATGAAAAGAACATGAAAATAGAGCCTCTGCTCACTCAGAAATGATGAATACAGTATGTTGCTACAGAAGTATGGTATCATGGCATTGATATATACACTATTAAGAAGTACAAGAAGTATAAGGGAGCTATATTAATTTCATTATAATGAAAACGGAGCATAAGACTTTTCTTGTAATGTGTCTGTAATTTTAAGGGCTTGCTCTTATGTAAGCCCTTAAATAGCCTTTGCAAAATATGTTATGTAAGATATTTTCCAAAACTGAGAAAAAAATAGAAAAAAATGTTTAATTTTTGAATTGTAAATCTACCTCCAGATATAAGTGGTAGTGATAAACATTTAAGAAATATTTTTAAGTTTACTGAAGTAGTAACAAGAATGCTAATTACAATAACAAATAAATATATAACCTGAAAACCTTAGCAGTAACTCTTCATATCAGCAGGCTTGGTCTGTGAGTGCAACAACATGAGGCTTCTTCTTTGAAAGTCTCTCCTGCTTAATATTTATATTTATATCACCTCATGAGTATTGCTGGGACATTCTCCCTCTCACTCTCTTAACACTTTTGTAAACTGTCTAGTTTGTCCTCTGATGCCACATTTCTCCTTACCTTCAGTAAATTTTGCTTACGTAGAAGCATATTTTGGTCCAATGTGACCAGCATTGTTTAAGTAGCGTTTGCCTGATCAAAATACACGTTCACATTTTGTAAAAGGTGGCACAAAATTTCTTTTTATGGCAAGTCACACAGACATTGCTGCTTTTAAACAATGGGTAAACGCGCATCCGTAAATGTGATATTGAAGGGTATTAACACTGAATTCCACTTGCATGATTGAGGAAACACCCTAAATTGGTAATAACGCACATATATTTTCAAATTTATTCTGCTGTTAGAAATATTTTATGTTAAGCATTGCCCCAAAGGTATTGAATTACTGAGTCATTATAATGGTGACAGCTGTTACCCCCTCAACACACACACACACAAACTCGTATCTATATATATTGCCCTTTCAGTACAATTTTAAATTTATATAGTATATTATTGGTTGATTTTTGAAATTTTCATTTTAAATCAATGTGTGAAAAGGTTTTAATAATTAAGACTATTTAAAAACAAACTTCTTATCAAACGTATTGAAATTTCTAGCTGGGCTGAACCAATACTATATTAGGGTCCAAGAGATTACTATCAGCAAGGTTCTGGCGGAAAAAGTTCACACTGATCAGAATGGTAGTAAATGCTTGGTGAGAAGAGAGATCCAGAAAAAATAATTGATTTACTTATTCACATTACTTCCAAGATTCAAAGAAATGAGTGTAATTAAAACTCATAATGATTTACTGAAGGAGGTTATAAAATTTTGTCAGCAGGGTCATGTAAATTTAGGACTACATTGTAGAGCCACTCCCTCCTCCAACCAGATCTTTGAAAGCAGCATTATTATATGCCAGGTACTATTCTAAACATCTCTCCCTCTCTTTATGAATGCATCCATATATTCATACACACACATATATACATGTATGTGTATACATTATGTATATACTATATATAAAGTATATACATAAACTTATTAAATTTTCTGAACTTTTTCTATGCTTGGTAATCTTTTAACAGAAGAAGAAATTGAGCCCGGAGAGATTAGGTAAATTGCTGCAGGTACCAGAGTTGGTAAGTGGTATGACTGTGTTTGAAGTCAGCCAGATTGACTCAGAAGCTGTAGTCTTACTACTACTCAGCTGCTAATGGTAGAATTGGTTAAAAAGAAATGGCATTCTGCTTTTCAAAGACAGATTTTAACAAATCATAAAAATGTAATCAGAGCAGGTAACTGCTCCCAGGAGGGGTAAAACAGAGCAAAACTCATCTCTCCTTAATAATGGAGAGGAGGTTAACAGGTCACAACAAACTATGGACAAAAACTGTACCTGGAGGATTATAAGTGTATTAGTCAGTTTTCATACCGCTATAAAGAACTACCTGAGACTAGGTAATTCATAAAGGAAAGAGGTTTAATTGACTCACAGTTCGGCATGGCTGGGGAGGCCTTGGCAAACTTACAATCATGGAGGAAGGCGAACGGGAAGAGACACTTTCTTCACCAGGCAGCAGGAGGAAGTGCCGAGTGAAGGGAAAAGAGCACCTTATAAAACCATTAGATCTCATGAGAACTCACTCACTATCACGAGAACAGTGTCGGGGAAACCACGCCCATGATTCAATTACCTCCACCTGGTCTCTCCCTTGACACGTGGGGATTATAATTCAAGATGAGATTTAGGTGGGGACACAAAGCCTAACCATATCATTAAGTTGTTTTGTTTTTTTCTCTACAGAAAATACATGCTTATTTACAGGAACGGTGGGTTTATGTTCACAGGTAACACAAATTTCTGGGGACAACTGCAGAGGAATTAGAGTGCCCACATTCATTCTTAGGCAAGAGTCCCTATGGAGAACATTAAAAGATGTTTACTAAATCCTAAAGAAGTGCCAAAATTTTCAAATCCAGGAAGAAATGAGATAGGAAAAAATACTGTGAGGGGATAAGAGCATTTTTAAGGGGTTTGGGGTGGTTTACAGATTGATACTCTTAAGGAAGACTGCACTAAGTTAGGAGGAGACAGAGGAGAAAAAAAGTGTCAGATTCTAATTGAATACACATGGGAAACTGGTCCTTGCAAAAGTCCACATTTTCCTTTACAAGACCAAGGGAAAGTTTAAATTGGCATGCAAATTTTTAATTCTCTATTGTGATACTGTGATGCTCTTTTGAGATGTACCCTGTCTTCATTTAATGCATCCTATATTTATAGTAAAGCCTAGATGATTCGGTCAAGCAGCCGCTGGTGGGCAAGCATGCCACTGCATCTCCTTATGAGCTGCAGCAAAAAGTGCTGGCAAGGTGCTCGCTCTTGTCAGGGGATTAGGGTGTGGCATCAGTCACCTTCAGGTGTAAACCCTATTTCGCGGGAAGTATTAGAGAAATCCCAGGCTCACTAAAATCAGTAAATCAAAACTTTTTTATTGCTGCCTAACCCTACCTTACCCATACTCAATACAGCTAACAGTGATCCCCCTTATGCCATGAAAAAAGAGTGTACTGGTTACTACTGTTTCATTTTTTAAAATAATGTTCCCATGTGCCATAAGTTTTCATGCGTTGGGAGTGTTTAGGTGAATTACGTTTACACAATCTAGCAATCTCTCAAAGTCTCATTTAGCTATGTGTTTCCAGTACAATCCATTACTTTGCCCAGTATTGTCAGACCAATAAAAATCAGAAGTTATCATCCCATGCTCTCAGTAACTCTTTATCACGGCATTGTAGGTTAATTTAGCATACTGAAGTGATTGTCCTTTTCCAAAGAATAATTCTGAAACACTTTTCATTTCACACTAAATTAATAATTTTAGTTTAATTATATATTGATGTTTGGAGAAGTAATCAAGTGGAGTATTACAGGCTGAAAAAAATCACAATAAAAGGAAAGAGGAAATTGTCCCCAAAGTGCTTCCCAATAGAGAATTCTATATTTAGAAAGAAAGAAAGAATTCTAAATAAAGAAGCTATTTCTTCATATCTATAAAATATTATCTTGTAGCAAAGGATAACTTTTATAAAAGGAATTAAAAATAAAGAAATTAATAGCACACATCATTGTCAGTATTTTATTTATATGTGTGTATGTATTTTGTGGGGAATTGAGAAAGGGGAAAGAAAGACAGAATAGAGAATGAACTGTTTCATAGCACTGAATTTTCAACACTGTAAGACTAAACAAATCCCACTTATTTGTATTGCAAGTATTTTAACCAAATAACTTATTAAAGTAGATTATCAGCTAAGGAATTGTCCCTTTTAACACTAGTTTGTCTTTCTACTAAAAGCAGGCAGAAGCTTTTCTAGCAGACAAATTAATATCCATGTTACAGAGTTCATGGGCAGAGTTATCAGTGTTATATCAACCCACTACCTATAGCATAATTAAAAATTAAATGTATCTTAATTATAGCACTAACTAGTAAGATATCGACAGTCATAATTACATACTGAAATTCTCTAGGCTCTGTTAATTCCAAAATTAAGATATTTCAAAAAATGTGGCAAAAAAAATGTCATATTACTATGTAGTTTATTAATAAGAATGTTTCTATCCACTATTTTTCATGCTGTATTAACATGTGATATTTAACAATACCATCTGACAGCTTTACAGGAAACTGCTGTTCTTAAAATTGGTCTACACAAGTTCTATTGTTCTCACCATGTAAATGTTTTTTATTCTTAAACATTTTTCACTTTAGAAAGCTGATTTAACTCAGAATAAATATAATGTGCTGGCATTTAGTTTGTTTGGACTGCATCACTGTGTCAAACTTAGGTAAAGACAGTCAAGAGAAAGATTCTGAATAATGGCTGCACTGAATTTTTTTATTATTAACAAAGGAAGAATTATTTAAAAGATGCAATCTCTTTTTCTTCCAAAGGTGAATATCTAATTGTGAACCTTGAAAGGTGAATTATGCTAATACTATTTAGAATGGTCTTACTAATTTTGTTAGTATAGATTAAGGCTCTAATTGATATTTAAAATGATAGCCTAACTGTGTGCTACTCTGTAGAAACTAATTGAGTTTTGTGCATATATCTGTATCTATAGCTATGTTTATAAGTACGTATGCATAGACAGATAGATTGAAATAGCTATAAGTGCTTTAAAATATATTAGAGGATTATCACAAAGCTTTGAGTTTTCAATGTTGTTTATATTGAACACCTGACCATTTCTCGTTTGCCTTCATTAGCTGAGTACAGCTTTTGACCTTAAAAGGGTAGCATTTACATAGGAAAGCTCATCTTATCAGAATGCATCATGATATTCCCCTAAAGGAATAATACATATTGCAAATTACTAGAAAAAGGTCATTATTGTATTAAGTTAAATACTGCTTTTAAAAAAAAAATCAGATAGGTATTAGCTTCTGAGTGAGAAAACTTCAAAAATTATATATTTTCAAGCTTTTCCTAATCTACATAAGACTGCTTTAGAGCCCATTAAAATTTGAAAGTTTTATTTGCAAGAGTTTAATAATGTTGCATTTTTTAGGGATACATGTGCAGTACCAGGCATTCATCATGAACCTAGTGAGTTACCTGCAAAGAACCACAGAATCCTTTTAGAAAAATCTAGTAGATTATTAATTTTAAAATAGGTTTTGAAACCATCTTTATTTAAGGTATTATAATCAAATCTCATTGCTATATTTTCTAGAATAATAAGAGAAAAGCCTCACTAGGCTGCAGTAAAATCATAAAATGTGGACAATTGTGATTTCATCTAATAATACTTTCTAATTTCCAATAAATATTCTATAATCATTGTATAGACCCTTACATCTAAACTTATATTTTTCAAGTTTTTTTTGTTAGTTTGGTGATTTTGCATTTTATTGGTGTAAGAATGCAGCAGATTCAACTTTCTTATTTATATATACAGTAAATATTTGATACCCTTTTCAATAATATAATGCACTCAAAAGATTTCATAGCTGAATAACAAATTTTCAAATTACATAAAAATGTAGAACATATGCTTATGGAAAAACAAAGAGCATTTAAAGGAGGCTGATATTAATGGAATAGCTAGAAAAAAGGAATTGTAAGATTTATTTTTTATTTAAAATCTTAAACTGAATTAAAGGCACTAACCAATGAGCAGTGATTTTAATGAATGTACACTATCTTTAAATATAAATTTTACTATTCACTTTCAATCATTCCACAAATATTTATTGAGCACCTTCTGTGTGTGATAATCAAAACCAGGGATTGGGAATGAGTGGCACAGGCCTGAAGAAACTCACGATTGAAAGGAGGAGTTGACTAAAGAAGCATATTATTATGAATGTATGTTTTAATGGTCTTAATACTGAGATACACTCAGCGTAGAGTATTTAACACAGAGAGACTTGCAATAATTTTCAGTGATTTGTGCTGCAGTGAATCCACTGTCAAAAGTAAAAGAGTCTTTTTATTTTAGTGCCTAACAAAAATAAGAAGTTGATAATAAAACAAAGTCACCAGTATACTTTACACTTACAGCTTTCAGCTAGAAAAAAAGAAAAAAATCATTCAAGATTTAGACAGCAGTTTGTCCTTTGATTCTAAACTCGGTGACTTTTCAGGTGGAACGGTGATATAGATATTAGAGGAATTGGAGATAATCATTAGATTTCATCTAATAATACTTTCTAGTTTCTAATAAATTAGAAAGAAAGTCATTCCACTGTTATTTTTGAGAAAAGCAACTAATTATTTGGGTAGTTCTAACTCCATTTAGTGTGTTAACTACACAGAGCTGCGAAGCTGAGAATCTCTCTGTATCACTTACACAGATACCACACACCTAACCCTAGCTCATGTCTGTTTTCTTCTGCCTTGTATTAATGTCTTTTTATTGTTTTTTTATGGTGTTTTGCGTGATCCTTAAATAGGCAATATGAATATCTGGGTTAGATTTTATTTTTAATAAATATATGTATTAGGATAATATTAATTTTGAGATAAATAAAATCATGCTTCCAAAATAGAAGAAAAATATTTAATTTATCACAAAAAGTTGCCCATGTAAGTAGATGAGGTCCTATCTACTCAGTCCTCATAGCCATCCCTGCATATGTTTATCACATTTGATTTACAGCCAGTGATCTCAAACACCTTTAATCTACAGGCATTTTACCAGACACAAACAAATCTAAATATTAGATGACTTTTTGCATAAATATATAAAGTGCACAATTCTGAGATTCACTTTGGTTTTCTCGTCACTTAGCAACATCTATATTTTACAGCATTCTAAAAAACTTTTTGTTATAGAAGTGATTTATTTTGTTCATGTCTTTGACTTATATCCTTCATCGAGTTTGACTTCTATGATTTTCCAGATCTGTGACTCTTATGCTATTATTTTCATCATTTAAAGTATGTTCGTGTTTTGGGCTGCCTAGATATCTATGATTCAGCTGTGATCTGCATGACTGAAACCGAAATCTTTTTGGTGTGTCTGCATGTGGTACAATGTAGGCAAATAAACAGAGCTACTCACAAACACCAAAAAGTCAATATAAGTGTAGTGCCTTGACTTGCAGACTCAGCTTCTCATTTAGACATTAGCAGACGGATAGCAATTCTTTAACATCAGATGAGACAGGTCGATTCAAGCGTGTGAAAAGTCACCTTGCTAGGTCTGCTTTGCCAGAGAAGATACCTAGTTACAGATTCCACTAGTTATCTCCAAATTATTATTCACCTTATTAGCATTTACTTGGCACATGCAATCAGCTAAACATAGTACTTAGCACTTGCCTCAAACAGTTTGAGGTTTGTAAGACAAAAGAATTCTAGCAGAAACTAGTATTATAAAATTCCTCATTTTTGGTCATCATTTTATATGGCAGAGAGTATGGCATGAAAAGTATATATATATTCTTTGCTAAATATATGTACATATATCTATATATATTTGTCTATGTGTATCTCTATATATAGATATAGAGACAGTGTGTGTGAGAGAGAGTGAGTGCAAATGTATGGAGACTGAGATTATTCTCAGACGTTCCAAGAGCAACAAACAAATACAAAACAATTTTACCGGTTCTCTCAACTCATTTCTTCTCTGATGTACCACTCCCTCCACAACAAGCTGAAATAAAAAAATGACACAAGTGAACAGAAGACTGCCAGTATTAGAAATCCTGGTAAAATCGATTCCTTTGTATCGTCACTAATATCTGGAGAAGTGTTATATAGCTCAGGAAAAAGTAGTGTAAATAGAATAAGGACTAAAAGTTTAAAAAGTACACATTATTTCACCTTGGCTTGGATGCTTAGGTGTTCCTACCCCTTTCTGTGCAAACTCATGACACTATTCAACTGTATAAGGTTCTCAATTCTATTCAGTGCAATAGGAACAGGTGTACACTACAAAACATAAAATTATTCTTCAAATTATATTATTGGCATGCTAGCACCTTCTAAAACCAAATACGTGGCCATTAACCTTTGCTCTGGTGCTTTTTTTTTCTTATTTCACATGCTGCATGCATATGTCCTAATTAAAATATACCATAATAACAACATTCTTGTTGTTTACTGAAATAAAAAATTGAAGTCCTTTAAAGCTTTGACACAAAATTGCATTCTTAATGTGAGTACTGAGTGTTTACCTGCTAAAATTTTATTTTTTTTAATGTCCACTTTTGGCATGGACATTTCTACTTAAAACAGGCATTTTCTAATAAAAAAAAAAAGCTAAACTGTCATGTTTTCAATTGCATCAGGAAATGTTATAGTTGTCACTGGTCTTAAAAATGAATATGTTATTGATGTTTGCAATATATACTATAGAAAGATGGTATTAAGTGAATTAGCGTTTAAATTACACAATATATGCACTATCCATATATGTAATATAATAGATAAAATATGCATTAAATATAAAGTATATATATATGCAAATAAAAGTACAAAATACTATTTTTAAGGTAATATCTGTATGACTTCAGCTTGGAAAGAGGGCAGTGCTTTTGCCTTATTTCCTCCCTAATGTGACTTTTGCTGAAACCATCCTTAATATATCCATGTTCCTGACAAGAACCTCAACATTAGCGGTGGCAAATGTATGTAGGAGTGTGTCAAACTTTACATCTATTTGTTTGGAACCAAACTAAAGATACGATAAAAACACTTTTAAAAATGCTTATGATGTACTTAAGTAATTATTGTATACCGTATGAATATGTGGTAATACAATAGCTTTAATAACATATTTGCTGTCTAAAGACAACATTTTTGTTTGGTTCTGTGTATTAACAGTTAAAAAGTCAATGGAGATAATCATATACTTCAGAAAGAAGATATATTTTCAGAATAGATTATTTCTGAAAAAGAAGAAAGTCCTTAAGCATTTTCAGCCTACATGTCAGTTTCAAAAAAAAAAGAATTAGAAGAAAACACAAAAGAAATCACCCATAGATTACCTTGAGGCAATTTATACCAGTCATTCCTCAAGATTCACAGGGGATTGGTTCCAAGACACCGCCTACCTACATCACAAAATTAGAAAATGTTCAGGTCCCATAGTTGGCCTAAGGAGGGCCAACTGTACATGGCAATCTTCTTTTTTCCTGACTCTTTTTTTGTGAATTTATGTACTTACTAAATTTAATTTTTAACCCTCAAATTAATATTTGCAGCACAGTCATCCAAGGGCATGTGCAGACTGGTGAGAAATATGAGTTACCTGACTTGTACATCACCAGCTGAGATCTAACAAGACAACACTTTGCTTCTTGTTTCAGCTATCTATCATACTATAAATAGGTGTCCTGTTTTGCAATATATTTAATGTCAATATTTTTGCACTTTTATGGCTTTTATTAGTGATTTAGACGTTTATAACAGACCCCCAAGCACAGTGATGAAGTGTTGTCTAATGTTCCTAAACACAAGAAGGCTATGTACGTTTTGTTATACATGATTCCTGTTGTCCATGAATTCAATGGTAATGAATCAACGATATATTCTAAAGTTTTTAAAACAGAAACATGCATAAAACAAGGTTATATCCTGATCAGTTGAGGTAAAGATTTGACCAAAAGCTATTAGGAACCTAGCCCTGTATTTCTCCTAGGAGCAATTGTTCAACATATGCTCATCAGTGTTTGTGGCAGATTGCAGAGCATAAATGCCAAGAATAATAAGAGTTGGCTGTAATTTATTTTTAATTCTTTCTACTAATTTCCTGAGACACAGTAACCTCTTTCCAACAATGACAGAGTATGTCCATTTTAAATTCAAGTTAGTCTTAAACTCTGAAAACATCATGGTGGCATTGAACAAAGACACAATTTAGGTAGTGATGTAGTGACAATATATACATTTATATAGTATTCCAATAATGGCAAAATATTAAACAAGTATTTTTCACGTACTGACATGTGCCAAGCACTTTATTAAACACTGTATTAAGCCAAAATATAAATGATCTTATTCTCTACAAGCTCTGGTGTAAGACTTAATCTTGAATAAGTTATAGGCATCAGTCAAATAATCACACAAATACATTGAAAAATTCTACTGAATTTCATGATAATGAATAGATGCACATAGCTGTGTAAATGTTTATATTGTGTTGAAAAAGAAGCTTGAGGAGTCTTTCCTGAGGATGTGAACTGGGCTGAAACGTGGAGAAAGGAGTAAAAATGGAAGTTCACTAAAGGAAGAGAAGAGAACTCCAGACAGAAGCAGAGATGTGGAGAAGCACTGGGTCAGGGGAAGGGGTGCATGGTGAACATCAAAGGCTGAAAAAAGAATGCTGTGGCTGGAGTTAAGGTGGCTTGGAGGAGCATGGTACATAAAGGGCCTGGAGAAGAACAGAGAAATAAATTTAAGCTTGTAGGGTCTTCAGGCAATTTAAGGAATGTATTTATTTCAGAAGCCATGGAAAGGCTTGGAAGGTTTGAATGAGAAAGATGGAATTATTAGACTTATGTTTTAGATAGATAGCTTATATCACAGGGTGAGGAATGGATGGGATAAGTGGCAGTATAGATACAGGTCAATCAGTTTAAACGCTATTAACAATGGTTCAGAGAAGAAACGATCTATTCTGGGATAGAGTGAGTGCTGGAGGGAGACGAAAAGTGGACAAATTTGAAGGATATTCAAACACATGATTACAGTAGCTGCTCTGTAACACAATTGTCACAATTCTGTAGTTGAAGACAGTGAGGCTAAAGAGGTTAAATGATTATTCTGAGGAGACAGAGCAAGAATAAGCAAAAGAGTAAGGATTAGAATCCAGTTGTTGTGACTCCACATTCATTGCAAAGTGATTCAAAGGTTCCAAATCCCTTCAGGGATGACTCCAGAATGAGAAAACTAGTGTGAGAACATAATTCTAATCTCACCCTCCTACTCCCACAAGACTCAGTTAAAAACTCAAGATTCAAGTGGCTCCTTTGTATGATAGGGAAAGACATGTTAGACCTGTAGAGGGTTATTCTTTTTCTTTCACTCATTTATTTTCATTAAAAACATCAGCCTTTATTTTAGTTTCTGGGGGTACATATGTGGGTTTGTTGCATAGCTATATTGCATGATACTGAGATTTGGGGTACTAATGATCCCATCACCCAGGTATTGAGCAAAATATCCAACAGGCTGTTTTTTTCAGTCCTTTCTCCCATCCTTCTCTCTAGACTCAAGTAGTTCTCATTGTCTATTGTTTCTATTTTCATGATCATGCATACCCCCACATTTAGCTCACACTTCTAAGCCAGAACATGCAATATTTGGTTTTCTTTTCCTGCATTAATTTGCTTAGGATAAATAGACAGGTTCTCAACAAATATCAGGGAAAGGAGATCAAAAACAGCATCATGTCATGAGGAAAAGCACATGAAGAGAAAAATCAGGGGTTTTTAACTAATTCATGTATGTGAAATTTTAGAAGGATAAAGAGTTTAGAGTTTATTTATATATTTATTTATTTGTTTTGTGAGACAGAGTCTTGTTGTTGTTGCCTAGGCTGGAGCACAATGGTGCGATCTTGACTCACTGCAACCTCTTCCACCCAGGTTCAAGCGATTTTTCTTCCTCAGCCTCTAGAGTAGCTGATATTACCGATGCCTGCTATCATGTCCAGCTAATTTTTTGTATTTGTAGTAGAGATGGGGTTTCACTATGTTGGCCAGACTGGTCTCGAACTCCTGACCTTGTGATCCACCCGCCTCGGCCTCCCAAAGTGCTGGGATTACAGGCATGAGCCACCCCACTGGGCCATGAGTTTATTTATTTTTTTGAGGGGACAGATAATTTCAGATATACTTTTATTCAACTTTTGCTGTAGACTTTATTTGGAAATACTTTGAGACTTTCAGAAAAAATTGCAAGTATAGTACAGAGTCCCCCTATACCCACCACATAGCATCATCTATTGTTAATATCTTGCAATATCTAATAAAACCTATAATATCTTGAATTATACAAACCAAAAAATTAACAATGGAACAATACCATACCTAAAATGCGGACATTGTTTAGATTGCCCAAATCTTACACCAACATCAGGATTCAATCTATGATACCAATTGTATTTAAATGCTGTGCCTTCTTCATCTTCTCCACTCTATGACAGATCCTCATGGAAAACTTGTTTCTCATATCCTTCACACTTCTGAAAAGGATTATTTAGGTATTTCATAGGATATCTCTTAATATGGGTTTGCTTGATGTTTTCTCATGATTCAATTGAGGCTATGAATTTTGGAGAAGCCTACCACAGAGATGATATTTTTTTTCTTATCGTGTCAAATTGGGGGTACATGAGAGCAAAATGTCTCATTACTGCTGATATTAACCATTTAAGGTGGCATCTGCCAGGTTTCTCTGCTGTGAAGTAAAATTTTTTCCCTTTCCATATTACATACGCATTGCATGACTCCTACATCCAGCCCACATTCAAGGAAAGAGGAATTAAGCTTCACTTCTTGGGAAAAAAATGAAAGAATATGTAGGCCTATATTAAAATCACAAGAGTAATTAATAGACATTTTGGAAGAGATAATTAGAGGCTTTACAAATATGCCATTTGTCTTCCAACTTTTGCCCAATAATGTCAGTATTCAGTAGTGGATCTGGCCTGAGGCATTTAGTGCAGTGGTATTCTAAAGGTGATTTTCCATTTTCCGCAGTCGTTTATTTATTAATTATAATTGCATAAGGAAAATCTTTTGTAAGATTTTTTTCCTGTGTGATATATTGTGTAAAATTTGTATCACTATGTGTTACTCCTTTAAACAAACACTTAAAAATGTGCAACTATTATTTTCGGGACTTTGCTAATGGAATTGATGCAGCCAACCCATATTAAATTTGATGTTGAAAAAGCAAGGTTCTGGCTGGGCGTGGCGGCGCACTTTGGGAGGCCGAGGCAAGCGGATCACGAGGTCAGGAGATCGAGACCATCCTGGTAAACACAGTGAAACCCCATCTCTACTAATAATACAAAAAAATTAGCCGGGCGTGGTGGCGGGCGCCTGTAGTCCCAGCTACTCGGGAGGCTGAGGCAGGAGTATGGTGTGAACCTGGGAAGTGGAGCTTGCAGTGAGCTGAGATCGCGCTATTGCACTCCAGCCTGGGTGACAGAGCGAGACTCCATCTCCAAAAAAAAGAAAGCAAAAGAAAAAGCAAGGTTCTAGTATATGAAGACTAGCAGGCTCTTCAGACTAAACCAGTCCAGGGCTCTTGGTGGAAATGCCATCTTCTAATTTGCTTCCATCAGAGGGTCTAGAAAACAACAACAACGACTCCAACAACAAAAAACGGTGTCTTGGATAGTCAGGTTCTCAGCTACCATTGCTTCAGCGTGGAGTGGCAAACATACTAATAAGGGAACAAGGGGTGAATTGTCCAGGACTTTGCTTTCTCATATTTGTTGCCATTGCACTGTGAAGGGGCATTGTGTGACCAAAACACACTTCTGAAAAAGCATTGAAATGGCATTTACTTCTAGAGAAATTACCATGTCTTCTAGGAACAAATTATAGTAAACTCTACCTCTTTAATGAAGGCAATAAAATTATCAGGAGAAACAAAAAAAGTTAAATGCCCAATCCAGAAGGAAAAGAAGTGAAATGGGAAGAAAGTATGTTGTTAGTAAAAGCAAACACAGACACACACACACACACATACACACACATCACAATACATCTATTAATGCATATAATTTTAGGTTTTACTTTTTAAAAAAATGTTTTCTCTACCTCCACTCTTAAGTTGTGTAATGGTTTTGCCTTTCTCAGAAGATGATGTTTTAATATGAATATTTTTATTTATTAGAGCTTAAAAAGGGCTGCTCATTCTGGGGTAGAAGGAGTGGGAAAGAAGTCTAAGAAAAGATTAATAAGGTCCCCACGCACAGTGTATGGGTTTTTATCAGGGGTAGGATACAAATTCCTCAGTTCTGAAGTGAATGAGTAGAGAGGGACCTAGAGAATTTAAAAAGATATCTAAAGATAAATTATAAGATTTCCTATCTGATACACTGTAAAACTTCTGTCCCTTCAAGAAACACTGAAGTAAGCTTCAAATTACTCTCAGAGACTTTTGAAGTTGAATTGACATTTCTTTGACTGATTGTGTTCCAAGGACTCATTTTAAAGAAAGAACAGGTAGTCTTATGTTGTGTCAATTATACAAAGATGAGTTTTCCCAAGAACCTGATATGTTCCTGAAGAGTTCACAATAAAATGGTCTTGTTTTATTTACTCACAATAGTCTTCTACTACTCGCCAGTAGGGGCTCTCCACTCCAATATGTTGGTTTCCTGAGAATTCTTTTATAGATACCATTCTTTGTTTTGAGGTGCTCTCTATCAGTTTTCAGCCAATTCAAGTTTTAAACATTTCTCAAAGAGACTCTAAGCATCATAAAAGCAGACACAGCTTTCCTCATAAATGTAATCCTTTGGAGTGATTAGGAAGAAGCCTGGTATAAGTAGTTATAACAGCTTCCTAAATTCAACCCAAACCTTGCTTTCCTCCTGAGGCCTTTCCTTTTGACAATAACCCATGATGTTTCATTTCACCCTCTGAATTTACAGAGAACCTGAGTTTGCATGATTTTTTCCTGCCTATATAAATTTATTGGTAATTGAAGACATATATTTGTATTTAACTGTAAAGTAATTAAATAGGTGAAGTGTTTAGCATAGCACCGGCCAGCTATAGGTATCTAATTTCTAAAATGGCTGAATATACATAATAGACTCCAGTGATACTTGCGCACTTGACTTGAAAAGAACACAGATAGAGGGTGAAATCAAATAGGTCATAAAAGAGAAATATTAGGATATCTTAGAATTCAAATGTCACACACTTAAGTTTTATACTTTCTTTTCCAATTGCTGCTTTTTCTCTTTTTCTCACTTTGTAGTTTCTGAATATGATGTTTCCTGTCCTCAACCAAATTTCAAAATTGGTGCAACAAATTCTATGAGGCATATCCCCATAAATGTAACTAAAGGAAAGCAATTGTGAATTTTAGATACTGTTGCATAGTATTATGGAGAAAACTGACTAGTTTCTCCTCCCAATTTATACTATCCTCTTACTCACTAACTTCTGTTAGTTCACCTTCCATAACGTGTATCACATTTTTTTTCTGCCATTGTTTTATTTGAAACTCTCAACTGAATTACTAAAATGGCTCTTTTACTAGATTTACTACCTCAAATCTGTACTTTTTCATAAGTATTTTTCTTTTTTGAACTAGACTTTGCCTCCAAAAAGGCAAATCTCCTCATGTAATCCACAGATTATGTTGTCCAATGTCTACTCATTGCTCCAAGGGAAGATAATTTTAGGTCACTGTATATAAGTTTAACATTTCTGTATAGATGCACAAAATCTGTTTGCTTATTAAACTGATGGATATTTATTAAGCAACTACTATATCCCAGGCAAAATAAACCCACCTGTACCAGAGGACTTAGAGCCCAATGTTTGGATTTGAATTGAGCCTACTACCACATTTGAGTTACGTGACCTTGAGTTAACTTCATGAATCTTAGTTTTTTTATAATAGCACCTATCTCATTGTGTAGGTGAAGATTAAATGAGAAAATTCATGTGGAGCATTTAGTGTCATTCCTGACACACAGGAAGTTGTAATAAATGTTACCTATTATTATTATTGTTTATGAAACACAACAGTCCAAAATCAATTACAAAAAGGAGATATATATTCACATAATTCTACTTAAACTATGAAAAAATAACTCAACTAAATATTTCCATCTAATAATCTATAAAATTATTAATAATATACTTTAAAATCTACATATATAACATACTGTGTATATATGTAGATTTATAAAAACAACAATTAATAAAAATAATAAAGTTTCAATACATGTTTCATCACCCTGGGGCAAATATATAAACATAGTGTTTATATATTATACATATAAAACATAGTGTTTATATATTATATAATGTTTATATATTATATAATGTTTATATATTATATATATAAATAGTATTTATATATTATATTTGCTCCAGGGGGATGAAGCATGTATTGAACTTCTGTTATTTCACCCATAAAAATAATTAAATAAAACAAGAAATGCTCCTGACCATGGCATCACACATATATGATCTTATGAAGAAATCAGAGATTTTCTTTGACACAGTGGACTATGATTCATTGTTCAACTGCCTTCCAAGACTATCAAAAATTCATAGACATACAGTCTCAGGAGAGCCCAAGAGTAATCAAAGGATTATCAGGGAAATCAGGGCCCCAAAACTGTTTGTATAGTTGTTCATGTGGTAATTACTTATCCCATTCCTGTAGAGTTTGGTAGAAAAAGCAAGTAGAGTTGTCACTTGATGATAAGAATTTCTCTTATCTTTCCAGCTCCATCCACCTCTTCTTCCACCTGTCACTGAGTTATTTCACATAGACACTATTTCTCCCTGCGATTTTTGCAGAAGCTTCTGAACTGGAATATTTGTTTCTTAGTGTCTTCTATCAAAATCAAACTCTACGTTGATGGCAGAGAAGCTTTTTAATGCAATTTAGATTATGTCACACTCCTGCTTCAAACCTCCAGTGGCTTTCCACTGTCTTTGGGATGAAATCTGAAGTCCTTCTAATAAAGCATGAATTACTCATAATTTGGCTCTGACAACTCACTAGCTTCATCTCTCAACACTGCCATTTTGTATTGATGCGCAAAATGATTTTCTACATGATTCCCGGGTTTCCAAACTCCTTTTTATTTTCAGGTCTTATTCTTCTCCCCTAGTCTGTGCTCCTCTTCTACCTGACAAGGAAAAACTATTCATATTTCAAGAACAAACTTTTGCAATGATCTCCTTCTCTAACTCCAGCTTCAGTGAAAGTGACTACATGTCTCTAGAATGTGAAAGGATTTAAAAAAAATATATTTAGTGCGTTTCTCCCTATAATTGAACTGTCTTTTTACTGGAAAAAGGATAGGTGTGTGTATGCATGAAAAACTCAAACATCAGGTAGGCTTTTATCCCCATATTCTTAACAAATCTTGGAATGCATCTTATCATTAACACTGGATTAAGATATGTAATCATTTGTATATCTTAAGCTATGTAAGTGTGTAAATCAGCTGTGAGACTACATGTTTCAAATGCTCAGCACAGTACTTGAAACATAGTAAGCATCTTCCTCTTTGTTCAACACTTCGTCCAATGGGAAAGTCTCTAGACTGATATGAAATTAAATAAAGATAATTATAAAATAAAGCCATGACCAAAGAAATGGCTATTCCTAGTAGTAAAACAAAATATATTTAGTGAGTACAATTGAACATATTTCTGCTCACATAAAGAAAATATAACTTCTGTATTTTGTATAAATGATATCCTTTATCTCACTAGACTTGTGGTTAACTTGGGATAGGGGTTGGAGTCAAAGATGTATTTTCAATTTAGCTTCTCATTTCACATTTTTCTTAAAGTTTCAATAGTCCTCTTTTAGGAAAATGCCTCCAAGAAAATGTCCAGATGCTTTGGACTTTCTGTGGCCTCAAGGCAAAGGGAAAGTGAGTCTCAAGTTCCTTATTGTCTCCAAACTGTCCTCTAGAGCTCTGCTTTCTCTGTAGCAGAGGGTCTCTCTGGTCTGATCAGTGGGGCCATTGAGGTGAAGCTAAAAATATATGTGCAGCTTGTTCTCTTGAATCAGTATACAGTGGAATTCCCTTGCTTTAGTAGCTTCCTTTTGGCTTCAAAAAGATCTTCAGACCTGAGTCTCAGCTTCCTTCTTCATCCAGGCTGTGACTGAGATGGTCACATGTGGCCTTTTCAGCAGGATCATTTTGACTCATGCTACAGTGGTCCCCGTTAAGGATGCTAGCTTTCAACTCAGTTACTTTTTGTTTCCCTCTATGACACTAATACATTGCAAAGATTCCTAGGTCTGGCAGGGAGATTTTATTTATAATCCAGCTGCCAGAGCCAGAGGAATACTCACATAGTAAGTAAGGCAAACCGAATTTGTTACTCACAGAGGGGCAGGAAGAATCGGCAAAAGCCTAAGTTCTATGGCAAGCCTGACCCTTGAAAATATGGAAAGAAAATTTCCTGAGGTCAGGAAAGTTGCCCAGGGTGAATGGAGTCTCCTCTGCACATGTCCGACTTTGCACTGCAGCTGAAGAACCCCTAGATGTTGCATCCTAGGTCTTATACCCCACATGCAATTTGGCTCTCTGAGTTTAAGAGTTGCAGGAACGTCCTGTTCTGGGAGCAACGAAGACAAAGCCCAGACTGTTCCAGACAGGTCCTCCTTATCTCAAGATATTGCATTCTTGGAACATTCTAAAATTGTTCTGAGAACTGTGATTAGGAGGCACAGAAAGCTGAGTTGATCAAGGCCGTTCAGATCTTGTCCTCCTGCATACATCACATGGGATTCTTTTCCAACCCTCATGGGAGCCAAAAAAGCATGAGAGTGCTTGTTCTCTTTAAAATTCTGTGCTACGCTTTTCACTCAAGTGCAGCTACCCTGAGTTAGAATAGGGCCATCTGCATATGAATCTTCCCTCAGCATTTCAAATGATGTTTCCAATAAATACCCTCTGCTTTTGGCTTTTATCACCACCCGTCAAATTATACACACACACACACACACACACACGCACACAAACATATAGATGCACACATACACCACAATATACAGGAATTCTGGCCCAGTGAAGGGAGTGAGAACATTTATGTTAGCTTGCTTGATTTAAATACTTATGTTTTCCCTATTCTTCCTATATTTCGCTGGGTTATAAATGTTCTACTTCCTGTAACTATTGGGTAGGTTTGCGTAGGTATTGAGTAGAATTGGGCAGGATTATATCTTCTTTCTGAAGTGGTAGGTGGAAGATGAAAATGTTAAGTTTAGCTTCAATGAAGGACTAGATTCAAAAAGAGAAATTGTCTTACTGTGAAGGGAACACCCATTGAATGACATTTCAAAAATATTGTCTCCATTATATAGGGATGCAAAGTAGTGGAGCTCAATTTATATAAAGGTGACCATGTGATTATGCAGGGAGGCTTTGGATGCTAATGGCATATGGGAATAATAGCACTGCTATCAGTTTTGTCATTAACCTTCTATCTTAGTTCAAGCTACAAACACTGCATACTTAAAAAACAAGCAATCAACAAATAAGCAAACACACATGCAGTCACAGTCAACCTGGAGACTTAGTATTTCTACAGTAGTTTATAGAATTCCTTTTTCAGTTGGCCAAAAAGTGGATAAAAAAGATAGACCCGTATGATGAATGAGCCCTTGAATTATTTTTTGAGCTACATTTTATTATGTATGATACACAGCTACAAAAGGTCACAAGACTAATTAGTGGCAGGCTTATGATAAAAATCCAATGATTTGGACTCACCAAGAATTTTTGTCTAGATAAATTTCTTACTCCTTTCTCTTTAATTTTTTTTCAAATTCACTTATGTACAAGATTAGAATTTTTTTCTTTCATTCATTATCAAAATACTTAACTGCCTACGACCTAACATTATCTATTTGAAAATTTAGTTTCTGTGAGATGAGGCCCCTACAGTAACATCCTATAGAACTTTAGTTTTGTCTTCTTATCTAAATATAGTAATCATAAATAACAATGATTATATCATCTTATATTCTAATTTATGTTTGTTCTATTAAATAATGATTTCATGTAAATAATTTAATAATAATTTATCTCTTACAAACTAGTGACCTTGACATATTTTTTCATAAAAATGTAGAAAGATAATAAGCACTTTCTTTGGATTTAAGCCCTGCTATGGAGAACTCCACTTAAAAATATATTTAATAGCAAATGTTGCTGAATGTCAGAACATATATAGTATATTCATTTTGAAATAAATAATAGGATAATAGGTGTTTTATATATTTGCGTGGGTTGATTGTTGTTACTGGAAGGTAAAATTCTGTATTCATGTTACCATATACATGATCTTATGTGTATAAAAAGAAGAAAAATGAGAAGAAAGAAAAGAAAAACTGATATTGTTGAATTAAATTAGAATATAATTATTACTTCACATCTTCACAAAAGACATTTTGTAACATTTAAGATTTCTGCTAATTGCACAAGGTACATTATCATGCAAAAGAATGTTAGTGAAGGTTGAAAAGGACAAACCAACTATTCTCGTACATCACCATAATTATGCAGCCCCATGTTCGAACAATTACGTTTATGTAGACCCACTGTTAAAATCAATGTTACTTGTACAGCTAGTCCTTAATCAATGAAATCAGTCAATTTACCATCGTCACATCCTTCTTCTTAATTAAGACAGTGATATCTCTAGAGC
The DNA here is from genome assembly GCF_000001405.40 of Homo sapiens. NCBI lineage: Eukaryota > Metazoa > Chordata > Mammalia > Primates > Hominidae > Homo > Homo sapiens. The sequence continues at coordinate 17,505,514 of NC_000012.12, read as the reverse complement.
GCAAGGTCTCAAAGAGATAAATAAGTACAGAGGTTGGGAAATGTCAAAGAGGTGACTCCCCGATTTTACTCCTGACAAACTTGGGAGGAAATAAGACAGTTCCTTAAGCTCAGAGAAGCAGCACAATCGTCTAAAGAGATGGCTTAGCATTCATTAAGAAAAGAGCAGGTAGTGGTGTCTGACAGAAATAGCACTAATGAGCAAAGAAGGTTTTCAACATACATATCCTTCATAGTCATACTCTGAATTATGAAGGTTGTGCCACCTAAGCCAATTTTAATTAGAGTGAGCATGGACCTCTTTGGACAGTTAGCCTTTCTTTCCAAAATCCATTTCAATATGGTGTCATTTTGTTGTCATAATCAAAATGGCAAAGTGATGGAATAACCTACTTAAAATGTCTGTGGTGTTAAAGCAGATATGGCAAACATCCTCTAATGACACATGTAATAAGGGTATTACCTGGAGGACTTTGACAGTATGCTCTCCATTGTCATTGGAGCAGGAATAATGATAGAGGTGACAATAGAGGTCTTCAAAGATCCAGTTTCGACTCTGTCCCACCAATGGACTGTAAAAGTTTCATTTATTGGAAAGAAAGGAAATAGAAAAAAAAAACAGCTCTATTAAAAATAATAAATGTATATCTATTACATTGAATTTTTAAAATTTTCACGAGGCACACTATCATTGTACTTTCACGCTGGTATTAGCCGTCTTCTTCTGTTCTAAGAAAAGCCCTTGCCAGGCCATATGAAAATAAATGAAAAACAATAAATACATAATATTGATATGTTTTCTTAAAAATAGATTTCTCTCTTCACATCATAATTATTCAGATCAAAATAGGGAAAGGAAATTTAAAATAAAAACTTAACTTATTATCCAGACATGATTATATATGAACACAAAGGAGTGATAAACTGCCTGTGTTCCCAGTAGTGGATAACATTGCAAAAACACGTGAAACATTAATGTATAATGATGCTACAAATTTGGAACAAGTAACTTCTATTATATTTACTAGCCTATATTAATTATATATATGCTAGAAAAAATGGTGAGCATGGCTTTTATCAATAAATATTATTACCATAAGTTTTCTTTTTCACTTTTTCTCTTATATTTCATACCAGAAAAAATGCATATATTTTTAAGATGCATGAAATTGGTTGCTCTTAAAAAATGAAAAAAAAGTGCTATCAAATCATTCTTTCTACAAAGCTTTTTCTTTTAAGTTTCATTTTATAACAAAAAGAAAGTGACTGTAAAATTTAGAAACCAAAGTTTTCACACTTTTATTATTAGTTTTAAACTAAATCCATTGTTTTTTCTTAGATCAAGCAATTTTAATTACAGTGTAATTATGAAGCATTAAGTGTCTGGAATAGACTTATTAGGGGTGTCATTCTCTCTGCTAGCAGCAAAAGCCATTCATAAGGAAGGAGCCCTACTAATTAGAAGGTCAGTCATCCCTCCATAAGAATAGTAATATGCATAGGAACTCAAGAGGCCTTACATATAAATATCTAAATAGTGAAAGGGTGATCAGTGGCTAGGATATTTACATAGTAAGAGACTCCAAGTCCTGAGACAACTCTGTTAGATGCTACTAAGTGGCAGGAAGAAAGGAACTATCTGAGTACATTCAGTAGAGTGCACCTGAAGGAAAAGAAGAAAATAAAGCAAGACAGAAAAAGAGTTTTAGCAGTCTGAGTGTGAGATTTAGTGATTAACTAACATAAATTGTTAACGTAGATTAAAAAATGGTTTGTTTTTCTATTCTAGTTATACTTTTTCACTTTTGATCTTCATTGTAAAGATAAGGAATCAGTGGTAATGTAAACTATCTTACACTTAAACCTCTTAATCTCAGGCTGAATACAAAAAGCTTTACTGTCCACTATCAATTATACACATCAGCTTGCGACCTATTAAATGGTTCTGAGGACTTTCATGAGTAGCTACCAACAATGCAGAAAAAAAAAGTGCTTCTAATCTTAGAGCATGCCAAGCTTAAAACTTAATAGTGAATAAACAGATAAGTAAAAGAAAAGAACTTCTGTACTAATCAGAACTTTAAAGCTAGACACTGATAATTAACCCATCACTACCCACCTTCATCATCTAGCAATAGAAGTAGACTAATGTTATTTGCAAATTTAAAGATCCTAAGTGTCTGAAACATAGGATAGGAATGCATTACTCTATTGCACAAAGAAAGGCATACTTAATTGTCAATCAGGTATATTTATGCCAGTAATAAATTCATATTTAAATAATTAATAAAATGCATTGTCAAGTAAAAATCAAATTATAAGCTTTTATAAAATTTAGAGATTTAGAGACATAGCTTCATATTTGATAGTTAGATTGATTATTTTCATTAGAAGCATCATTAGAAAAAATGAAATAAACTAGTTTGTGTACGTTGGGCCCTACTGTGTGCTCAAGTAATGTAATTTCTGAATCCAATTAAAAATGCAGCTTCTGGACTACATCTTTAGACAGGCAGATATTTTAACTTTCTATAGTGGATTTTATTCCTAACTCAAATGAAATCAGCATAAAATGTGTGTGTGTGTGTGTGTGTGTGTGTGTCTGTCACTGTGGTTGAAAAATATTTATTGGATATATTATATATGGATTACTTATCAATTCTGTTCCCAATGGGGAAGGTGTTTTTTGTTTTAAGGTAAATCAAGAAAAAATGTTAAAGAAAACGAAGAGTTACTTTAGGCGAAAAGAGAGATGCCACCCCTCCCCTCCACGCTGCTGAATCATTTTTACCATAAATGTGCAGCAATCATGGGCCAAGCTTGTGGCCATGCAGAAAGGGAATCCTATGGAGCTACTGCTATATAAAAATGGTGCTTATATAGCATTCCTGACTGTTGGATACGACCTCTAAATCTTTCCTTCCACAAAAGTGACAGTTCCTAAGAAAGCCATAGATTTCTAGCATGTAGCTGTTTTAGTCCTGGTCAGGGAGGAAAATGATATTCTCTCTCCCTAAGAAACCTGCTTAGTTGGACTCCTGCCTGCCAGAAGGAGAATAGAGCTGATTATTTCCATCCCTTTCCTTTCTCTTTTTCATCCTGTTTTCTCTTTCATAAATGCACTTGAGGAGTCATTGATTTTTTTGTGAGTATGGAATACAGTACAATAGCACTATATCACCTGGTGCTATAATACCAAATTCTCTTACATTGTATTTCTCTCTGAATAGTCTCTTCCTTTCCCTGTTATTCCAAAGCTTGGTGCCTACACTTTCAGTGAGGATCTGTGTCTAAAGACAATAGGTCAGATTACATAATCCAAGGATACTATTGAAACAGATGCTGACATTATACAATGTTTTTTATTAATAATAACATGAGTAACCATTAAATAATTCTAAGGTCATTTGTTGAGTGTAACCTATGGTCATAATGCACCAGTTGAAAGTACAAGTACAGGGAAGCTGGTTGTTATACCTTTATAGTATAAAAACTATTATGCAGCAAGAAATGGCTGATAGTAGAAAAAAAATTATTCAGACGTTTAAAAGTCAATTCAACATAAAGATAGATATCAGAAATGCATTTTTATAAATTTACTGTCTTGTGTAAGGCCATAATATACAAGAAGGCACAACTATGGAAACACTTAAGAACAGCACTGAAGCAAACTAAAACATCATATCTGTTTTGTTTTAGAGAGACAGGAAATTGTAAATGACTATTTTCCAAACACCATCTGCATTTAGAATACTAAAGAGATGATTTTCTAATAGTAAACTGAGGACTGAAAATAATTAGTGCATCTTACAAATACATCTTAATCATTAGAAATAAGGAAAACCCACCATAACATTTTAAATCTCCCGAAAGAATTCCTTAAGTGGCATACATGACGTTTTTCTGAGTTTTCTGATAGGCAATATTTGCCCAGTGCTGTTGCTGGGGGAATGGTTTGTACATTCATTCTAAATATAAATGCAATATGCTTCACTCCATATAAAATTTAGAAATTTTATATTAGCCCTTATTTAATTCAAATGAGAGAAAAGACATTAAAATTAATAAATATTATGAAGCAAATATGTTAACATAAGCTGTGATGTACATAGGTTATGGGATGAAACTAAAATAGAAAAGAAGAGCCAGCTTCCACCTTTGGCAGCTTTGTGACATCAGACTCACCATTTTACTAGCTCTAAGCCTTGGTTTCTAGTCTGGGCAGTGAGAATGGGGCCTTATAGGATTGTTGTGAGGATCAATGAAATGGACAAGGAAAACTCCCGTTAAGGTAGGTGCTCAATAAGAGGTAGAATAACTAAGCAGAAATGTATTGAAATTATTGTGAAAAAATCATCTGTTGATGCTAGTGTACTATACGAATAAGTATTACTGATAGTTAAGTTTTAAATAATTACAGAGTAAATATTTGTGCAACAGAAATATTCCTTCTAAGTAGGATCTGTTTTATTTATTTAGTCAACAGAAAAAAAGACTTTATAAATCAGGTTGAATTTTTGAATTATCAGAAACTTTGAATATCAGGAATCAAACGAAGCAGTTTAGAACTAACCTGTCTTATTTAGCCTTTTAAGAGCATAGCAATTTAAAATCACTGTGGCAAGGAAAGGAACAATTACAGTGTACATGTTCTATATCCTGGATTCAATGAACCATGGGTTGAAAATATCTGGAAAAAAACAATTAAAAATACCAATACGATAACAAAAAATAATACAAATTCTAAAAACCAGTACACTATAACAACTATTTACATACCATTTACATTGTGTTAATAATTATAAATAATCTAGAGATGATTTAAAGCATAAAAGAGAATATGAGTAGGTTATCTGCAAATACTACACCATTTTATATAAAGGAATTGCGCCTCCATAAATTTTGATATCCACGAGGGTCCTAGACTCAACCCCCTATAGAGACCAAGGGACAACTGTATTTTCAAAGCACTACTGTGTTCAAAATGACGTCTGGCTGCATTCAGCTATCTTCAGTGAAGATGAGGAATAATACAAGTAAATATATAATACACTTGTTTGCATAACATTCCTACAATGTGTTGACAGGCTTTCAAAAAATAAAAAATACTTTCTATCACAAAAGATAAAGAATGAAACAGACTGAATCCACTTAAAGAAGAGAAAGATTCTCTTTGAGATTCAGATTCAGTATTATGTTTAACTATTCTAAATCTATTTGCTTCGGTATTCAGAAGCTTTTGTGATAGGATCAGAAACTGTGAAATGGAAATTGTAGTGATTTAATATTTGGAAAAATTATAATAAATGTAAAAAATAGTCAGGATGTGTTTTCACAGTGCTTTCTGCAAAGAAAGAGAATTAAGAAGAAAAGCCAAGAAAGCTTTGGGGATTAGAGAAGATATTTTCTAAGTTTGAAAGCAGATGTTGTACCATATGTGCTTACCTGTTCTCTTTTTATTCACTTTGGCTGGATCATTACCAACCTGTCCTGTTTTTAATCCAGTAGAATTACTGACTGAATAACCAATTACTTCACCTCTTTATAATTCAGCTAACTATAAAACAATGCTTCTGGAATGGATTATAGGCAAGAAAAGCAAAGAAATGAAATAAAAAATAATATAAACACAATGATTTTTCTATTCATAAAACGGTAAAATATTGTTTAATTAACAGAAACTTTAATTTTTTTTTTACTTACTGTTCTGTCTTATATTGCATGTATTAACAGAGTTATTTAATTCCTTAACATAAAGGGGCTCAAATAAATTATCTTCTCAGGTACATATATGTGATGGATTTTTAAGATTCATGTATATGAAAATGTTAAACACTCAACAGAAATTTATTGTTGAACATGTCCAAAGGCAATAGACATTTTCACTTTTTAAAAACTACTTGTTTCCAAAAAAAAAATCTCAGGATATGGTTCTGTCAGAGTATCTATTTCAAATCACTTTGCCAATAGAGAAATTGTTTCAAGGAAATATACACAAAAAGATCCAATCATAAGCAAAACACCCTTCAGCCAACACATGTGAAACAGTTCTTTAAACTTTTTAAAGTCTTTTTAAAAATTAAGTTATAAAATACATGCCGATAACTGCACAAGTCTTAAGTGTATAGCTTGTTGAATACACATGCAAATAAATCAGTCGACAGAACATGACAGCCCCACAACTGGCCTCCTTGCCATATAGTATCTGTCCCCTTCCAGAACCCCAAAGAAAACCATTATTCTGAGCTTCTATTTTAAAAAAATTATGTGTTTCTGCTTTTTAAATGTAATATAGAGTCATAGAGCATATATTTTTATGCCTGACATTTATCATTCCTCATTATTTTATTTTAAAGTTAGTTTGCCCATCATCCCTCCAAATGTCTCCATTCATCTATACTTATGAAGTCAGACTGAAGACTTGCAGATCTTTTTAAAAATGTAATGCAATTTTGAATAATTTTTCAATTTAAAAAGTCAATAAAAATTTCACATATAATATGAAATAAAACTAATTTATACGAAAATGAAAATATTTTGAAAGACTTGGAAAATGAGTAGGACGTAAAAGCCATATAAGAGATGTTTGAAAACATGAAAAAGACAGGCTATTAAAATTATTTGATGAGGAAAACAAGGATAATCAAAAGTACAGGATATTTATTGATCCAAATGACTCAATGCGTGGACCATCAGCACAGATCAACAGCAGTAGCTGCCTTTGGAAGTTGGCGGAAATGCACTTTTAGGCTCCATCACAGATCTCCTGCATCCAAAATGTGGGTGTGGGGCTCAGCCCACCAGCTGTTTCTGGTCCATACTAAACTGCGAGAAACACAGCTTCTATTCTACACTTTTCAACTCATCAGGTACTTCTGTTTACATCTGCAATTTTTCCTAAAATTATTTCTAATCATCATTCCCAAAACAGTGGATAAATAATCTGTGGCCATGGACTCTTTACACTGACTTTGCCATTTCTCTGTTTTTCAGGTATGCCTTTAGGATTTTGCTTTATTCATACAATAAATATTATTTATTTCTTACTAACTGACAGCCAGTACGTGTATTAGTTTTCTATGGCTTCTAGAAATTACCACAACAAATTTAGTAGCTTGAAATGACACACATTTATTTCCATAAAGTACTGGAGTTCACAAGTTTGAAATCAGTCTCGCAGGACTAAAATTAAGGAGATGGCAGTGATGGCTTCTTCTGAGGTTCTTAAGGGAGAATCTGCTTTCTTGCCTGTTTTCAGCTTCTGGAGGTAGTATGCATTCCTTGGCTCATGGTTTGTTTCATGCATCATGTCAATTTCTTGCTTTCATCATCACATGTTCTACAACTGCTTTTTGACTTTGTTGCCTCCCACTTATAAGAATCTGGGTGATTACATTGGGCCACTAGATAACCCAGGATAATCATTCATCTCAAGACCCCTCAGTTAATCACATCTGTAAAGTCCCTTTTTCCATGGAAGGTAAATATTCACAGATCCTAGGGATGAGGACATGGGCATCTTTGTGAGGCCCTTGTTCTGTCTGCAACACTATGCAAGTGAGCTTATGATCTAGGGAAGTTGGACATTGAGTGAAAAATAACAAAATCTCTTCTCTTCAATTCATTATAAAAGGTTGGTAAGTGATATTGAAAATTATTCTTTATGTAGCTGAGTTTTAACTACTTAAACAAATAAAAATATTGAGCAGAGATGGAAAAATTAATACGTTTGTTGTTAATTCTTCCCACTCATAGGTATTTGCAGCCACTGTATTCTAGGTACTGCTCTTGTGATGCTTAGTCTATTGAGGTTTACAGAGACTGGTTACAGAGTATGAAAATACCATTGTAGGAGACAGCCAAGGTACATAAAGAAGACAGCAAAAGTACATAAAGCTATGTGTGATTTCCTATAAAACTTACTAAATGTGAGAGCTAAGTGGAGCAAAAGCTCACCTGAAATCTGAAACAGAAATATGTGTCGTGGGAGCATTTTAAAAATGAGAATAGCATGTTGTAGGAGTCTTGGTACTAGGAAGCTGACTGTGTTCTAAAAATTTCAAGTACTCAGATAAATGGAGCTTACCAGGTAAGATGGGAAGTGGTGAAATGATGCTAGAGAGCTAAGCAGTTGCTATAAAGATCCAATAAAATAAATAAGAAATTCAAACTTTAAGCGGAGGACTAACATGATAATTTAAGCATGGGAAAGACATACTGACATTTACATTATGAAAGATAATTTTGGCTAGCGTGTAAAGAGAAGATTAAAATGTAACAAGTTCAGCTGGGTGTGGTGCCTCATGCCTGTAATCCCAGCACTTTTGGAGGTCCAGGTGGGATGATCACTTGAGGCCAGAAATTCAAGACCAGCCTGGACAACAGATAGAGACCCTCTCTCTACAAAAAGTTAAAAAAAAAAATTAGTCTGGCATGGCGGTGCATGCCTGTAGTCTTAGGTACTCAGAAGGCTAAGATGGGAGAATCACTTGAGCCCAGGAGTTCAAGGTTGCAGTGAGCTTTGATTCTTTCATTGCACTCCAGTCTGGGACACAGAGTGAGGCTCTGTCTCAAATAAACAAATAAAAATAACAACAAGAACATGTGGCAAGTTAATACATGGATAGTCTCTTGAATCAATCTAAGTGAGAGATAAACAAATTCTGAACTATAATAGCAATGGTGAAATTAGGGTACAGCAGGTGGGAAAATATATACATTCAGCAGCTAGAATTGACAGAATTCTATTTTGGATGGACTATATGATGAAAAAGATAAGTCAGAAGTGAAGTGTAGATTTGTTGCATAAGGATCCAAATACATGATGATGTTCTTAGTTAATATATGAAACAGAGGAAGAATGAAAATTTTTGAGAGAAAAGATGGCATAATGCTTGCTCTGAGTGCACATTGTACTCGGACACTCGTTCAGCTAATATACCTTCTAATTATTAGTCTTCCCTGATTTCACTCCGGGAAGTCTTTCATTGTTTGCAGTCTCAGTACTTTTTCCTTTGTTCTTTCTTCTTATTGATTAATTCCAACATTTTGAAATGTATGTACAAATAGGCTAGAATGTGAGCTTCTTGAGTGCAGTATCTCTATTTAGTTCACATTTGTAATTCCACAGTCCATGGCTTAGAATCTTATATGTAATAGGCAATGAATAATATTTAAGTTTATAATCTTATTTTCATGACCAAATACTACATAAAGTCAGATAACAATGACAAGACAACACTTAGCCATTGCCTCTAGCCTCCCATTGATTAACATCCAGTTAAAGAAGTCTGCCTTTAGGGTAAGTAGGTAGAGACTGCTTCTGGACATTGGAGGTAGCTGAAATTATTTTTGAAGCTTTAAAATAGTTTTATTTGTAAAAGTAAATTTTTTTACTGCAACAAGGTCTTCTTTAGAGTTTTATGTTTTATATCTGAGGTATAATCTTAACTTAGACATATTTGCATTACTGTCAAACTACTTTCAAATTCCAATTTTAAGAGAAACATAATCAACACATTCCTTGTCTTTACACTTCATAGAAGGCTTGATGGAGAGGAAGGTTTATACTTTTTTTGCTCCTTTTTGGTGCAAGACAGAGCAGGGTTTAAAACCTACTTTTATGCTTATTAATAGTGTGACCTTGAGTGAGATCCCTAATCTCTCTGCACCAGTTTCTTCACCTGTATGATGAAGGTAATAATATCTACCTTACAGGGCTATTATGAAAATTGAAAGTAAAATACATTTCTAGAACTGTGTGTAACAGATATTAATAAAATAAAATATTATAATAAGCATATACTTTTCAGCACTTGATATCCCCAACAGAAACCAAAAATGTACAAACTTCCTTCACTTTATCTGTGAAACACAGGAAAATTTTATTCCAAAAATGGATTTAAACCTATAAAACTTAAATTGCATTCTAAATTTCAGTTAGATCATAATATTTTCCCTTTTTTAGATAATCTAATGAAATGGTTTCACTAATACCTGGATCATCTTATAGATACAATTTTGACAAAAGCAATAGTTGTTAAGTACAGCATCAGACTTAAAAAATCACGATATAGGAAGTCAGCTTAAAAATCTATCAGGATATAATGCTTAAAATTTTTGCTAACTTGCTTCTCTCACTCAAACAGGTTATAATGTTCAAGGCTAAAGTGTGATCTATTGCTGAGTTAGTAATGACAGTAAAGTTTGCCAACACAATCACTGCACTACATTATCTAAGTCATTGCTCTGTAAAGTGCTTTGGGATACCTTGAGTATGAAGGGCTATATATCAAAGATATTATATTTTACTCTATATGGTACTTGGGTTTTGGCAATGCATATTCAACAAGCTGAATAAAAAGACCTCTAGTTGTACTTTATTAGTATTTGTATGCATTCACCACAGGTAAGTGTCGGCTCAACTTGAACTAAAGGAAAGAAATTATGTTTGAGAGAGAGAGGAAGGATCTTCATCCTGAAGGTGTAAACTTCAACTAAATATGTATTCCTCTACCATCCCTGACCTTAGAATTAGCCTACCTCTCCCTTGTCACTTAGAAACCAAAATGAGTTTCCTTTCCGTGCGAGAGTGATATATGAGAGCAGGAAACACGTCAGAGCCATTTATCATTGTGTACCCTCAGTTTCTAACCCTGTGCTGGAATGAATGAATGAATGAATGAGTGAAGAAATGAATGATTTCTGCTAGATTATATGTTACCAAATTTTTCAGTAATGTGTTTTTAAAGTACCACCTCAAATTTTGGTAAACAACTTCACTGTATGTCAGGAATGTCCTCAGAATTTATCATGGTGACAGTTTACAAGTAGAAGCCATCTCAGAGGGAGGCTATTTAGTAGTATTTAAAGTTGTCCACTCTTGTTATAGGATTGTCTTTCGGGATAAATGACATTTTAAAAATTTATGTATGTATGTATGTATGTACTTATTATGATACAGAATCTCGCTCTGTTGTCCAGGCTGGAGTGCAGTGGCCTGATCTCAGCTCACTGCAACCCCCACCTCCCAGATTCAAGCGCGTCTTCTGCCTCAGCCTCCCGAGTAGCTGGGATTACAGGCACACGCCACCACGCCCGGTTAATTTTTGTATTTTTAGTAGAGGCGGGGTTTCGCCATGTAGGCCAGTCTGGTCTTGAACTCCTAACCTCAAGTGATCCAGCCGCCTTGGCCTCCCAAAGTACTGGGATTACAGGCATGAGCCATTGCGCCCAGCCAATAAATGACATTTTTATTGCACTACATAGACAGGTGAAAATATATCCCCAAGCTGCAGAGATGCTAACTTTTGTGTTAAGTCACCCCTATCAATCAATATGTATGTAGGGACTGCATAGTAGATATATAGAAGACATACATACTTGAATATGCACAAACATACAAAGTTGATATAAAATAAGTTAGCACATATCTTAGAGTATTAAGAGATATTTCTCTCATCTTATGTTTTGATTTTTGGCACATTATCTTTCTTTTTTATGAGCGCAGCATCTAGAAAACAGTATGTTTGCCTCTATTTATGCATTAAAAAGATTTTCTTAAGTACCTAGTATATACTAGGCTCTGTATACAAGTATTATCAATGCTTGACTAATTTAATAGATAGCCAGCAACAAAGAATAAAAGTAATAATAAATTCAGTTAAAGAACATTTTTTTAGTTATAGGATTATATGAGTTGTTCTAAGTATCAACTTAACCAAGTGGAATAAGAAAATGTGTTTCCAGATTAGAGAAATGTTTGTTTATTCCAAGCAGAATATTCAATTAAAAAGATAACAGCCAGCCATGGTGGCTCGCGCCTGTAATCCTAGCACGTTAGGCTGCCGAGGCAGAAGGCTTGCTAGAGTCCAGGAGTTCAAGATCAGCCTGGGCAACATAGTGAGACTATATCTCCACAAAAAATTAAAAATTAGACAGGCATGGTGGTGCATATCTGTAGTCCCAGCTACTTGAGAGGCTGACATAGGAGGACCCTTGAGCCTAGGAGGTCGAGGCTTCAGTGAGCTGTGAATATGCCACTGTACTCCAGCCTGGGCAACAGAGTGACACCCTGTGTCAAAAATAGAAAAAAAAAAAAAAAACGGATACTAATGTAATAAACAGTGTGTACTAAATCACCCTTCTCTGATCAGTTTCAATCATCAATCATTAAGTGTTAATAATATACTCAGTAGAAAGTAATAAAACATTTCCATTCTCTTCTCAAGCTTACCATCTATTTGTAGAAACAAGATGTTTTGAGGTTTTCTAAATTGACACTGAATTACAGATTTAAAAGAATAATCTTTCAAATATTTGCTGCATGTCTATTCATAAGAAATGAGACTCGACTCTTGCCTCAAATCATGTACAAAAAGTACTGCAGATAAATGTTACAGTCAAATGTGAATTATAAAACATTAAGTTTTCTGGAGTAAAGCACAAAAGGAAAACCTTTAATATCTTTGCACAGGTAAAATTTCTTAGCAATGCACAGAGTGTTTATTCCAAAGGGAAAAAATGAGAAATTGGACTACATTAAAATTAGAAACATTTGTTTACAGAAAGCCACAATTAAATGAGTGAAAAGGCAAAGCGATCTGAGATGATATTGCAATGTTCATGTCTCAAAAATATACAGAATATATAAACAATGCTAACGAAGCAATAGCATAAAAACAGCATAACTCATTAGAAAAGTAGTCAAAAGATCAACATGTAAGTCAACAAGGAAGATATGGACCTCTTCGTTATTCATTAGGGAAATGCAAATTAAAATATAAATTCAACATGCATTGGAATGAAAGGTAGATGATAAAATGAGAAGTAGATGCAATGCAAGTGTTGGAGAACATGTAGAACAATTGCAAGCTTCATAAATTACCGGCGAAGTACAAATTTCTGCAACTACTTTGACAAAGTATATTACTTATTAAAGCTAAATAGGCCACATTTTGTGACATTGAAGTTCTAAGTGTATGCCTAGCAAAACTGATTAAATTTGCTCACCCAAGTGCATGAAAACAAATACCTATGACAGTAGCATTAGTAATAGCCAAAATTGGAAAAAAAAATCAAGCGTCCCGCCCCAAAACATTTTAATATATTTAAATAACTGTGATATATCATGTACTTCAGTGAGAATGAGCAACATGAATGAAACTCACAAACATGATGTTAAACAAAAGAAGCAAGACAAAAAAAACCCAGCATACTGTGAGATTCTATTCATGTTAGGTTTGAAAATAGGAAAATTAATCTACAGTACTACAAGTCAGAAGATTGGTTTCTTTCAGTGAGTAGTGAATAGCAAGTAACTGGTTACATGGATACATAGTTGTGTGTCCGATGTGAAAATTAATCTAGCTGGACATTTATAAATTGAACACTTTTATATGTTAATGTTAAACTTTACTCAAAAGTAAAGTAAGTAAGAGATAGAGAAGGTATTAGAAATTCACAAGGAGGCCACTAAGGACTAGGTAGTTTAGCCCAACTTTATGGCTATCCATTTATTTATTTATTTATTAAATAAAGCATAGTTTTATTATATGCCAACTATAAATAGTAACTTATTTGATTTTCCCAATAGTCTAATGTGTAGCTAATACTTGTAGACCTCATTTTACAGACTGTGAAACTGAGGTACAAAAAAGCCAAACATCTAGGAAGCGGTGAAGTTAGAAATGGAATCCAAGCAGTACAGCTCCAGATTCTATGCTATTACTTTTTACAAATATAAAATTATTCTTGAAGAATGAGGTGTTAAATTCCCTGGGCTGCTGTAACAAAATATGCAAATTTGGTGTCTTAGGAAAACAAATTTATTCCATCCCAGTTCTAAAAGCCAAAATTCCAAAATCAAGGTGTTGGCAGTTCATTCTGGAGACTATGAATGAAATCTGTTCACACCCTTCTCCTAGCTTCTGGTGGGTGCAGGCAATTATATGTCTTGGCTATAGACATATAATTTGAAACTTTGCCTCTGTCTTCTCATTGTCTTTCCCTCTGTCTCTCTCTCTCCAATACTCACTCTGCTTTTTCACTTTGAGGACATCTGTCATTGAATTTTGGTCCCACCCTAAATGATCGCATCTCAAGATCACTAATTACACCTGTGAAGATCCTTTTTCCAAAGAACGTTCCATTAAAAAGCTCTGCAGTTAGAACTTTTTTTAACCACTATTTTAACCACTTTTTAAAATCACTATTCAACCCATTACATATGGAAACGTTTTATAAAGAACAGTGTAGTAGTCTAGTATAGATGAGGGTAACATAAAAAGGAAGGAACATATGTAAAAATACCAGGGCAGTGAAGATTTATTAATGAATACAAGATAAAAGGTAAAATGGGGACTAAGATATTCCTATATGTCTCTAAATATGGTTGTGCCATAATGGAAAGAATGCTTAAAAATGATTAATCTGATTGCTTTTATTTATATCCTTTTTTAAAAAAAATATTATATTCCTGAACAAAAGTAAGGAGGAAATATTTCCACCTGAATCGTGATTTATAATTAAAAGTGAATGCACCAAATGAAAGTGGCTGCCTATAAGGGGAGCTACAGAAGTGAGAAATTAGAAATAAGGAGAATCAGCTAGGAAGTGACTCCTCATATAAGAAAGAATATTTTGTACTTATTTTGAACTACAGGCAATCTAATTCAAACTATGAAGTCTAAGATATATTGCAAATTATTTATCTTCTTCATACCTACCCCACCCCCTGCTTCATCACCACTATCATAGAATCAAGGTAAGAACAACCAACTTGTGTTTAGTTGTCGTTGGTATGTGTGATCTCAGACTAAACAATGTCTTCCAATCCAAATAAAATGGTTGGGACTATTGGGTTGTTCACACAACTATTTAGGGGTTAATGTACTGAAGAATGAAGACAAAGTATGAAGTAGCTACAGTAGAATGAACTGGATTTTCTAAAGCCAGAATAATTCCTTCATTCCTCTCATTCATTCCTTAAATGTATGATTCAAAAAAAAGTATGAGCATCTATAGATCTTTATTCATTTATTCAACAGTATTTACTATTGGATGTTGGGGGAGAATCATAGAAGAAGAGAAAGAAGAATAATATGAACTGATGGTAATTATTGTACATATTATGCTGTAGGCACTAGTCTAATGTTTTCCATTTATATAAACCACAAAACAATAAGGGTAGAATTATTGTTTTCAAAATGCAAATGAGGAAACCGAGACAATGATAGTTTAGATTACTATCCCACAGTCCTATAAGTAGAATGAGGCAGGGATAAGATTTGCATGTTCATAGTTGGTCTCCAGACTCCATACTTTTAGCCTTTACACTAATAGTGCTATGTTGAGTATGGAATCTTATTTTAATAACAAATAATATCTCACTTTATAGAAAAAAAATGTGCTAGTTGCTGTAGGTGAGGGAGGGGAAGATAATCTTCACCGTAGATTGTGGGTAGTAGAAGAAGGGAGGGAGACACTGATAGTAATGAACCAAACTAAAAGAAATGTGCAAGTTGTCAATTTATTGCCTCTCAGGTTCAAATCCTCTCTTCATTCACTGTTTTTGCAAAAATCGAGCTGCACCTTTTAAATATTTCTCCTTCGTTGCTGAAACTGTGTTTTCTTTTGTTAGTAGAGTATAGAGAAACACCAAGAACAGTTTTCTCTTCTGATTCTGGTATGCTTTGGTTTGCTTGTACTTGCTCCTGCTGTGTAGCTGTCAGCAATGCATATGAGATATATCCAGTGGAGATCAGACTCGTGGATGCCTTCCCATCAAGTTTCCACAGAACACTGCAAGCAAATTCTCAGGGAGGCTTGCAGGCACCCTAGTTGTTGGCGTTGTAGCCTAAACCAACCAGCAGGGGTGTTTCCTACTTGCTAATTTCAACTGTAATTTTGTGTCCACCTGCACGCTGGAGAAGTGTTTCCTGTCTTGGCTGACTTCTCTGACTGACAGCCTTTGGCTTACCTCCACCCCAGAGAAGTGTTTCCACCTTTCCTGGTGATTTTGGACCAGCTCGGATCCAGGCAACATAGAAAACTTCTCTGTTGTGCAGTGGGCTGCAACCATACTTTCTCCAACAAGGCCTAAATCCCAGGTTTGGGAAGGGTCATCCTTCCAAGTTGACTTTTCCTTGGGTACTCTCCCCAGGGTAGTCTTCTGAGTTTTCTTCTCTTCTTCAAAGACAATTTGCCATTATAGTTAATAGTTATTTATATTAAATGATCCCTGTTCAAATGGATTGTGTGGTTTCTGTATTCTGATTGAACCCTGACTGATAAAAGAGGATAATCAAAGAGCGGGGGTAGGGCCAATTACTGACTTAGTTAAAAAAGGGAAATATTTGTGTGAATCCTACCAAAAATTGAGAGGAGAGCAGATTTTTACTTGAAATTCTGCCTAAAGACATGTTAAGAGGTAGCGTCTTATCCAAGTTTGATAGAAATAAATGTACTGAAATAAAAATTGGCCATGCTGGCTCCACAGGAGTTCTCGACCTCTTCCCACTAAAATGTGTGCCCATCAGTAAAAATGGCTCACTGTAGCCAGTATTTTAAGCCAAAGCTGATGAATGGTTGTGAAGGTGGCAGAGGAACATCTCAGAGGTAATTCAGATGAATCAGACTAGAAAAGCATGGCCCTCTCTCCTGGAGAATCACTCAAAGTGGGTGGTGTGTGGTAAGCAAAATTCAAAAATATGCAAACTAATTAATAAAAGGCCATTAAAACACACAAACATGGACATCAAATCAGAGCATATGTACAAGTATATCATTCACATTTTGTCTTCCAATAAGCGAGAATGTAAAAACATATTGATATTTTATTGTGAATTTCAATGCAACTTTCCTATGTATTCTTTACACTATAAGTGATTCCTGTAAGCTTCTTTCATGTACAGCATCTTTTAAATGTTTAAGGTAAAAGTAAAACCAATGAAAGTTTGCATTCTTTTTGTAGTTAACAATTTTTACTAATATGCCTCATAAGTGTATCTTATAAGCATGCTTTGTTCTCTCTTTGTATAAATTTTATTTTATATATAATTCCAAATGAGCTATAAAGTGTTCATTTCTGTTACATGCCTTATGAAAACAAATTCACATGCATAGGAAACAGATATGTCATTCCAGGTTTTTTTTCTCTTAATACTTCATGCTGACATCCTAAGAAAAAGGAGACCAAAAAGTTGTTTTCACTAACCTCATCTTTATTTTAATAATCATCATTTGATAACTCATCCCAATATTTCTGACAGAAAATGTTACATGTAATTTGAATCCCTTAGGTTAGAATTTAGGACTGTACTACAAATTTAGAAGCTAGGCCTTCAAAAATAAACAAGAGGGAATCAAAGCAGGTTTGGTATGCCCTTATCAGTGATAAGCGCATATCATTGATTTTTGATTCCATATGCATTCTTCTAAAACAACTTGTTAACTCTGAAAGTTTTCTTGGAAGGAAACCTATGTCTTTCTGCAACTTTCCTGCTATGAACAGTGTCAGATACAGGCCAGTTGGTAAAGTCTAGCAATGATCCCCAAACTAAAAAAAAAAAAAAAAAAACTTGATTATGTGCTATCAATATATGAATTAGTATTAATTTTAAATTTAAATTTAAAATTATACTATTTACAGTATTACATTTGTATGAAATGTAAACTGGAAAAGTACAAGCTAAAATACAAATATAAATCTTAAAAGTTTTCTTCTCATGTTCCCTGGGGCATGTGTCCCCATTTTGAAGACCACTGAACAATAGGATTGCAGAGTAGAGGTCAGATTAGTTTCAGGGGCATTACCAGGACATTCTATATGATTTGAATTTATCCTGGTATGCATCCTTCTTCACCCTGTTTTTATTTGTCCCTTTTCTCCCCCATTCATATACACACACAAACATGTAATCTAAAGTTTTTAGTCCCAATAGCTACTCAAGACAAGTCTGCATAATAGAAATATCTCAAATAAGGAGTGATTATAGCCAAGAATAAGCACCTTGAAAGAAATGCATAGTATTAGCTCAGAACAAAAGCACAGATTTAACAATGGTTCAGATTTACAAATGTTACTTATGTACATATTTGCACTGAATTTCAGGTTGAGCCACTGGGAAATCTATGGATATACTGATGTGTACATCAGTTAAAATAAATAATATAACCTATTTAAACGTGCATTTGTTCCTATCTTTGGTGCATTCCCATTGGGTCCTCTTTCAGGTTCAGCCAGATATTGCACCAGGAAAAGTCAGACATCGATCTTGTCTTGTATTAATTGTAAGTTGAGCGGATGGCTGCACATCTTTAGTATCCTTTTTTAAATGTTGTCATGGGTGTCATCTCTGTTTCCAGCTTTTTGGTTTTATTGCAGTTTTATTTTCTGTAATTTTCTTGAAATGCGAAAGATATAGTTCTGCTGTGATAAATGAGATGGGGAACCCATAGCTCAGTCACTAGTTTGTACATAGATTGACCATTGAATGTAAAGTATGTGATGCTAAGAACAATTTTGATGAGATCCATTGTTGAATGTGCAATGATTCATCCTTCTTTGTAAAGTTGTTACCTTTATGTCTTAGTGCTGCATCATTTTTCATGTTTCTCTTTTAACAAGTATTTGGAAGGACAAAAATCTTCCCCAAAAATAGCCTAGGCTACATTGCATACAAGTGAGAGATATTCACTAAATATATCAATACCTCTATGATTATACAGTTTAACTTCTCATTTTTAATGAGTTTATAATGTGTTATTTTTAGAGAAACAATCTTGTATCTCACTTCCATCATCTTTTGTTAAATCTCTTATCCCTGTTCTTAAGAATTTCTTATCTTTGATGAAGAATATGAAATACAAAACTCAGATATTACATTATCTGATTTACTATGATTCAGTAAAAATGTCACCATTTTTCTGGAATGAAATATATATATTTATTTCATATGTGTGTATATATATGTATGAATTCAAATACATATATTTAAAATTCAAATATATGTATAAACTAATATATGTATATATGTACATATTAGTTTATTTGAAGAATAATATATATACATATATATGTATATATTAGTTTATTTGAAGAATTAATTTCCTACCAAAGACCAAGGACACTGCTTTTACCCTCTAATTAACTTTCTCCCAAAAATCTAACCTATTGACAATAAGCCATCAAAGCCAAGTTCTTCTGTAAGAACAAAAGCAAGTGGCCTCTTTGAATCATTTTATAAAAAAGAAAATAAGATATATAAATACTCATTCCATATATGTACATAATCCATATGCCTTGAGACAACAGATCATGCCAGTGTATTTCAGAGGCAAATGGGGAAAAGAAATCCAATCAACAGGAAAAATGCAGCGGTTATGAGAACATGTACTTTTAAAAATTTCACTAATGAAGAGCTTCCAGGGAATTCAGAGATCTTTCCCCAGTAAAGGAGACACTGGCTATGGCTATGTGCCTGAAAGACGCAATGATTATAAAATGTGAAAGGAGAGTAATTGGAATGCTGAATGTTATGTAGACTGTTTGATTTACCCAAAAAAATCAACAAACAAAATTATCATAATCAAACTTGCAGATTGTTTTATTTGAAAACACGGAGACTTGCATTATTAAAATCTCAGTGGATTTTTATGAAAATATAAATCATGTGAAAAAATTTACAAACTAATTTGTGGAAACCCATTCCTTTCCAACAAGTAATCAGGTCTATGATAAATTTAAAAAGCAAGGGATAAAAGAAAAAAAGGCAAAAATACCTAGGATATTTCCTTTCACTTTCCCATACAGTGGTCTTACTAAGTCCCTACCTTCTAGAATACTAATAGTACTCTAGAGGCCCAGGAGCTCAGAGAATTTTACTAGTTTCCACTTGCTACCTTTTTCTTACTCTGATCCAGTAATCCAACTTCTTATATCTTGTCTTGTTCCTATTTCCTTTATTGTAAGACCCCTTGTCTCTTTAAGACATTACTTTTATAGTTGAAAACTTGATCACCAATTTAAATTGTAAGCTTTTAAGATACGTCTTCATAGGCATGTAAGTCCAGAGAATATATGAAAGTATTTTCAGTGGTTTGTAAGTTCTCCATCAGAAATGAACACATTATGAATCATCAGGATGCCCAAATTATAACTTATTTTTGTCACTCAGTTTGTTTTGTTTTTTAATTGACATATAATAATCATACATAATTATATGGTACACAGATATTTTGATACATGTATACAATGTGTAATGATCAAAACAAGATAATTAGCATATCCATCATCTAAAACATTTATCTTCTTTTTGTGTTGAAAACATTCAAAATCCTCTCTTCTAGCTGTTTGAAAATACATAATAAATCACTGTCAACTATAGTCCATCTAAAGAGCTATGAAACACTAAAACTTATTCCTATCTAACTACTTTTGTCTCTTGTAATCAACCTTTCCCTATCCTCCCTGCCCCCTACACTTTCTAGCCTCTAGTAACCATTATTTTTCTTCCTACTTCTATGAGAAAAAGAGCTTACTTATATCAATGATCACGTGTGTATTTCTCTTTCTGTCTTATTTCACTTAACATAATGTCCTCCAGTCTCATACATGTTGCTTTGAATGACAGAATTTTATTCTTGTTTATGGCTGAAGAGCATTCCTTGTATGAAATACCACATTTTCTTTACCTATTTATCTGTTGATGGACTCTGAGATTGATTCCATTTCTTGGATGATGTGAATAGTGCTGCAATAAACATAGGAGTGCAGATAGCTCTTCAACATACTGATTTCCTTTCCCTTAAATATATACCAACTAGTGAGATAGCTATATCATATAGTAGTCCTATTTTTAGTTCATGGCGAGCCTCCATACTGTTTTCCATAATAAATGTACTAATTTGCAGTCTCACAAATACTGTATAAGGGATTATTTTGCTCTGCATCCTTGCCAGTGTTTATTTTTTAAATCTTTTTGATAATAGCCATTCTAACATTTCACTGTGGTTTCGATTTGCATATAAAAATAAACATTTTTATATCCTTATTGATCATTTGCATGTACTCTTTTGAGAAATGTCTATTCAGTTTGTCAATTTAAAAATTACTTTTTTTATTGTCAATTTAAAATATTTATGCTGTTGAGTTGTTGGAGTCCCTTATATATTCTGAATAATAATCCTGTGTCTAATAAATTGCAAATATTTTCTCCCATGCTGCAGGTGTCTCTTCACTTTGCTAACTTTTTTTTCCTGTGCTGTGCAGAAGCTTTTTAGTTTGGTATAATGCTGTTTATTTTTGCTTTTGTTGCCTGTGCTTTTGAGATCTTATAAAAAAAAATTGCTCAGATCAATGTCCTTAAGCATTTCACCTGTTTTCATGGAGTAGGTTTGTAGTTTCAGGTATTACATTTAAATATTCAACATATTTTGAATTGATTTTTGTATTTGATAAGAAATATAGGCTTAGTTTTACTTTTTGACATAGGGATATCTAGTTTTATCAGTACCATTTATCGAAGACACAATCCTTTCCCCAATGTATGTTTTTGTCATCTTTGTCAAAAATCAGTTGGTTGTAAACATGTAGATTTATTTCTGGGTTCTCAATTTTGTTCCATTTGTTTAGGTGTCTGTTTTTCAGTGAGTGCCATGCTGTTTTGGTTACTATAGCATTGTTGTATATTTTGAAGTTGGATACCGTGATGATGGAGCTTTGTTCTTTTTGCTCAGAATTGCTTTAGCTATTTGGGATGTTTGGTGGTTTTATAGAAATTTTAGGTTTTTTTTATTTCCATGAAGAATGGCATTGGTAATGAGATTGACAGTGCATTGAATTTGTGGATTACTTTGGGTAGTATAGTCATTTTAACAATGTTAATTCTTTCAATTCATGAACATCAGATGTCTTTATTTTTTGTGTGTCCTTTTCCATCTTTTTTTCATCAGTGTTTTGTAATTTTCAACATAGGGATTTTTCACCTCCATTACATTTATTTCTAGGTGTTTTATTTTTCCTAGCTACTGAAAAGGGAATTGCTTTGTTGATTTCTTTTTTAGATATCCAATACTGGTGTGTAGAAATGCCACTAATTTTTGTATGTTGATTTTGTATCCCACAACTTTACTACATTTATTTATCAGTTCTAACAGAGATTTTTGGGTAGCCTTTAGCAGTTTTTATACATAAGTTCATGTTGTGTGCAAAACGGTGACAAACTGACTTTGTCCTTTACAGTTTAGATGCCCTATATTTCTTTCTCTTTCTTAATTGCTCTGGCTAGAATTTCTAATATTATGTTGAATATGAGTGGTGAAAGTGGGCATCCTTGTCTTTTTTCTTTTTCTTAGAAGAAAAGCTTTCAACTTTTCTCTGTTCAGTATGATGGTATCTATATGTTTTTCATATATGACTTTTATTGTATTGAGGCACATTCCTTCTATAACTAATTTGTTGAATATTTTTATCATAAAGTCATGTTGGATTTTATCAAGTGTTTTTTCTGCATCTATTAAGACGACAATATGGTTTTTGTCTTCCATTCTGTTGATGTGTTGTATCACATTTGCTGATTTGTGTATATATTGAACCATCCTTACATCCTGGGATAAATCTCACTTTGTCGTGGTGTGTAATTTGTTAATGTGCTGTTGGATTCAGTTTGCTAATATGTAGTTGAAGATTTTTGTGTTTATGTTCCTCAGGGATGCTGGCCTGTAGTTTTTTTTATTTTGTTGTGTCCTTGTGTGGTTTTACTACCAGAGTACTGCTGGCCTTGTAAAATGAATATGAAAGAATTCCCTCCCCTTTATTATTTTGCAGTCTTTTAAAATAATTGGTGTTAGTTCTTCATAATTTTGTTAGAATTCAGAGCAATGCCATCTAATTGTGGGCTCTTCTTTGTTACGAGACTTCTTTATTAATTGATTCCGTCTTGTCACTGGTTATGGTCCATTCATTTTTGTTAGTTCTTCTTGGTTCAATCTTGCTTGTATGTGTCTAGGATTTCATCTGCTTACTCTAGATTTGTTCAATTTGTTGATGTACAGTTGTTCATAAAGGCATCTAATGATCCCTTCTCTTTCTACGGTACCAGTTGTAATGTCTCCTTTTTTGTTTCTAATTTTATTGACCTGAGCCATCTCTTTTTTTTATCTTACTTAGTTTAGCTAATAGTTTGCAGATTTTGCTTGTCTTTTCAAAAACCAATTTTTTGTTTGGCTGTTTTTGTGGGGGTTTTTTGTAGCTATTCTGTTTCTTTCTGCTCTGGTCTTTATTATTTATTTTCTTCTACTAATTTTGGGTTTGGTTTGCTCTTGCTTTTCTAGTTGCATGAGGTACATTGTTAGGTTTTTAATTTAAAAGTTTCCATTTTTTGATATGTGTGTTTTTATATAAACTTCACTTAGTATTGCTTTAGCTGCATAAGTTTTGTTATGTTCTGTTTTTATTTTGGTTTCAAGAATATTTTAAATTTCCTACTTAATTTCATCATGAGTGTATTGGTCATTTGGGAACATTTTGTTTAATTTCTATGTACTTACACAGTTTCCAAAATTTCTATTGTTATTGATTTTTAGTTTTATACCACTGCGGTCAGAAAACATACTGTATATGATTTAAATTTTTACAAAAATTTGTTATGATTTGTTTTGTGCCCTAACATATGGTCTATTCCAAATAATATTCCATGTCCTGAAAAGAAGACTGTATATTGTGCATTTGTTGGATGAAATGTTCTGTAAATGTCTGTTAGGTTAATTTGATATGTGCTGAAGTTTAAATAAAATATTTATTGATTTTCTGTCTATACAGTCTGTCCAGTGCTGATTCGAGTATTGAAGACACCAATCATTGTACTGGGATCTATCTCTCCCTTTAGATTTAATAACATTTGCTTTATATATCTGGGTACCTATTGTTAGGTGCATATATATGTACAATTGTTATATCCTCTGGCTGAATGTCATTCAATTTCTCAGCCAGAGTTTTTGCTGAGTTTAGACTTTATGCTCAAAGCACACAATGAAGACAGGATAATCTTGAGACAACTGAATATCCACATGCAGAAGAATAAAACTGGATTCTTACCTCACACCATACGCAGAATTTAACTCAAAATTGATTAAAAAGTTAAACATAAGACCCAAAACTATAAAACTACTAGAAGAAAACATAGGGGAAAAGCTTTATGACATTGGTCTGGGAAATGACTTCTTGAATATGACTCCAAAAGCACAGGATACAAAAACAAAAATAGACAAATGGGATTGCATCAAGTTAAAAAGCTTCTGCACATCAAAGGAAACGATCAACAGAGTGAAGAGAAAACCTACATAAGAATACACTTGAAAACTATATATCTGATAAGTAGTTAATATCCAAAATACATATAAAATACAAACAATAGCAAGACAATAAATAACCCAACTTAAAAATGGGCAAATGACCTGAATAGACATTTGTCAAAAGAAGACATGCAAATGACAGACAGATATATAAAAAATGTTTAACATCACTAATCAACCAGCCAATGCAAATTAAAACCACAATTGGATATCACCTTGCACCTGTCAGAATAGCTATAATCAAATAAACAAAAACAAGAATTGGTAAGGATAGGAAAAAAATGGAACCCTCACAAATTGTTGGTGGAAATATAAATTAGTACAGGCATTATGGGAAACAGTATCAAGATTCCTAAAAAGAAATAAAAATAGCACTACCATATGGTTCAGTAATCCTGCTACTTAGTATAAATTTGAGGTAAAAGAAATGAGGATGTTGAAGAGATATCTCCATGTCCATGTTTATGGCAGTGCTATTATTCACATTAGCTAAGATACGTAAACAACTTCAGTGTCCATCAACAGATAAATGGACACAGAAAATGTGATATGTATATGATGGAATACTATTCAGCCATAGAAAAGAATGAGATGCTGTCATTCACAGGAACTTGAATCAGACTGGAGGACACTATGTTAAGTGAAATAAGCCAGGCACTGAAAGATAAATGCCACATGATATTACTCATATTTTGAATCTAAAAAAGTTGATCTCAAAGAATTAGATGGTAGAATAGTTGTTACCAGGGCATGGGATTATTTGGGGAGAGAGGTTGGTGATATGTTGATCGAAGAACACAAAATTTCAGTTAGATATTAATAGAAAGAATAAGTTCAAGATATATATTGTTAGTACTCACTTTCTGAAGCCTGCTTCTGTCAATTTATCCATCTCAACCTCCGTCCAGTTCTGTGCCCTTGCTGGAGAGCCATTGTGATCATTAGGAGGAGAAGAGACACTCTGCCCTTTTGAGTTTTCAGCATTTTTTCATCGATTCTTTCTCATCATCATGAGTTCATCTAGTTTAGGTCTTTGAGGCTGCTAACCCTTGGAAGAGGGTCTGTGTGGGGACTTCTTTTGTTGATGCTGCTGTTGTTGTTTTCTGTTTGTTTGTTTTTCTTTCAATAGTCAGGTCCCTCTTCTGTAGGGATCCTGCGGTTTTCTGGGAGTTCACTTCAGGCCCTATTCATCTGGTTCACTCCCATGCCTGGAGATGTCACCTTGAAGAGGCTGGAGAACAGCAAAGATGGGTGCCTACTCCTTTCTCTGGGATCTCTGATCTCGAGGGTCACCAACCTAATGCCAGTAGGAATGCTACTGTATAGGGTGTCTGACAACCCCTGTTGGAGGGTCTCACCCAGTTAAGTGGCACTGGGAGCAGGACCCATTTAACGAAGCACTTTGGCTGTCCCTTGGTGGAGGGGGTTTGCTGCACTGGGAGGAAACCCCCTCATCTGGGCTGCCTGGATTCCTCAGAACTAGGAGGAGGAAAGACTAAGTCTGCTGGTCCATGGAGACTGCAGCCACCCCTCTCCCTAAGGGCTCAGGCCTATGGAGATCAGAGTTCTGTCCCTGAACCCCTGGCTGGAGTTGCTAGAGTTCCTGCCCCACCCAGTGAGGAGGGATGGGTCAGGGTCAGACCTGAAGAGGCACTCTGGCAGCAGTCTGCCACAGCGGTGTGTTGGGCTGTGGGGGATACCTCTTGGTGCCAAGCCATCCGGCCTCCCTGCCTCTAGCAGGGGAAAAGGTAGCCCCGAGCTATAAAGATGGCTGCTGCCCTTCCCCCACCCTGGGAGCTTAGTGTGTTAGGCAGCTAGTAGTCCCAGTGTTGGCTCCTGCTCCTTCCCAAGGAGCTCAGAGGGCTTAGACCGCAGGCAGCTGCAGCTTAGACTCACCAGGCTTAGGCACTCGTGAGTGGCTGTTGAGAATCTACATGACTCTGTAGTTGGGCCCCTAGGCCCCAGTGGTGTGGGCTCAGGAGTGGGATGTTCCCATCCCTGGGTTGCACAATTCCATGGAAAAAGCAGTTTCCCAGACTGGGTAGTGCACTCACTCATTGCCTCCCTTGGTGGGAGGTGGCCACTCCCCTGCCCCGTGTGGCTCTCAGGTGGGCCAGCCCAACACACTGCTCTTCCTTCCTCTCCGTGGGTCACGCCAGCTGCCTGATCAGTCCTGAAGACAGAACCTGGATACTCTGGTTGCCAGTGCAGGATTCTCAGGCTGTTTTGGTTCTCTTTATTTTTTTTATTTTTAATTTTTATTTTTGAGATGGAGTCTCGCTCTGTCGCCCAGGCTAGAGTGCAGTGGCGTGATCTCAGCTCACTGCAAGCCCCGCCTCCAGGGTTCACGCCATTCTCCTGCCTCAGCCTCCCAGAGTAGCTGGGACTACAGGCGCCCGCCACCACGCCAGGCTAATTTTTTTGTATTTTTAGTAGAGACAGGGTTTCACCGTGTTAGCTAGGATGGTCTCGATCTCCTGACCTCGTGATCTGCCCCACTTGGCCTCCTAAAATGCTGGGATTACAGGTGTTTTGGTTCTTTTTGATGGAAGCCTCCAATAGCTGCTACTTCTAGTTGGCTATTTTAGCCCCACCCCTCAAGAGATATATTGTACAACATGGGGAACATAGTGAACATATTATATTATTGAAAAATGCTAAGAGAGTGGATGTAAAGTTTGTCAAGCACGTCCGTGTGAAGAGACCACCAAATAGACTTTGTGTGAGCAATAAAGCTTTTTAGTCTCCTGGGTGCTGGTGGACTGGGTCCGAAAAAGGAGTCAGCAAAGGAAGATAGGGGTGGGGCAGTTTTATAGGATTTGGGTAGGTAGTGGAAAATTGCAGTTAAAGGGGTTTTTTCTCTTGTGGGCAGGGGCAGGGGTTACAAGTTGCTTGGTAGGGAGCTTCTGATACTCATTGTCCAGGAGAAGGAATTTCACAAGGTCAATTGATCAGTTAGGGTGGGGCAGGAACAAACCACAATGGTGGAATGTCATCCGTCAAGGCAGGAACTGGCTATTTTCACCTCTCCTGTGGTTCCTCAGTTGCTCCAGGACATCTGGATGCATATGTGCAGACTTGGGCTCAGAGGCGTGACATTCCTGTCTTCTTATATTAACAAGAAAAACAAAACAAAATAGTGGTGCAGTGCTGGGGTAGTGAAAATGTTTGGGGGGTGGTATGGAGAGATAATGGGCGATGTTTCTCAGGGCTGCTTTGAGTGGGATTAGGGGCGGCATGGGAACCTAGAGTAGGAGAGATTAAACTGAAGAAAGAATTGGGGACAAGGGGTGATATTGTGGGGTTGTTAGAAGGAGTATTTGTCGTATAGGATGATTGGTGATGGCCTGGATGCAGTTTTGTATGAATTGAGAAACTAAATGGAAGACACAAGGTCCGAATAAGAGAAGGAGAAAAACAGGTATTAGAGGACTAAGAATTGGGAGGAGTCAGGACATCCAATTAGAGAGTGCACAAGGGAGTTCAGTGTAATGATCTGCTTGGTTGGAGAGGTTTGGGGCTCTATCCTTGAGTTTTTTTATGTTGTTATATACCAGGCCAGGTTGATTTAGGTAAAAACAACACTCTTCATTTAAAATATACAGAGTCCTCCTTTTTAAGTTGGAGGTTGAGCTTGGTGAGGTGTGTTTTTAAAAGACCATTAGTCCGTTCTACCTTTCCTGAAGAATGAGGACGGTAAGGGGTATGAAGTTTCCATTGAATACCAGGAGCCTGAGAGATGGCTTGGGTGATTTAACTAATAAAAGCTGGACCACTGCAGATTGAATAGAAGTGGGGAGGCCAAATCGGGGAATTACATCTTTTAGAAGGGAAGAAATGACTGCAGTTGCCTTTTTGGAGCTACTGGGAAAGGCCTCGACCCATCCAGTGAAGGTGTCGATCCAAACCAGGAGATATTTAAATTTATGGACACGGGGCATATTGAGTAAAGTCAATCTGCCAATCTTGTGTTGGAGTAATCCATGAGCTTGATGCATAGGAAAAGGAGGAGATCTGAGAAAGCCTGGTGGCATAGCAGATAGAGCATTGAGAGGTTATGGTCTTAAGAATGGATTTCCATAAAGGAAAGGAGATGAGGGGCTGCAGGAGGCAAGCCAAAGGCTTGTATCCCACATGGAAGTGGTCACGAAGGGAAGAAAGAATGGACTGAGCTTGTGAGGCAGGAAGAATGAATTTTCCATGATTTAAGAACCACTTGAGCCGGCTGGGCGCGGTGGCTCACACTTGTAATCCCAGCACTTTGGGAGGCTGAGGCGGGCAAATTACGAGGTCAGGAGACCCAGACCATCCTGGCTAACACAGTGAAACCCCGTCTCTACTAAAAATACAAAAAAACTAGCCGGGCATGGTGGCAGGCGCCTGTAGTCCCAGCTGCTGGGGAGGCTGAGGCAGGAGAATGGCATGAACCCAGGAGGCGGAGCTTACAGTGAACTGAGATCACGCCACTGCACTCCAGCCTGGGCGACAGAGCGAGACTCCGTCTCAAAAAAAAAAAAAAAAAAAAAGAACCACTTGCCCTGAGTTGGAAAAGACTGGTAGAGCAGGTTTTCAGAAGAGTAGGCGGGAGTGATAGAGGAGACAAAAATACTGGCCCGTCGGAGTGGGAGCTGGAATATTAGTGGGTGTGGTGGCATTGGCTATTTCTTTTGCTGTCCTGTCGGCATAGGCATTTCCTTTTTTTTTTTTTTCTTTTTTTTTATTATACTTTAAGTTTTAGGGTACATGTGCACATTGTGCAGGTTAGTTACATATGTATACATGTGCCATGCTGGTGCGCTGCACCCACTAACTCGTCATCTAGCATTAGGTATATCTCCCAATGCTATCCCTCCCCCCTCCCCACACCCCAGAACAGTCCCCAGAGTGTGATATTCCCCTTCCTGTGTCCATGTGATCTCATTGTTCAATTCCCACCTATGAGTGAGAATATGCGGTGTTTGGTTTTTTGTTCTTGCGATAGTTTACTGAGAATGATGATTTCCAATTTCATCCATGTCCCTACAAAGGACATGAACTCATCATTTTTTACGGCTGCATAGTATTCCATGGTGTATATGTGCCACATTTTCTTAATCCAGTCTATCATTGCTGGACATTTGGGTTGGTTCCAAGTCTTTGCTATTGTGAATCCAGGAGTTGGTTTTTTGAAAGGATCAACAAAATTGATAGACCTCTAGCAAGACTAATAAAGAAAAAAAGAGAAGAATCAAATAGACGCAATAAAAAATGATAAAGGGGATATCACCACCGATCCCACAGAAATACAAACTACCATCAGAGAATACTATAAACACCTCTACGCAAATAAACTAGAAAATCTAGAAGAAATGGATAAATTCCTCGACACATACACTCTCCCAAAACTAAACCAGGAAGAAATTGAATCTCTGAATAGACCAATAACAGGATCTGAAATTGTGGCAATAATCAATAGCTTACCAACCAAAAAGAGTCCAGGACCAGATGGATTCACAGCCGAATTCTACCAGAGGTACAAGGAGGAACTGGTACCATTCCTTCTGAAATTATTCCAATCAATAGAAAAAGAGGGAATCCTCTCTAACTCATTTTATGAGGCCAGCATCATCCTGATACCAAAGCTGGGCAGAGACACAACCAAAAAAGAGAATTTTAGACCAATATCCTTGATGAAAATTGATGCAAAAATCCTCAATAAAATACTGGCAAACCAAATCCAGCAGCACATCAAAAACCTTATCCACCATGATCAAGTGGGCTTCATCCCTGGGATGCAAGGCTGGTTCAATATACGCAAATCAATAAACGTAATCCAGCATATAAACAGAGCCAAAGACAAAAACCACATGATTATCTCAATAGATGCAGAAAAAGCCTTTGACAAAATTCAACAACCCTTCATGCTAAAAACTCTCAATAAATTAGGTATTGATGGGACGTATCTCAAAATAATAAGAGCTATCTATGACAAACCCACAGCCAATATCATACTGAATGGGCAAAAACTGGAAGCATTCCCTTTGAAAACTGGCACAAGACAGGGATGCCCTCTCTCACCACTCCTATTCAACAGAGTGTTGGAAGTTCTGGCCAGGGCAATTAGGCAGGAGAAGGAAATAAAGTGTATTCAGTTAGGAAAAGAGGAAATCAAATTGTCCCTGTT
This sequence comes from Homo sapiens, assembly GCF_000001405.40. NCBI lineage: Eukaryota > Metazoa > Chordata > Mammalia > Primates > Hominidae > Homo > Homo sapiens. Next base: position 17,474,998 of record NC_000012.12, on the reverse strand, counting down.
TGCAGATGACATGATTGTATATCTAGAAAACCCCATTGTTTCAGCCCAAAATCTCCTTAAGCTGATAAGCAACTTCAGCAAAGTCTCAGGATACAAAATCAATGTACAAAAATCACAAGCATTCTTATACACCAACAACAGACAGAGAGCCAAATCATGAGTGAACTCCCATTCACAATTGCTCCAAAGAGAATAAAATACCTAGGAATCCAACTTACAAGGGATGTGAAGAACCTCTTCAAGGAGAACTACAAACCACTGCTCAAGGAAATAAAAGAGGATACAAACAAATGGAAGAACATTCCATGCTCATGGGTAGGCATTTCCTTTTACAATAAGATCAGTAGGTTTCTGGTGTCATTTATAATGAATGACTCCAGCCTTGGCCGGCAGGAGAGCAGCCTTAAGGAGGGCCTTTATTAGGGAGGCATTGATAATGGAAGAGCCTTGTGTGGTAAAGAAGACTCTTTCAGCCCAGATGGCAGCATGGTTATGAAGGATGTGGAAAGCATATTTGGAGTCAGTATAAATGTTAATGTGCATTCCTTTAGCGAGAGAGAGAGAGCACTTGAGTTAAAGCAATCAGTTCGGCTTGTTAGGAAGTGGTGGAGGGAGGAAGTGCAGCAGTTTCAATAATAGAGGTGTGGGACACGACAGCATATCCAGCTTTAGCTGGTGAAAATTGATTGGGTTTAGAAGAACTGCCATCGATAAACCAAGTGTGGTCTGGGTTTGGAATTGGAAGAATAAAAATATGAGGAAAGGGGGAAAATGCTGTGTGTACTGGGGAAACACAGTCATGTGGTTCAGGACTTGTTTTGGGTGCTAAGTGAGAAGCTGGGTTGAAATTAGGCCTATGGGTAATAGTTACTGTTGGAGTTTCAACAAAGAGTGAATAGAGCTGGAGGAGTCAAGGGGCAGACAATAAACATGAAAGGTGTGAGGAGGATATTAATGCTTGAAGGTTGTGAGAACTGTAAAGGTTAAGTAGAGCATAGCTTGTGGTTTTGAAGGCTTCTAGAAATATTAAAATGGCGGCTGCTGCCACATGCAGACATGAGAGCCAGCCCAGAACTGTGAGTTCAAGTTGTTTTGATAGAAAGGCAGCAGTTGTGGGCCTGGCTCCTGTGTGGGGACTCCAGCACCACAGCCTTATATTTCAGCTGCATGTAAGGAAAAAGGATGGGATGAGTCGGGGAGTGCTAGTGTGGGAGCTCTCTCTAGGGCCTTTTTGAGAGAGTGAAAGGAAGAATGGGGAAAAGACTTAGGGTCTATGGGATCAGTTAAGTTACCCTTTATGAGCTTGTAAAGTGGTTTGGTTAGGATAGCAAAGCCTGGTATCCAGAGTCAGAAATCCAACAATGCCTAAGAATAAAAGGAGTCGTTGCTTCGTAGAAGGGGTTGGGGTTTGGAAGATTAGCCGGACATGATCAGCAGAGAGAGCACATGTGTTTTTATGAAGAATTATGCCGAGATAGGTAACAGATAAGAAATGTGGGCTTTGGAGGGGGATACATGATATCCTTTGAGAATAGATGTTGGAGGAGCACGAGTGTGTCCTGTTGGGAGGATTCATAGGAGGGGCTATAAAGTAGAAGGTCATCAAAACATTGAATAAGGTGAGAAGCAGATGGACGGAAAGAGAAAGGACTTGACTGAAATAATTGGGGCTGCCCCTGAAGCCTTGTGGCAGTACAGCCCAGGTAAGTTGCTGAGACTGATGGGTGTCAGGGTCAGTCCAAGTGAAAGCGAAGAGAGGCTGGAATGCAGGGTGCAAAGGAATAGTAAAGAAAGCATCTTTGAGATCCAGAACAGAATAATGGGTTGTGGAGGGAGGTATTGAGGATAGGAAAATACACAGGTTTGGCACCACAGGGTGGATACACAAGACAGTTTGGTTGATAAGGTGAAGATCCTGGACCAGCCTGTAAGACTTGTCCGGTTTTAGGACAGGTAGGATAGGAGAGTTGGAAGGAGAGTCTGTAGGCTTTAAAAGGCCATGCCATAACAGGCAAGTGATAACAGGCTTTAGTCCCCTCAAAGCCTGTTGTGGGATGGGATACTGGCATTGAGCAGGGTAAGGGTGATTGGGTTTTAACGGGATGGTAAGGGGTGCATGATCGGTCACCAAGGAGGGAGTAGAGGTATCCCATACTTGTGGATTAAGGTAGGGAGACACAAGGGGAGGATGCGAAGGAGGCTTTGAACTGGAGAAAAGGGCAGCAAAGAGGTGTGGCTGTAGCCCAGGAATAGTCAGGGAAGCAGATAATTTAGGTAAAATATCTCGACCTAGTAAGGGAGCTGGGCAGGGGGGAACTAAAAAGCAGTGTATAAAAGAATGTTGTCCAAGTTGGCACCAGAGTTGGGGAGTTTTAAGAGGTTTATGTTGGGGTGATCAGACCCAACACCAGGTCGTGGGGGTGACAAAGTCCGGCGGAGTCAAAGGAATGAGAAAAAGTTTGAGAGAGAGAGGTGGGACACCGAGGTCCATCGCCATCACAGAGGCTGCGAAGGCCCTGAGCTCTGGGAGCCCACGCTATTTATTGGTAATCCAACAAAGAAACAGGTGGTGAGAATGTGGAGGTCAAAAGGATGCGTTGTATTAAGCACATGATTTACAGCTGTGATGGTTTAGCATTTATATGGAACATGTTCTGCTACTTGAGATAATGGGAATAGGAGCCTAGGAAGCCTAGAAGCAAGGAGCCAGCAAGTCTAGACACATTCCAGAGGACATTATGCAAGCCCTGCCTCAGTTTCCCTCCCAACACTCAGCTTTTTCCCAACCGTTTAGAAGCCTGGCCATCAATACTTACAACAGTTATGGAGGCAAGGGAAGCAGGCCCTCGAAAAGAAGTTAATGTGGAGTGGGTAGCCTCCCTATTGATTAAGAAGCAAACGGACTTACCCTCCACTGTACGAGTTACCCAAAGCGTCTGTGATGGTCCAGGAGGCTTCCAAGGTGATTGGCAGTGTCAGTCTTCAGCCACTAAGCTGGGAAGATCTGGGAAGGAGTCAGAGAGCCTTGGGCCAGAGTTCCAGGGGCTCTGGGAGTGGCTGCCAGGCCAATTGGACAGTCTGATTTCCAGTGGGGTCCCACACAGATGGGACACGGCTTAGGAGGAATCCTGGGCTGCGGGCATTCCTTGGCCCAGTGGCCAGATTTCTGGCACTTGAAGCAAGATCCTGGCTGCTGCGGTCTAGGCGTTTTGAAGTTCTTGTGTGCTGGAGATGTGGCTGGGGTTTCTCTCACAGCGGAGGCAAGTAATTGCAACTCAGAAATACATTGCTGCTTGGCTGCCTCTTCTCTATTATTGTACGCCTTGAAGGCGAGGTTAATTAAGTCCTACTGTGGGGTTTGAGGGCCAGAATCTAATTTTGGGGGCTTTTTCTAATGTCCGGAGCGGATTGGGTAATAAAATGCATATTGAGAATAAGACAGCCTTCTGGCCCCTCTGGCCCTACGGCAGTAAAGCGTCTAAGGGTTGTTGCCAAATGGGCCATGAACTGGGCTGGGTTTTTATATTTGATGAAAAAGAGCCTAAACGCTAACTGATTTGGGAGAGGTCATATAAAGAAAAGGAGCATTAACCTTGACTATGCCTTCAGCTCCAGCCACCTCTTTAAGACGAAATTGTTGGGCAGGTGGGGGAGGGCTAGTCACGGAACGAAACCGTAAGCCAGACCGGGTGTGAGGAGGGGAGGTGATAAAAGGATTATAGGGTGGGGGAGCTGAGGCTGGGGAAGAATTGGGACCTGGCTTAGCCTGGAGAGGAGCAGCCTGGGGAGGAGGGGAGAGGTCAGATGGGTCTGAAGAAAAGGAGGATTCAAAGGACTCAGACAGGAAAGAAACAAGAAAGATTTGGGACGAGTCGCATTGGGAGCAGAGACTAGGGAGGGACCAATGTGTAGTAAAGAATGCCCGGGACATCAGACACCTCAGACCATTTGCCTATTTTTGACAAAAAATATCCAGGTCTTGTAAGATGGAAAAATCAAAAGTGCCGTTTTCTGGCCACTTGGAACCATTGTCGAGTTTGTATTGGGGCCTAGCACTATTGCAGAAGAAAATAAGGCATTTAGGTGTTAGGTCAGGTGTGAATTGAAGAGGTTTTAAGTTCTTGAGAACACAGGCTAAGGGAGAAGAAGGGGGAATGGAGGGTGAAGTTTGCCCATAGTGAAGGAGGTAAGTTTAAAGAGAAAGGTAGACACGGAGAAGGGGGTGGTGAGCAGCCAAAGCAGGCGTCCCTGCAGTTGGCTTGCCACCAAGGGAATGTGGGTGAATGACCAAGGCAGGCGTCCCTGTGATGATCAGACACCAATGGAATGTGGGTGAATGATCAGGGCAGGCGTCCCCGCGATGATCAGACACCAAGGGAAGACTGTCTTCCCGAGTCCGTGACCGGCGCCAGAGTTTTGGATCCATGGATAAAATGTGTCTCTTTTGTCTCTACTAAAGAGGAAAAAGAACTGGAATTGGAAGGACAGGGAGACTGAAGGGCAGCGAGAGAGGCTGGAGAAGACAGTGAGAAGACCGCTTACTCGATTTGAAATTGGTGAGATGTTCCTTGGGCTGGTTGGTCTGAGGACCTAAGGTAGTAGGTGGATCTCCTCACGGAGTGAGGGTGAGGACAGGGGACCAGTCTCCCGAAGTAGGCCCCCTGTCTCGGGTCTTCAGCACCAAATATCACGCATGTCCGTGGGAAGAGACCACCAAACAGGCTTTGTGTGAGCAATAAAGCTTTTTAATCGCCTGGGTGCAGGTGGACTGAGTCCAAAAGAGGAGTTAGCAAAGGAAGATAGGGGTGGGGCAGTTTTATAGGATTTGGGTAGGTAGCGGAAAATTGCAGTTAAAGGGGGTTTTTCTCTGGCGGGCAGGGGCGGGGGTTACAAGGTGCTCGGTGGGGAGCTTCTGATACTCATTGTCCAGGAGAAGGAATTTCACAAAGTCAATTGATCAGTTAGGGTGGGGCAGGAACAAATCACAATGGTAGAATGTCATCAGTCAAGGCAGGAATTGGTTATTTTCCCCTCTCCTGCAGTTCCTCAGTTGCTTCAGGCCATCTGGATGCATACGTGCAGGCTTGGACTCAGAGGCCTGACAAAGTTTCTCACTACAAAAATGATAACTGTCTTAGGTAATGTGTATATTAGCTAGATTTAGTAATTTCACAATGTGTATGTATATTTCAAAATATGTTGTACATAGTAAATACAATTTTATCTGTCGATTCTAAAATTTTTAAAAAGTTATAATATTGTTTGATGTGCAAGATGTATGTTACAAACAGTAAACTGATTTTATACAGGTTGTTCTGTCAGAGGCAGGGAAAAGAGAAATGATGGTTGTTCTGTAGGACGAAGGGAGAAGAGACATGACATCATTACGGACACTGAAGAAAAATGTCCAAACCAGTGGTTTATTGGAAATGGAACCTAGTGATTTTGCTTGTAGTTACCATAACTATTAAAAATTATTTTTTATATTTTCACCTTCTTTAAATGTACTGTAATTATGCGGTAAATGTTTGCATTTTACATAAACAATTTGCCTTTATAAACAATATTCTTTAGATTTTATTAATTTATTAATCCTTGTTTTTTAATCAGAGAGGTCTGCAAATACATTTTCAAATAAATTCCCTGGCATTCTGTGAGTTCTCAGTGTTTTGAAACACAGTTATATAATTTTAATATAAGAACAAGAATACTAGTATATACAGAAATATTCTTAACAAAAAGGCATACCATTATGTTTCCATCATGACATAATTCCAGAGTGACTGATGGATTGGAATTGTGGGAAAGCAATTTTCAAAACTGGTGTTTTAATACATTATAAGTCTGATAATGAGAACTTATGAAAGATGAAGAGAAGAGAAAATTTGCAGTCGCCTGTGTGTGTTTTGACTCTGCTTTAATGTGTATAGAGCTTTGTGTTAATGATATGAATACATCTTTACCTATTATTTATGTCTTGATTTAGAAATAGAGATAGATGATAGATAGGCAGGCAGGTAGATAGATAGAAAGATGATATATAGATAGATAACTACATCTTTCAAGGCTCCAAACACTTTAAGACAGATTATCTCTCCTATGGTCTGACACTCCCTGTCACTAAATGATGTTCCCCCAAAATCCATATGTTGAAGACCTAACCCCCAGTGTGATTCTATTTAGAAATACATCCTTTAAGAAAGTGGTTAAAGTTAAATGAAGTCATAAGATTGAGCTCTAATCCAGTAGGATTGGTGTCCTTTGAGGAAGAAGAGACACAATGACTAGGTGTTCACAGAGCAAAGCCATGTAAGCACATAGCAAGAAACTGGCTATCTGAAAATCAAGGAGAGAGCCATCATCAGAAAAGTGATTTTGTGGCAGCTGGCACCTTGATTGTGAATTTCCAGTCTCCAGAACTGTGGGAAAATAATTTTTTGTTGTTTAATCTACCCAGGTATGGTACTTCCCTCAGATATCAAAGCCTCGATGTCAAAGCCTCTCATTCTAACTCTCAAAACCTGGATCCTGTATGATTCCTTATGATTCTGAACTTCTCCAAATATAACTGAACTTTCCATTTCTTCCTAATCTGCTCTGAGCTTTGGAACTCAAAAGTTATCATCAGGGTAATCCTCTTCTATATCAAATGTTCACTGGCATATTTCCTTCATTTTATAGATATAACTGAAACCTAAGATTTCCAAAATCTATTTCTTCTCCCATAGTTTTTGTGTGTGTGTGTGTGTGTCTGTTTTAATATGGGTTGTGTTTTCCACATCAAATGTACTATTCAGTCATAAGGGAAAGTTAGTGTCTTCTTAGTATCTCTTTGTCACTTATAAACCACAGACTATCTCTTGTCTCTAAAACTCAGCAATTTTTTGATATAAATATCCTAAGTGTATGCCACTTCCTTTCTTCTTTTTAGTTATAATCTACATTCTTTTTGAAAACTCTTATTTATTCAATAAAGATTATGGCATGGATTGACTCTCTCGTAAGTTTCTCTTGCTAAAACCATTGATGTTTTTTATATCCACTCAGTGGATCTTCTAACACCCTGACTTTTTTCTTGACCTTGCTTCAAGTAATAAGTTAGGCTCTTTACCTCAAACACCTATTTTCATGGCATTTTAGAGCACTCAGGTTGCTGTAACAAGATACCATACATTGGGTAGCTTATAAACCACAGAAATTTAATTCTCCCAGTTCTGGAGGCTGAAAAGTCCAAGATAATATGCTGGCAAATTTCATGTCTGGTAAGGGTCACTTTCTAGTTCCTAGACAGTGCCTTACCACTGTGTCTTCAAATGGAATAAAGGGCAAGGGTCTCTCTGTGGCCTCTTTTTTTAAGGGAACTAATTTCATTAAGAGGGCTTTACTTTCACGACTTAATCACCCACGGAAGGCTTTTCCTCTTAATACTATAACATTGGGAGTTCAAATTTCAACATAAGAATTTGAGGGGAAACAAAAACATTCTTTCAAACCATGAAAGGTGTTAGACCTTAGGTCTTATTTTTTCTGTAAGTTATAAATTATGTTTACTATGGAGGGAATACCTTAATATCAACCATAATTCCACCACTCAACAATGTCCATTTTGAACACTCAGTCTTTATCATATCTATAGCTCACTTCCTAAATTAAGGCTTCTCCAGGTTTTAGGCTTTTTATTTAATGGTCATTGTTCGTATGATACATCTTTTTTATGTTTACAATACTGATGTATCTTTAAACCTAAAGTCACTCTCTTGTAGATAACATATAGTCAAATCTTATTTTTAACCCATTTTACACTCTTCCTGTTAATTACAATGTTTAACTCATTTACATTGAATTTCTGAGGTAGGATTTACATCTTCCATTTTACTATTTTTGTTTATGTGCGTTATATTGTTTTTGTTCCTGTAATCCCCCTTACTACTTTCTTTGGTGTTAAATAGACATTATTTAGTTAACTTTACCCACCTTTTAAATTATTTCTTAATATTTTCTTTATTTTTTTTTTACTGTTGCCCTACACATAACATCTAAATATAAAACAATCTAGTTAAAATTAATACCAACTCAGTTTCAATATTATACAAAAAGTCCATTTTCTCTCATCTCCTTTGTGTGAATATTGTCATTAAAATGACATTGTTTTTTACACAGTAAATCCCAGAAGCAGCTTTGTAATTATTGCTTTATGCAGTTGTCTTTTTATATATAGTAGATTTTTTAATTGCATTTTTTTATATTTACTTATCTATTTACCTTTACTAACACTCTTTATTCTCTCATGTGGATTCAAGTTACTCTCTATGGCCCATAATTTCAGGTCGAAAGACTGTTCAACATCCCTTATAGGTCAGGTCTGCTAGCTACGAATTCTCTTAGTTTTTGTGTGTCTGGGACTATATTAATTTCTCCCTAACTTTTGAAGAATAGTTTTGCTAGAAAAATGATTCTTGGTTGACAGTCTTTTTTCTATTAGCACTTTTAATATGCCATCCCATTGCCTTTGGACTGCATATTTATAATAAAAAGTCAGCTATTATTGTTACTAAAGTTCCTTCATAAATAATAATTTTTTTCTTGCTATTTTCAAAATTATCTCTTTGTTTTGGTTTTCAATAATTTGGCTATTATGTGTCTAGGTCTTTGATGTACACATTAATGTTTAAAATCAACTTTGAGAAGTATTTTTTTCAAATTTTCTTTCCACCTTTTTTTCTCTAGCTTTTTATTCAGAGATTATTATTGTATTTATGTTAATATGGTTGATGATGTCTTCCAAATGTCTGAGGTTCTGTTAATTTTTCTTCTTCTGTCTATTGTTACATTGAATAATGTCAGTTGATTCACCTTCATGTTCAATGCTTCCTTCTCTGACAGATCAAATCTGCTGTTGAGCTTCCTTGTCATTTTTTCTTTACAGTGGATTGTACTTTTTAACTTCAGAATTGTTCTTTGGAAATAGTTTATTTAGCTCTTGGAACATATATATAAGAACTGACTTAAAGCCTCTGTATTACAAGTTCAACACCTGGGTTTTCTCTAGGAAGGTATTATTTTTTTTCAAGTGGGGGCCATAATTTCCTGTTTCTTTGTGTATCTCATAATTGTTTTTAAGAAGTGGGCATTTTAAAGAACATAAGGTGACAACCATGGAAATGAGATTCCTTTCCACCCAGGATTGGTGGTGTTGCTAGTTTTTGCTGCTGTTGTCACTGTTGCTATTTGTTTGATTAGTCACTTTCCAGAATTAATTCTCTAGAGTCTGTATTACATGTTGTGTCCAGCCATGGAAGTCTCTTCTCTGTTGGCTCAGTGGTCAGCTACAGATTATATTAAAGTGTTCTTAAATATCTTGAACTAATATATCTTTCACTTGTTACTATGGGGCTTTGTATGTGTGTGGTACGGCAAGCCTTTAATGTTCTAGCAGTTTAAATCTCTGTCTTAGCCTTCATTTACTTTTTGTACAGCGCCTCAAAGTCAACCAGAAATGATAGATTGGGATCTCCTCAAGACTTTCCAGGACACTTTCACAGCCCTGCCTATTAGCATGGCCTTCTAGATACTCAGGAATATTTTGGAGCTTTTCAAATCGCCCTATGGACATCTCAATCTCCATATTTTTCTCTTAATTTTCTGGCCACTCTTTCTTTGCCCCAACCTGTACACTTTACCCCCACTGATTGTTTTAAACAAACCCCTGGTGATGATAAGACTTATCAATAATTGAGCTCAGTAGCAGGTCAAATAAGACAAGTCCTGTGAGCGTAGCTTTTCCAGTGAACTGTGAGACTGGTCCATTAGTGACAATCCTCAGTGTATGGGGCTCTGGGGGACCTCTAAACTTTTCTCCCCTCCTCTGTAACTGTTAGGTTGCTATTAATAGTTTTCATAACTACTATGTTTATGAGGCTGCTGCTTTTCAATGCCAATTGAAGCTGAGGATAGGGGCATGGGATTGGGGCAAGTTAAAAAGCCACCAAGCTCAGTTTTTTACCAAGGTTCAGGTTTTTTGGTTTTTTATTTGTTTGTTTTTGTTTTTAGTAAAATAACTCTACAAATTGTGGAAATCCTTTGGTTAATTTGAGAGTTCTGAAAACATTGATTTTGACGAAGTTTACCAAGTGTTCTCACTGGTTTTACTGAGGTGTAAATTTTTCAATATCCTTACTCTTTTACTAGTATTTCTCATTTGTAAATTTTCAAATTCCAAGCTTAAGAACATTAATAGATATACTAACATCAACAAGAAATATTGATTATGTGATAAAATATTTTGAATTACATGATTCTTTTTTTTTTTTTTTTGAGACGGAGTCTCGCTCTGTCGCCCAGGCTGGAGTGCAGTGGCGCGATCTCGGCTCAGGGCAAGCTCCGCCCCCGGATTCACACCATTCTCCTGCCTCAGCCTCCTGAGTAGCTGGGACTATAGGTGCCCACCACCGCGCCCAGCTAATTTTTTTTTGTATTTTTAGTAGAGACGGGGTTTCACCGTGGTCTTGATCTCCTGTCCTCATGATCCGCCCGCCTCGGCCTCCCAAAGTGCTGGGATTATGGGCGTGAGCCACCGCACCCAGCCACATGATTATATTCTTGTCCTGCAAGTTATCGAAGCCCCATTAATTAAAAGTCAGTTCACTTTGCTTCAATTTACTTGTCACTTAAACATCACATAAAAGATATCAATGTAATTTTAAAATTGATCTTTCCAGAGATCAAATATTATTTCCCTAGAACTCAGACTTTCTATTTTATCTCATTATTTCAATCTTTTGAACATGTTTCAATTTGGGGTAAAGATGGTAAGGCAGTATTGTCTTAGTCCATTTTCTGCTTCTCTAACATAATATGACAGATTAGATAATTTGTAAAGAAAAAAATATTTACTTGGCTAACAGTTCTGGAGCCTAGGAAATGCAAGGGCATGACACCAGCATCTGCTCCGTCATCTGATGAGGGCCTTTTTAATGTGTCATCCCATCAGGAAAAGCAGAAAGACAAATGAATGCATGAGACAGAAAGAGGAAATTGGGCAGACTTTATCCTTTTTCCTTTTATCAGGAACCCATTCCCTCAATAACCCACTCCCATAAATATCAGCATTAATCCATTTTTGAAGGCAGAGCATTCATGACTTAATGATGTCTTAAAAGTTTCACTTCTAAATACCATCATAATGACAATTAAATTTCAATGTAAGTTCTGAAGGGGTTATTTAAACCATAGCAAGCACATGTTATGTGTTTCTTAATTTTCTATACATTTTACTGGTTATTTTTATTATATGCATGAAAATTATTGCAGAAAATTCACCAAATTGTTTAAAACTCTATACTTAGCTTAATATACATAATTCAGACCAGATAGGTTTATTGTAAAATATTAGTTACATGATTATTAAAGTATTTAAGACCTTTGGTGACATTAGATATTTATATAGAAATTTTAACTTCATGTCGACTCACTGACTTTTTAAACATGTCCAAAATTGTAATAAAAAGAGTGGGCTTGGGGTGGTAAGAGATAAAAAGAAAATTCATATGCTTCTGGAGTATAAGTCAGATGTGTTAGCAAGAACTTTTATACAGATTACATTATCTATTTGATTTATTCTCTTATGTAACTTCAGTCTAGAATGGAGACTATATGATATAATAGTCTTTGAAGTGACCTACAGCTTTTATATTGAAATTCATTTCTCATTAACTTTAGATAATATATATTTATTTTCTTCTTTTTAAAATATTTAATCTATTACTGGTACTTATTTCCACTACCCTGACCCTTGCTTTGTTAACCTGAGCAATCCTACCCTAATCAATCTATCTTTGCATATACTGTTGTCTCATGATTCTTTAATTTAAAACAATTCACTACTACTCATCTACCAATATAACTATTGGGTACTAGTACTGTAAAATATTGCAATGTATTTAATATTAAAGTTCATCAATCTATATCAGTAAACTATTATTTATTATGTTCTGTCTTACTATTTCATGTTATTTATTTGTTTTTTTTTTAACAAGGCTAGAGTCTTGCCTAGGATATGACTAATGTGATAGCATATTTTATACTCTGAAATATAGTGTATATGTCCAATACATCATATATTATTTATTGCATAGTTGAAGACATTGAGTTATCTCTAAGTTATTACTTCTTGGAATCAATAGAACATATGAGGTCACTGATACAAGCAATTAGAAAAACATTAATATTATTGAAAACTTGACCAAACTGAGGTGTAATCTAACCAGTAGACAAATGGCATTATATGTCAGGGGCAAATGACTGCTGCCTGGATTCTCTCAGTGGTAATTGTTTATAAAACAGATGATAATTTAAGATCTGCATGCATCCAAAGTTGCTGGATAAAATATCCAAAGAAAATATTCTCATCCGCCAACTTACACAGAAATAATGGGAGAAATGGCAGGCATGAAGTGGTTCTTTAAATTGGATAATACAGTTACATTCTGGCAAAAAGGCTTAGCTAATGGAAGTCAAAGAATACACACTATAAACACATTGTATGGGTAGCATACCTTCTTAAGAGGTCCATGTCATGTACATTTTTTGGAAGGAAAGATAAATAAGATTCTGTAACGAACAGCAAATAAAATTCCTAAGATAGCAATAATGAGTAGCAAAAATATATAACATTAAAACATATTAATCTTTAAAATATGCTTATTGAAATCAATCTGAGAAAAAGAAACATCCCTCAACAAAAGCAATAAAGTCATTCTCAAAGACAATAAAAAAGCAAGAAAAGTGATGAAATTAAAATATTTTTAAAAGTAGTAATGGAATTGAACTAAATAGGAAAGCCAACAGTGGTCAAAATTTGAAAATCACACATAATTTGTATACATACAACTTTCACAGTTTCTGTGTATAAGTACTACGAAAGACTTCTTAATATCCAGGAAAAGATTTTAGTTTCAGGGCATACAACCAGATAGATAGATAGATAGATAGATAGATAGATAGATAGATAGATATAGATAGCTGTAGATACACACAAACAAAAATTAAAATATTTCATGTGCAAGTGTTGTTGAGCACTACAGTAAATTATGTTGCAGTTAATGTAAAAAGTTCTATTTACTTCTCTTTAAATAGAACTATAGCCAAGGAGCAAAGTTCAGAGTCATAAAATATTATCAGAACAATTAGGTTTGAGGATTCCACTAGATTAGTTAATCTTTTGTTTTGGTAGAATTAAGTCCAGATTCTTCATTTAATATTTCAAATCACTGAAGTAGAAATTCCAGAGTATCTTTAAAACATGGTAGGCTCTCATGAAAACTATCCACAAGGCAAAATTTGGATTTGGCAGTATCACTGACTACCCTTGTGATAGTAAGCATAGTATTTAAAATATGTCACAGTTTTTACACCTGTAAAATGGGATTAAAGTATCCATCCTACCAACTTCCTTGTGAATATTAAGTTAAATGTTTTTGTAAAGACTGTATAAAAGAAACTTGTATTCAAACCTATGTTATGACTCATATAATACTGTAAAAAGAAAACAGAGTGAATACATTTATAGGGAATTTCTCCAATAAGTACAATTCATAAAAATAATGACATAATCAGATTGATTCTAACAGATTCTAGCAGCCATTATAATTGAACAACTCATTACTTATAAAGAAGTAGGTATGAATTAATACTAAATGTGGCTCAAAATGTTCAGAATCCTCTTTCCTTTGCTTGAAAATTGTCAGTAGTTGCAAATTAATTGGCATAGCATACAGAGAGGCTTTAGGTAGCCTTTACTTTCTGCTGCAGCCTCATTTACCAGCACTCAGGCACTCAGGGTATCAAGCTATAAAAATTTTTGTAGTTCTTCGAAAGTGCCATGCTCTGTCTCACCTCCTGGCATTGTATATGTGGTTCTTTTTCTGCCCTCTAAAATATGATTCTAGTCATATTCTTCAAGACAATACAAAAGCTTTATAGTGTCCTGTCCAGGCACTTGAATATACTACTTATTATTCCATTTGTACCGCTTTCCTTCTTTTCTTTAGACTCTATGCTTCAGGGTTTCTTTGATATTCACAAAAGATGCAATATACTATCTTTCCCGTTTCCAGGTATTTATGATTGCCATTCTGTTTTCCCCAAAATAAATCTGCTTCCTATTCAATAATTAGCTCTTGCTCATATTCCTAGTCTGCATAGGACAAATTGTTAATCAGAGAAGGGTAGTTTATTTCTCACGCTGGATTATTTCTTGGGTTAGCCAAGGGATTGATAGGAAGGGAGGCAAAAAAGAAACAAGACTGTATAACTGTTCCGGGTTCAAATGGTACACATTACAAACGAAACATGCAGTACCCTCTAACTTTATTCATCTTTTGCTAACTTGGATGCCTTTTCTATTTTTTTTTCTTTGCTATCTCATTCATCCAAGCCAAGATTCACGGTCTTCTTTTACAGAGGCTTTCCTTTCTTTAGTATTCTGGGTTAGAAAACCCTTTTTATTATTTAATCCATATAGCACAGCACTATGCTCTATCAAAATTATGTCCTTATTTGACTTACTCCAGTATTTATTTTAAATTCCTGACATTCAAAGTCTGCTTTATATCTCACCACTAAAAGATCAGTATGAAAACTCAGATTACATTAGATAATTGAATAAATGGTTTTCCTACTGATCTTTTAGGCTTACATAAATTTATACATGATTGCTAACTTGGCTTTAACTTGGCAGTCATCTGTTTCCCATCCACTTTATTGGCTCACATGTTAACGATCAAGCTACCTCATTTATTTTACTTCAGATACCGGTAAAATAGACTACAAAGAAAAGTTTTATGCAGCTTTGCTAGACTTATTGGGATTAGTAGAAACACATCGGCCAACAACTTCATGTCCTCATTATCTAAGTTGTCCAAGGTGCACTCAGTAGGTCTGAGAATCCTATAAACTCCTTCTTTATTCAGCATTTAACTCCAACTAAATTTACCTATATCATAAATATTTTTTTTTACTGCCTTTAGTGATCAATAATCCAGAAATTTCTTTCAGATGAACTATACTATACCCTATTACTCACATGGACACTGGATTTCTGTATATTCTTAAATGAATTTCAGTTTATGGTATAATTAATATTCTATAAATATCCACAGACTTTTATTCTGAATACTGAAAAAATTCAATATTTTTAGAATATACTCCCATTATAAATCCTTTTTTCGTCATTTTTTTTAATCAGGTCTTGACCCAAAGGGTGCCAGTGGTGGTAGAAATAAAAGGAGGAGATAGATAATAAAGACATTGCATACACTGAATCAGCTATACCTTGCAATTTATGGAATATACTGAGGAAAAAAGTGTAGTAGAGATTGGCTAAGGTTTAGCTACTTTGAAAATGTTGGTAGCATGGAAAAGATAAAATGGGTGATATACTAATTTGAATGAACAGAAGGTTTTAAGATAGGAAACGTTGAATTGAGTAGCTCCTGAAACATCCAAACAGATGACAGTTTGACAGTCAGAAATGTGAAACTAGAATTTAGGAGAAAGGTCGATATTATATCACAGAGTTGGGTTTGAGTCATTCTCATAGATGTGAGTTGGTCAGAGAGGTAAGGTGAGAATGTTCAGGCACACATTGAGAAAAATAAGCTGACTCATTCAAGGTGACACCTGGGAAAGAAATATAAAGAATAAAATGATTTTCAAAAAGAGATGCTCTCTTACTCATCACAGTGAATAGCACATAACACTAAAAATCTATGTGAATAAATGAATAAATAATAAAATACAGTCAATACTGCAGAAGAGTTTAATAGAATAAGAAGTAAAAAGATGTTTATTTACATCTAAAAATTAAACTTATCCATCCATACTTCCCCCAGGGTAGAGAATTGAACAAATACTCAAAGTTAAATGCTCACATAGTAGCATTCGCTAAAAATTATTCTCTTTTAGAGCAAACTTAAAGAACCGTATATGAGACATATTTTGACCTCTACTATAGTGATAATTTGTTACTTTGTGCTCTTTTGTAGTGAAACTCTAATATTTTTTAGCGTTAAAATTCACCCAAGAAGATAATGGCATGTTTAAATATAGCTAAAATAGAGAAATACTCAAAGTAGAAACATGATTCAACAAATAAAACAAATATACAATTTGTACAATATTAATAACCTAAGCAGGCACAGGAACTAGAATAGCTAATACCAGTGTAAAAAAAACAAAAATAAATTGGAGCATAATGCTAACAATTTTTAAACTTATGATAAAACCATCAGAATGAAGGCAATGTGATATTGCTAAAGGCACACATACATAGATTAACAGAACAAAATGTAGATTCCAGAAATAGATCCACACGAAGTGGTCAATAAATATTTAACAAAGATACAAAAACAAAGGAGAAAAAAAATCTTTTCAATAAGTTATTTTGAAGCAATTACACATATATATGGAAATAAAATAAAATATAAAAGAACTTCAACCTAAACCACAAGCCAAATTAAAAACAAACTCAAAATATGTCTTAGATCTAAATGTAAAATATTTTCATGAAACTGTGAAACTTCTAGAAGAAAACATAGGAGAAAATCCTTATGAGTTTGGGAAGGACAAAGAGTACTTAAACATGACATCAAAAACATCCATAAAAGAAAGTCTACACATAAATGTCATCAACACTTAAAAAATTACCCCGAAAAAAATATATTGTTAAACAAATTTTGAAAAGGTTTTTAAATTTTTAAATACTCTAGAATAAAATATGTTCAAACTGCATATCTGATAGTGGATGTATTATATATGTAAATATATAAAATATGTTTTTTATAGTAAAACATATCAGCAGTAATGAAAAAAAACCCAATTAGAAAATTGGCAAAAACCATAGACAGATATTTCACTAAAAAGAATATACAGATGACAAACACATGAGAAGACACTCAGCATCATTAACCATTAAGAAAATTCTACTGAACCCATGAGAGACACCACTATGTGACTATTACAACAGGAAGCCTTAGAAATGCTGACAATACCAAAAGCTGATGAGGATGAAAAAAAAAAAAAAGGCACTGGATCATGCATGTTTTTGGTGTTACTGAAAAGTGACACAGCCATTGTAGAAATTGATTTGGCATTTTCTTATAAAGTTAAATGTACACATATCATATTACCCAGCAATCTCACTACTAGGGCTCTATCTTAGAGAAATGAAAAGTGATTTTAAATAAAAACCTGCACAAGAGTGTTTATCAAATTTCTATTTATAATTTCCCTAAGCTGAAACAACCAAAATGCCCTTTAGCAAATGAATTAATGAAAAAATTCTGGTACATCTAGGAAATAGGATACTACTCAGAGAATGAAAATGAACGAATTTATGGTTCACACAATAACTTGGATGAATTTCAGGTGCATTATGTTAAGTGAATAAAACCAGTCTTCAAAGGTTCCATGCTATGTGACTCAATATGCGTGACATTTTCTAAGAGACTGAACTATAAAGATGGAGATCAGATCATTTACTGCCATGGACTGGGGCTAGGCAGATGGTGTGCCTATAGAAGAGTAGCATGAGGACTTTCTTCGGCTGAAAAAATTGTTCTGTGTCCTGATTATGTTGATGGGTACACAAATCTATTCATGTAACAAAGTTCATATGACCGCATGTCAAAATAAGACAGTAAATTCTACTATTAGTTAATCAAAGGATACTCTAAAGGATCGTAGAAGGCATTGAGTTTGATCCCTTCATTCAATGCATGATCAAAATTAGACCTAGATTTTATGCATCAGTTGCCTAAAATTATGCAATCATGTATTAGTAAGACTGAGAGTCCCTTTAGAGTTCTGATTGATCATAAATGCTGGAACAAGCCTCAGGCTTCCTGACACTGGATCAAATTGTTTTCCCTGTACAATATTACTTTAGATAATGAAAAACAGTGGTTAATTATCTAATAAATAATTCTTCTAAAAGCTTGCTGTAAATGATATGTCCTCAGATCATCTTTAAGTTAGAAGATAAAATTATCTTGAGTAACATTTGTCTTCGACCTTTGTGTCTCAACTATAGTGCTAGATTTTTCAACTTGCTTCTTATCAATGAGCTGCGAAAAAAGATGAGTATTTCTATGAAGTTCTGATTGATCATAAGTGCTGGAACAATTTAGAGGAAGTAGAAGAATGAGGCAACTAGAAATACCTCAACATCTCTAGAATTTGCCAAATACTGAATCAAAGCATCAGGAGGGAACAAATCACTTGCTTCCTACCCATGATTTGAGTCATCTCCTGCTCACTCAGCCACTTCAAAAAAGGAATTACAACAACTAGAGCCACAGAACAGTTGGAAGTCACAGTTTATCTTTGACTAGTTAAAAATCAATTGTAGTGAAAAAGATACAAGAACAAATAGAAAGCGCTAGCCTGGCCAAATAGCCACAACCAATAATTATTTAAAATGTTGTTGTCAAGGAAAGAAAAAAAATACAAGATGGAGAGAAAGAACAGTTAAAAATCAGAAATATAGAAAAAAGAATAATACATGAACAATGAAAAGATTTAATTATAGCTCCATATCAAATATCCTGGCAGGCCTCCAGGGAAGAGAAAGAAAAATAAGATACTGTATGTGTTAAGAAGAGCTTGGATTTGGGAAAATATCAGATCTTAACAGAAATTGTACCTAAACTATTTTATCAAATTATTTTTCTGGCCTAAAAATAAAAAATATTCAGCAAGCTAAATTAATCAATTAATTATACTATGGCTAAGCTAAACTTGGAATCCTCATTTGATTGTATACTGATATTTACACAAAACTTAAAAAGCAATAATAGGTAGAAAAATTATTTTTCATTTTTCATATAGGTCATATTTTCAAAATTCATATTTCATATTTATAAATTAATGCTTACTATAGTTAATGTGTTTGCCTGTGGATTCAAGTCTATCTACCTAAATGTATTATCTAATAGAGTTTAGTTTAAAAAGAAAAAGAAAATAAGGTAGAATATAAACTCTACGAACTTAGGAATATTTCTTTTGTTCACTGATGGGACCCACATATCCAAAACAGTGCCTTGCACATAATATGTGTTTTAAAATAATTGATAAAGAAATATACATTTGGTGAACAATAGATGTACGTGTGTGGCACAACTAAGAATAATATCTTGCATGTCACTTCCCTTTTTGGTAATATGTAGCATTAAGCTTTCCTTATACAAATAACTGAAAATGGTGCATAAACATTTTTAAATATTTAGAAAATTATTTTAGAGCCTATGTAATAATGAGTTATTAAATCAACATTTAGTTGAAGGAAGAAATGTAAAAGGATAAGCAGAAAACCGAAGTCTACTTTGCCTTGTAAGCATTCTCAATGCATACTAAGATCTTAAATTTGATGACATACAGGGGTACAAAGGCTGCAAAGTTAAGAAAAAGTAACAGGAAACTCTCCCTAAGTTCCAGGCTTGATAGAACTCTCACGTTAGAATGAATTAGAAGTCAACTCATACTCACCCATGTAATGGGCTTGCATAATTTATGAATGACATAAATTGACACACTAAAGAACTCCATTGAACTCAAGCAGGAGAAAAGAGAGACAAAAGAGGGAAAGAGAGAGAGAAAGAGAGGAAGAAAGAGACAGGGAAGAAGAAGGAAAGGAAGGGAAAAAAAGGAAGAATATTTTACCCAGACACATCACAGAGAAACTGCCAGATAATAAAGACAAATAGATGTAGAAATGAAGACAGTAAATAAAAAATAATTTTCATGAACATTAACAAAGTACAGCAATATATAAAAACAATACTACATGGTTATTGGGCTTACTTTCAGAAGTACAAATGGTATACATCGTTAACAGATAAAAGATCTGAGTTACAGAAAGTTTAAGTACTTGCCACACATTATACAAAAATAAGTAATAAAGCTGGGATGTGATATATACCTCTCCTGCATAGAGCTCTGTACTAGAACTGTACTACTTTGGGGAGGTAGGGTTCTCTCTCTGTAACTCATCTTCCTGATGAGTAAATGTCAGATATTAATACTTATCTCTGGGATTATTTTAGACAAATAATATTAATGAAGCACGTCACACATTACTGACCAACATAACAAGCAGTAAATAGACAAGCACTTGAGTTACACAGAATTACTGGCCCAGTCCACGACACTAATTCCTCACATTTGCCTTCTAGTTGAAATTCAACCCTAACACACATGATATGTAATTACTGAAAAAAGATACATTGTTTTGTATTCAAGTGTATGACAGTCATAGTTATCTTAAAGTTTTAAAACATGTCCCCTTTCAATTCACATAATACTTTATATTGCTGCTTTGATGCTCACTGATTCCCACTTTATATTTGTAACTATATATCAAGATGTTTAGTTTTCTTTTTGAATTTTTAAGCCTCTTAACATTCCAAGAGTGTGCTGGGAGTCATATGTGATCAATCTTGGAATTTCCAATGATTCATAATGATAATGTACAAAATAAGAAGTACAGAATATCTATGGAAAATCATGAAAATGTCAGATATTAATACTTATCTCTGGGATTATTTTAGACAAATAATATTAATGAAGCATGTCACACATTACTGACCAACATAACAAGTGATGGGCTAAATAAATGAATCAATCAGGACTAGTGCTATAAGAAAATCAAGATTGGGCCTTGAACTTATATTTTTAAACTTTAGACAGAAAACTAGTATTTCCTGTCTTTTTCAGAGCCGTTATGCCAACATTTTAATGACGAGAATGTAGGGGATTGAAATTCCAACCATAGCAGGTAGGCTATAAACAGGTTCCCAGAAAATCATTCAAGTACCTCACAGTCTTATATCGTCCTAAAGTGATATAAGTTGATGTGTGTCTTTATATAGCCTATGATATTAATGGCCTATTTTTGTATCATTAAAGGAAGAAAGAGATAAAGTTACAAAATGTTTTGAATATGGAAGAATAACCCAAGTGGAAACTATCCTTTAGCTTAAATCAAATGGATTGGAGTTCCCTAAGCTTTTTACATTCATTTAAAAAATGCCTAACTGCTGTCTTTAAAGCAATGTTGCACCTGCTAATGTCACACTGAATACCATATGCATATGCAAGCTCTCTCTTTAGAGTTCTCTTCTAAAAATGGTGATATTCCACCCTAGAGATAGAAAATGCGAGGAAAAAAGCACCAAGAATAAGATATTTTCCTTATTTAAAAGCAGATGTGCTTTTCAAAGACGGTTTCTCTCTCATCATGCCTATGGCTATGCAATTAAATAAGATCTCGGATGTGTTAATGGGAGGAGAGCTTACACATTGCGAGCACCAAAAATGTCTTGAGTAACTAGTTAATCTTAGAGAAATACAGCTATAGGCTTCAGTAATCTTTCTATAGAAAGCTAGAGAACTGATCTCCAGGACTTGGCAATGAAGTCAAACTCTGAGGATGCAACTAAAGTATCAATATGTAATAAAAAACTTTAATATGCAGAAGCAGTACAGCCTACTGAAAGCTTGTACTGTTTGCATGAGACTGAGAAAACCTAAGACATAACCATGTCCAACTAAAACAGTTTTATAAGCTTCCAATCAGCAAACCAAGATAGTCTTTGCTTTGAAGCACTAGAGAGCCTGAAGTTATAAACATTTACCATCAATAATCAATGCTACAAATAATTATTTGAAGGGTTTTATTATTCATCTCTTGTGAGTGAATCTATTTCAAAGAAGTTAGGGCACAAGAAAAGCAAGAGCTACTCTGCGAAATATTTGCACGTAGAATGAAGGGAAGTTCATTTAAAAATTATTCCAACTTTCAAATTCCAAACATCACAGTAGAGATGAATAGAAAATAAGCCAGTATACAATTAAATTAATCAAATATAACTGCAGGTAATAAAAGAAAACAAGAGAAAAAGAATGGGGGCATAAGCTATAAACAAAAATAGCAAAATTTTCTGGGATATATTGTCTTAGAACCAGAAATATTTTATTTCCTTTCAAAAACAGGCCTTCATTTTTACTGTTTGATTGTATGTCTTTATACTGCCATCATTACTACCTTCATCAATATTGTCTACATGGTTATAATTTTATCATTATTAGCATTCATATTATTCTTACTTAATGCCTAAAACTTATAACAATACTGGAGATAAAAATATAAACTTTAAAAATACACGAGGAAAAAAGTATAAAATAAAAGTGATAGGGACAGGGGCAGAGAAATTATTGGCTGATGGGGGCCAGTCCCTGCAAAAGTGCCACTCTCAAGCTGAAAAGCCTGAGACCGCAGCCCAAACTGAGCATTTCTATACCTGTTTTCCCAATCAAATGCTGCCTTTACCTAAACTACCCATGACCCGCCTTGCCCCATCTTGTGGATATAAAGACCTCAGACTCAGCCAGCAGAGAGGAGAAGCAGCTGTTATGTCAGAGACTACAGCTGGAGCTCAGAGAGAAGCTGCTTGACGTCAGAGTAACAGCTTTACAGCAACCTCAGAGAGGAATTCGGCCAGATGGGCGGACGTCAGGGTGAGATTACCTTCCTGTCCCATCCCCTTTTTAGTCCCCCTTCCCACTGACAGCCACTTCCATCAGCAGTAAAATCTCCCGCATTTACCATTCTTCAGTTCATTCATGTGACCTCGTTTTTCATGGATGCCCGACAAGAGCTCAGGAGCCACGAGTGCAGAGACAAAAGGGCCCACTGAGCTTTTAACATTTAAGGTGTACACGGAAGGCAGAGCTAAAAGAGCACTGTAACTCTCCCTCTAGGGCTTCAGGGGTCCTGGGCATCCACTACAAGATGCTGCCACAGAGTCCGCATGGAGTTTCCTCCTGCTGGTGCCCAAAAGTGCTCACCCCAGCTTCCGCACCAACTCATCTCTGTGCTCCCTCCCTGGAGGGGTGAAATGCAGTGAGTCCCATAGTGGAGTTTGCCCCTAAACAGTGCCGAAGTATCTGGCTAGTTCCAGCACTCCTGCACTCCAATTCCCACCTCATTCGCCTGTGCGCTCCCTCTCTCAAGGAGTTGAGAACTGTGAGCTGAGTAAATGAGGCACCCCGTTGTGAGTTCTGTGAAGGGGTCAGGGAAATATCCTGCCTCAAAAGTACATGAGGACATTAAGAGAGTTGTAAATTTGAAATAAACTGGCTAGAAGAATAAAAAATGTATAAAGAGTATAAATTTTGATAGAATATTGAACCAATACCATTCTGCAGAGAGTTGAGCTTCCAAAGAATGCTAACGGTGAAAATAAGATCAGTGGTGGGATAGGAGGAGCTGAAAGTTCCCTGAAAACAAACGGTTCAGTGGAAATATTACCAAATATTTTGCTTAAAATAAAAATATTGAGGTTTATACTTGTTATGTCTTTATGGGTTTACATTTTATCAATGTAAGATGAACATTTTGCCCCATCTAAAATGTTTTATATTAAATCTTATTGTTATGACTTTAATAAGTAGGCATCTTTGTTTTTCTTTGAGATGTATTGAAAAAGTATTTTATGCACTGTTCCCAGGATAATATATATTATGTGCTTTTCCAAACTACCATGCATATCCTTAATTTTTATGATTCAGAAATCTAGCCCTTTTACATTATTATACTGATATACTTATTCTTATGACTTTTATATTTCCTTGCCTTTCTTTGACTTTTTTGCTTTATTTTTCCACTTCTTCAAGTAATAAAGTAAAATTTTAAAATAAATTTTTATTCTTTTGTAGTAACTTCAAAAATTTCTGAAGGTATATTACAATTTATTTTTCTCTAGTTTTCAGAATCTAGAATCTCCTTTTGTGACCACTGAGGAAATTAACACAAATTATTTTTGATCCTTTATAAATAGTAACAATAGAATCAGTATTAATTGTAGAATTGGATATATATCATTAACTGGCATGTCTTCACTTGCTATGAGATGGAAATCATGTATTTTTATTATTTCTTAATTTTCTTCTCCTACACCATTTTATATAGGAATGTATTGGCTTTCGTTTGCTTTAACATTTAGTCCATGGATTACAGAATATCTATGGAAAATCATGAAAAACAAAGCAAGAGGAAAGTATATCACTTAAAGGGCTCAGAATTTGATATGCAAAGGTTGAAGAGACATAGGGTTTTTCTTTGGGGAAAATAGTTACATATATTTTTTAATATCAGTCATAAATAAAGTTGTGAGGGGGTTTGGCCCCCCTCCCTTTTTATGATAATGTACAGCCAAAAAAGGGGATACTGAAAGATATTTGCCAATTTCTTAGTCATCCAGCAACAGAACCGCTGAACCTCTCTCCTACTTTTGGAGCACCTCCCGTCTTATGAGGCAGAAGTCTTATCATAAATGCTAAAAACCCCAAATCCTTTGAACTGAAAGCATGGTTGTAAATTCCATTAATTATATAAACCTCCTGTAGATTTTTATTGAATCAATAGAGATCATAGAGAATTTAATCCAGTGGAGGTAGCAGGAATGAGGAAATAGCATCAATTTCCACAGAGAACCATCAAATAGGTTGCAGATCTAGCAGGAGTATTCAATAAAGAGTGTCAGCTTCATTGTGATAGAGGAGGAAGTGTAGGATCTGCTCTTTGCAACAATACACTAATGTGTTACCTGAACAATATGTTCAGTGCTTTTCAAAACACAGGCTAAAACAAATGATGAACAAAGGAAAAATAATTAAACTGGAGTAAAGTTTAAAAATATAGGAAGTTATAAATTATAAAATACACAAATATTTTAAGCATAAAAATCATTTCAATTTTAACAACAATATAAATGAGTTAATTTATAGCATTAAAAGGCAGAGTCCATCTGATAGATTAAATTAACAAAGCAGAATAAATGCACAAAAAATCAATTATATCTGTCAAAATATAATTAAAACAAGAATGGAAAATGCATTTTTTACATTATAATGTACTTAAGATAACATGTATTATTTTAACCAACTTCTCTCTCACCTACCTACAGTAATTTGATTTTTGCAAGAAATACAGGACACCTATTCTTCAGTAAGACAGCACTATTATTATCTTAGCATCATTATAATGGATGGGTTTTTATCCTGTTACATGAAAAGATACCAATATCTATGAAATATAAATAAAAATGATACCGACCTAAGTTCAGGTAATGAAAGTGTATTGCTTCATGTGCCAAGTGAATGACAATGGCTCCTTTAGTTTTCCAGGTTTTTGAAATACAGGAGATAAATCCCTTGACAGCTCAAGAATGAAATAATAGGTACCAAAGGCTTTTTTTTCTCTTGTTTATTTCCTCCAATAAAGTGGCCAATCTGGCACAGCAAATGAAACGCTGAATTTAACAAGCAACTTCACGTGCAATAAATTATTGTCATTTTTCGAAGTCTATTTGAATTCCAGACTGGCCAAACATATCTTTTAATTTTAACACACACATTATTTCAAACTCTGTTCTAAGACTTTGCAATTATCTCATTTAATGCTTACAATAAATCACTCTAGCAGGTAGACAGTACTTTTTCTTTGCATTTACAAATAAGAAAATGCAGGTATAGAAAATTAAAAAAAAAATTGTCCTAGAAAATGCAAATAGTAAGTGGTAGACTTAAAATTTGAATTAGTGTGTCTGTTTCCCTTAACTAAGCTCTTTTTTTTCCTGCATTTTTTATTTATTTATTTATTTATTTATTATTATACTTTAAGTTTTAGGGTACATGTGCACATTGTGCAGGTTAGTTACATACGTATACATGTGCCATGCTGGTGTGCTGCACCCACTAACTCGTCATCTAGCATTAGGTATATCTCCCAATGCTATCCCTCCCCCCTCCCCCCACCCCACAACAGTCCCCAGAGTGTGATGTTCCCCTTCCTGTGTCCAAGTGATCTCATTGTTCAATTCCCACCTATGAGTGAGAATATTTGGTGTTTGGTTTTTTGTTCTTGCGATAGTTTACTGAGAATGATGATTTCCAATTTCATCCATGTCCCTACAAAGGACATGAACTCATCATTTTTTATGGCTGCATAGTATTCCATGGTGTATATGTGCCACATTTTCTTAATCCAGTCTATCATTGTTGGACATTTGGGTTGGTTCCAAGTCTTTGCTATTGTGAATATAACTAAGCTCTTAATGCCACCAAGATGCCTCTGGGTGTCATGAGGATGTCTCCAAAATTGGTCAAGTCCTAAATATTGCGTTAATGTCTTTGATTTATTCAGAATGTGAGAAAACTTTGGATTTTCTATAAAGAGAGGACTTCATGGACTTCAATTTGACACTTCTCATCACAATATTTTATATTTCATTACTCATAGAAATCAATGTCATACAGTTTCCAACTTTATCTCTTCCCACTGTACCACAAGAGCTGTTTAATAAAACATCAGGTTTTTTTTTTTTAGGTTCTTTGAGCCATCAAAAGCATCCGATAGTTTTCCCTTACAATATAGTACTCTATATTTTCAAACTTATGTTCTAATTTTCATATTAGAAAAAAATTCCCAACAAAAATTGTCATAAATTAGAAAGCCATTGAATCAAATTTTATGTTATCTTAACCTATAAGAAATCACAGATTTTTTTTTCTCCCAGATCTCTTAACATATATTGAGCCAAGGATTTTGAAATTTTGTTTAACTTCACAGTGTAATTAGAAGCCACAAGCCATTCTACCTTCTTTCAGTTCTTCATGCTCATCATACTGTTTGGTGCCAGTGGCTACTGGATGCCTCAAAGCTTTGCCTTCACTGGGAGTTTTATGATTCTTGATCAAATGCACTAATTTTATTACCATTCAGCCTCTAAACACGGTGGGCTGCTCGAGTAACATCTTTTTGTACTATTAGCTACAACCTTACTGAAAGATTTCCATTTTCTGTTGCCTCAATGTGGCACCAAATACTATATCAGTTTTAATACTTGCCACAACACTATACACTCTGGTTAGTTTAAGAATACAGATTATTTGTTGAAGGATATCCCAGAAATCTGTGATACAGTCAGGAGTTCAAATTCAAAAGCTGATTTAGTGAGCACACAACTGTTGTTTACACACAATACAATACATTAACGTGTTCAGAAGCTTTGCAACTGCTGCCTTTAAAAGGCCTCCAGTGTTACATCATCTAAAGATTGAGACTTTTCAGTGCTTTATTTTTCAAGTTGCTTATTTCTTAATTAAAATATCACCGACTCTATTTGCTTGGCAGTTCCGAAATCACATGTTTCCAGTCTCCAGAATAAAGGGAAAAGTGGAGAGTAAATATCAACTTTCCCATTAGAAAAGAAGAACTTATGAGACTTTCTCCAAACATAAATGGCTGCTCAAAGGATTCCGCGTCACCACAAAAATAATAATATTAAAAATGTGTAAGCTTTCCCACTCCTTGAATGTTAGAAAACATTAATTTTATTTTCTTATTTGAATTATGCATGGATTAGATATAAATTTATTATTTTTCCTTAGACATGTATTTTCAAGTATTGATTATTGCAAATTACAGTCTGAAATTAATGTGCTGCTTGTGCTTATCATACAAAACATTCTTTGTTTTGTTTTGACAGTTTTCCAACGTGTCCTCTTCATCACTGATGTCTTGAAAATTCATTAGAATACATCAATACTTATTTATTGTATTAATATTTTTAATTGTTTCTTCTCAGCTATCAGTTGGCCTTTTCAGTCTGGATGGTACAAAACTTCATTTGGCTTAGAAAAATAATATTCTTACAATCAACTCTCTTTTTAACTACTCAAGTTTTAAAAGAATATTATTTTTACTACTTCCATAGTTTCACTTAATGCCTTACCATGTACACTTTTTATTAAAACCTAGAGGTTTTCTGTTGAGGTGATGTAGCAAAACCTCTCTTGTCAAGATCCTGAATGAACTCCAAAAGAACAAGCCCAAGGATATCTCATGTCTTTTTTTCTACAGTATATCACATGATCACATCCTCAATGATAATCCTGTTTTTCTGATTGGCTTTACACTCCATCTTCTTGATTCTTCCATCTTTCAGATTACTCCACTGCCTATTTTGTTAGCTCTTTTCCCTTCCCCTAAAACTTAAACATGATTATGTTACAAGTCCCTTTGGTCAACTTTTCATTTACTTTATTTTATTTTATCGAGATATCTGATTTTCTCTGATTAGATTATTTTCATCCTTGTAGACAAATTGTAAATCTGTACTTAGATATCTGTCTAGTCTTGAGAGCTTCAGTTACCTATATTACTATGTGCTATACTTTTCTATCTAGATATCCTTTTTCAAACTCAATATACATAAAACCCAGTCTACTTATATAATTTCCTACAAGAAAAAAAATCAAATAAAAAATAACTAGATCCTTCTAGGGATCCACCTTGCAGTAATGAGACCCAAAAATTCAGAACTGAGTTTCTTATTAACTTTTTCATAACCAAGGTGAGCTGATCCAGGAATAAAGAAATAGGATGGAGGAGGCCTTGTTATTTACATTTTCATGATTTTTATCTCAATGCGTTCAGATGCCCTAGTATCCAAGGATGAACGCTTTCATCAGGAAACATTGTTATGCTTGACTGTAAACTGGAAGCTGAGATTGACTGATGGCCATGTTAAGCTCATCTTGCCAATGAAACAAAATGCAGAAAAACAATTACTATGTTTGCTTAGAAGACTTGTTAAAATTACCATGGAGAAATTGGGTTGCTACAACACAATAGGAACAAGGAGAAATATATTTGGAGTCCAGGGTTCACTGGGGCTCCTTTTTTTTTGAGACAGAGTCTTGCTCTGTTGCTCAGGCTGGAGTGCAGTGTGCGATCTCGGCTCACTGCAACGTACGCCTCCCAGGTTCAAGATTCTCCTGCCTCAGCCTCCCGAGTAGCTGGGACTACAGGCGCATGCCACCACACCCAGCTAATTTTTTTTATTTTTAGTAGAAATGGGGTTTTATCTTGTTAGCCAGGGTCTCAATCTCCTGACCTCGTGATCTGCCTGCCTTGGCTTCCCAAAGTGCTGGGATTAGAGGAGTGAGCCACCATGACCAGCCCACTGGAGCACCTCTTATATCTTCTTGCCCAACAATTCTAATCAACAGAATGTTATGGCAACTGAATAAACACAAAACCAATAAGAACTTAGATCCTGCTAGAATGAAGATCTTTTTAATCCACTAAGTAAAATCTAGCCAATCTAGCTAAGGTGCTAGCAGAAGGTAAAGGTAACTACAAATGTATAATTGAAGAAGGAACCATGATTACCAACTTAGTCCTCAAAACTTGCCACAGGGAGGGACTATAGTGCTATATTTTATTGCATATAATTGTGTTATTTTATCCTATTTTCCCCTCCTACCTTATATTAAGTGTCCTAACAATTTGCTTTCCTGTTGTCATTTGTCATTACTCTGTGATGATATAGATGGATAAGACTTTAAATATTTTCTCTTTCCAGTAGATAATATTCTAGTAAGATTAAGTACAAAAGTGGATGTTAAGGGGTAAATGGAATGGATGATGTGAGATATCGTCTCTTTGCTCTTCAGATCTGCTTTCTACACATTTCTTCATGCTTTATCCCATGGTAGGCTGATCTACAGGTACTGATTTAATAGGTTCCCTTCTTCTGACTTTCAGTTTGGATGCCATTGGAAAAATGCAGTAGGAGATTACAGGATAGAAAAGAGTAAACTCAGATTATTTAACACTCTAATGGTGAACACTTTATGATGATTTTTTTTTCAACAGAAAGCCACTTTTAAATTGGGGAAAATTATCTCTTTTGCTGAGTCTAGATTTAGGAATGGAAGAGCTTTCCTGCTTCAAATTTATGTTTCCTGCACTATACTGTAACAATATCCTATATCTTTCTTGTTTCTTTATAATTAGTTGTAATTTAAATAAACCCACCTGGTCTTTCCCCCAATTTTGATATCCTAAAATAAATGATGCATTTCTTCTTATGACCGTAAAAACTAAATTATCCATTCCTCAATGCCAGAAGTAAACACCAACCTGAAGATGGTATGAATCCTTTCCAAACATGTTTTATATTTTCTCTACCTATGCTCATGCATTTAAATGTTTTGTATTATGTAAAGTGTGCTTTTATTTTAAAAAATTACAAATTGTAAAGTTATACTTTCACAATTGGCAGGTTTCATTTGAAAATAGTTCCTAGTTTATCAAGTATCATAAAAATAGAAACAAACATTAATGGTAGCAAATAGGAAACAGTAACAAATATGATAGATATTAAACCAATTCTATCAATAATCACGTTTAATTTCAATTGCCTAAGTGTACCAAATAAAAGAGATTTTCAGAGTGGATAAAAAATGACACCCAACTATATGATGTCTACAACAACCCACTCCATATATAAACATATATAAACAGACATATACAGTAAAAGTAAGTAAATGAAGAAATGCATAGCATACTAACACTAATCACAATAACGTGCAAATAGCTATATTAAGGAAGAAAAGTTGTCAGGGGTAAAGAGGGGCATTACATTCTGAAGAAGGGGTCAATTCTCCAAAAAGGCATAACAATACTTAATTTATATGTGCCTGAAAATAGAGCATCAAAATACATGAGGAAAAAAATGAACTGAATTGCAAGAAGTAAATAAATCCACTGTGATAGTTAGAGGCTTCAACATCCTTCTATTAGAAATAGAACAGCAGTTAGAAAATTAATAAGGACACAGTTGAACTCAATGATATCAATCAATTCAATAGAATTGATCACTATAGAATACTTTATCCAACAACAGCACAATACAATTATCAAATTCATGTGGAATATTCACCAAAGTAGACTACATTCTGAGACATAAAACACACCTTAACAAATTTTAAAAGGATAGAAATCAGAGCCTCAAGTGGTGGTGATGTCTGTAGTCCCAGCTACTTGGGTATCTGAGGCGGGAGAATCCTTTGAGCCCAGGTGTTAGAGGCTTCAGTGAGCTATGATTACACCACTGCACTGCACCCAGGGTGACAGAATAATACCCAATCTCAAAATAAAATAGTAAAATAAATCATACCATATATATTAGTCCATTTTCACACTGCTGATAAGACATACCTGAGACTGGGAAGAAAAAGAGGTTTAATTGGACTTACAGTTCCACATGACTGGAGAGGCTTCAGAATCATGGTGAGAGGTGAAAGGCACTTCTTACATGGCATCAGCAAGAGAAAAATGAGGAAGATGCAAAAGCAGAAACCCTTGATAAAACCATCAGATCTCATGAGACTTATTCATTATCATGAGAATAGCATGGGAAAGACCAGCCCCCATGATTCAATTACCTTCCCCAGGTCCCTCCCACAATACATGGAAATTCTGGGAGATAAAATTCAAGTTGAGATTTGGGTGGGGACACAGCCAAACCACATCATTCCATCCCTAGCCCCTCCAAATCTCATGTCCTCACATTTCAAAACCAATCATGCCTTCTCAACAGTCCCCCAAAGTCTTAACTCATTTCAGCATTAACCTGAAAGTCCACAGTCCAAAGACTTCTCTGAGACAAGGCAAGTCCCTTTTCCTATGAGCCTGTAAAACCAAAAACAAGCTAGTTACTTCCTAAATACAATGGGCGGTACAGGTATTGGGTTAATACAGCCATTCCAAATGGGAGAAATTGAGCAAAACAAAGAGGTTACAGGGCCCACACAAGTCCAAAATCCAGTGGCGTAGTCAAATTTTAAAGCTCCAAAATGATCTCCTTTGACTCCAGGTCTCACAACCAGGTCATACTGACGCAAGAGGTGGGTTCTCATGGTCTTGGGACTCTGTGTGGGGGCTTGAACCCCATTTTTCACTTTTGCACTGCCTTGGCAGAGGTTCTGCATGAGCCCCTATGTCCCCCACCCCACCCCACCCCACCACACCAAACTTATGCCTGGGCATCCAGTTGTTTCTATACCTCTTCTGAAATCTAGGCAGAGGTTCCTAAACCTCAATTCTTGACTTCTATGAACATGCAGGCTCAACACCACATGGAAGCTGCCAAGGCTTGGAGCTTCCACCCTCTGAGGCCATGACCCAAGCTCTATGTTGGCCCCTTTCAGCCATGGCTAGAACAGCTGGGACACAGGTTACCAAGTCCCTAGGCTGCACACAGCACAGGGACCCTGGACACAGCCCATGAAACCACTTTTTTCTCCTGGGCCTCTGGGCCTGTGATAGGAGGGGCTGCCTTGAAGGTCTCTGGCATGGCCTGGAGACATTTTTCCCATGGTCTTGGGGATTAACATTACTCTCCTTGGTACTTAAGCTAATTTCTGCACCTGGCTTGAATTTTTCCCCAGAAAATGAGTTTTTCTTTTCTACTGCATTGTCAGGCTGCAAATTTTCTGAACTTTTATGTTCTGTTTCCCTTATAAAACTGAATGCCTTTAGCAGCAACCAAGTCACCTCTTGAATGCTTTCCTGCTTAGAAATTTCTTCCATCAAAAACCTTTAATCATCTCTCTGAAGTTGAAATTTCCACAAATTTCTAAGGCCAGGGCAAAGTGCTGCCAGTCTCTTTGCTAAAACATAACAAGAGTCACCTTTACTCCAGTTCCCAACAATTTCCTTATCTCCATCTGAGACCACCTCAGCCTGGATTTTATTGTTCATATCACTATCAGTGTTTTGGGAAAAGCCATTCAACAAGTCTCTAGGAAGTTCCAAACTTTTCCAGATTTTGCTATCTTTTTCTGAGCCCTTCAAACTGTTCCAACCTCTGCCTGTTACCTAGTTTCAAAGTTGATTCCACATTTTCAGGTATGTTTTCAGCCACACCCCACTCCTAGTACCAATTTACTGTATTAGTCTGTTTTCACACTGCTGAGAAAGACATATTCGAGACTGAGAAGAAAAAGAGATTTAGCTGGACTTACAGTTCCTCATGGCTGGGGAGGCCTTAGAATCATGGTGGGCAGCAAAAAGCACTTCTTTCATGGTGGCAGCAAGAGAAAAAAGCAAAAGTGAGAACCCGTGATAAAACCATCAGATCTTGTGAGACTTATTCTCTATCACAGGAATAGCATGAGAAAGACTGGGCCCCATGATTCAATTACCTCCCCTGGGTCCCTCCCATAACATGTGAGAATTTTAGGAATACAATTCAAGTTGAGATTTGGGTGAGGACAAACCCAAACCATATTACCATGGATGCATCCATACCACAATGGATTAAAATTAGAAATGAGTGATAGAAAGACAACTGAAAAATTCCCACATATATGAAGAATGAATAACATACTTCAAGATAAAACATGGGTCAAGAAATAATATCAAATTTAAAAATATTTTAAACTTAATAAAATATAGTTTATGAAAGTTTATAGAATGCAGTGAAAGCAGGGCTGAGAGAAATTTATGAGATTGAATGGATATATATTTTTGTTGTTGTTGTTGTTGGATTTTGTTTTTGTTTTTGTTCTGAGACAGACTCTTGCTCTGTCGCCCAGGCTGGAGTGCAATGGCGCAATCTTGACTCACTGCAACCTCTGCCTCCTGGGTTCAAGCAATTTTCCTCAGTCTCCCGAGTAGCTGGGATTACAGGAACGCACCACCACACCTGGTTATTTTTTGTATTTTTAGTGGAGATGAGGTTTCTCCATGTTGGCCAAGCTGGGCTCGAACACCTCACCTCAGGTGATCCAACTGCCTTGGCCTCCCAAAGTGCTAGGATTACAGGCGTGAGCCACCATGCCCGGCAAAATGGATATATTTGAATAGAAGAAAGGTGTAAAATAAATAATACAATATTCTACTTCAGAAAGCTAAAAAAAGAACAAATTAAATTTAAAATAAGCAAAAGAAAAGAAATAATAAAAGTTGGAACAGAAATTAATGAAAAGCAAAACAGAAAATCAATAGAAAAAATGATACTAATAGTTGATTCTTTAAAAAATCAATAAAATTGATAAACCTCTAATCAGGCTAAGGATTAAAAAGACACAAATTACTAATAACAGAAATGACAGAGCCTATGGATGTTAAATGGATAACGAAAGAATACTATCAATAACTATGCACACAAATTTGATAACCTAGATAAAATGGATCAATTTCTTGACATTTGGGAAAAGGCAAAATTATGGAGACTGAAAAAAGATCAGTGGAGGAGGAATAGATGAATAAATAGGAGGAGGACAATATTTTGTAGGCCATGTACATACTCAATATGACAATATAATGGGGATATATATCATTATACATTTTTCAAACCCATAGAAATACAACAACAAAATGGATCCTAATATAAACTGTGAACTTTGGGTGATAATGCTGTGTCAGTGCATGTTTATTAATTGTAAGAAAAATACCACTTTGGTGGAAGATGTTTATAATTGGTGAGGCTATACATGTGTAAGGGCAGTGGGTATATGGAAAATCTCTGTATCTTCCTCTCAATTTTAAAGAGAAGTATAACTTCTCTTTAAAAAGTCTTTAAAAGCCAATTGAGGCATTTAAATTAAGTTTTAAAAAAATTCAGGCAAGAATAAACAAGTGGAAAAATAAGAAGGAACATACAGGAAGCAAATAAAATGTCAGACAAATTCTACCATATACAATTTACATTAAATGACCGTGGACCAAATTTTCCTATTAAAATATAGAGATTGACAGAATAGATAAAACACAGAAGCCAAAAGTAGACTCTTGAAAAAGGTTAACAAAACTGATAAAACTCAAATTAAACAGAAAGAGATCACCAACTACCAATATCAGTTATGAAATACCAGTTCTTACCAACATCAAAAATGTAACAGAATATAATGAACATCTGTCAACAAATTTGACAACTTAAAAAAATTAAGAATTTTTCCTCAAAATTTTTCCTAATATGTCAGAAAATAAAGCAAACATCTACATAGTAATATATCTATTAAAGGGTTTAAAATAAAAATCAAGAATCTTTACATAATACTCCAGGTCAAGATGGTTTTACAGCTCAATTATGTCAAGTATTTAAATAAAAATAAAACCAATTCTCCACACCTCTTTCCGAAAGTAGAAGAGAAAGAACAGAACTAGATTTACCAAGGTAATCAAACATTATAAAGATATTACTGGATTAATAATTTCAAACTCTGGATGATGTTAACTCACCAGAATGAATTTACTTAGAACTTCCCAACACACATTCAAAATTAGGTTTTCAGGTTGATTCTTACGATGCCACTGATATACCAAGTGGGGACTGATACAGCTTGTATCTGTGTCTGGACCCAAATATCTGTCCAAGTTTAATCCCCAATGTTAGAGGTGGGGCCCTCACACAGGGGCCCCACTGGGGCACTGCCTACTGGAGTTATGAGAAGAGGACCACTGTCCTACAGGCCTCAGAATGGTAGAGGCACCGACAGCTTGCACCATGTACCTGAAAAGCTGCAGGCACTCAAAGTCATTCCTGGAGAGCAGCCTTGGGGACTGAACCCTGGAAAGCCACAGTGGCAGAACTGCCCAAGGCCTTCTGAGCCCATCCCTTACACCACTGTTCCCTTTATGTGAGACATGGAATCAGTGGAGATTATTTTGGAGCTTTAAGATTTAATGAGTGCCCTGCTGGGTTTAGGAGTTGCATAGAGACTGTATCCCCCTTCTTTTGGCCAATTTCTCCCTTTTGGAATGGGAGTATTTACCCAATGCCTGTACCTCCACTGTGTCTTGGGAATAACTAACTTGTTTTTTGTTTTTTGTTTTCTTTTGTTTTTTTTTTTATTTATGTTACAGGCTCATAGGTGGAAGAGACCTGCATTGCCTCCAGTGAGACTTTGGATTTTGGACATTTGAGTTAATGCTGGAGTGAGTTAAGATTTTGGGGATTGTTGGGAAGGCATGACTGTATTCTGCAGTTTGAGAAGGACATGAGATTTGGAAAGGGCTGGGGTGGAAGGATATGGTTTGAATCTGTGTCCCCAGCCAATTTTTTTTTTTTTTTTTTTTGAGACAGAGTCTTGCTCTGTCGCCCAGGCTGGAGTGCAGTGGTGCCATTTCACGCCATTCTCCTGCCTCAGCCTCCCAAATAGCTGGGACTACAGGTACCCCCCACCACGCTTGGCTAATTTTTTGTATTTTTAGTAGAGATGGGGTTTCACCGTGTTAGCCAGGATGGTCTCAATCTCCTGACCTCGTGATCCACCTGCCTCAGCCTCCCAAAGTGCTGGGATTACAGGTGTGAGCCACCGCGTCCGGCCCCCACCCAAATTTTATGTTCAATTGTAATCCCCATGTTGGAGATGGGGCCTGGTGGGAGATGAATTAAATCGTGGGGGCAGTTTCTCACGAATGGTTTAACATCATCTCCCCAGCACTGTTCTCGTAATAGTAACTGAATGATTATTAGGATATATAGTTGTTTAAAGGTGCGTAGCACCTCCCCCCCCTCTCTTTCTCTTGCTCTGGCCACATAAGATGTGCCTATTTCCCCTTTGCCTTCTGCCATGATTGTAATTTTCCTGAGGCCTTGCCCAAAGCAGAAACTGCCATGCTTCCTGTAGAGCCTACAGAACCATAAGCCAATTAAACCTCTTTTCTTCAAAAATTACCCAGTCTTAAGTATTCATTTACAGCAGTGGAAGAATGGACTAATCCAGAGATGAAAAGTTTTATTATTCACATAATGAAGCATTCTATAGGAGTGCACAGCAGTTGGTCCAAAAATGAATTGAGAGAGCCAGGAAAGCTGACTAGCTTAGCTCATATGTTGGTACATTGATTATGTTGGTTATGAATTAGGTCTGGGATAATGTTTCCTGAGCATGGGTTTGGGTTTGTGTGGCTTGAACTTTCTATCAACTACAAAGGAGGGAACACTGACTTTCCTATCAGCTTGATGGGGGCCAGAAGACAAAGGAGGTGTGGTGGGACTTGAATGCTATCAGGAATCAAACATTAAACAACAATGACATTCTTCTGGTTTTGTTTTGTTTTTAATATTCTATTTTTTTTGAAGTAAGACCGCTTAACATAAAATGTATCGTTTTAATAGATTTTTTTTTTAAAGACAGAGTCTTGCTCTGTTGCCCAGGCTGGAATGCAGTGGTGCAATCTTGGCCCACTGCAGCCTCCACCTCCCAGATTCAAGTGAGTCTCCTTCCTCAGCCTCCTAAGTAACTGGGACTACAGGCATGCACCACCATACCCGGATACGTTTTTTTTTTTTTTTTTTGGTAGAGTTGAGGCTTCACCACGTTGGCCAGGCTGGTCTCAAACCCCTGACCTCAAGTGATCCACCCACCTCAGCCTCCAAAGTGCTGGGATTACATGCATAAGCTACCATGCCAGGCCTTTTAATATATTTTTAAGTGTACAATATAATATTGATAACTTTAGGTACAATGTTGTGCAGCAGATTTCTAAAACTTAATTATCTTGAATGATATAAAACTTTATACCTATTGATTAGCAACTCTCCATTACCTTCTTTTCCATGCATCAACCATTATTCTGCTCTCTGGTTCTATGAGTTTGATTATTTTAGATACCTCATATAAGTGGAATTATGCAGTATTTGCTCTTCTGTGACTGGCTTATTTCACTTAGTATAATGACCTTAAGTTTTATCCATGTTGTTGCATATTGCAGGATTTCCTTCTTTTTCTTCTTCTTACTAGTTGAATGGATAAAAAATTTATATATACATAGAGAGAGAGAGAGTTAAAATCATGTAATATATATTACATATGAAAGTATATAAATGTATTATATATTATATATGTTATATGTACTAATAATATAAATAAAATGTATGTAATATAATATATACTTCCTTTTATAAAAAGTATTATATAATACATATTACATATAATAGTATATTATATATATACTGTATGTACTCCTATATTATATATACTAATACTATATTACATGTAATAATATATTACATATAATTATTTATATTATACATAACATATATTATATATTATATATAAAATGTTATTTATATGTGTATGTTACATAATACATAATTTATGTGTATTATGACATATATAATACATATAATTATTTATAATTTTAAATATATAATTATTATAAATATGTAATTATAATTAAAGACATATAATTATTTATAATTTTATTTATCCCTTCATCCATTCATGGAAAATTAGGTTGCTTTTACATCAGGCCCATTGCAAATGCTACAATGAATGTGGGTGTGTTAATACCTCTTTAATATCCTAATTTTAGCTTTTGTGGATAAATATCCAGAAGCAGGATTGCTGAATTTATAGTGATCTATTCTTAAGTTTTTGAGGAACTTCTGTACTGTTATTCACAGTGGCAGCGTCATTTTGCTTTCCTAATAGTGTATAAGGTTTTCAGTGTTCCCGCATTCTTACCAGCTCTTGTTTCTTCTTTTGAGAATAGCCATTTGAACAGGTGTGAAGCGTTATTTTACTGAGGTTTTTATTTGCATTTCTTCATTACTAGTGATGTTGAACACATTTTTATATACCTGCTGATCACTGTATGTCTTCTTTTGTAAAGTATTTATTCAAGTCCTTTACTCATTTTCAACTGGTTGCTAAATTTTGTTTTTTTCTTTTTTTTTTTTTTTTTGCTATTGAGCTCTGAGTTTCTTATATATTTTAGAAATTAAATTAGCTCTTTATCTGATATATGGTTTACAAATATTTTCTCTAATTCCATGAGTTGCATTTTTACTCTGTTGATTGTTTTCTTTGCTGTGTTTGATGTAGTAAACTTGCTGATTTTTGCTTTTGTAGTCTATGCTTTTGGTGTTACATATATTAAATGATTGCCAAGACCAATTTCATGAGGGGTTTTCTCCTTAGTTTTTTATGTGGTTTGGCTTTGTGTCCCCACCCAAATCTCATCTTGAATCGTAATCCCATAATCCTCATACGTTGAGAGGGTCCCGGTGGGAGGTAATTGAATAATGAGGGCAGTTCCCCCTCATGTTGTTCTCATGATAGTGAGTTCTCACAAGATCCATGGTTTTATAAGGGGCTTATCCCTTCACTAGGCACTCATTCTCTCCTGCCACCCTATGAACAGGTGCCTTCCACCATGATTTTAAGTTTCCTGAGGCCTCCCTAGCCATGTGGAACTGTGATTTGATTAAACCACTTTAATTTATAAATTACCCAGTCTCAGGTATGTCCTTATTGCAGCGTGAAAAAGGACTAATACAGTTTTCGTCCAGGAGATTTGTAGAGTTGAAGCTTACATTTAAATCTAACTCATTTTGAGTTAATTTTTTATATGGCATACGATAAGGAACCAATTTCATTCTTTTACATGTGAATATTCAGTTTTCTCAACATCATTTGTTGAAGAGAGTCTTTCTTTCCCTATTGTGTATTTTTGGCACCCTTGTGAAGTGGTATTTATCTTTGGGATGCAAGGATGTTTTAACAAGAGGAAATCAATTAATGTGACAAACTACATTAAGAATGAAGGATACAAATCACATGATCATCTCAATAAATGGAGAAAAATAGTTAGATAAAATCCAATACCCTTTTATAATAAAACTCTCAACAAACTAGGAAAAGCAAAAAATTTTCTCAACATAATAAAGGCTATATATAAAAAGCCCATAGCTAATATCATACTCAGTAAAAATCTAAAAGTTTTCCTTGATGACCAAGAGAAAACCAAGAATATCCACTCTTGCCACTTGTATTCAACATAGTTCTGGAAGTCTGAGCCAGAGCAATTAGGCAAGAAAAAGAAATAAAGACATCCAAATTGGAATGAAAGATGTAAAATTGTTCCTGTTTACAGATGACATGATCTTATATGTAGAAAACCTTATAGATTCCACAAAAATATTTTTAGAATTAATAAATTCAGAAAAGTAGCAGGACACAAAATCAACATGCAAAAATAAGTTGGGTAGGAAAATACAAATTAAAACCACAATGAGCTATCACCTCACATTTGTCAGAATGGCTATTATCAAAACAATGAAAAATAACAAGAGTTGGCCAGGATGTGGAGAAAACAGGAATGCTGTACACTGTTGATGAGAATGCAAATTAGTACACCCACTAGGAAAACTGTATGGATATTCCTCAAAAAACTAAGAATAGAATTACCATATGATCTGGCAATCACACTTCTTGGTTTTTACCCATGAGATTTGATATAAGTATGTTGAAAAAATGTCTGGACTCTTATGTTTATTGCAGCAGTATTCAAAATAGCAAGGTTATGAAACAAACTTGTGTGCATGAACAAATGAATGAATACAGAAAATATACACAATGAAATACTATTGAGTCTTAAAAAAAATTGTCATTTGCAACAACATGGATGGAATTGGAGACCATTACGCTAAGTGAAATGATGGCCAAAGGATATAAAGCCTCAATTAAACAGAAATAATATTTTAAAAATTACTTTGAGATACATTGCATGGTGTGTTTTTGGTTTTTGTTTGTTTGTTTGTTGAGACAGAGTCTCACTCTGTCACCCAAGCTGGAGTGCAGTGGCACAATCTCAGCTCACTGTAACCTCCACCTCCCGGGTTCAAGTGATTCTCCTGCCTCAGCCTCCCAAGAGGCTGGGACTACAGGCACCCACTACCATGCTGAACTAATTTTTGTATTTTTAGTAGAGACAGGGTTTTGCCATGCTGGCCAGGCTGGTCTCAAAATGCTAGCTTCAAGTAATCCACCTGTCTCAGCCTCCCGAAATGCTGGGATTACAGGTATGAGACACTGTTCCTGGCAGTGTGTTGAACATAGCAAATAGTAACTTAATATTTACCATATTCATAAAGTGAATTTTATTTCAAAATCACTAATTCACATAGTGAATTTTAAATGTTCTCACCACAAAAAAATAAGCAATTGAGGTGATGGGTATGTTAACTAGCTTGATTTAATTATTCTACATTGTATTCATAAATCCTAACAACAATAATTCTTTACTAGATAGCGTGACTTATTCTAAAACTATGATAATTAAACTATGATAATTCTTATATTGATGCAGATAGACAAATAAATTAATAGACTGGAATAAATAGCCCAGTAACAGACATGCATACACGAAGACAGTTTATTTGTTAAAAAAAAAAGTGATAATAGAGAAGAGTGAGGTAAATTGGACATCTATGTGGAAGAAAAGAAGAAAAATGGACTTCAACCATGTTCCATATGTAGAAATCAATTTCGTTAGGATTATATATGTATGTATGTAAAAAGTTAAGCAATAGGGAATTTTATAGGGTATAACAGAATATGTTAAGCATTGGCATGAAAGTAAATTGCTTAAATAAGGCATAAAATATAGCATTAGGAATAAAAATACCAGTAATTTCAAATACATCAAAATTGTAATTTTTTCCCTAGCAAATATCATCTATGAGAGAATGAAAATACAAACTGCAGAGTGGGAGAAAATATCTGTAATACAAGATACATAAGCCACAAAAGTTTTTGTGTTCAGAATTTATAAAAATTTCTATAACTTAATAGGACAGACAGAAAAAGCTAAAGAGAAAATAGGTCCAAAACATGAAAAGCAATTTACAAAACTGGATATCTAAAAGGCCAATGAACAAAGAACAAATGTATGTAATCTCATAGTAATCAGAAAAGGACAAATTAAAACCACATTAGATACCATCATATAGCCACTAATGATAAGGTTGACAAGGGTTTAAGGGAACGAGAATTCCCATAAAGTGCCTATATCATAGTGAAATTTGGCATGTCCACTTGGAAAACTCTTTGACATTGTCTACCAAATTTGAATGTATGCATATTCTATGACTCAGAAATTTCTCTCTTCAATGTATAACTAATAGAATGCATGAGCAACAACAGGCATGTAAAAGGAATTGTAGCAGCATTAATTATAATATTCAAAAATTGAAAACAACTCAAATATCCATTAGCAACTCAATGCATAAATAAGTTTTGGCTTATTCATACAATGGAATGCTAAACAGCAATGAAAATGAAGGAATGCAACACCATGTACGTGTCTCACGAATGTAGTGCTGATGAAAAAATGAAAAATAAAAAGTGTGGGCACAGATAGTACATATCATATATTCGTTTTATAAAAAGTAAAAAAAAAAAAATACACATAGGCACTTAGACTTTTGCTAGAAGGGAAAGTGTATTGATTGGGAGGGGTAAGGAAAAGTATTATAGGTGCTGTTAATGTTCTATTTTTTTACCTGGGTGGTGGTTTCTTGAGTGGGCTCCCTTTGTGAGAAGTCATTATGCTGTACTTATGATTTGTACATTTTGTTGTATATATATTTCAATAAATAGTTTTGTATTGTTTTTGTAGAGATGAGGTCTCACTATGTTGCCCAAGCTGGATTTGAACTCCTGGCTCAAGCGATCCTCCTGCATCAGCCTGCTAAGCAGCTAATGCACCTGGCCAAAATAGTTTAGTTTTCCCCGAAGTATGGGAAATCTGTGATACTTAATGAAATATAGGTATTGAAAAGATATTAAAGGAAGGTTATTAATTCTTGGTATATCTGGAACAAATTCAAACAGGTAAGTCTGTATTTGAATTTGAGAAATGGATGATAATTCACCAGGTAAACTTGCTGGAAGAACTTTCCAAGGAAAAGTTAATATTTATTTTCATGTTCATGTTGAGTAAATATGTGTAAAAGTCTTTTTCTGAAAACCAAGTTTTACTCAAAATCAGTTTAAGTAATTTAAGAAGTAAGCTCTTATATAGCCTAAATCAAATCTACTTCATAAATGATAAATTCTGTTTTAGTAGAGTGAATTTAGTGAAGATATTTCTAGTCTTAAACTTGAAGCAAATTTCATTATGTCGTCCAGAGCCACATAGTATGACAAGATGACAATGTCTATTTAAAAATAATAGATAAATGAATTATTCCTTGAAATCTGCCAATAATTTAGAATTTTTAAAAAAATATTCTCATCTGCAATGCCTTAGAGAGAATAATAATAATACCTGCCTTTTTAAAACTATAAATTCCTCTATTGATTATGAATCATATTCCTTTCATTTCACTCAAAATTTAGAAATTATAGTTATAACATATAATGTTGATTATCTCGAACTCTTCTAAAATGGGTATCTTAAAAAATTAGTATTATACAAAGTTATTTCAGATAGTATACTCATTGGAGATTATAAATTTAATAAAATTTTCTTTAAAAAACCCCACAATTTTTAGAGTCTAATTTTTTTTTTTTTTTTTTTGAGACAGGGTCTCACCTTGTCACCCAGACTGGAACGCAATGGCATGATCTCAGCTCACCCCAACCTCCGCCTCCCAGGCTCAGAAATTCTCTTGCCTCAGCCTCCTGAGTAGCCGGGATTACAGGAACGCCAGGCTAATTTTTGTATTTTTTTTTTTTTTTTTTTTTTGAGACGGAGTCTCTCTCTGTCGCCCAGGCCGGACTGCGGACTGCAGTGGCGCAATCTCGGCTCACTGCAAGCTCCGCTTCCCGGGTTCACGCCATTCTCCTGCCTCAGCCTCCCGAGTAGCTGGGACTACAGGCGCCCGCCACCGCGCCCGGCTAATTTTTTGTATTTTTAGTAGAGACAGGATTTCACCATGTTGGCCAGGCTAGTCTTGAACTCCTGACCTCAAATGATCCACTCATCTCAGCCTCCCAAAGTTCTGGCCGGGTGTGGTGGCTCATGCCTGTAATCCCAGCACATTCGAGTCTGACTTTTAAAAGAGATTAGGTATTTGTTTTGAATTATGACAGATTCTTACTAAATTAATTGTTCCCTCTAACAAGAATAATCTCTTAAGTCATGACCTGAAAAGCTTCAGTATGAGAGTCTTATTTAGAAAGAACAAGTTTTACTAAAGCAGAATTATAGCCTATGTTATTTAATTTATGTAAACGTGAAAATCATGTTTTATATTTGGGATGATTTTTGATTTTTGGAGTCATTTGTTTCCAGAGATAAGATATGCATGTCCAAGAATATTTTATTTATACTAGAAAACATCTGATTTATTTTTCAATAACAGTAATAGCAGGCTCCTAAAACATCAGTGGCAAAGCAGAGGCACTCTGTTTTCATGACTGTGATATCTACACTTATCTCAATTATTATTACATTATCATATTTACATGGTCATTAACTACAAAATGCTGATATGCTGGTAAAAAAAATTGAGCATTAAAATTAAAAGATGATGAAATAATTCATTTTTTTATATTTAGTAACAGCTTTCTTGGTAAATATCATTTTTCACTTTTAATTATATCTTAACAAGTAGTGATTCTGATGTGTAACTCCTTTTGGAAAATAAATGACTTAAATTGACCTACTTTAATTTTATTCATTATCTCTAACTGTTATTAAAACCTGTATTTGACATATGCAGATATTATTTGATCTTTTCAAACCACATTCATTTTCATTAAGAAAGCCCCAAGACATTTTCTTTCAGAATATTTTTCAAATATGCTCAGATTTTACTGGTTATGTGAAATGTGACAGCACTTTCAAGTTCTTTATTATGGTTTCCTTCTACAGCGAGAAGCAATTATTCCACATGTATTAGTGCCTGGTTTAGAACTTAATATTTAAGCAATTAGTATCTGTATCTATAAATTAATACATTTACATTCCTTACATAGTTTTAATCATACAAAATGAGTAGAGACTGTCTTTTGGGTCCATTAGTCTTAAAG
The DNA here is from genome assembly GCF_000001405.40 of Homo sapiens. Taxonomy (NCBI): domain Eukaryota; kingdom Metazoa; phylum Chordata; class Mammalia; order Primates; family Hominidae; genus Homo; species Homo sapiens. Next base: position 17,430,313 of record NC_000012.12, on the reverse strand, counting down.
GTAAAAACTGTTTATTTGACGTTAAAGTTCAATTAAACTTCAGTTTTGGAAAAGCGAAGGTAAATTTTTGACACTCTTCTGGCTGATTCTATTTCTATTTCTTCGTGAAAGAGGACAACAAAAGAAACATTCATATTACCTTTCAAAGGAAAAATGTCTATTTTAGACAAATTGTACTTGTTTTCATATTTTTATACCCAGTAATTGCTGACAAAGATGTTCACATAATGACACTTAATCTACTAAAATTATCTGAACTTTAGTATAAGCCCTTTAACTTTGAATTAAATAATATATTCAGCTGTTAAAAATATTTTTAAGCACTGACAAATATATTTATATCTCTCAGTACAGACAGATTTATACACTTGTGATTATGCTATGATTAATATAGAGGTTATCATTTCAAAATGAATTTGTCTGATCTCTTAGCAAGATAAAGTACTTGTGCTATGCCTTGAGCTATCTGTATTATTTGAAAGGTATATGCTTTTCAATTTCAAGTCCATGAAATAGCTTTTGTGGAAATTTAAATTAATTTATTTATATTGTTTTCTATTAGATTGGCTGAAATGAGTAGTACGATTGCATTTGACTGGCTCAAATTCATTATTTCTGTGTGCTGTTTATTATCAGTTGGGTAGGTCCACTTACCAGTGTCATATAAATGAAAGTATGCAAGCTGGTGATTAAAGTCTGATGGCTAGACAAGGATAAGGCCCATGCTGGAAAGCAATTCTTCCATATTTTTGCCAAAATAAGATTTTGCCCATAGGACAGACTGTCAGAGGTCTGCTACAGGGATCTGATGGTGCTGTTCAGACCCACTGTGGAAAGCAATACTGCTCTTTGGGGAAAAATAAATTTTTCCAGCCCATACAACCTTCCAAGGAAAACCGAGGAATCTGAAACTAAAACAGATAACGTTCTAGGAAAACAGATGACTCTGAAACAGATCTGAAACAAAACTTCACTGAATTAAAAAAAAAAAAAATGCAAGCCTAGAGCAGTGGCTGATGCCTGTAATCCCAGCACTTTGGAAGGCTGAGATGGGTGGATCACTACAGGCAGGGAGTTCAAGGCCAGCCTGGGATGCTGAAACCCCATCTCTACAAAAAAAAGCCCCCCAAAATTAGCCAGGCATGGTCGCACATGCCTGTAGTCCCAGCTACTCTGGAGGCAGAGGTGGGAGGATAGCTTGAGTCTGGGAGATCAAGGCTGCCGTGGGCGGAGATGTCCCACTGCACTCCAGCCTGGGTGACAGAGTGAGACCCTGTCTCAAAAAAAGAAAAAAAAATCATTGATACTCTAACCTCTTAAAGCCCCTACTCCAACTGGTAGATCACAGTGATACTTTGGGTCTACAGAATCAATGTCCAGTCATCCCCGAGAACTGTTATTTTTCTTATAGAGATGGTTGGGAGTATAATTAACAGTACAAGTTTCTGGAAGAACTGCAAGGGCCTTACTCAAAGGTACATGTCACTTCTCATATTGAAGGGGTTCTGGGTCTGTGAACTGGAGCTCTCCTCACATTTATTTACTGCAACAATAGTAAATAGTCCCTCTCAAAATGAGAGAACAAATCTTACATGATCAATTCTCTGTAGCATTCCAATCTCCCTAAATCTGTTGATAACCCTCCTTTGTAGTAGAAAAAGAAAGTTTAAGCATTTTATCTTCACATAGGGTAGGCTATTGTTTGGTTCATATTTCAGTTAATCAACCAAACTATAGGAGACATTCCTAGCCCATCAAGTGAAACACTGAATCTCTGCTGCAGAGGGCTAATATCAATAAATCCAGCTCCATCCAACTTAATATATTTTTCTACCTTAGCCCTACAATTATAAAATCCATTCCACAGATTCCTCAGTATTCTGCCTACATAAATTAGCTAAATCATGCAAATGTTTAGGTGTATATCACATCTTATCAAAGGTCTCACTTTATATTTCACAATTTAGGACTTGCTGAAATTTGAGTCTTTGTATAGTGCAAACTAAGGATCAGTGAACTACATAGTACATGCGGTGAAAACTGTTTTTTATAAGTAAATTTCTATTGGAATACACTCAAATCCATTAGTTTATACAGTATCTGTGGTTGCTTTTGCACTACAACAACAGAGATGAGCAATTATGGCAGAAATCATATGACTTTCAAGACAAACATAGTTATTAAATGTCCCTTTAAGAACATTTAAAGGGCTTAGAAGTTGTCTTTCCAGTCTTTATAACAAAAAAAGATGGACAAATTGAAAATCAGTAACTTTTCTTGTACACATTAGAGAACAGTGGTTGCATAACAAAACAACACTACAAAATCAGGAGAGATAGGCATGTCCTAAAAGAAATAGCCAAGATATGGTCACCTAAAGCATGAGCCACTGGAACCATAAACCGGTAAGAATACTTAAATAATAATTGGTAAGAATTAATGAAGTTTTAGGGTAAACTAAGAGTGAGAACATCCTGAAGGAAGGCGCAGAATTTTATGAGGCTCAATGCTTTCCTGGGCTTTCTCTTCAGAAACCCCATCAGGTTCTCATGGTAAAAATCCAGAAAAAAATAATTTACAGTTCTGTCAGGGGAAGGAGAAGAGTAGACCTTATGAAATATGCACTCAGATAAGTTTTTATAATAAAAACTTCATCTCCAGAAGAAAATATATTGCCAGAACTTTTCACATTGTATGTAGGGGATTACACCCATCCTCGCCCTCTTTAGCCTTCTTTTCTCACCAAAAGTGTAGGTGAGAGGGTGTAGACAACAGAGATTAGGGCATCAAGGAAATAATCTGGAAAAACTGCATCTAAGGAAGGGAATAGAAAGTAGGCAGAAATAAAGCCACACCACTGGGGAAGGTCACAACCCCAAGACATAAATTTACTAAACAATGAGGTTTAATTGTAAGATTATGGAATGTTCTTCCTCCCCTACACTTTAATGAGACAGAAATAGGACTCCAGAATAATAATGGTGGGCTATTGTGGAAAGACCTGTAAGATACAGACTCTTTCTGTGGAAGGGATTCATGGAAACTCAAATCAACAGAAGTGACAGAAAACAAGGAAAGTAGAGAAATTGAAGTTTCTGGAACATATAGTGCCAGCAAATATTAAACATAGATAAATTCCTAACCAGTTTAAAACAAATCTTCCCGCTAACATCCCATTTATCTCAGTTCCTATTACTCAAACATTTCGGACTTTTAACAAAAATATTACAAGTCTGTCATAAGATAAAAAAAAATACTATCTGAAGTGACAAAACAAGCATCATAACCAGGTTCACATATAATACAAATGTTGAAAGTGTCCAGCAAGGTATTAAAAATTCCTGTGGTCAATATATAAATGGTTATAATGGAAAAAAGTTCACAACATGCAAGAACACATGGGAAGTGTAATCAGAGAGATGGAAACTCTGAGAAAAAAATTAAAAGGAAACACTAGAAATCAAAATGCTAAAATTGAATTTTAGAATGTCCTTTATAGGCCTGTTGATATACTTGACAGGACCAAGGAAAGAATCACGGAGTGGAAGATATGTCTAGAAAAAAAAATGAATGAATGAAACGAAACAGAAACAAAATAGAAGATCCAAGAACTACGGGTCAATTTCAAAAGGTGTTAATATGCATAACTGGAATACAAGCAGGGAGAGAAAAAGAAGGGAGCAGAAGAAATATTTCAAATAGTAACTCCCAAAAATTTTGTAAAATTGATGACAGACGTAAAATCACACATCCAGGGAGCTTAGAGAACAATAAAAAAAATACCAAATAATCCACACATATCATTTTCAAATTGCATAAAACCGTCACAACAAAATCTTGAGAGATGCTGGGGAGAAACAATACGTATTGCCTAAAGAAAAACAAAGATAAAAGTTACAGTGGGCTTATGATCAGAAACCATGCAAGCAGGGAGAGGAGTGAAATATTTAAAGTGTTGAAAGAAAAATAGCCATCGACCAAGAAAATTATAATCAGCGAAATTATTCTTCAAACATGAAGGAGAAGTACTTTCTCAGAAAATCAAAAAATGGCAGAATTCATCTTGAGCACCTTTGTTCTGGAAAAAATAAAATTAAAAAATTATTCTGACCAAATGAAAATGAAATAGGTCAGAAACTTGAATCTACATAAAGAATGTAAGAGTGTCAGATAAAGGAATAAAGGATGGTACAATAAATCTTTAATTTTTCTTATTCTTAATGGATCTAAAAGAAAACTGCTTAAGGAAATAAAGGTAACAATATATTGGGTGATTATAGCAGAGCAATCAGGGAAATGAATGAGAACAATATCAGAAGTAACAGGATGAAAGTACTGGAAATAATATGTAATAAGGTAAATACACTAAACTTGAAGTGATACAATGTTATTTGAAGGTGGACTTTGGCTAAAGTGTGTATTATAAACACTTAAGCAAAACAAAAAACTGAACTGATAAGCTAAGAGAGGACATAAAAAGATATTTAAAAGGTTCCATTACTACTAGAAGAGACAGAAAATGAGAGGAAAAAAATTACACAATATATGCAAAGAATATACAACTGTTACAAACATGATAGATATTAATCCAACAATATCAGTAATCACTTTAAATGTGAATGCTCTCTATATACAAGTTAAAAAGACAGAGATGCCGGGTGCGGTGGCTCACACCTGTAATCTCAGCACTTTGGGAGGCTGAGGTGGGCAGATCACGAGGTCAGAAGATCGAGACCATCCTGGCTAATACCGTAAACCCCGTCTCTACTAAAAATACAAAAAATTAACCGGGCGTGGTGGTGGCCGCCTGTAGTCCCAGCTACTCGGGAGGCTGAGGCAGGAGAACGGCGTGAACCCAGGAGGCGGAGCTTAAAGTGAGCCGAGATTGCACCACTGCACTCCAGCCTGGGCGACAGAGGGAGACTCCATCTCAAAAAATAAATAAATAAATAAAATCAAAAAATAAAAAATAAAAAGAACATGCCCTGCATGTTGGCAACAAGAAACCACAATACATTTAATGACACAGGTTAAAATAAATGGCTGGAGAAAAACATAATATACCAACATTAGTCAAATGAAAGCTGAAATAGTTATGTCAATTTTAGACAAAGCAGATTTTAAAACAAAAACATTATCAGGGTTACAGAGAGGTGTTACTTAACAATAAATATGACAATTTTCCAAGAAGACATAACAATTCTACATGTATGCACCTAATGACAAAATGTCAAAGTATGTGAGGAAAAAAAACTGATAGAACTGAAAGAATAAATAGACAAATCTACTGTTATATTTTAAGACTTTAAAACCATTCTTTCAGTAATTAATGGATCAGGCAGAAAAAGACTGAACTGAGAAGACCATTAATCAAACGTATGAAATTGCCGCTGGCAAATACTCTATCCAACAACAGCAGAAGCCAAATTAATTTCAATCTAACATAAAGCATTTGCCAAAATTGATCACATTTTGGGCCATGAAACAAACACACCTTAACAAGCTTATGTATTGAAATCATAGAAAGCATGTTCTCAGGTCACAGTGGAATTATAAATATTGTAAGTGGAAGTAAAAAGAGTATAGAAAATAGCAAAAAGAAGTAAATAAAGAAAGTATAACTGGAAACAACTCCACGTGTTTGAAAATTAAACAGCATACTTTGAAGTAGTCCATGAGTCTAAGATGTCTCAAATAATAAGATGTCTCAAAAGAAAAATTATTTTGAGTTAAACAGCAATACAAATACAACATATCAATGTTTGTGAGATGTAGTGGAGAGAGGGAAATTTATAGAATTAGATTCATAGATTAGAAAAAAAGATCTAATATCAGTTACATAAGATTACGTCTCAAGAAAACAGAATAAAAGAAAGCAGAATAAAAGAAGTAAAAAATTGAGCAGAAATCAAGTAAATTTAAAACGGAAAAACAATAATAGAAAATAGTAGAATAATAATAGAAAATAGCAAAAAAAAAAAATAGTAGAAAAAGCTCCAAACTCATATATTTATAATATCAGTAAAAATTGATCATTCTGTATACAGACTAACAAAAACAAAAAGACCAAAGGTACAAATTATCAAAATCAGAAATGAAAGATGTTTCGTTACCACTGAGTCCACACACATTAAATGTAGATATTAAAGAACGCACACATAAATGTATATTCATACATTTGATAAATCAGATTAAATGAAAAAATACTTGAATGAAATAAACTATCAAAACTCACATAAGGAGAAAGAGATAATCTGAATAACTCTGTTACCTATTAGTAAAATTAAATAAAAAATTCATAATTTTCTAAAATGGAATATACCAGACCAAGATGGTTTCATTGATGAATTCCACCAAACATTTAGTGAAAAGTGATGATACCAGTTCTCCACAACATCTTCCAGGAAATAAAAGCATATGAAACTGTTAGCACATGTTCTGAGGCCAGCATTACTCTAATACCAAAACCAGAAAAAAAAATGACGAGAAAGGAAAGCAACAGACCAACATTTCTCATAAACATCAAAGAAAGAAAACTCAACAAAATAGCAAATCGAACCCAACAATATATGCAAATACACTCTACAATCAAGTGGGATTTATTACAGATATGAAAGGCATGTTAGCCTTAGGAAATCAAACAATATAAGCTACCATATCAAGAGCCATAGAAGAAACATATGATTAATCGATGCAGAGAAAGACATTTGACATAATTTAATACTATTAGTGATTTAAAAATAAAAAATCTCAGCAAACGAGTAACAGAATAAAATGTTCTCAACTATCAAAGGAATATCCATAAACAACCTACTGCTAACTTTATACTCAATAGTCTCCTTATCCTAAGATCATCAACAAGGCAAGGAAGTCCTCTCTCTCTCACCACTCCTGTTCAACATCATAATGAAAGTACTATCTAGTGCATTAAAATAAGAAAAGTAATCAATAAAGATTAGAAAAGAAAAATAACATTTTTTCACAGAGAATAATATTGTTTATTTTTAAGCATCTTAATATGTGTACAAAAAAACTTCAGAAACTAATAACCAAGTACAGTTTTCAGGACAGCAAGTTTTCAAAATAAAAGGCCAACATCCAAAACTCACTTCTTGTGCTATGTATAAGAAAAGCATAACTTGAATTTGAAGTTTCAAAAAAATGACAACAGCATCAAATGTGCAATACATAGAAAAGCCTAACAAAATACGTACATTATCTGTATAAAGAAATCTGTAAAACGCTTCTGAAAGAGACCAAAAGAAATCTAGGTTTCTACAGAAATATTTCATGTTCATAGATTGCAAGACTTAATATCATTAAGATATTAATTTTCCCCACCTTGATCTATAAATTCAATGCAATCTCAATCAAAATTCTGGAGAAAAACTTTGTATATATCAACAAACTGATTCTAAAGTTTGTATGGAAAGAAAACAGGTATAAAACAGACACACAATACTGAAGAAAAAAATAAAGCTGCTAGACTGACATTACACAACTTTAAGATTTACTATAAAGTTACAACAATCAAGACAGCATGATATCCATGAAGTAATAGAAACAGATCAATAGAATACAGTGAAGACCCAGAAAGGAGGCCCACAAAAATATCGTCATCCGATTATTGACAAAGTAGCACAAAAAGGATAGACATTTCATCAAATGGTACATATGCCAAATATATTCATACATATACATATATATAGTTAAAATTTTTAAAAATTTTCACCAGTTTAAAAAGGAATCCCATAGTCTTTACCTATCACCCCCCTACATCGTATATATAAAACAGAGCACCAAAATACATGAAGGAACCTAAAAAAAAAAAGAGAGAGATGTAAACAAATCAACAGTAATAGTTGGAGATTTCAATACTGTACTTTCAATAATTGATAGAATAACAAGACAGAAGATCAATAAGGAAATACAACACTTGAATAACACTATAAATCAACTTGATCTAGCAGGCGTCTATGGAACACAGTATCTGTGGAACACTCTACTCAAAAATGGACTACATTATTCTTAAGTAAACATAGGATTTTCCCCAGAATGAATGCTATTCTGTGTGGTAAGCCAGTCTTAATAATGCAAAAGGATAGAAATAATACAATGTATATTTTTAGCATAACAGAATGGAATTATAAGTCAATAACATGGGGGTGCAGTGGCTCACGCCTGTAATCCCAGCACTTTGGGAGGCCAAGGTGGGCGGGTCAGCTGAGGTCAGGAGTTTGAGACCAGTCTGGCCAACATGGTGAAATCCCATCTCTACTAAAATGCAAAAATTAGTGGAGCATGGTGGTGGGTGCCTGTAATGCCAGCTACTCGGGAGGCTGAGGCAGGAGAATTGCTTGAACCTGCGAAGTGGAGGTTGTAGTGAGCCAAGATCATGTCATTGTACTTCAGCCTGAGTGACAAGAGCAAACTCTGTCTAAGCACTGTCTCAAATAAATAAATAAATAAAATAATAATAGGAAAAAAAGGAGAAGTGAAGATATGTGAATTTTATATATTTATGAAGTAAGTATGATATTTTAATAGCAGCATACAATTTGTAACAAACAAATCAGGATAACTGGGGTATCCATCACATCAAGTATTATCTATTTTGTGTGTGTTAGGAACATTCCAATTCCACTCTTTCAGTTATTTTGAAATATACAATAAATTATTGTTAACCAAGATCTGTGGAAATTAAACAATACCCCATAAGTAACCAACGGGTCAGAGAAGAAATCTAAAGTGAAATTGGAAAATAATAAAAATGAAGACACAACATATCAAACTTACAGAATGCAGCTAAAAATTGCTGAGACAGAAATTTATAGCTGTCAATATCTATATTTTGAAATAAGAAAAATCTCAAATCATTAACCTAATCCCCCATTTTTGGATGAAATAAGAGGAAACTAAACCTAAAACAACCAGAAGGAAAAAATAATAAACATTAGAGTAAATTAAAGAAATAGACAATAGAAACACAAATGAGAAAATCAGTGACGCCAAAAGATGGTTATTTGAAAAGAAAAAAACAAAAAAATAAAATATCTTTAGCTACTTTAACCAAGACAAATGAGAGAAGAGTCAAGTCACTAGAATCAGAAATTAAATATAAAATAACCTTATTAACTCTGCCAAATTAAAAAGTAAATAAATATTATGAAAATTTATATGCCAAAAATTAGATAACTTAGAATAGAAAAAAAATTCTAGATTTAAAGTTACAAACTACTGAAACTGACTACAGAAGAAATAGACAACTCTAATAGACCCATAACAGGTGACAAAACAGAATCAATAATCAAAAAACTACCCACAAAGAAAAAGTCCATGTCCAGATGGCTACACTGGCAAATTCTATCAAACATTCAAATGATTGATAACAATGCTTTACATAGTAGCCCCAAAAAGTAGAAAAGGAGAGAAAAATTTCCCAATTTATTTTATTTTATGAAGGCAGTATTATTCTGAGGCTAAAACCAGACAAAGAAATCACAAGAAAACTACAAAATAATGTTTTTATGATTATAGATGCAAAAATCTTCAGCAAAATACATGTCAAAACAATCATACATGACAGATAAGTGGGACTGACTCCAGAGATGCAATGTTGAGTTAACATCTAAAAATCAAGTAAGGTAATATGCCTTATTAGTAAACAGTAAAAATCCACAATTATCTCAAGAGATACAATAAATGCATTTGAAATAACCAAACACCCTTTCAAAAGCAAAACATTCAACAAACTAAGAATAGAGTGCAAGGTTCTCAACCTGATAAAGGGCATCTATGAAAAATCCACAGGTAACAACATATTTAATGGAGCCTGGAACACCCTATAGTGCCAGAAAATAAAGAAATGCTGAGAAAATAAAATCACAATGATTTGGGTATTTCAGGAGCCAATGGAAAGAGCTGCCAATAGCCAACATTGGAAAAATTTGAGCAAACAATGAATGAAATGGTATTAGTTTTTAACTGAAAATTTACTGAATATATATACTGTATATATACATATATATACACACACACATATGTGTGTGTGTGTGTGTGTGTGTATATACACATATATATTCTGATAGGGTGTGTGTGTGTGTGTGTGTGTGTGTGTGTGTGTGTTCTTCATGGACCACATTTTGACAGAGAGCAAGACAGTTAATTTGGCCCTGGGGTAAAATGTGAATGTTTACTGCTATCTTTGGCATTCAAAATTGTGATGCATTTCATCACTTAAATTGATGAATATTTTAAATAACAAGTATACACGCACACATACGCACATGCAAGATGTAATGTTGATAAAATGAGATGAGAATGAGAATGGCACTTTACCACTGTATGGTATTCCTCTCCAAAATTCACAACCTCAATCTCAGTCTAATCATAAGAAAAACAGAACACCAATCACAATTAAGGAGCAGTCTACAAAATACCTGGCCAATACTGAAAATTTTCAACATTGCAAAAAACAAAAAATGTCTGAGAAACTGTTCCAGTCAAGCAGAGAATTAGTAGACATGACACCTAAATGCAGTGTGGTATTATGAATGGGTCTTTGAACCAAAAAAAGAAATTAGATAAAAATTAAGAAAATCTAAGTAAAGTGTGAACTTTACTAAATAATCATGGCTCAATACAGTTTTATTAATTATGACTTATGTAATATGTTATTAATAGGGCAAACTGTATACTGGGTATATGGGAACTCTCTGTACTATCTTCACATTTTTTTCTGTAGATCTTAAACTACTCTAAAATAAATAATTACATTAAAAATAAACTTGGCAACTTCTGTTTGAAAAGCAAGGAGATGTGGGGTAGATGCTGAGCTACATCAACAGTGCATTGCAAGTCACATATTTCAAGGAAGATCATTATAATTTAATTCAGTAAGGAAGGATTAAAATATTTAGGGAGGGGCAGGATGATGGCTTTTAATAGCAAAGAAGATTTGGTGAAATTTAAGTGTTCAAGGTCCATAGCTTCATCAGAATCTCCCCATATGTCCCCACGCCATTTTTCAAAATTATATATGTCTTTCCATGTTCCATTTTCTTAGATTCCCTTTCTTTCAGGACTACCTTAACCAGTACAGCCATTCACCACAGCCCAGATATATACTGATTATCTCTGGTCACCTCTCCCTCCAAATTAAATAAAAGACCAAAAGTTCTACTCATAGCTTGTTCTACTGTGTGAATTTCTCTTCACAAGCAAACTCTCATAGCACTCTTGAGCAGGACTATAATGTCATCATGGTCTACTTCTGTTAATCTTACTGTATCTTTCACCTTCTGGCACATCTATTTCACTAGGGCATGTAAGATATGTTTCATGTCTTGTTTATCAGATACAATTAGCATAATGTCATAAATATAGTGAGCCAGCATGATATCCTGTGGAATTTAAAATAATCAATGGTCTCTGTGGACCACATTTTGACAGAGAGCAAGAGAGTTAATATAGCCCTTGGGTAAAACGTGAATGTTTACTGCTATCTTTGGCATTCAAAATTGTAATGCATTTCATCACTCTAATTGATGAATATTTTAAATAATAAGTTTGCTGCACCACTGGCTGCATATCAAGTGTCAATCACAGGGAAGCAGGAATGTGGGGAAATAAGAATGATCTGGAAAGAATAAAGGGCTATCAGAAGGTATTCAGTTATGATATCTTTCACAGCTTTATGAAAAACTGAATTCTTGGTCTCACTATGTCTTCAAAGAGACTACAATTACATTGCATTTTTAAAATAAAATTGGAGAAGATAACAATTTATCTACTTAATTTTGTTTTCAGATGGTCAAAGTTTGTTTCTGAAGAATCTACAGTCTTGCATTTCTGAGTTTTTATATGTGTGTGTCAAATGGCTCCTTAAGTGTCTTGTGCCTCAATGGTCACCAGGAAAGGAATCAAAGGTTTATTTGGTCAGAAGTAAGGCAAGGTACTATTGTCTCAACTGATAAGTATCACGAGGGCAGAGGGGCAGGCAGCTCTTCTGAGTTGTCTCCAGAGACATCACTTAGCAGCACTTATTTTCCTCTGTGATGGTGAGAACCGTGGATGACATTTCTAACGCTGCTCTGACCAGAGCCTAAAACAGATATGCTTAGCTGTTGTGGTTCATGTAATGAATCTGGTTACACCCACAGTTAACTGGAAAGTTTTGGATTCCAGCTTGAAAGATGAGAAAAACATCCTCTCATTTGTCTTCATGATTATTTTGTTTGTTTGTATTTTATGGTTTAATGGCAATAAATAGCAACATTATCGTTATATTTCTTAGGTCAGAAAACTATGTCTTTTTAGATATCTGCACTCTCATGTTTATTTCAGTGCTATTCATAATAGCCAAGATATAAAATTGATCTAAATTTACATCTCCAGATTAATGAATTAAATATATATATATATATGAATACAATTCAGCCATTAAACAGAATGACATTCCGTCGTTTGTGACAACATGGATGAACCTGGAGGATGTTATGTTAAATGAAATAAGCGAGGGAAAGAAAGACTAAAACTACATGATCTCATTCATATGTAGAATCTAAAAAAGTTGATTTCATGGAGTAGGGAGTAAAATAATGGTTACAAGAGGTTGAGGATGGTAGTGGGGACTAGGGAACAGAAGTTGGTCAACGGGTACAAAGTTGCAGTTAGGCAGAAAGAATACGTTCCTGTAGGGTGTCTACAGCAAATAACAATGTAGTGTATATTTCAAAATAGCTAGAAGAAAAAACAATGAAATATCACTACTACAAAGAAATAATAAATGTTTAAAGTAGTGGATATGATAATTACCCTGTTTTAATCATTTTACAATGTATACATGCATTGAAACATCACACCGTACCCCATAAACATCTATAATTATTATGTAGCAAGTATAAATTAAAAGTGATTAATGAAAAAGTAGAAAAAGGAAAATTCTAAGCCTTCTTCACTTAGACCACATATCTAAGTAAACGTCAAGTCCTACGAACATTTCTTAACTATTTCTGAAATTAATCCACTTTTCTACAGCTTCACTGTTACTACGTTTGGCATCCTTCATTACTAGGAGCCTCCTGATATATCTTTTTATTTCTATATCTTAACCTTCCTGCATGTGTTTTTAGAAAGATCATACTCTCACAAGATTCTTTGGGTGTCTCTTCTCCAGCTGGAAACCTCTGTGGCCAGCAGCACCTCTGCTTGAGTTTTGTTCATGCCTGCTGGGCTCGTTCTGCCCACTTGACCTGGCAGGCTGTGCTCAGATCCCACACCCACCAACGGCGATCCTGGTGCAGAGCAACAACGGGTGTATGAACAAGTGAGCATGAGGTCCGGCCACTAGGCACAGCCAAGCACACCACCTGCTGTGGCGGGGTGGGCAGCTCCAGGTGCTGGCACAGGCACCGGCTCTATGCGAGTCTGCAGCTGGACCAAGGGTACTGGTAGTGGCTTCCACTGTGGGAGTCAGTGTCTGGATAAGCTGAACGCGGTGGTGCCTGAAAACTGGGAGACACCAGCAACCACAGATCCCCAAGAAGTGGGGGCGGGGCGGCGGGTAGGCATACTACGGCTATCTTGTTCCCACCACCGGTAGTTCAGTGAGCAGTAGGGAGGGGTGTGTTTCATCTCATTCAGTCCAGCTGCCTTGCTCTGGCCCATAGCTCCTGGCTGGCTTGGCTTTGCTACTGCTTCCCATCATGCGGGGAAGCTGCCTGATGCCAGCAGAGGATGGGAGGGCTATAGAGTTACAGCTCTGGCTTGGAGAATACCAAGGTCCAGGACCTCAAAAGGGTGGTTGTTCTTCACTTCTGCAATCCAATGAATGGAAGCATGTCACTGCTTGCAGATTGGCAAGCTGGCCAGGAACATGTTACAGCCCCTTTTGTTTCTGCCCACAGCTTGGTGAGCTGGCCAGGAAAATGTTACAGCCCTTTTCATGCCCACTGTTCAGTGGGTCCTGAGTTCTTGTCCCATGTCCAGGAAGAATGAGGTTATGTGGACAACTGGAGAGTGAGCAAGGTGAAGAGTTTTATTGAGTGGCAGAACAGCTTTCTGCAGAGAGAAGACCCAAAGTGAGTAGCTCCTCCCCACAGGCAGGTAGTCCTGACATGTGGTTGAGTCCTGGTTTTTCTATGGACCCAGAATGAAGGAAGTGTGTGCTGATTGGTTCATTAGTGGGCCTGGACAAAACACCATTTGATTGGCTGAAAGGCATCAAGTTCTCACTCTGGTTCATGAATTCTACCAAGAACTGGCAGCCTGGTTTTCAGGCTTCAGGCTGCCTTTGGCTTGAAGGTTGGGGTTCACCAGGGACCAGTCCTTATCTGACCAGCAATTTGTCTGCCTCCTGCCACTATTGATACTTTTTTGATAAAGAAAATCAATGAACAATATTTATGCAGTGAAAACTCTAGACCTCATAAATGGCTTTCTGCTTATTGATGTAATATTGTTTTATTTCAGAAGACATTAGTATAAAACATGGGTAAAAAGAGATAGGAAGTGTAAATTTATGAAGTGAATACAGGTAAAACATTTCCAAAATAATTATAGATTTGATTTTCATTACTAGCCAGGACGTAAATCAGGTAACAGTTCATTCTTCTTTTAAGGAATAGTCCAGATTTTTTTCCTTTTAATATATAAGGAGCTTGACTTTGATAATTTTCTTTGGGATAAGGCTGTGATACGAATGTTTGTGTCCCCATAAGATTCATATGCTGAAATGCTAATCCTTAAATTGATATATTAGGAAGTGGGGCATTTGGGACATGATTAGGTCTAGGGAAGAGTCCTTGTGAATGGGATTAGTGCTCCTATAAAAGCAGTCAGAGAAAGCTCCCTCGCCCATTCTCCCTGTGAGGTTATGATGAGGCCAGCTGTCTATGAGGAAATAAGTCTTTAGCAGACATCTAATCTGTTGGTACCTTTGTCTTGGACTTCCCAGTCTCCAGAGCTGTGATAGATACATTTTTGTTGTTCATAAGCCACCAGTCTATGGTATTTTGTTATGGCAGCCTGAATGGACTAAAACAATGTCCAATCCTGGTGACCTAATCTATGTGGCACTCAGTAGTGAATTTAGCAAGGCATACAGTATATAGAAATATCCATCTGTGACAACAAAAAAATAAAAATGGTGGGGGAATGAGTTGCAAAACAACAATAATGACTATGAAGCAACAGCCACAACAGCAACAAAAAACTATCATTTGGAAATAAATTCTATCCCCAGACACAAATGGCAGACTTATTGACAGAAGTCACAAAAATAATTTCATTTATGTACATTCAATACTTGAAAGCATTTTGAATTAAAATGGCAACAATTCTCAAATGCATTATAAATATTTTATCTGAAAACATATAGTAACATTTAAAAATAAAATATGTATTTTATATGAACAATGTGTAATAGAAAAGATTTTTTAAGCTAGAATTTAATGCAGCACTAACCTAGCTAGCAGAAAGCACAATTCAAGCCAAATTCAAAAACCAGAGAACTATAAATTCAGTCACTGGGGGATTCATGTGGAATGTTTGTGAACTTCCAAATAGAAATCCTTTAGTATTCTATTAAGAGCTGCTATAAAATTCATATAGTGGTTCCTTAGATGGAGCAAAACTTTTTTCTCTTTTTGATTCTTCACTTTGCTTTTTCTTTTCAAGTTCTTTTTTAAAAAAAATTTAATCAAAATTCACTGAGAATTTGATATAGCTGATCACTTTCATGTTTTTCTAATGTATCTTTTTTTTTCTAAATAATCACTCACTACTTAGCTAGGATCAACTACATATTTACATTTCATAAATCTTGGGATGTTTTTTGAGTGGGATTTCTTCTACAGCTCTCAAACCCCACTTAAATATCCTGCAATTTTGGTCCATTAAAAAAAAGTCCTATGTAATTTCATAGTATTGTTAAAGTTTTTAACAGAATCTAGAGGTTTCAACATAATCATTTGCAAAGAAATATTTTCTTCAGTTATCAAAAATGTGTTTTTGCATTTTACATTGCATCATATATTATTTAATATACAATTCATTTAAATACATTCATATATACCATTATTTACTGAGTTTACCAATGCGAAAGTTAAAGATACCCTTAAAAATGTGCATTATATGTGTGTGTGTGTGTGTGTGTGTGTGTGTGTGTGTGTGTATGTGTGTGTGTTTGGGCCAAAGAAGAACATAAGAAGATAAGTGTTTTTGCTGATTTTTTTTTAAATCAACTTACGCCAAACAAAGCTATCTACTAGGGCAACCTCTGGGAAACAAAAATCAGAAGCCAGAAAATTACCTTTTCCTCTTGCTTCTTCACTTTGTTGATAGTGTTCCAGGACAATTCCCATTTAATATTGCCTATCTAGCATCACAAAACCCTTACATCTTAAAATAATGATAATAATAAAAGGTACTGATCCGATATCTATCCAATATAAGTACTATACATTTTTAATACCTAGTAGATATCCATTAGAGTGAAGGTCTTTATACAGCATGAGAAAGTTTTTCTTTCTTTTCTTACGTTTTTTCTAACTATTAGCTTGAGCCTTCTTTTATCTAGGTTACTTTGGCCTGGCCCACAAATAGAAAGTTGTTTAAAGTAATAAAAGATAAATGATTCTCAACTTCTAATCAGTAAGCAGCCTGCAATGGTCTAAAAATAAAATATGATTTTACACCTACAGTGCACATGTCAACTACCTGAAAAGTTGTCAGTTGACAACCTAGAACATGCATTTTGTGTTTCATTATTTAAATTTGAAGTTTTTGACTTCCACTTACACTTTTTGACACAAATTGCACTAAATGCCATGCCTTGTAACCACATAGCATTCTTTTAGATTTTTCATTTTTTCTTACTTAAAAGTAACTGATTAGCTAAAGTAAAACAAAACGAAATTGGATTTTTATGACATCTTATAAAATGTGGCCATTTTAGCATAAATTTAATTTTCCATTCAAATGTATTCAATGTATTTAAAATTTTATTATAGAACATCCGCAATCCAATAAATCAAAACTGTTCACAGGTATTCATAAATATCTTGCAGATCCATCCTTTATATGTGTGTGTGTGTGTGTGTGTGTGTGTGTGTATATATGTATATATACATATATATACATATATACATATATATATGTACACATATATATGTGTGAACAGAGAGCTTCCACATGCAACAAACATGTTGATATTATTATCTGTCAATCCATGGTGATATTTTAAAGTAATTTTTAATGGAAATAATTATCAATTCATGAGCATTTACAATAAAAAATATGGAGAAACCCTATGTACTTTTTTCCAATTTCTCCCATGGTAACATCTTGTAAAGCTATAATATAATATCATAACCAGTATATTGACATTGATACAGTCAAGATACAAGAACATTCCCATAAGCATAATGATCCTTCATGTTGCCACTTAATAGCCACCCCCAATTCCCTCAAAGCCACACCCTCTTTTTTCACCTCTGACAACTATTCCTCATTTTCAATTTCTATCATTTTAAGATAATATAAATGGAATTTATTTAATATAATATAAATGGAATCAAACAGTATGTGACTTTGGAGCTTTTTATTTTTTTCCACTTAGAAACATCCTCTGGAAACTCATCCAGGTTGTTGCATGTATTAATGATTTGTTCCTTTTTAGTGAGTACTATTCTGTGGTATAGATGTACCACAGTAACTATTCATCTGTTGAAGGACATTTGAGTTGTTTTCAGTTTTTGGTTATTATAAATAAAGATACTATAACATTTTATATATAGGGTTTTATGGAAACATAAGTCTTTAATTCTCCAGGATAAATGTCTAGAAATGTAATTTCTGGGTTGTGTAGTAGTTGTTTGTTTAGTTTAGTAGGAAACAGTCAAACTCTTTTCAGTGTGGCTGTACCATTTTACATTCCAGTCAGCAATATATGAGTAATCCAGTTTCTTTGCACCCTCCCCACCATACAGGAACTGGCTAAAGTTAATATTACTTGTCCTGCCCAGAGCTCCTTTAATAGATCTGTATGGCCAGTAAGAAAACCTGATGCCACCTGGCATATGACAGTAGACTACTCAGAACTAAATAAAGTAGTTTCCAAGATACACACTGCTCTGCCTAATGTATCTCTAGTGATAGAATAAATGATACAAAATACTGGCACTTATGCTGTATTAAATTTGGCTGACACCTTTTACAGCATCCCTTTACACCCCAACTTAGAGGCATTATACTGATGATACTATGCTAACCTCTGAAGATTTGTCATTGCTACAGCAACAACTTGATGCATTGTGCACCCTTCTGCATTTCAAAAGATAAGCCACCGACCGACAAAAAACACAAGGCTGCTCCTATTGTTGAGTCCCCACTGGAGATCCCTCCAGTGATACATGAAGGCACAGCCACACTTTCTGAAAACACCTGGTACGCAGATGGGGCGAGCCGAGATAACTCTCATGTATGAACAACAGCAGCTATACAATGGCAGACAGATAATATCTGGTTTGAGATGGGAATGCAACAAAGCACTTAATGGGTAGAACTCTGAGCTGCATGGTTAGTTTGTACCTATGAGCTATGGCCTACAGTTCTCTGTACAAATAGTTGAGCAGTATTTAAGCATCTTGCAACTTGTCTTGCTCAGTGAGCCAGAGATGATTTGTATGTGCTTTAAAAACCCTTATGAAGAGCTGCTACATGAAAAGACATTTGAGAAGGGCTACAAGAACCCACTGCAAGCCTAGCTGTGTATCATACTTCAGCAGACCAGTCAGGTTCACGTTCTGGTAACATGGAGGCTGACACTCCAGCAAAAACGATAACACTGGCTATCTCTTAATCCTTGCAGGTAGCTTATTGGGAACATAAACATAGTAGACATTGCAGTGCAGAAGTGGACTAGCAAATAACAAAGCCAGCAGGATTGTACCTCTGCTATGCAGATTTTGTGGCAGCTGTAGCAAAGTGCTTAGTTCGTTCTCGTTTGTGCCCCTGCTACATTCTACCTATACAAGACACATACATAAAACAGTTGTCCCTATAAGAGACTGGCAGATAGACTCTTTTCAATCCCTCTTAGTAGGCTTGGTAGAGAAGTGTGCGTTAATATGTGTAGATACTTCCACAGGATTGTTGCAGGCCTTTCTTTGCCACACAACAAACAGCCACCGTTAGAGCTTGGAGGAATTAAGTGTCATGTATGGATGTTCTTGATGCATTGATAGCAACCCAGGCACACATTTCACTGGACAGGATGTCCAAGATTAGACATATGAAAATGTTATAGACTGGAGATTTCATTTGCCATATAATCCCCAACTGGAAGAGTTGATTGAAAGGAAAAATGTCATTTTGAATACAAAACTGCTAGCACTTTCACAATCCTATATCTTTCATAAATTGGTGAAGTTTATGCCTCAAGCCATTAAGAACTCTAATTCAGTTGAGACTAATATGGGGTTGGCACCATATTAAGGACTCAGGACCACCACAGAGGAAGGACTATTATCCATAGTTGTAAAGAAGATCTTAACAGATACATTCCTACTGGAGCTGATAAAAGAACAATGGTAAATGTTATTTGGGACTCCCCAAGTCCTTGAGCCAGGGGAGGGGATACTTGCATGGGTGTGGAACTGCCAACTTCCCCCAAGTTGGACAGAGTATTTCTTGCCAGAGATCAAGGAATTCCATGGCCAACTAAAGTGGCATCCATTGGTCCTGTTTGAGTCTGAGCCAAAATGCTCCACATACCAATACACTGGAATACAGCCCCCTTTTAAGGGCACTCTGGTTGGCCACTTGACATGGTCCTTTGCTGCCCATGTAATCTTACAGATATTACCAGCACCCTAGCCCCTTGAGTAACATGTTTGATATGCAACCCTAGCCCATAATCCTATGTCCTCACCAACAGAGATGAAGATACCACTGTCATGCTGCTTGATCGGGAAGAAGTGCCTTGCCTAAACACTTCTATTTCTGCCTATTGCCTTCTGTTCCTCTTGCTTCTCTGTTTATGTCTGTAGGTTTAGATCCTGAGGACGTGATGTTAAAGTACATCACAAGTAGAAAATGAATTGATGCAAAGCGTCACCCACACCATCAAAATAACTGCAGCATCCCCCACCCCCACCCCACGGAGACTCAGGGACTATCCCAGAAGAGGTGAGTACATGAGATTGTAAGACCAGGATTAGAGAGGTAGAGCGTGAAGACAAAAGTGACTCCATCTTGGATGTTAATCCGTCATGTTTACTTATTGTTAGCCCCAGTTCCTTGAATGCCTCCTGATTCCTACTTTATTCTTAGTGTAAGAACACGTTCAATCTTGATTTTATCACACATAAGGGCTATAACACATCTAGCATTTTTTTTTGGAGAACTGCTTTTAATTGTTTCTATAGAGCATGTACAACCTTTCCCCATGGTATATCAGTCCCGAGTGGCCACACTTCTCTGTGTAAATTCCACCAATTAAACCAAGACCACACTTCTCTCTGTAAACCCCAATTAAACATCCTTTACTAGCAAACTAGATTTGTTTGCTTCACACTTTGGCTTCTCAGTGCCTTCTGCTCTGTGGTTTGCTTTGTATATATGGTCCTTCCCTGGAACAGGTAGTATCACTATTTTTTATCTTTGTCATTCTAATAGATGTGTAGTGATATTTCACTGGGGTTTAAATCTGCAATTACCTCATAGCTATAATGTTGTATATAGTTTCATGTGCTCATTTTTTATTCTTACATTCTTTACAATGAAATGGTTCTTCAGGTTTTTGCCCATTTTCTTCTTAGACTTTTTGGTTATCATTTAGTTTTGAGAGCTCCTCACATAAAAATATTAGTCTTTTGTCACATATGTGCTTTGCAACTATTTTCTCCCAGTCTGTAGCTTGCAATTGTATCCTCTCTGTAGGGTATTTTAATTTTACTTATGAATTTACGTATTTTTAATTGACAAAACTTTATATATTTAAGGTACACTACAGATGTTCTGATGTATGTATACTTTGTGGAATAGTTAAATCAAGCTAATTAACGTATGGATTACCTTGCACATTTATCCTTTTTTGGTGTGGGGTTAGAAAACTTAAAGTCAACTCTCAGTGACTTTCAAATATACAATATACTATTAACTATAGTCACCATGATGTATAATAGATCAATTTAATTTATTCTTCCTATTTACCTGACATTTTATATCTTTTCACAGACATCCGCCCGATCTCTCCAACCCCCAGCTTCTGGTAATCACCTTTACATTCTTTGCTTCTATGAGTTCAACTTTATTAGGTTCAACACATAATGGAGTCCATGCAGTATGTGGTTTTCTGTGCCTGGCTTTTTTCACTTAATGTATGTCCTCCAGGTTCTTCCACATTGTTTGAAATGACAGGATTTCCTTCTTTTAAAGGATGAATAGTATTACATTGTGTATATATACCACATTTTATTTATCCACTCATCCTTTGATGGATACTTAAAATGATTTTATATCTTGGCCATTGGTAATAATGATGCAATAAACATGGGAGTACGGCTATCACTTCAAAATATTTATTTCATTTGCTTTGGATATTTCCTCAGTAGTAGGATTATTAAATCTTGAATCATATGGTAGTTCTGTTTTTAATTTTTTGAGGAAACTTCATATTGTTTTTCATAATTACTGTACTAACTTAGATTCTCACCAACAATGTACAAGGGTTCCCTTTCTTTCACATTCTGCCCAACGCTTGATATCTTTCATCCTTTTGATTATAACCATTCTAACAGGTGAGGTGATACCTCATTTTGATTTTAATTGGCATTTCTGTTATGTTTTCTTCTAGTAGTTTTATAGATTTGGGTCTTACATTTAGCCTTTTATCTATTTTGAGTTATTTTTGTCGATGGTGTGAGATAGAGATCCACTTTAATTATTTTACTTTGGTTTTTCCAAAACCATTTATTAACGATATTTTTCATTCCCCTGTGTGTGTTCTTGGCACCTTTGTTGACAATCAATTGACCATAAATGCATAGCTTCATTTCTGTGATCTTTATTCTGTTCCATTTTCTGATGTCTGTTTCATGACAGTATTATTCTTTGTAAATGCTATAGCTTTGTATTTTTAAATCACGTAGTGTAAATGGCTCCAGCTTTGTTCATTTTGCTCAAGTTTGCTTTGGCTATTGGGGTTCTTAGGCAAGAGAAATATATAAAGGCATCCAGATTGGAAAAGAAGAAGTTAAGTTGTCTCTGTTTGCAGATGGCATGATTTTTATAGGTAGAAAATGTTAAAGACTTTATCAAAAAAATTTTTAGACCTAATAAATTAATCTAGTAAAGTTGCAGAATACAAAATCAACATGCATAAATGAGCGGTGTTCTATACAATAATAATTAGCTATTCAAAAAAATTAAGAAAATAATTCCATTAACAATATGTAAAAAAAAAGAAAAAAGAAAATAATAATAAATTTAAGTAAAAAATATGTATGTTGAAAACTATAAAACATTGATGAAAAAAATTACACAGAAATAAGTTGAAAGATATCATGTCCATGGATTGGAAGAATTAATATTATGAAAATGTCAATACAACCCAAAAAAATCTATAGATTCAATGAAATTCCTATCAAAATTCCAATGACATTTTTACAGAAACAGAAAAAGCAATCCTAAAATTTGTATGGGACCACAGAAGTTTTAATTTTGATAAAGTCTAACTTAATTATTTAATTAATCATTTTCCTTTTTATAAGTCATAATTTTGTTGTCAATTCTAAAAATTATTTGTCTAGCACTATATCCTGAAATATTTTTCCTGTGTTTATTTCTAAAAGCGTTATCATTTTATAATTTATGGCTTAGCCTCTGATCTATTTTTAGTTAAATTTTTCATAAAACATAAAGTTTAGGTCAAGGAACCTTTTTACTTTTCCCAATGGATGTCCACTAACTCCAGCATCATTCATTGAACAATTATATTTCTTCATTCAATTGTTTTGAACTTTTGTCAAAAGTCAGTTGGACATATCTGTGTGAGTCTATTTCTGGTTTCATTATTCTGTCCTGTTATTTATGTGCATGTACTTCTGCCAATACCACACAGTCTTGAGTACTATAGATGTGTGTTTAAAAATAGTGTAGACTAATTTCTCCCAATATATTCTTCCTTTTCAAAATTGTTTTAGCTGTTCTAGTCCTTTTGACTTTCCATATAAATTTTAGAATAATCTTGTCTATCTTGACAAAAAAATTCTTGCTGCAATTTTGGCAAAATTTGAATTAAACCTTTATATCAATTTGAGGATAACTGACATATTTACTAATATTGAATATTCTTATTCATGTAAATGATATGTCACTCAAAGTATATAGGTCTTTGATTTCTTCATTATAATTATGTAGTTTTCAGAATACATGTCCTGTATATTTTATTATCTTTACACCTGTTTCATTTCTTGAGTGATTTTAATGGCACTGAATTTTTAATGTTTTTGTGTTTATTGGTAGGATATAAAAATATTATTAAATTTATCCTTCTTATTTCCTCTGACCTTGGCTGAGCTTACTTATTAGTTCTAGAAGTTTTACTGGTAGATTGTTTTAAATTGTCTACATACAATTATGTCACCCGAAAATAGACACAGTTTTATTTCTGCCTTTCTAATCTGTAAACCCTTTAATTCTTTTTCTTGTCTTGCAGCACAGGCTAAAACTTTCAGCATTATGTTAAAATAACAATGGTGAAAGCAGACATCCTTTCTTTGTTCCCAATCTTAGAGGAAGAGCATTCAGGCTTTTACCATTAAGCATAATGTTAGCTGAAGTATTTTTGTAGATACTTTTTATAAAGTAGAGGAAGTTCTCCTCTATTCCTAGTTTGCTATAATTTATTTTATTTTCTCCTTAATTGATTTTTTTAAAATTTTTTTTGGCTTTCATTTGTATGATCCTGTGATCTTTCTTTTTCAAACTGATTATATGGTGAATTTCATTGATTGATTTTTGAATATTGAACTAGTCTTGCATCCTGGAATAAAGCCAAGTTGGTCATTGTATTAGTCCATTTTCACATTGCTGATAAAGACATATCTAAGACTGGGCAATTTACAAAAGAAAGAGTTTTAATGGACTTACCGTTTAACCTGGATGGGGAGGCCTCACCATCATAGAGGAAGGCTAAAGGCACTTCTTCCATGGTGGCAGCAAGAAAGAGAACTTGTGCAGGGAAACTCCCATTTTTAAAACCATCAGATCTCATGAGACTTATTCACTATCAAGAGAACAGCATGATAAAGACCCAGCCCATGATTCAATTACCTCCCACTGGGTTCTTCCCATTACACATGAGAATTGTGGGAGTTACAATTCAAGGTAAGATTTGAGTGGGGACACAGCCAAAACATATCATTCCATCCTGGACCCTTTCAAATCTCATGTCCTCACATTTCGAAACAAATCATGCCTTCCCAACAGTCCCACAAAGTCTTAACTCATTTTAGCATTAACTCTAAAGTCCACAGCCAAACCCCCATCTGAGGCAAGGCAAGTCCCTTCTGCCTAAGAGCCTGTAAAATCACAAGCAAGTTAGTTACTTCCTAGATACAATGGGGGTACAGGCCTTGGGTTAATACAGCCATTCCAAATGGGAGGAATTGGCCAAAACAAAGGGACTACAGGTACCATGCAAGTCCTAAATCCAGTGGGGCAGTCAAATCTTAAAGCTCCAAAATAATCTCCTTTGACTCCATGTATCACATCCAGGTCATGCTGATCAAGAGGTGGGTCCCCACATTCTTAGGAAGCTCCTCCCCTGTGGTTTTACAGGGAATAGCCCCTCTCCTGGCAGCTTTCAGGACTGGTGTTGAGTGTCTGCAGCTTTTCCAGATGCACAGTGTAAGCTGTCTGTTGGTGGATCTACCATTCTGGGGTCTGGAGGATGGTGGCCCTTTTTTAACAGCATCACTAGATGGTGTCCCAGTAGGGACCCTGTGGGGGAGCTCCAACCCCACATTTCCCTTCCTCACTGCCCTAGCAGATGTTCTTCAACAGGGCTCCACCCTATAGCAAACTTCTGCCTGGACATCCAGGCATTTTCATACATCCTCTGAAATCTAAGCAGAGGCTCCCAAACCTCAGTTCTTAACTTCTGTGCACCCACAGGCTCAATACCAAGTGGAGCTGCCAAGGCTTGGGGCTTACACCCTCTGAAGCCAAGGCCTGAACTGTACCTTGGCCCTTTTTAGTCACAGCTGGAGTGGCTGGGTTGCAGGGCACCAAGTCCCTAGATTGCACACAGTATGGGCACCCTGGGCTCTGCCCACAAAACCATATTTTCCTCCTAGGCCTTCAGGGCTGTGATTGGGGGCTGCCATGAAGATCTCTGACACGCCCTGGAGACACATTCCCCATTGTCTTGGGAATTCACATTTGGCTTATTACTTATGCAAATTTATGCAACCTGCTTGAATTTCTCATCAGAAAATAGAATTTTCTTTTATTTCACCTTTTCAGGCTGCAAATTTTCTGAACTTTTATGCCCTGCTTCCCATATAAAACTGAATGCCTTTAACAGCATCCAAGTCACCTCTTGAATGCTTTGCTGCTTAGAAATTTCTTCTGCTAGATACCCTAAATCATCTCTCTCAAGTTCAAAGTTTCACAAATCTTTAGAGCAGGGCAAAATTGCCATCAGTCTCTTTGCTAAACATAACAAGTGTCACCTTTACTCCAGTTCCCAATGCTTTGCTGCTTAGAAATTTTTCCGCCTAATACTGGAAATCATCTCTCTCAAGTTCCACAAATCTCTAGTACAGGGGAAAATTGCTGTCAATCTCTTTGCTAAAACATAAAAAGAGTTACCTTTGCTTCAGTTCCCAACAAGTTTCTCATCTCTATCTGAGACCACCTCAGCCTGG
The DNA here is from genome assembly GCF_000001405.40 of Homo sapiens. Taxonomy (NCBI): domain Eukaryota; kingdom Metazoa; phylum Chordata; class Mammalia; order Primates; family Hominidae; genus Homo; species Homo sapiens. The sequence continues at coordinate 17,404,376 of NC_000012.12, read as the reverse complement.
ATTTCATTGTCCATATTATTATCAGCATTTTGGTCAAAGACATTCAACAAATCTCTAGGAGTTCCAAACTTTTCCACGTTTTTCTGTCTTCTTCTGAGCTCTCCAAACTGTTCCAACCTCTGCCTGTTACCCAGTTCCATAGTCGCTTCCACATTTTTGGGTATCTTTTCAGCAGCGCCCCACTCTACTCATATCAATTTACTGTATTAGTCTGTTTTCACACTACTGATAAAGACATACCTGAGACTGGGCAGTTTAAAAATGAAAGAAGTTTAATGGACTTTCAGTTCCATGTGGCTGGGGAGGTCTCACCATCATGGAGGAAGGCAAAAGCCACTTCTTACATGGCAGTGGCAAGAGGGAGAACCTGTGCAGGGAAACTCCCATTTTTAAAACTGTCACATCTTATGAGACTTATTCACTATCATGAGAACAGCACAGGAAAGACCCGTCCCCATGATTCAATTACCTCCCACTGGGTTCCTCCCACAACACATGGAAATTGAGGGAGTTACAATTCAAGATGAGATTTGGGTGGGGACACAGCCAAAAAATATCAGTGATGTTACACAATTATTTTCATTATATTGCTGTCAACTTGCCATCGAGTGGTTTTTTTTGTTTGTTTGTTTGTTTGTTTTTTGAGATGGTGTCTCACTCTGTTGTCCAGGCTGGAGTGCACCAGCACGATCTCAGCCCACTGCCACAACTGAGTGTTTTTTTTAATTCAGTTTGACATCTTCCTGGTTCTTGGCATGATAAGTGATTGTCTATTAAAACTCAGACATTTTCGTATTGTGCTATGAAACTCTGGATTTTACTTAAAACTTCTGTTTTAACAATATTTCTCTGCTCTGGTAGGGGATAGAGGGCACCACCTTATTACTGCTATTTGGAGGTAGAAGTTCAGGATTCCTCACTTGACCTCTATTGACATTTGAGTGATGGGAATGGGCAGCTCCTTCCTTTTTACTGCAGGGCTAGTGTTGGCAATTGGTTTCTCAGGTGATCTCTATGACAACGTAGTGGGTGCAGGTTCTGTACAGCTGAGTGATGGCAAAAGTTCTGACTTTGCATTAGACCTCCTAAGACACCATTTAAGCTGAGAGGAAAAGCTGAACTTCCTTATTGCTTGGTGGGGTAGAAGACCACATTCTCCCTATTTAGTCCTCTCTGATACCACCACAATGAGATTTTGGAGGCAACTTGTTAGATTCTTTTGTGGGGGGATATCTAGGTCTAGTAGTTCTTAAATAGGATGGGTGAGAGTAGGGCAACAACTTATTTTCCGTTTTGTTTGGCTGGAATAGAGAGGTTATTTTCAAAAAGTTTTCTTTCTTGCTGTGCTTCTCCTTTCCTTGTACTTTGACTAGAGAGCAAGCTTTCTTTTTTCTTGTTCAGTCAGTGCTCATTCTGGGTTTCCATCTTCTTCAGGTCTCAGGCTGTGATACATGAAACAGAAACAAAAATACTCAGACAACTCAATATCACCTTGTTTCTCTTGTCCAGAGGTCCTTAGCTTTATTACATTTTTTCTTTACCTTCAGAGTCTTTTCATACTTGTTTTGTACATAATCTTTACTGTTTAAAATTATTCTTAGTATGAGGACCATGGAAAGGGAGATATATTACATTAAAAATTACCCTAAATTAAAAATTTAATACATTTTATAATTTATTTTTTTTCTGATTTTCACAATTTTGATCTTTGCTTTCATCTGTCCTCTGTGAACTCTGAAAATTTGAGACAGGTCTCAGTTAATTTAGAAAGTTTATTCTTCCAAGGTTGAGGACATACACCAGTGACACAGTTCAGGAGGTCCTGATGACATGTACCCAAGGTGGTCACAGCACAGCTCTGTTTTATATATTTCAGGGAGACATGAGACATCAATCAACATATGTAAAATGAACACTGGTTCAGTCTGAAAAAGTGGGACAACTCCAAGCAAAAGTGGGACAACTCAAAGTGGGGAGGGGGCTTCGAGGTCACAGGTAAATGAGAGACAAGTTGTTGCATTCTTTTGAGTTTCTGATTACCCTTTCCAAAGGAGGCAATCACATATGCATTTATCTCAGTGAGCAGAAGGATGACTTTGAACAGAATGGGAGGCAGGCTTTCCCTAAGCAGTTTCCAGCTCAAATTTTCCCTTTAGCTTAGTGATTTTAGAAACCCAAGATATTTTCCTTTCACACCTCCCAAAGGCTTTCTTTCTTCTACCTAATGAGACTGTAAGGTAGAAATTTTCATCCTGGGGCAAATTTATCACATTATCTAACCACCATAAAGTTTTATGACTTCTATCAGAAACTCTTCAGTTACTTGGTAGTATGACCACCATGAATATTGAAAGACTAAGGTGGAGAGATAAACTTACTAATTCTCCAGTTAGAACCATACTTTCTTGCCAAACTAGCTCTCATGAAAGTGTGTCAAGCGGGAAAAGTTATACATGGTGATAACGGTGACACATGTCTGCATCAAGCAGCTACAGAAAAAAAATCTCTTGTCCTAGCTCACTTGGATTTATGACTCTATTAAATTTAATTTTTTTGCCCATTTTACTTTGATATTCTGGCAAAGGTTTGCTGTTTTCTGAAATCAAACATTTAAATTTTCATTTACTAGGAATCACTATATAAACATTTCTTAAATAGCTCCATTTAGAATTTATAAAATTTTACTTAGGGTTGAAAACACAAATTTGAGATAAAGTAATGTAAAGATTTCATTAACTGTATGTAGAATAGTCACTCTCAAAATGATTGATTTGAATTTGAAAAAAGAAACTTCTTAACCTACATCTTGGCAAATAGTTTTGGCTTATTTATCTTGTTTCACTTTATTTATTTTTCTTTCTCATTGTTCCTTGTTTGCTGTTTGAATACTGCTCATCTCTTTTCTTATCTTACTTAACTTTTATTTTATGTCATTCCGAATATTCTTTATCTACTTTTTATTACAAAACATGAAAGATTTTTAGTGTAAAATATAAACAATCAAACATGCCAGAAGAGTTCCCTTTCAATACAGTGACGTCAAACTCTAGAGGTAAATATTTAATATTCTTAATTTTACATAATTTTTGGTCACCTTTCCATGTAAACATGCACCCATACACTTATAGACATATTGTGTGCAAAGAGTTGTATGTATTTTCCAAATGCGATCATATTTTTTTTGACATTTAAAATGGGCTTTAAATATACATCAGAGTGCCACACAAAGGAGCTGGGGTGAGAACTTGATACATGGGAATGTAGGGCTGGCGTGCCCCGAGAGAGAAAAAGGGGACCCATCTGTCAGGGCAGCTGCAGTGCCCCACCCCCAGCCTGGGACTAGGGAGCAGAGTAGAAGCCCTCTCTGGAGGGTCCCAGGGCTAACTAGGAGCTAGCCCTTCCTTCGAGGTAGATTATCGGGAAGAAAACCGAGAAGCAGCTCCCATGGTGGCAGTGGCTTCCTCAGTGGTACTAATAGCTGGGATAGCCTGGGGCCGGGGTGCCATCCTTAGGAGGCAGCTGGCTGGGGTCCTCCAGCAACAAGGGCACATTTTGGAACTGCTGGGCCGTGTAGCGAGTGAGGAGGATGCCAACGCCCTCAATGAGGGCCAACAGGATGCCCCCCATCATCGCTGAGCCCACCATGGCCAGTGGGCCACTGCAGGCTACCAGCACAGCCCCAGTCAATGCTCCACTGGTAATAGATTTCCAGGGATCCTCCTTGCCCTAAAGCCGCACCAGGCCACAGTCGATGGTGGAGAACAGGCCCCCCAACACTGCGAAGCTACCTCTAATCTGGGGAACTCGGATCCTCACAGTGTTGGCACTACCTCTCAACTGGTGCCGAATTCCAACAGGGTCATTGCGGAAACTCTTGATGGCCTGGAAGACTCCGCCACCAATGACACCCATAGTGAACGCTCCACAGCAATCATCCACAATTCGCCATGGGCAAGGCTCCCGAGCGTACTCCTCCATGGCACCGGACGCCCGCAAGCATACTTTTTATGTTACAACTATTCTTTTTACACAGTGATATAATATGCTTAGTTCATATTAAGCAAAAATTTAATTTGCTTTCTATATAAAGTATTTGGGCTACTAAACTTATTTAGCAGATCATCTACTGATGAAATTTTTAGATACTTCTGTTTAATTTTTTATTATTACAAATAGCATAGATATATATAAAGATACCTGTATGCGTACTTTTTGCCTGCTGTACTTGCTACATGAATCCAAACTTTTATCCAGTCTAGAAAAAGATACCACTAATTCTGCAGTTACATAATATGTAACATAAAATGTTCTAAGTTTTCTATGAGTATTAATGAGATCATGTATGACAGTAATGACTTTATTCATTTATGGAGAAATTATATATTTAAAGACAAGCATGTGCTAGGCATTCTTCTAGGTACTGTTGATACAGCAGTGAGCAAAACTGGCTTAAAAACCCTTTCCTCATGGAGCTTACATTTTAGTAAGGACAACCAGATCATAATATAAATAAATAATATAGCATGTGGGAGGTTGATGAATACAGAAGAAAAGAGAAATTAGACCAGGTATGGTGGCTCACGCCTGTAATCCCAGCACTTTGGGGGCCGAGGCGGATGGATCACCTGAGGTTGGGAATTTGAGACCAGCCTGACCAACATGGAGAAACACTGACTCTCCTAAAAGTACAAAAATTAGCCGGGTGTGGTGGTGCATGCCTGTAATCCCAGCTACTCGGGAGGCTGAGACAGGAGAATCACTTGAACCTGGGAGGTGGAGGTTGTGGTGAGCCGAGATCGTGCCATTACCCTCCAGCCTGGGCAACAAGAGCAAAACTCCATCTCACACAAAAAATAAAAAAAAAGAAAAGAAAAATTAAACCTGAGTACATAAAGTAAAAAATGTCCATGCAGGAGGATGTAATTTAAAATAGGGTGGTTTTGATAGCCCTTACAAAGAATATACATCTAAACAAACAGGTGAATAAGATGAAGAAGCAAGTCATGTGACTTTGCCTGGAATGATACCCGACAAAAGAAAATGTTATTTCAACAGTTGTAAACTGGGAATATCCCTTATTTGTTCAAGAAACACTGAAGTCATCAGTGTGACTAGACTAAAGAAAGCAAAAGTTGAAAATGAGTAAGAAATAAAGTAAGAAACTTAAGCTGGCTGGGGAGGGCATTAGTGGTAAAAATACTTTGAAGTAAAAGCCAGCAGGATTCCTTGCTAAATTAGATGTGAGTATGAAACAAATAGTCAGGGATGGTTTCAATATTTTTGGTCTTAATGCCTAGGAAGATTAAGTTGACATTAACTGAGATTGAGAAGAGTCCTGGAGGAATAGATGTGGGTGGAAAAGGTAGGAGTTTGCTTTTGGACATATTAAATTTGAATTGTTCATTATTTACGTTAAAAGAGATTGTTATTATTTATATAAAAGAGATAGTTGTTGGGTCATTGCTGGAGCCATCTATATATGGTATTTTGCCCCTTAATACTGGATAATCAAATAAGTGAGTATAGACAGAAGCTTCAAGAATTGCGCCAGAGATACTCCAAATACATGGATTGCAAAGGTGAGTATCCAGAAAAGGAGGCTGTGAAGGAGTAAAATCATAAAAGGTGATATCTGAAGACAAGTGAAGAAATTATTTCAAAAAGAGAGAAATGGTATACTTACCAACAACTGCAGTCTAGCTTCTTTCCCCATCATTCAACTGAAAATATTCTCACCAGAATCCCTAAAGAGGTCCTGTGGCTACATCCAATATACACATTTCAGTACTTTCTTAATTCAGTCTTTAGCAGCATGTAACAATGTTAACCACTTCCCCCTTCTTAACATGCCCTTTCCTTTGTTTTTGAGAACCTATCTTGTGGTGCAAGAGTAGAATTGTCTGCAAATGTCTTCGGGTGGTTACTGTGAGTTTCCTAGAAAATGGGCCAGCAGAATTGGGCAGAGGATAGAGAATTGGCTGCTTTCTTTTTGGCAACAGGAGGGAATGTCTTCACACTCAGCTTTGCATTGGAGCAGTCACTTCCTTTCTTAGGAGGAGACTTCAGCCTCCCATTGGCCGCAAAGTCTCTAGGTGAGAGAGAGCTGATATTCCTGGACAAATTCTGTAAACAGCTAGCATCCCAAGTCAAAAAGCCTGGCATAACCCACTTACCCATTCCTGCTTTATTATTTTGCTTAAAAAAAAAAGCAAGATATGTTTTTTTTTTTTCCAATGGAGCCAAACTCATATTTTAAGACAACAAGAGGGTCAGAGAAAACTTGCGTTTTCTCTCCATCAACTTAGGTTACTTTCCTTCATCCCTGATCCGTACTATGCCATATTATGAATTTATCCTGAATCCTGGTATATGACAAATGGATTTTCTCTGACCTTTCTGGCTACTTTGTATATTTTTGTAAAATTTTCTTTAATTTTGATATTTTAAGGACCCTGTTTTAGTTTATTTTGACTCCACCCCAGTTTTCAAGTGTGTCTGTCTACAGATTATACAATCTCTATATAACTCCAGCTCAACTGTGTCTGAGCTCTAGCTAAACATCCTACTTCAATCGAATGTCTCATGAACCATGAAATCATATATTAAAGCTTAACACATCATCTCTACTTGAAGTGTGTTTTTACTTCTATGTTCCTCTTGTCAATGAATAGCATTTTCCCCTAGCCCCTAGTTCAAGTCAGAGGTGGAGTGTTTTTCCATAATCTTTTCTCTCTTTATTCAGCTCAATTAACAAATTGCCAAATATTTTCTCTTAAATGTATTTGAAAGTATTTATTTTCCTTATAAAAACTATTAGTTGCCTAGTACAAACTACAGTAACTTTTAAATAGACTATTTTAGAGCTTTTTACAATTACAACAAAATTGAGTTGAAGGTGCAGAGAGTTCCATATATCCCCACATATTCACAGCCTCCCCCACTATCGACATCCCACATCCCAGTGTGTACATTCTTTTACAACGAATGAACCTATATTGATGCATCATTGTCACTCAAAGTCCATAGTTTACATTAGTGTCCATTCTTTTTTGTTTTTTGAGGCAGAGTCTCGCTTTGTCGCCCAGGCTAGAGTGCAGCGGCACGATCTGGGTTCACTGCAACCTCCGCCTTCCAGGTTCAAGCGATTCTCCTGCCTCAGCCTCCTGAGCAGATGGGACTATGGGCCCACGCAACCACACCTGGCTAATTTTTGTATTTTTCAGTAGAGACAGGGTTTCACTATGTTGGCCAGGCTGGTCTTGAACTCCTGACCTCAGGTGATCCACCCACCTTGCCCTCCCAAAGTGCTGGGTTTACAGGAGTGAGCCAACACACCCGGCCTAGTGTCTATTCTTGATGTATTCTTGATTCTACAAGTCTTTTGAAATGTATAATGACATATCTGCCATTATAGTATCATACAGAAGAGTTGAATTCCCTAAAAATAATCTGTGCTCTACCTATTCATTCCTTTCTCTCTCCTCACTCCTGGAAACCACTGATCTTTTACTATATTCATAATTTTGTCTTCTCTAGAATGTCATATAATTGGAATGATAATCATACATTAATTATTATTTTCAAATTGGCTTTTCACTCAATAATGTACATTTAAACTTCCTCTATATCTTTTCATGAATTGATACTTCATTTCTTTTTAGCACTGAATAATATTCCATTGTCTGCATGTACCACCATTTATTTATCCATTCACCTACTAAAGGACATCTTGGTTGCTTCAAATTTGGGCAATTAAAAATAAAGATGCTATAAACATCAATCTGCAGGGTTTTGTGCAAGTAAAGTTTTTCAACTCCATAATGTTTTCACTAGATTGTTGCATTATCCTCTTAAATATTTATATGATGTCTCCCTTGTATTCACTCACATAAGCCTTCTGCCAGTTATAGACCTCAAATACGAAATCTGATCCTATAACTGCTGTTTCAATAGCTACCTTTTCTTCAGCAGAGGGACCAAATCTCTCCACATCATTCCTCTAATCTTCTGGATCTGGTTACTGAATATCTCACCATTCTTATCTTCTAATCAATTTTAGTATGTATATTTGAGCCATTCTGAAATACTTTCACTGTGTCATGCCTTACTATCGTCTAGACCAGCAGTCTCCAAACTTTGGCACCAGGGACCAGTTTCTTGGAAGACAACTTTTCCGTGGACCAAGGGAGGCAGGTGGTTTTGGGATGATTCAAGCACATTACATTTATTGTGCACTTTATTTCTATTATTATTACATTGTAATATATAATGAAATAATTATATAACTTACCATAATGTAAAATCAGTGGGACCCCTCAGCTTGTTTTCCTGCAACTTAACAGTTTCCTCTGGGGATGATGGGAGACAGTTATAGATTATTAGGCATTAGATTCTCATAAGGAGCATGCAACCTAGCTCCCTCACATGCAGAGTTCACAATAGGGTTCCTGCTCCAGCGAGAATCTAATGCCACTGCTGATCTGACAGGAGGAGCTCAAGTGGTAATGCAAGTGATGGGGAATGGCTGAGAATACAGATGAAGCTTTGCTGGCTTGCTGCTCACATCCTGCCATGTGGCCCAGTTTCTAACAGGCAACATACCAGTACCCAGTCCATGACACATGGGTTGGAGACCCCTGTTCTGGACTTTGTACAGGATATTTTATTGGTCTGTATCATTCTCTTGACTTTATTACTGCCTAAGTTCTACTAGTCATTCAGGAATCAGTTTTGGCAGCCATTTATCCAGGAAGATTTCCATGAATCTTTAAGACAGAATTAGATGCTACTTAAATGTGTTTTATAGCTTGCACTCTTCCCTGCCCCATCATAGTTTATAGCATGCAATGTTAAATTATCCAGTTTACATGTCTTCTTTGTCGTGTTGCAAGGTCTTTGAAGGAAGGAAACAGTCTGTCTTGTTCATTTTTTCCCAGTACTTGACAAAGAGTAGGCATTCAGTAAATATTTGTCAAATGAATAGGTAACTAAAGATCCCCGCTTCTCTCACAAATCAAAGAGTAGAAATATATACTGATGGCTGACTGCTAGTCCCAACTTTCATCAGATAAACCCAAGGTCTTGCACAATCTTCACTACTACAATAATTTCAACATGTTTCAAAGGTTGTTCATAAACGACCAAGAGCCATCGGCAATAGTACAATATATTTTCAACATCCACCACAAAATTAAACTCTTAAGTTTTTCTAGGTTACTGTGTTGCCCCTTTATTAAAACATATCCCTTTATTAAAACAACAGCAGAAGTGGAAAATAAATTCTTCAGCTTGATATGGTTTGGCTATGTCCCCACCCAAATCTCAGCTTGAATTGTAGCTCCCATAATCCCTACATGTCACAGGAGGAACCCAGTGGGAGGTAATTGAATCATGGGGGTGGGTTTTCTTGTGCTGTTCTTGTGATAGTGAATAAGTCTCTGGAGATGTGATGGTTTTATAAAGGGCTGTTCCCCTGCACATGCTGTCTTGCCTGCCACCATGTAAGATGTGCCTTTGCTCTTCCTTCACTTTCCACCATGATTGTGAGGCTTTCCCAGCCATTTGGAACTCTGAGTCCATTAAACCTCTTTTTCTTTATAAGTGACCCAGTCTGGGGGTATTTCTTCATAGCAGTGTGAAAATGGACTAATACCCAGCTATTATAATGAATTCTGTTTTCTTATCTTTTGTCTTATCTTTGGAAGTAAAAGATCTTTAATATTACAAGTCAAAGTGATTTTCACATTCTGACTGCAACTCTCCTGAATACATCTCTTCAAGAGATTTTGGGAAAATGTATTCCCACTGTTGACCAGCCTAAATAAAAGGTTTATATCTATTAAAAGTCATGATTTTCCTATATCATGATGATCTAGATAAAGAGTAGCATGTATATATTTCTGCTTTCATTAACTAATTACATTTTATTTTTCACAATTTACTATTAAGTCAGTGTATTTGTTAGATCTCTTTTGGTTGAAAGTGGCAGAAATCTTACAAAATTAGCTCACACAAAGATTAAATGCATTGGTTAACATAACTGGGAAGTCAAAGGGATGCCACTGGCTTTACAAATTGTTGAGCAAGAGATCCAAATGATAAAATTACAGCCATTCTCTTTCTTTCTAGCTCTTTCTTTCTATCTCTTTAGTTCTCTTTCTTTCTATCTCTTTAGAAATGGGCTATTCTCTTTCTATCTCTTTAGTTCTCTCTTTCTTGACTGCTTTACACGTTTGCTTTCATCTCTTAAACTGCTTTTCTCTGTTTCACTTTGTTTTTAGACATGTTTTTGTCTCATGGACATATTCTGCCCATAAGAAAAAAAAAAGATGAATCTCAGAAATTACAGGCTGTGTGGTTCTCGTATCCCAGAGAAAGATACCTTTCTCTCAGCCATACTATAGCAAATTGCAAAAAGAATTTCTAATGACTTTTTGCTATGGTTAGATGTCTGATGATCAGCCAGGTTGGAGTCTCATGCTTTCTTTAGTGGCCCAAGTTGGTGTTCTACCAGGTAGACATTATAATTGTTTCAACAGACCCACCTAATTAAAAGACAGGAAATTTGCCAACATGAAAAGAGGCGCTGGGACACAAGAAGGAAATGAACCTACTGTGGTATTTTTCTCACCAAATTCATATTTCACAAAACTTAATAATTTTATATTTACATGAGGTATCCATTTCTCTTAAATCACTATACATGTCTGAGAACTTCATTTTTAAAAGATGCTATAAAACATTTGAGTAGCTGCATATAAAGACTGACATTAAAGTTTTCAGAATTGTATGTATATCCATATGCATTGGCATTAAAGTTTCCAGAATTGTGTGTATATCCATATGCAACTTCTTGTGTTGAAATATTATATTGTTATTATCATGAGTTTATTGCCAATTTAGTAGTAACAACTATTGATAGGACATGATAAAGCAGAATTACATTCTAGTTTTCAAGATGCTCAATTGTCATATTTTTAGAAATAAAATTTAAATAAATAGACCCATCAGTCTAATTTCTTCTCCTTTCCACTTAATTTTTTAAAAATATCATCACCAGCATTTTACATAGAGTAGGAAATATACACTAAATATACACCCTCCCATCTATCTATATTAATAGCATTCCAATAGAATTCCAATAGAATTCCAATTTCTAATACCTCAGATATTGATTAATTTATTCAATACACATTTCTCAGCAGTTTCATATGGGCTAGAAAACTGCTAAAGATACAAGTAAACTGCATGCCCAATTAAACTATTCCAATCATTCAGAAACACAAGCTAAAGGCATTTAATATTTTCAAAATGTTTTTGAATCTAGTCAACATTGTTTTCTATGCTACACCACGAAGAAAACCGATGGGCCTTGCTTTCAGTTCACTCCCTCCATTAAGTCAATCAGTTGGACAACATAATATCATTAAAAGTGAGAAACCCTAAATCCAATCCATAAACCCAGGAAAAGCCTCAGGTGTTGACAGATTTCCCATCTATTCTTATAAAACCTGATCGTGGCAATTATCTCCAACATCAGAGAGTCTTTTCAGAATTTTTTAAGACCAGAATTATGTCTCAAGACATGAAAACTCCCTTGATCCCCTAATCCTTAAAAAGATGACAAGGTAAGGAAAAATTGGGGGATTTTCATCCCCTTTTACTCTCTTGAATAGAGAGTACAAGATTGTTTCCAAGGTTTTAGCTATGCTCCTCAATGATATCATTCCTGCCCTCATATGCTAAGATTAGGAAGGATTCATCCTGGGTAGCTCTAAGAAGATAATACCTGAAAAATATTTCCATGTAATCCATTAGTAATATCTCTCCAAAATCATCATACTGATAAATCAGTAACTTTTTTAAAAGAAATAAGTAAACTTAATAAAGAGCCATTAGGTGATCTTGTCCACACCATTAGGTTGATCTGCTCATAGAAAATATTTAAATCTCTAATTCGCTTATTATGCTTCAATGCTCATCTTACTTCCAGCCAAATTACCACAGCTCTTCTGCCATCTGGTCATCATTCAACTGTTGTTTTTCTGATGTCAGGAAAATTTTAAACACGTAGGAAAAAGACCCTAAGGGGTTTTTGAATGCCTTGTGTTTTTGCTAAACTCAGATTTCCCAGTTAAAAAGGGGAGTGGGGGACAGAAAAAGGCCTGAGATTTGGAATGCTGACTGCTACAATCTCTTTAATCATGAATCTAAAATATCATTTTAAACTGCAGTTTGGGCCAGGGTTATGTACACACTAATACCTATATTATGAATGAGGCTTACTAAGTCTATCCAGCAACAAAATATCTAGCATTCATTCACATAATTATTATTTTATTCAATAACCACTTATGTACTGGGAGAAAAGCAGTAAACATGAATCTATGTGTTAGGCCATTCTTGCATTGCTCTAAGGAAATACCTGAGGCTGGGTAATTTACAAAGAAAAGAGTTTTAGTTAGATTGTGGTTCTGCAGGCTATAGAGGAAGCATGGTGCTAGCATCTGCTCAGCTTCTTGGAAGGCCTCACAGAGCTTTTACTCATGGCAGAAGGGTAAGTGGGAGCAGCAGGTCATATGGCCAGAGCAGGAGCAAGAGACAGCAAGGAAAGGTGCCACACCACTTAAAAAAACAGATCTTGGGAGAACTCCTTATTTGAGGAGAGCCAAGCCATGAGGGATCCACCCCACGACCCAAACACCTCCCATGAGGCCCCTCCTCCAGCACTGAAGATTACCTCTCAACATGAGATTTGGAAGGGACATCCAAAATAAATCAATCTGCATAGGTATATATTTGGAAATAGAAAGATTGTGCCATTGTGGAAGTTAGTTTTATTTCTTTCTCTTTTCTTTTTACAGTGACAAATACACTATTTGCTAAGTAATGTACCAGAAGATATTGAAGGTTAATTACAGAGGATTCAAGAGACAGAAATAGACTTGAAAAATAAGAAAGAAATATAGCCCCTACTCAATTTTTGGTTATCAGTTGTCAGCATAGTTCTTTCTGCATTGAAATCTGTATCAGTTTGCTAGGGCTGGGTGGCTCAAACAATAGAAATTTGTTTCACAGTTCTAGGGGCCAGAAATCCAAAATTAAAGTGTTAGCAGGGTTGATTCCTTCTGAGGTCTGTGAGTAAGAATCTGTTCTCTCCCCTGACTGCTGGTGGTTTCCTGACAATATTTTGGTGTTCTTCAGCTTGCCAAGACATTGCCTGACATTTGCCTTGATGTTCACACGGCAGTCTCCCTGTGTGTGTGTGTCTGTGTCCAAGTTTCCCATTTTTGTAAGGACAACATTGATATTAGAGTGTTAAGGGCCCACTCAACTCCAGTATGATGGTCTTAAATAATTACATCTGCAATGACCTGATTTTCAAATAAGATTATATTCCGAGGCAATGAGGATAAAGGCTTCAATATATGAATTTTCCAGGGAACAGAATCCCACTGTGGTATGCTGTTATGTTATGGCAGCCATGGAGAAGATAATTTTTCTTGGCTTAAGAAAGCAAAAATGATGTTTTTGTGTTAACCGTATGCACTTAAAATGTTAAAATTGTGTTATCAAAACACAACTTAAGTGCTCACACACCAAGAATTGCCAACTTCCAAAAAACAATGACAGCTTTCAATTCTCATGACACTCAACTTCTTTGCTTCCCTGTGCCAGCTGATATCTTACTTTTTGAAACTCTTTCTTCAAAGTTATGATAATAATAGCCTTTTTCTCATTGCTCTGTCCCTATTTTGCTCAGTTTTAACTGTAATTTTTTTTCTTTTACATCTCTGAAACATGACCAAATAGACTGTTTAAACACATGCAATCATTATTTCCTTTAATTCTGTTGATTCCAACACTTCGATAACTAGGCAAACTTCATTTCTGCATTCCAAACTGACATTTCTGATTTCTTAACACTGAAAATCAGTGTCAAAAGGGAACTCAAAATTATCTCCCCTGATGCCCTCTCCCCACTCCCAACTCCAAAAAAATCTACTTTACCATACAATTTTTCTGTTGGTTTTAATGACACTGGCATTCTCTATGCCTTTCATATCTGAAATATCAAATATCTTTATTTCTTATTCTCTATACCTAATTAGTTGTCAAGTAAAGCAAATTCTATCATCATAATATATTTAATATTCATACACTTGGTACTAGTCATAGTGTCACTATTTTAATTGAAAACTGTATTATTTTTATATTTTACTAAAATAACTTCTTACCGAGTCTGCTTACTTTCTAATATTATCTATTATTCCTATAGTAAGGTCAAATTCAAGTTCCTGAAGCACAGATTAAATCATCTTTGTTCAAAAATAGCCAATTACTTCTGAATTTAGATTCCTCTTCTTTTTTTTTGTATTTAGATGGAGTTTCGCTCTTGTCGCCCAGGCTGGAGTGCAATAGTGCGATCTCGGCTCACTTCAACCTTCTCCTCCTGGGTTCAAGTGATTTGCCTGCCTCAATCTCCTGAGTAGCAGGGATTATTCTAATTAATATTAGTATAATATATTATATTATTATGTTACATATATTATAATATATTATTATATTATATAGCTATGATATATTAATATTTTATGTTAATGATATTAGCTACATTATGTGGACATTATTTGCCTGGTATTTATCTAATTTTCACTATAATTCTAAGAGTGGAATTTGTGTGTGTTTACATTTTAAAGATGATTAGAGAAGATAATTAATTTCCCCAAAGTTCCGTAGTTATTCCTGCATTCAAAAATGTTTGTTGAGTACTTCCTTGGTACTGGGACTTCTGATTAGTAATGGGATTTCAGTGATGAAAAAACAAATGTTTTCCTTGTTTTCATGGAGTTTATAATCTACTTGGGGAAACAGGTTTGAAACTAGTATACCAAAATTAAACAAAATGATTCCATATTTTTGTAAGATTTAGGAATGAAAACAAAGAAAATTATGAGAAAAAGCATAACGTTGGTAGGGATATGGAAAATCCCTGAGGGTGGACAAGAAATTATTCCAAAGACGAAACATATAGTATAGAGCCTAAAAGGTAAAAAGTAGCATGCCATGTGAACTTTAGAGACAAAAAATATTCAGTGCAAAGGGATGTACACATTTATAAAATGTACACTTTTATACAATGTATGCATTTCCTGATATAAGATGGTATTTGATAACATAGGAAATGGGAGATTAATATGGCTGAAGCATAGTAAAAATAGGCAGAGAAATAACACTGGATCTAGAGATAGAGCTAAATTGTGCAGGGCTTGTGGTCAATGACATTTTGTTAGGATACGGTCAAAATTAAGAATATATGCTAAATATAAAGGGAAGTCACTAAAGGGTTTAAAGACAGGTCCTGAAATAATTCAATAAAGGTATCGAGGATATGATTTCTATTGTTTGGAGGATAGATTTGGAGATGAGAAAGAGTAAGATTGAAAGCTAAGTAGTCGATTGTAGATATTATGGGAGCGTGAATTACAGTGATGAGTCATCACTGCAGGCTAGCACTCAGGCTTATATATATATTGCTTTCCATGAGAGCTCTAATTTTGATTATTTAATGTGAAACACTTATGCAAAATTAGGACAGCATAAGGAAAAGTAAGTTAATCCTTTTTATGATATCATTAGTGGTAGCCCAGACCAAGATTTATCAGAAGTAGTACAGAATTAATGTCGCCTCCTCAGAGTCCATGGTCATCTCTCTTCAGTCTGGGCTCTGGCATCTATTTTAGCAGCATCTTTGAGTACACTAGCTCAGTATACATCTAATTTTTATCTTTGCTTCTCTGATTTCAAAGGTTTATTTGCATGCCTAATTTTTGATATTAAATTATTTTCCTGATTGAATTATGACTAAATCAGAGATAATAGTACATGATAAGTTTTGAACATATTTTATATACTTTTATTAGATGTAAAAATAAACAGTTAATTTTTAATTTTAATAGATTTATGGGATGAGAAAAAAGAGAGAAAAGGAAGACATCTAACATATTTGGTTTAGCAATCTAATAGCTGGATTATTTATGTAATAAAGTGAAGATGACTTGTGGAAATAGGTTTGACAAAGGTAGAGGAGAAAATAGTTATTCATTTTTTTTAAAGATATTCAACCTAAGGTGTAAAATAAGTGATTATACAACCAGGTATTTAAGAAGACAAGAAAACATGAGTGAATACACTGGAAATAATAAAAATAGAATTAGCCTTACAAGAACACCAGACTATAAATCAACTATGTTTACTGTGTTCAACAAAACAAAATTCAAGCTTGAGAATGTTAGCAGGACATGGGAAAGTATAAAATTGACATAGTTAATTTAGGAAAAGGAAAAATACTACACCTAAAAAACATATAAAAGCTAAAATTAACAATCAATTGTAGCATTAAATAAAGGTTAGGCAAAGTAAAGAGAGAATTAAAATGTTTGCAAATAAGTGAAAAGACAAAATGGAAACTCCAAGGTGAAAGAATATGTGACAGATAATAGAAGATACAGTATATTTAGACAAAATTTCAAAAGAATAGGAAAAAGAGAAAAGTGTAGAAACAGTAGCTAAAGAGATGTTATAGATAATTATCCAAAACTAATAAAAGACACCAATCCACTGTTTTGAGAACACTGTATTAACCTTTTAAAATTTATACCTGAATAGCAAAATTAAAAAAAGAAACAGAAAAAAAATATAAATGCATCCAGAAAAAAAAGATAACATTGAAATGGTAAAGGACTGATACCTGATTTCTTAACAGCAACGACGGAGCCATTAGACCCTGTCAAGATATGTATAAGATACTGAATAAAGGAACAGCCAATTTAAAATATTATGTTGATGCACACGTATGTTTATTGCAGCACTATTCACAACAGCAAAGACTTGGAACCAACCCAAATGTCCAACAATGATAGACTAGATTAAGAAAATGTGGCACATATACACCATGGAATACTATGCAGCCATAAAAAAGGATGAGTTCATGTCCTTTGTAGGGACATGGATGAAGCTGGAAACCATCATTCTCAGCAAACTGTTGCAAGGACAAAAAACCAAACACCGCATGTTCTCACTCATAGGTGGGAATTGAACAATGAGAACACATGGACACAGGAAGGGGACATCACACACCGGGGCCTGTTGTGGGGTGGGGGGAGGGGGGAGGGATAGCATTAGGAGATTTACCTAATGTTAAATGATGAGGTAATGGGTGCAGCACACCAACATGGCACTTGTATACATATGTAACTAACCTGCACGTTGTGCACGTGTACCCTAAAACTTAATAAATAAAAAAAAATTTAAGTATAATAAATAGAAAAAAGAAAAAAAAGAAATAAAATATGATGTTGAGCAAAACGTATTCTTAAAAAATAAAAGGGAATGGGGGTGTTTTTCATACAAATAACTATATTTACTGTCAGTGGGGCAATAAAACAATATATAATATAAAATATTTAAATATATTTGCACGTATATAGAGAACATATAATACATAAATATATTTTGTGTTATGTATATATGTGTAAAACTTTTATGTTTTTATTAAGAAAAGATGGGGATTATGATTGGGACCTTGAATAAAGATGAGGGCCTCCTTTGTTAGGAAGTGTTAATACTGGGACCAGCAATTGTGTAATGATAAAATTTATCATGAGTCAGCTACCCAAGTGGGAATCTTGGGAAAATGATTTTCTTGATAAATGGTTAAAAAAAAGAATAGACAAAACAACAAATATGTTAGCAACAAAAATATCAAAGATGTTAGCAACAAAAAAAAATTGGTATGTATGGAAAACTGAACCAAATTAAAAGGGAAATGTATATCTTTTCAAGAAAAAATAAGAGTGTTCACCAAATAGAGCATTTGCTGGGTTATATCATATAGAACAAAATTTAAAGGACTGAAATTATATAGATAATGTTCATTGGCCACATTAAATTTACACTAATGATTAATAAGTAAAAGACAAATGGAAATATCTTAAATATTTGGAAATTAAGAATATAAGCTAAATAATTCATGGACTAAAATAAGTGAAAATGCAACTAAAATATTTTGAACTAAATTTAGTAACAATGTGGTATATAAAAATAGCTTGTGAAATACAATTGAAGATATGCTTATAAAGAAACCTATAGCCTTCAATATATTAGAAAATGTTTTAATAACTTTAAAATTAAATTTGTAAGCATCTTTTAAGAGTCAGAAATAGAATTGCATTCTAAGCAAAAGGAAATAAGATGGATGGAAATAATAAACAGAAGTCACTATATTAACAAATATGAAAAATCTAATAAAGAAAATTAATAAAGAGTTGTATATTTAAAGACTATTAAACCTGACACATTCCTCTCAAGATTGATCAAAACTGAAAGAAAAGAGAGATACAAGAAAAGAATGAGGAATATATACAATCTCAGATGGAAAAGGAAGTATTAATATATATCTTATAGATATTAAATAGATAATTTAAAATTTTAGATACCATATCCAAATTTCTGGGCAAAAACATTTAAAGAAGACATCTGAATGGTTATAGAACAAAATATAAAGAAAATGAATGAATAACGTATAATCTTCTGTTGATGCAAACTGTAGACCTACTTGATTTACCAGTGAATTCTTCCAAACTTTTGTGAAGAACTCATAGCAAAGTAACATAAACTCTTATACAAAACATAAAAAGAAGAAACACTTTCAAACTAATTTTATGAGTCCAGGATAATCTTGATACCAAAACCTGACAAAGACATTAAGAAAAAGAAAATGGTCAGGGGAATCTCTCTGATGACTACAATACTAGCATAATAACCTAATGACATACTTTAAAAAGCTAATATATTGCGACAAAGTTAAATTTATTCCAGGAATGCAAGGTTGGCTTAACAGTTTAAAAATAGAATAATTTGCCATATTAGTGAGAAGTATTTATAGCAAAGTAAGTATAATGTAAAACCTCATTAATCTGATCAATTATTTCTACAAAAATTCTATAACAAATATTTTACTGTTTTCCAATTATCAGTTTTATGTATGCCAATTAACACTTTGAATATTTTACTGATGGTCTTACTTTATAGGCCAATAATAAATGACCAGTTTTTCCATTAGATAAGTAGATAGGTAAATGATACAAGAAATTGAAGAAGAAAACAAAAATAAAACTGTATTATAGGGAGGAACATACTCAAAGATACATATTTATTTTAAAGTGAGGGAACAATTCAAAATTAGCACAAAAATGTGAACTATTCAACAGTCTTTATATAGTTTCACTTCATCATTTGTAAATGAGTGATGTTAGGGTCTCATATTACAGAAGAAAATATATTCCATAAGGATTAGATATTTAGCAGTTTAAAAAAGCTATTGTAACTGTGATGAAGAAAATGTAATTAAATATTATTTTGAGAAGATTATTCAGGTAAAGTGATGGTGATTTCTGCCTTACTTATGATTATTAAAAGATAAAACAGTCTAAATACCCCAAAGGAGTGAATATAATATTTTTATACAATACTTTTTGAGATGCAAAATACATTTTTGAAATTTTTTAAATGCCAAATGAAGATATTATAAATGAAATGCAGAAATGTATGTGTATGTATCATACAGGTGTATATAGCTTTAAGGGTATCTATCAGTATGCTTTTAGTGATTATCATCGACTGTTCTATTTTAATTATTTCCTTTAAAAATGTCTGGTGCCAAGGCAAGATGGGTCAAAGTCAGAGTGGTGGTCATGGTCCTGGAGGTCAAGAAGGATGATAAGGACAAGAAAAAGAAATACGAACCTCCTGTACCGACTAGAGTGGGGCAAAAGAAGAAAACAGAGACCAGATGCTGCCAGCAAACTGCCACTGGTGACAACTCACACTCAGTGCTGGTTAAAATGATTCAAGTTAGAAAGAATTAAAGACTATCTTCTCATGGAGAAAGAATTCATTATAAATCAGCAACAAATAAAACCATTAGAAGAAAAGCAATAGGAAGAAAGATCAAAAGTGGATGATCTGAGGGGGACCCTGATGTCAGAGGAATGTTGGAAGAGATCACCCATGACAACCATGCCATCGTGTCCATATCTGTGGGCTCAGAACACAACATCAGCATTCTTTCATTTGTAGACAAGGAGCTGCTGGAACCTGGCTTGGTCCTGCTCAACCACAAGGTGCATGCCATGATAGGGGCGCTGGTGGATGACACGGATCCCCTGGTCACAGTGATGAAGGTGGAAAAGGCCCCCCCAGGAGACCTATGCCAATACTGGAGGATTGGAAACCAAATTCAGGAAATTAAGGAATCTGGAATCTGTGGAGCTTCCTCTCACCTATTCTGAATACTATGAAGAAATGGGTATGAAGCCTCCTCAAGGGGGTCGTTCTCTATGGTCCACTGGGCACAGGTAAAACCTTGTTAGTCAAAGCAGCAGCAAACCAAACCCCAGCCACTTTCTTGAGAGTGGTTGGCTCTGAACTTATTCAGAAGTACCTAGGTGATGGGCTCAAACCCATGCTGGAATTGTTTCGAGTTGCTGAAGAACATGCACCATTCATCATGTTTATTGATGAAATTGATGCCATTGGTTCAAAAAGATATAACTCAAATTCTGGTGGTGAGAGAGAAATTCAGTGAACAATGTTGAAACTGTTGAACCAGTTGGATGGATTTGATTCTAGGGGAGATGTGAAAGCTATCATGGCCACAAACCAAATAGAAACTTTGGATCCAGCATTTATCAGACCAGGCTGCATTGACAGGAAGATCGAGGTCCTCCTGCCTGATGAAAAGAATGAGAAGCACATCATTCAGATTCACACTAGCAGGATGAGGGTGGCCGATGATGTAACCCTGCATGACTTGATCATGGCTAAAGATGACCTCTCTGGTGATGACATCAAAGCAATCTGTACAAAAGCTGGTCTGAAGTCCTTAAGAGAACTTAGAATAAAAGTAACAAATGAAGACTTCAAAAAATCGAAAGAAAATGTTCTTTATAAGAAACAGGAAGGGGATCTATTTCTAGTGAACCACAGCTGCCATCAGGAAAATAGTTGGGAGATTTCCCGTCCCCTGAGAGGGATGAGTTTGAGGGAGTTTCCCAGGGGAATCCCTGTTCCCATTGATTTTTCTTAGCAAAACATCCTGTGTGTCTTTTGGAGTATGATGTGTAATTGCCCATTGGGCAGCCTTTGTCCGTTTGTCACTGTGCAGCACTCTGCTTCCCAATAAAGCGTGCTCCTTCACACACACAGTCTGTATTTTCTAGCTATTCTTTAATGAATTTGTAGTACTTTTCTGTACAATGAAAGCATAATTTAAGTAACGTTTTTATGTATTTTTAAAATCCATCTATTTAAAAAGATTTGCAACAAAACACCACTGCCTCTAATATACTTCCTCACCACAGCCTACTCCCAGGACACAATACACTTCAATCTTTAGTCTTTACTATTTGTATTGATTTATGAATATATAAGTAACACAACTATATACATAATTTTTAATTCTGGATTCTTTGAAATATCACCATTATACAATGGTAACATTTTTGAAATGAATACAGAATCTAGCAACGCTCTCTATGTGAGCATGTACATAGTTCACTTCTTTAAATCTCAGTTTGAAAAATGTCATTATTATGTACAATAAATATTTGAGATTTACATAATTAAGACTATTATTATTCAGACATAAAATATCTGTCAAATATATACCTTGTATACTTAGTTTTTCCTGAAGATAAAAATATACTTCAAATTTTTCTGTGTCATTCCTACATACCTCTTATTAAATGTTTTCAAACGTGCTGACAAATTACAGAATCTTAATATTCCCCAGTATATCAGGTAATCTATCACTTTCCTTTTATTTTTTTCATTCTCTTCCTTCTTGACCCTCATCCTACCTTATTACCTTATGCTTCTCTTACACCTGGAGTATTAAATCATTCTGTTTCAATCTAGCCTCATTGCTTTCCAAGCTAGCAGGAATTCCAAGAGAGTCACTCATAGCCTTTTTAAAAAAGGTATTATGTCTGAAACTACTTTTATGTTAACCTCATATTTTGATAGCTTGTTTATAGAAATTTATATTGAAATTTCTTACTGTCAATGTTCCTTTGTTATCTAGCTTACGAGTTTAAGTTGAGAAAGCTGACATTGTCTTGGTCTGTTTTGTGCTTTTATAATGGAATACTACAGACTGGGTAATTTAGAAAGAACAGAAATTACTTTCTCATAGTTCAGAAGGCTGGGGAGTCTAAGATCAAGGTGCCAGTATCTGAAGTCTGGTAAGATCCAAGTCTCCGCTTCCACGATGGTACCTTGAACAATGCATCCTCTAGAATGGGAAACACTTTCTTCTTCACATGACAGAAGAGCAGAAGAGTGAGAACCTACTCCCCTAGGCCCTTTCTATAGCATCATTAATCCATTCACAAGGGCAGAGCCCCCACGACTTAAACACCTCCCATTAGGCCTCACTTCCCAATACTATTGCATTAGGGATTGAGTTTCCAACACATACATTTTGAAGGACACATACATTTTGAAGGACACATTCAGACCATAGCAGCTATAATTCAGATTCTTACCCCTTAAACCCTCTTATGCATGGCCTGCTTTTTCTTTGTAAGAGGAGCGTGAAGTTTCATCATTCTCTATATTTGATTCCTCTGTTTTCAGTACAGTGCCTCACTCTTGTCATTCATTGCCCCTGGTGTCAAGTATCCTATAATAAATTTATCCAGAAAAACAAATGTCTCTTCTCTTGTTTGAGTACACAGTAAGTAATCACCTGGCTTCCTAGGATAAGGAGGGAAAAATACGATTGTAATGGACATGTTTTTAATCCTGTTCCTCATACCTACTGAGGGAAACATTGTGGATTGACCACGTAATCTCATCATACCCTCCTTCTGTTAGGGTTCTCTACATGACTTAGACACAGTGGAATTCCATAGTCTGTTCTCTAGATTCCTAAGTATGAAGCAGCAGTTGTGGCATGATTACAAAATGCAATATGGGTACCTTCTTGATTTCATAACTCCACAGCCACTTCAGAAATAACCTCTTTAGAGTTTCTGGTCTGTATGGCTCTTTTCATCTTTCAGGAGGGCCAGTCCAGAAGCTAATCTACCAGCTCTTTCAATAGTGTAAAAAAACTAATTTCCTGTATTAAATCCTTTTTTGCTTAAAATGCCTCATTCTGTAAATGGAACCCTACTTGATCCCCTTACTCATTTATGTTCCAGAGAATCTGGTGTTTTCAACTCTTAAACTCTTTTAGAGATCAATGGTTTAAATCTGCATGGCTCCTGTTGGTGCCTAACTCTTGTGTGTTCTTCGGTTTTACCTATTTTTGCTTTTTTTTTTTCTTTCCATCTTCTAAAAATTTGCTGGTATTAATTATCTCCTGACTTCTCCCCATTTTTTCTATTCTTTTGGTTTATAACCTTTTTTATTTGGTAAATACTTTCTGAGGGGAATAGGGGAGTTTGAGGAAAAATTAGAAATATACTTTTTTATCTAGTCTACAATTTTTAATGTTTATTTATAAATTGATTTGATAAGAAATCAAACAATTAATGGGAGAGGACCAAAACAAGAAAGTTTGCTTTACATATATGAATTGTATGCTGAGTTCTTGTGTTTCCTATGGCATTGCCTTATAGCAAAACTAAAAAACTCAATAGTCAAAGAGCAGGAAACATGAAAAAGAGTTCTTAACAGATATAGGAAGTGGTGACAAGTACAGTCTAAGTAGAAACAGTCCAACCTGGCACAGGAAGGGCTAAAATATGCAGTACTTCTAATATTTAATTTTAGTTATCTTGTTTTGCCATTTTTCTATGCCATATCTTTTCATGATAATTTAAGGAATGAAGAAAAAGCATAAGTTTATGAGTGGAATGAATTGAAGTAGAGATGAGTTGCCATATAAGAAATTAAAAAGAGAGCAAACATTTTGAGGCAATAAAAACAGGAGGGACATTTATGCTTACTCCTCTCCAGTTCATCATATATTAAGGAAACTAAGAAATATTGGGAAAGGAACTGGCTTGCCTAAGTAGTTGGAATGGTGATTTAAGCTATTTTGTTTGTATAATTTTAAAATTTCCAATGACCCTCACATTGTCAAAACTAGTATATTTTAATGAAGCGACAAATTTAATTCTGGCATAAATTTCTAATCTGGGAAAGAGACTTTGGAGACTATGCTACTGAGCAATCTTACATTTCGGAAAGATGTATATCTAAACCACCCAAGATTGTGGATCTCTATTCTTAACAATTAGATATGTGACAACCTCCTTCAAGAGTTATTTATCATTCTGACAGTCAAGAAGTCTATTTCAAGACTTTTTTTTCTGGTATGAGAAAATAGTGTTGTGTGGTAAAAAGAGTTGTGGGCCTTGTACTCAACAAAACTGGATTCAAATTTCATCTACTTAGTGCCCAAGGCCATTTGTAAAGTTTGCTGAACTTCCCTTAGTCTCACCACACATCAATAAATGGACAGCAATATCACCTACCTTGCATATATGTTGTAAGACGTAATGTATATTAAGGATATATTTCAGAGTGTGGTATACAGCAAGATTCAATCAATGGTTCTTTTTACTGTTATTTAAAATGTAATTAAAAGTGCCTAAGTTAAGTGGATCATTGGATATCAAAGGCTGTAATCCTAATATGTCCATAGCCAACAAAGTGAGTTAAGGAGTGAAAAGTATCTACAGAAGGGAATTCTGTATAGTGTGAAAGTACATTGAACTGAAACAGAAAAGACGTGAACTCCAGCCCCAGTTTTATGCAGTAAAGCCAATTTTGTGCACCTCTACAGACAAGTTAGCTCTCTGGGTAGCAGCTATCTAGCCAGAGTAACAAAGAAACACAACCAGACAAAAACAGACAGGAGATTTGGGTTACAAGATCATTAAGGTCCCTCCTTGTTCTAAGACATGAATTTTACTTATTTTTAAAGGCTGACATCATATCAAAGAAAGCAAGGCTTTCGAGATAGCAGTAGAAGGTTCTGGGACCTCTTTTCTTTTTTTTTTTTTTTTTTGAGACGGAGTCTCGCTCTGTCGCCCAGGCTGGAGTGCAGTGGCGGGATCTCGGCTCACTGCAAGCTCCGCCTCCCGGGTTCACGCCATTCTCCTGCCTCAGCCTCCCGAGTAGCTGGGACTACAGGCGCCCGCTACCACGCCCGGCTAATTTTTTGTATTTTTAGTAGAGACGGGGTTTCACCGTGTTAGCCAGGATGGTCTCGATCTCCTGACCTCGTGATCCGCCCGCCTCGGCCTCCCAAAGTGCTGGGATTACAGGCGTGAGCCACCGCGCCCGGCCGGGACCTCTTTCTTACAAGAACAGCAGTCAAGTATATTTTTAGAGGAGAAAAGATGACTCTAGGAACATAAATGCCTGAGTAAGTGTATTGAATTTTCTTTCACTTCACTTTCAAATAACAGTGGTCCCAGTTTAACAGTTGTATAGGTGTTTTTAAACAACTCATCTCTATCTCATTTTAATTAAACATGCACTCTCTCCAGTCCCCCACCTGTAAAAATGTAGTTTGCAATTTGACAGGATGATATTATAGTATTGAGCAATATGTGAATTGGTTTAAAAGTAACCAGAGTTGAAGCATGCATCAATCACCACAAGTGCAAACTCAGGTCACTAAAGCTGTCAATTTCAATCAGCTCTGTAATTAAATACATCACCAATATGGATTTTGTGTAAGAATGTCACTTGTTCTTCAGCTGTCTGCTATGAGGACAAATCACACTTCAGTGTCTCTGCACAGGCATTCCAAATATAATATTTTTAAAAGCAGAACATCTTCATCTATCTTTCTATAATTCGTTAAATAAAAATGCATTTACTAATGTGTAGTCCAAAAGCTATGTTTTTAAATATATATATAAACTGCTTTCCATTTAATTAAAATGTTGCAATATCTTAGTTGGCATTTTAAACTTATCTTTAACACCTTTAGTGGCATTTGTTATGAAATAAATAGATAATGAATAATAATCACCTTTTAAAAGGCTGAACAATTTGTAATTATGGAAAATTTGTAATTAGAGAGTCTTTATTATATGTTCAAAAAGCAGAAAATGCTTTTGGTTATGAAGAAATAAATTATTCATTTCTATTTCAGCATGAGAACAAAACTATTTCACATTTAGAAAAATCTTTTTTTAATAGCCATAAAGTGTCATCTCCTTCTATTACACTTAGCACTACATGGGAAAAGACTGCAACAGAGCCGTATTACCAAATATATGTTGTCTGCCATTTGAGTCTTTTTGGAATTTTTCTTTTCTGTTTTTCCTTGTGGTCAGCAGTAGCATGCAATAACTCAGGAGCAATTTTCAGTGAATTATTGTACCTATCAGTTTGATTTGGGGCAATCTTTACAAGCTAAGGCCTGCTTATATAACCCTCCAAGCTGACTTCAGACAGCCCTTAAACAGCACAAGAATACTCTCATTTAATTTGTTTTAGTACCTCAGATCTTCATGTTTAGCTTTATCTATTATTCTTAAAAAGTATGAGGACCAAGGAATCATTTTTTTCTGACAAAATACTAAATAAATGGGAGAAAATATAAAATTGAGTTTAAAAAGTAAAAAAAAGTGAAGCCAGTAAAAATTTGCACTGGTTCTTAGAGATAGTTGGCCTGTTGGTTCTGAGAAGGATTCTTTTACCTCTCTTCTGAAACTGAAATACAGCCACTTGCCCAGTGCTGTCTTCTGAGTTTTCTCCATGTTTTTAGTTAAACGCTTCTTACACAACCCCAACTGCTATTTTAATTAGTTTACCAATTTCCTTAAGTTTTCTGTTTCATATTTTTCAACATTGTATACAACAGTGTTCATCCCATCCTCTACTTCACAGACAAACAAACAAGTAAATAATAAAGTTCAACAGGAAGAAAAGTTGAGCCTAAACATTCAACAACCATGATCCCTTTTAGTTTTCATGGAAGAATTCACTATCTCATGTCTGAAAGTTTACATTTCTGCCTTAACCTCACTCCATCATATAAGTAGCTCACTTACACTATACCTTTGTTCCTTCGTCTTATCTGATTCTTTTTCTTTTTCATGTGAAGAATGTCTAGTTTCTTCCTTATTTAAACTTAAAATGACCTCTCAACCCTATGTTACTCTTACATTTAAAAATTCTCCCTCTGGAGGTTGCAGTGAGCCAAGATCGTGCCATTGCACTCCAGCCTGGGGACAAGAGCAAGACCTCATCTCAAAAAAAGAAAAAAAAAATTTCCCTCTTTCCTTAACAGATAAAATACAATTCCTAGCAGTGGACACATGTGTAATACACATCTTTATCTCTCAATCTTTCCTCTACTTTCTATAGAGTAACTTCTGCCACTATCCTTCTTTTGTCAGACAGTAATCAATTTCTGGTGGTTAAAGTCAATGGTAATTTTTAGGTAATATATTACCTAATAATATATTACTTCCTCTTTCATTTGGTATTATTGACTTTTTCTCTCCCTTCTGGGAAGTAACTCTTCTTCCCTTGTGGTAAGACATTTTCAGGTTACCTATCTGTTGAGTAGTGGTGACCCTAGGCTTTGGTCTTATTCTCTTACTCATGGGTACCTGGATCACTCCAAATTCTATATATTTACCTTACTTTTGAGGTACCATCAAGTTCATTTTGGATGTTCTATTTTATTTCCATACTCTTTCCCTAATTGGCTCCTACCCAATTTAATATTTTCTAGTCTTTAAGAAAGGTCACTAAATTGACTGTGAGAGGACTGTGAGAGTCAAACTTGATTTTTTATTTTTCTTATCTCCCACAATTAGTTATACACATCCTATAGTTCTATATTTTTAGCATTTTCTAAGGTGGCTTCTGCTTCTCAAGATCCGTGTGTGATGCCTTCATTCATTTTTCGTAATTCCTGCATCATTATTCTAGCCCTCTCTTAATGTTTCCCTTACTCTCCTACTTATTCATTTATAGCCATTTTTCACACTACTGTGACAGTGATCTTTATTTATATTTGTAAATGTCAAATTTAAGTAAGGCTTTCTTTTACAAATAATCTTTCATTGATTTTTGTCTACCTCTGATAAAATGATTATCCCTCTTTTTCTCTAAACTTGGTTTTTTCTATTAATCCTCAAACATTCTAAATTCTATCAGTATTATTTATGTTACTCAAATATTACCATACTTTATGTTGTTTCCTGATGTTTATCATTTAGCTCAGTCTTTAAGAAGAAGCTTGAGATTGACTTAGAATACTCCCTTCCCCCATTCATCTCTTTCTGTCATCTCCATCTGTTTCTTTCTTTTTTTGCCTCAGTTCATCCAGATGCCAAACCAAACTCAAGAGTGTTGAAATAAGTTTTTACTTCATGTATTGTCTGTACATCAACACCACCTTTTCAATTTTCAGATAATTCTGTATTTTCTAATTAATTTCTTTAACTTTCCATTAGAGACTGCTAGCTCCTTGAAAGTTGGGGTCTTTAATCTTGGCTGTTCACTGCAAGCACAACTTCTGGCACAAAATAAGCATTTATTAAATGACTGGTGGAATAAATAAATAAATGACTTTAGCTGCTGAACCCCTAAATAATCAATAACACACAGGAAAAATATCTGTTGTCATTTAAAGAAAGACATGTGTCTTTATAGAATATCAGAGTAGTCCTACAATTCTTAATTCTCAAATGGAACTAGAAAGAATATGAGAGTTTCTAAATGATAAAACCATTAATTTAAAGTTATAAGGGGGTGTTTTCTACGGAATAATTTAGAATTGAATTATGTCAATTACTCTGAGAAATAAACTGTCACTTCTACATTGCTCCTTATTCTTTGGGAGCAATTAAATGTTCTGGTTAATGGTGAGGTTCTGGTGTCAGACAGTCTGAGGTTCAAATCTCATCCCTGCAGCTTACTAGCTGTGTGATTTGGACAACATATTTAATCTCTCTGGACTTCAATTTTATATCTGCAATCTGGAAACATGCTGTTCGCCTTTAAAGATTAAATGAGATAATATAGATTCAGTATTTAGGATAATTCCTGGTATAAAATTAGAACTCAATATACGGTGGGAATGGGTTTCACCTCTCAGTTGCAAGTGTACAATGTGCCTCACTTATATCTGCTAAGATAACACTTCTCTGAGCTCCTGTTTACCCAGCTAACAAAAACTTTCATTTCAGATGTTTTCTAGGGAGACTTAGCACACCATAAGTTAGTGCAAGATCTTTGAGGGTCATGGACTTTCTAGAATATTCAAGGTAGAGGTCTCCAGCTGTCATTTCACAGAGGACACTGCTGATGCTCTTGTTTTCCAATTTCTGTGAACATTTAAGAGGTTGATTCTGCTTCTTTAGTGTCAAGCTTGGGTGGGAGGCTTTCACTGAGGCTGGACATTATGAATGAATGTACAGCTTCCATAAGAGCAACATGCACACATTCCCAACAGAGTGCAAGAAAAAGTAAGTCATGGAGTGTGACACTCAAGAAACCATCAGCCATAGTCCCTTCCCTCTAGTTCAAGATTATCTTCCATATACTCACCCAATATCACCTAAGACTAAACAGGAAAATAATCTTTTACATGAAACATGGGACCTTGAGAAGTTAACCCAGCAGATACAAATTATGCTTTCCTCTCTTTCCTTAGTAGGGAAGATGTGTGCAAATAAAATTCAATGCCAACATTAAAGAAACTAGGTTTTGTTTTGTTTTTGCTTTTAAGGTTCTATGTTCCCATGGCAGTTACAGGCTGGCTGGCTATATATTAAAATGATTAAAATTATTTCTTACAAAATTATTTTTTCTTAATAATAGAGAAGTGGGCCAGGCGCGGTGGCTCACGCCTGTAATCCCAGCACTTCGGGAGGCTGAGGCGGGCAGATCACGAGGTCAGGAGATGGAGACCATCCTGGCTAACATGGTGAAAGCCCGTCTCCACTAAAAAATACAAAAAATTAGCCAGGCATTGTGGCCGGCGCCTGTAGTCCCAGCTACTCGGGAGGCTGAGGCAGGAGAATGGCGTGAACCCGGGCGCTGGAGGTTGCAGTGAGCACAGATCGCGTGCCACTCCAGCCTGGGTGACAGAGTGAGACTCCGTCTCAGAAAAATAAATAAGTAAATAAATTAATTAATTAATTAATTAATAAAAGACAAGTGATAGCATGTGTTCTTATTAATGTCAATGATAGTAAAACAAATAGTATTCAAACCTGCTTGAGAGTATACACAAATATTAAATAAAAACTGGAGGTCTAGTGTAAAAACAAATTTTATACCTAATATATTCAAGGTAGATATGCCATGATTATTTTACTTTTTAATTCATCCATCTATTTTCTAGTTTCTTACAATAGTAGCTCTTTGTGAAAACTAATCAACCTTTAGAAATGGATTCAATCATTTGGTAAAATACCGTGAAACAACAATAGCTACTTGTCACTAGAAAGTATAATGTATGGCAAAATTAACATTAAATTGTACATTACATGATGGAAATCAACATAGGGTGGGTCCAACATATAAAAATTTTTCTGTTAATAAATTGCTTATATTTCTTATATATGTATATATATGTATATATATACGGATAAATATGTGTACATATATAAATATATCATAGGTGCCAATAGAATAGTATACTGAGGTTCCAGGATATTTAAAAAAATAAAGATAAGATTAATACTTGTTTAAAATAAATCTAATATGAGATCTTAAATGCCAAGTACAACTAAAAATATATTATTTTATCTCCTAACAATGCTAAATAAACTCAGTACAATCATGACAGTGGTATTTTTTTAAATTAAGATAAAAAATTAAAAATCATGGACACTGAATAATAGATCTGTTATCATTTATGACTTTTAAAATTAATTTAAAAATCTGAAAGAAAATAAGTTTGAAAGATTTGTAAATTCTTAGAAAAAAATTACAGGATAGCAGATTAGAAGATTTCGGGAACCGTACTATATTCTACCTATTGTGAATTTAGAATTAACCTTGTTAAAATATTATTTATAGATAATATATAATGACTTGTTTTAAAAAAAGTAATTGTTTGCTTCTAAAGGTCTATGCTCCCTTGCGAGTTACTGGCTGGCTAGCTGTGGATTAAAATGATCAAGTAGTCTACTGGGACAAGAAGAAGGCCTTGGGCAACCACTCACCTTACGATGTAAAACCTGCTCTTACAAAATTAAACACAGAATGAGTTGCATTGAACTCTGCTCACTTTTGCTTTGTTTCTTTTATCTTATCTATTTGAAACTCAAGGAGCAATACTGTATTGAAGCATTAAGGTTGATTTTATTTGTGATTTGAAGAATATCCATATTACAGATTATTAAATTATGGCAATCTAACCTTGAAAGCACCTCTATCCGCTGTAAGAGCAACACTTCATCACCTGTTTTGATTCATTAATGTATCATTTAACTTGGTATGACACATGTTCAGCAGTTATAATTACATTATGGTCTTCCTATTACATCAGCTCTGCTCCAAGTTTCTGTCACCACTAGTCCAATTTTCAACATAGAGCAATCCACTGCTCTCTTTCCTTATTAGTGTCATCTTTAATGTAGCAGAGAGGCTGAACCATTACTTGGCACTGAGAGTTTAACAGCAATTAACCCCTGCTCTATCCCCAGGGAGAAGTACATCAGCAACTTGCCAAAACACTGTAAACAAGCTGGCCAAGATCAATGTGCAACCACGCTGGCTGCAGAGCACCTATTGTATTAATTTAGGACTGATATATGGGGATAAAAGGAGGAAATGGTTTGCATGAAATTAACCTGAGTCACTCCTCTACCCAAAATTGGAAATATTTCTTCCCAGAGATAGATATAGAATTAAAAAAAAATAAGTAAAAGAAAACCATGCTTGTAGTTAGCAAATACTGAATATTTATTCAGCTTTATTGCCGTAAGAAAATAATTATTGAATTGATTATTTCACCAGATATTTTTTAAAGGTGGAAAATAAAATGCATAAACAATGTATTCACGGAATGTAAAGGTCAACTTCAGTTAGCAAATAACAAAACAAACTCAATGTTGAGATATATCTTAGTTGTTCTAATTTGCAATTGACTAGCAATGGGAGCCACACATGGTCATCTATAAATTTCAGCGTTAGAAAATTCTCAGCAAGATGCAGTCAGTAGTTCTGAGAGTTGATGCTGCAAACTTTAAAAGCATGCAGAGACAGTACTGAGAGCAGAATGTGTGCTCTGATACTTTCCAGACACATTCTGTCTTAATTTGTAACTGCAGAAAGCCTCAGTACAAAGCTGGATACTTTGATACAGCCCACCCTACGCAAAGTGGAAGAAGCATAATGTAGAGAGGATGAGCAGCTGCTATAGATATAAGGAATATAAAACTATTTGAGGATCAAATCTGGACCTAGGCCAAAGATTTAGCTTGCTACCTCATTTGAGATGAGAAAGAGAGAGAGAGGAAAGAAAGAGGGAGGGAGGGAGGGAGGGAGGAAGGAAGGAAGGAAGGAAGGAAGGAAGGAAGGAAGGAAGGAAGGAAGGAAGGAAGGATGTTATACTCTAATATGCCCAATTATGTTCTTGAGCTGTTTCCTGAGTCTCATTCATTTGCTTAGACTATGTATTTTAATGTTACTACCGCAAGATTGGCACCACACACCACCAGTTTCAATATAATAACAACTGTGCTTCATGCTGAGTGATAGCATGAACTTTACTTTGGAGTAAAACAATACGCTCTTGCAGATATAAAATTTCCTTTGTATGCAAGTGCTTATTTATGAGTTTTTCTGCATTGCTCGCATCTCCTTTTTTCTTTGCAGTCTTTTGTGTAATTATCTTATTGCTGTTCTTTGTTTACTTAAATAGTATCATGCTTCTGTAGATCTTGATTCAAGAAATATCTGAGAAACAGGCAAAAGTATAGATTATTTAATTTGGGGTTATGTTTTAGTATTAATTTTATAAATTAAAATTCAAATTTCCTTCAGAACACGTACCTAACAGAGAAGATGACTGGTGAAAGTTCACAGTGTGTAAATGACTGGATTTCTATTGCCAGACAATGTGTATGATTTTATTCTAAATCAGTGTACAATCAAACATAAAGAAAAATGAAGGAAATCTCCTTTTTAAACTGATTAAATAATTGCTCAGATGCATGCTAGTTTTTTAACTTTCATTCAGTTCTATCTTATCTTATTCAATTTCTCAGCTACTTTTGGTACAAATGACTACTCCTTCATTGAAATGTTTTACACTTGATCTCCTACATATCACACTTCTAGATTACCTTCCATGTTTTTGGCTTATCCTTTTAGCCTTGTTTGCTGGATTTTTCTAATTTTTCCTCCTCTTTATATTTGAGTGTCCCCAAGGCTCAGTCCTGGAGCTCTTTCCACAGTTTCTGCCAGTGATTTTACCTAGTCATAGCCTCCTAAATGTCACAAACAAGACTGATAACTCATACACTTATTTCTGTGGTTCCCACTCCTCCCTTGAGATCCACATTTGCATATCCAACCTCCTTGTCTGCTTTATCAGGGGATGGATGTATAATATGCACCTCAAACTTAACAAAGCCCAAGCAGAATTTGCATATCCCATAGAAACCAAAAAACTTAGACATCATTTTATTTTATTTTCTTATCCTTAGTTATCACCAAAAATATACTAACAATTCCTATCAGTTATAGTCAAAACAAACCCTAACTCTAACTACTTCTCATTATCTTTACTATGCATACCCTTTTTCAATCCCCATCATTTCTTTTCTGGGATATAGAAATATTAACTGTTCCTCCTGTTTCCATTCTCATCCTCTAAGCTGTTTTCACA
Organism: Homo sapiens; assembly: GCF_000001405.40. Lineage (NCBI taxonomy): Eukaryota > Metazoa > Chordata > Mammalia > Primates > Hominidae > Homo > Homo sapiens. The sequence goes on along the minus strand of NC_000012.12, from coordinate 17,370,481 downwards.
TAGCAATCAAGATAAATAAAATAACATCACCCTCTTTCATAAAACTCTTCAATGGTTTCCTATTACCTTTAAAACAAAACTAAAATTATTTTTAAAATTATGAGGTCCTACATAACGTGTGTGAACATTTCTTCAACCTTTTTTTTGTAAATTATATCTTTCTAAACAGAACCCACTTCAACTACTAGTATTCTTTGTTTTGCTCACCTATCTTTAATCACAGTCATCTATATGTTATAAATATCTTCCTGGCTCTTTGGCCTGCTATAAGAAAATATCGTGGGCTCGGTAGCTTTTAAACAATAGGAACTTACTTATCACAGTTCTAGAAAGTGGGAAATCCAAGTTCAAGCAGATTCAGTGTCTGGGGAGGGTCATTTTGTAGTTCATAGATGGGACCTTCTAGCTGTGTGCTCACATGGTAAAAGAAGCTAGGCAGCTCTCTGGGGCTACTTTTATAAGGCTCTAATCCCATTCATAAGGGCAGAGTCTCCATGATCTAATCATATCTCCAAGGCCCCACCTGCTAATATTATCATTTTTGTGATTAGATCTCAACATACGAATATTAAAGGAACCCAAGCATTCAGACTATAATAACTATACTATTTCCTTTCACCTGTGGGATTCATATTTTCTTTTCTTCTCATTTCTTTTTTCTTTCTACTTGGAATAATCTTGTCCAAGCAAGATTTTTTCATGTCTCATTCTTTCTATGATTCACTCCTGTTTCTCAAATAGGCCTGCAGCAATGTCACATATACACAAAGGCTCTTGCTGACTATTCTTCTCTAATCTCTCTCTCTACCTCCCAAAACATGTATATAGATATAGATACTCATATTTAGATAATAGATATTAATCCTCCTGTCAACAGTATGAAAACTCTAGGAACCAATACACTCTAGAATCTATAACACCACACACTCCCTTTATCTATTTATATATGTTATAAATTCACACAATATCTGAAATTAAATGAGTTATTTGCTTGTTTGTCTGTATATCCCTTTGGGTTTTGTATTGTTCACCACTGATGCCTAAGATAACACCCAGAAAATAACTAATATTCAATAAATATTTTTAAATAGTTGATTAAATTAATTTTGGGAAAAGTAAGGGAGATAATTCCTGCCACAGAGACAGATCTACATTGCTTCTAACTTGGAGAGAACATAAATGGCCTTGTAACTAAAATAGATACAGAAGTCTCCTAGCACTGAAGAAGAATGTTTTATCAAACTAGAATGATTATATTCTGTTTGAAAGTGTGATTTGAAAGTTGTTGAACACTTTTGAATAAAACAGCTATGTGATATAGAAGAAATTAAATGAAAGAAGCATATTTAGAGAGCTATGTAAGCTTATAAATTTTAAAAGATAAGTTTCTATGATTGACTCTATCTTAAATTCTTGTATCACCTCATAGCTTTTTAAACTATAATTTGTAAATACACGTAAGAATCAAAAGTTAATATATGTTATTAATGCCTATTTTTGAGGTGATTATCACTTGAGGAATGATCTACTGCCAAGTTGGATTATGAATACAAAACAATATCATTATCCCCATTTCTCAAAATGTAACATAATGTGTTTAAGATAGAACAATGGCCTTTAAGCAAACTTGATATTCTCAGTTGATCTCAACTTATCAGCTGAAGATATTGCAACACTAAACTGTACCTTCCTTATATAACCACTTTTAACTTGTACAGATTCCCTGAGATTGTCTTATACTCTAAGTCAATTCAGATCCTCTTGCCCCCTCAACCCCCCACACTATCCCCTTTCTTCCCATCAGTAGATAAAAGACCTAATGAGTCATTTAACTTATATTCTAAGTATGGTTTGGAACCCGTAAGAGGCCTTACGATAGGAAAAGAGTAACCAAGGTCAGGTTTTGCAACTACTGGTAGGCTGAGAATGATACACAGTTGTAACTCTGCAAACTGCTTTTCACTCTGCCCCTTTCAGACAAAATTCAACAAAATTTTATTGAACAATTACTATACACCAGGTACTGTTCTCAAATTTAAGGGATAAGAGAGTGCCAGAACCAAAACTCTTAACCTCTTAAAATCTCATACTTAAGTGGGAGGAAATCGGGAATTAAAAAATAAGTACATAAAATATATAGTGCATCCCATAGGGACAAATGTTATGGAGAAAAGCAAAGCAGGGTAGAAATATAGGAAATTTTGGGTGGAAATAATAATTTTAAATGTTTTAGTCAGTGAAAACTATATTAGGAAGGGACATTTGAATAAAGACTTGAATTATTCAGATAATAAGTTTCAGAAGCTCAGGTGAGCTCGATAGACCTAAACTACCAGTTGTTGGAGCAGCTGATTAAAACAACAATCAAAACACAAAACAAAACAAGACAAAAAGAATCAAACCTTTAATCATTCATTGCAAAGTATAAGCCAGAGGCTAAAACTGGAGGAGGCGCTAATTTTCCCCATTCCATTTCACCCCATGGAATGGCACACAGGTACACGGTAGAGCATATTAGCACACACGTGGTAGTCCTCTCACTGTTGAAAGAGTGCACCAGGCCTCCCAAGGGCTCCTGCAGTCTTATGGGTTTAGGAGCTAGGATGAATGGGTGAGGCTTGGAGTGGAAAAGTACTGAGTACAGAGTCAGAGTTGGAAAAAATGTCTTTAAAGTTCACCCACTGCACCCAACAAGGAGTTCTCAGCAGAGGCACTTGGAGAAGACCTCAGCCGAAGACCCAAGGAAAAAAAAAAAAGGCTTAGAAATGAAGGTGCCTGGGCTAGGAAAGTAATAAGAGTATGCTGGTCAGAGGGGCCTGAGTCCTTGAATACAGCTCTCCTTAGAGGCTGCATTGCAGTTGCTGTACACCTTGACTGATGATGGAAGGGCATATTTCCCTCATGAGATATGCCAGACAGAGTCTTGAACTTGCTTATGGTAAGCCTGACAAACCACATATAGGTGTTTGGGCCACCACCTGGACACTTCAATAGCAGAGAGAGGAATTAAAGACTGAGGAAACAACAGGTGAGAACTCCCAGGCCGGGAAGCATGGATGGGCGATTAGACAACCAGAAAGGAGGCAAGATAAAATGGTTTAAAGGATGTTAGGCAAAAAAATTAGAAAATTACTAACTTGGTTAGAGTCTTGAAAATTCTTGGGAGGACTCCAGCTTTTACTGTGAAGAAGGACAATGACTATACTATTGTTTTTGGTAAGATAAATGGCATGATTTCACTCATGTTTTTTGAAAAATTATTCTTAGTTGATCTTCAAGTGTGGAAGAGAGAAAGGCAGAAGTAGAGATACTAGTTCAAAGGCTGATGAAATAACCCAGGAAAATAAACTATGGTGGTTTGGACTGAGGTGATGTAGCAGAGATGGTAAAAAAAAAAAATAGTAATAATAATAATAAATAAGATTCTCAATATATTTTGAAGGTAGAATTGGAAAATTTCTGATGAATTAGACATGGACATGAGAAAAAGAAGGGAGTCAAGACTTGTGCCAAGATTTGTTAGTTTAACTACCTAGAAGAGTGGAGTCCTTGTGACTTAAATGCATGTGTGTGCTTGTGTCTGTGTGTGTAGGAATAGGGGTAGGGATCTGTAATTGGATTTCTGCTGTCTACTAGATATTGTTGTAGGACTGTTTTGTAGATTAATGGCTATAAGAGATCCAATGTAGGGAAATTACCCAGGCTGAAGATATAAATTTAGTTTTCAGCATACAATTGGAATTTAAGGCAACAGGATGTATATGACCATGCAGCGTGTGGGTGAAGAGAGGGGACAGGTTCAAAGATTGACCCCTGGGGCACACTAATGTGAAGAGGTCTCAGAGAAAAGGGTGATAAGGGGCAGAATGATACCTGAGGCAAGAAGAAACCCAGAAGGGTGGAGTGGTAACTTGAACGCCAGTGAGGACAGCATTTCAAAGAAGTAGAGATCAGCTATACGACATACTGATGACAGAGACAGAGATGGAGACCAGTATTCATTGCCCCTGTGCTCATTAGTATATTGGAAGGGAGGAATTAGAGTTTTAGACTACATATTCAAGGAGCTTTGCTATTAAGACAGAAATGAAAATGTGGTAGAATAGCAAGAAGTGGGTCTTTTTCTCTTTTTCATGTGATGGGAACAATTATGGCCCATTTGTTTTCCAATGGGGATGATCAAATAGATAATTTAAAAAGTTGCTAGTTTAAGAAAATGAATATAGAATTCCTGGAGCACTATCCTAGAATAGGTGAAAAAGATGGATCTAGAACACAGCTAGACATGTTGTCCTTTGAAGCATGAGTAATTCCCCCCGACTGACAGAAGACAAACATGAGGGCAGAGATGCAAGTGTATGGGCCTATGCAATGGTGGGAGCTTGTGGAAAACGTCTTGTGATTAGTGATTGCTTTTATTTTCTCAGAAGCATAGAGAAAGTGAGTCTACCAGTGCAAGTGAATAAGGGAGAGAAGCTGTTGAAGGGTTGAGAAGAAAAGAGAATATACAAGTGTCATTTCTGACTATTCACTGGACAAATACAATGTAATAGAAATGGCAGTTAACACCAAACGTCAGCCAAAATTTAATGGTAATGAGTGTTAAATGGAATAAACCAAAATAGTTATGTTTTCTTCTCTAGCGGTGATCAGCCGGGTGGCTAAAAATGAGGAATAAGCCGAGAAAGGCTGCACTTAAACAAGGTTAAAGTTTTGCTACCTCAGTATGACAAACAAGAATGACATTTTGGGAGATCTGCTCCCCCTGATCAACTTTCCTCTTTCCTCTACCTCACTTCCAATATTCTGTAGAGAATTCCGAGTTTAATGTCTTTCAAATAATTCGGGTTGGAAAATGTAGATTAATTGCCTAGTGTATGAATCTATTTAAAGCAACATCAGAGAAGAAAACCTCTCTTCTTTGAAGACATCTTTTAATATCTAGCTTGAAATATTATGAGAAGAAATGTCAAATAGCCTTCCCTTAAGACTCATGCTCAGATACTAACTTCCCGTTTAACTCCCCAACTGGACATGCAATTGAAATTTCCATCATTGTGATTATCACTAGCCAAATAAACTAATCTGAGCAGGGGAAAAGCATATTGGTAAATCTTGGTTATGAAAGCATTTGCGCTCACATACACATAATTAAGCAATGAATTATATGCCTGCCCAGGCCTTTTGACTACCTCCAAGTCAAAAGCTACAGCTTCAAAAAATGTACAATTTCCTTTAGAGAAGTTTCAGAACCAAAAGACTAATTTACATGAAAAGCTGTGGAGAAAGTAGTTGAAAAGTCCATTCATAAAACTGTTATTCCACTTACATGAATTTAATACACGTGTTCTTAACAATTATCCTTGGATCGTTCATGAAATTTTCATAAGACATTAAACAAAGCTAGTCATCATCTCAAGATATTTCCCTGTTAACAATTTTTACAGCACATGCATATTAGGCAAGTATCAAAATAAAAACTACAAAAGCAAACAATATAAAAAAGAAAGTTAATTCCTTATGCCCCCTTGGCAGCTAATGAGTTTTCAATCGAGTTTAAACACAAAGTTTATCATAACAACAAAAACACTACTAATATAACTCTGTTTCCAACCATGTCCCATGGTCCCCTTTCCTCCCTGCCACCCTGAAAAAAAATGAGTTCCTATTTTTTTCTGGGAGAGGGGGAGATTGAAAAAAAAGAAGTATGTTCAATTTAAAATTTTGGTATATGGTCTTTTCTAACTTAGGAAGCCACGATGTTCTTGGCCCATCATGACCTTTAGTAGCGTTAAGTATAAGTTTTGTGCTTCCAAATCACTTTTTGGTTTTTAAGAATTTCTTGATACTCTTATAACCTGCCTTTGATTTTGATCCTTGATTCTTTGTATTTGTCAGGTGCACAAGTTTACCTTCCTTTTTCAGCCTTCTCTTCTACCATTCCTACTTGGTATCATGTCCAAGGCCACAGGATCTCTCTGGCTCCACTCAATGTCTAAGGGACCCTGTTTCTTTTGCTGGCATCCCATAAACTATTTCCCTCATCCTATTTACTGCAGTAAATCTCTCCTTAGTTAATGAGATTGTGTTTATCTCCCTTTAATGCCTACCTGAACGGTCTGTCATTGTCTGCCTTCAAAATTATTCCTCTTTTTCTTCCTCTGTCCTCTAAACAATGATGGGGCTAAGTTATACCCAAAGCTCACGCTGTAAAATATTTCCTCAGTATTTTGCAGAAAACACCAAACAAAAATGACATTTTAAAAGAGACTTTAAAAAAAAAAAAATTTAAGATGTCAGCTCCTCCTCAAGAGCAGGGACAATGCTTTCCGTATGTTCCATTGTTTCTAGGACACTGTAAATGCTCAGTAAATATTGATAATGGGAGGCAGTGAGTCTTGATGATAAGGGTGAGAAATTGAAAACAAAAACAACAGACAAAAAAAGCAACAGCTACCAAGAGTGCCAAGAGAAACCTGAGGTTGGACCAAGTAGAGCATCATCAGCAGTGAGCACCACTGACCCAGAAGGAAGCCAAACTAGGGGCAGAGAGATGACAGAAGGAAAGAAATAAAGAAACGAAGGACATTTCCTTTTCTTTTTTTTCACGAAGGACAATCATGTAAATTTGAATTCTTCAGTTTGGCCCATCACTCTGAAAAACAACAACGTTTTTACACAAGGAAAGAGATGCATCCTTTGTTTCCCATCCTTCCTTGGGCATAGCATTCAGATACTGGTGCATCTTTCTAGGATTTTAGCTTTATTATGAGCCAATGTCAAGGCCGAATTTGCACTAGTATAATAAGTCACACCTGAGCTTCCTCCAATGCCATTCTTCTGATAACTAAGTAAAATGGCTTTTCTGTTCAGGTTAAGTAAACACATCTCTGTAATTATAAGAAAAGATAAGAATAGAAAATAGATTCAATTACTACCAAGTTGATTTGAATTAACACTAGTACCTATTCCCTTCAGTTTCAATTTTAAAATTAAAGCACGGTGAATATATGCATATATGTGTTTGTATACTTTGAATATTTTTTTCAGAGATGAAACAAAAATAGAAAAAACTGCCTTAACTAAAATTCTTTCTAAGCATTTTTTTAAAATGGGAGAAAGTATTTTATTTCAGCCTAACAAATGATGAACAAACAAAAGCTGAACAAACACAGAATGCTATATACCATTGTCAAAGGACTTGGCCTTAAATAATTGATAGTTTGGGCCCCTGTTACTAGCAGAGAACTTTTTTTTTTTTTTAAAAAACAGTGCATTAAAAATGAATTATTGACATAATATAACACATTATACTTTTTAAATAAAAATCTTATTTTTAATTGAAAATTGGCACCTTGCCACTAACTAAACTTGACTTCAAAAGCAACAGCTGTGAAAGCATCTTTTTAGTTCTTAATTACTGTAGTACGTAAACCAACTTTTTTTTTCTCTTCATAAGGCACTTGTCTAGCTGAGGATGAGATCAAAGTACAAGATGTGGGAAAAGAAATTATGGCTAGACCATAAATATGAAATCTAATAAAGTGCCACAAGGAGCCTCAAAGAATAAACTTATACCAGACTATTTTTTAATTATAAAAAGTCAGATTGTTGAGAATCATGCTGAGCAATTAGAATAAGGTTGAAGACACCTTTTGTTCCAACATATCTTTTCCTCTAAAAAGCTATTATAAAATTGGGAAGGACAGTGATGTAATATGGGCTTAATTCTTCTCTGACTACTAGGGTAGATAAGGCACGGGGGAAAACTAAGTAAAGGAGGGAAGACTTCATTTCAGCTTTCTAGTGCTTGGTTTTGGAATTACCTCATACTCTTCTTAACCTGTTTTATTTAAACTATGATTCCCAGCCCCAAAATTGTTCTCTAAAGTCTTCAGGGACCTCATAAGAAATGACACAGGGACAAATCAGGAATTTGTTATTCTGTTCTGTGTAAGATAAAGTCACTTTTGAGAATCACTTGTTTTCCAATAATGGGAATGGGGCTGCTGACCAAGAAAGAAAAAAGAAATATTGTTTATTCTATACAAAGTTTAAGAGGACTATCCTTTGAAGCTTTACATATTTAAAACAGCTTAATATTCACAAAGAAATTGGAAAATAAAATATCTATCTATCTATCTATCTATACACATATATCTTTTTCTAGTCTACCTAATCTAACCTTAGGCACTTTTACAAATGACTGCATTTTTTTGTTAATTAAGCCTTAGGCACTTTTCCAAATGACTGAATTTCTTCCTAATTAATTAATAAAGTAATAATAAACAATTATCTTACTTTAAGTTAAATAAAACACTATAGTTTTAAACACTGTATTTTAAACTCAATCGGATGATTTTTTACATGAAAGTAGTTTTTCCTCCTTTATGAATAACTTTGACAGGGAATGTAACAAAAAAAAAAGAAAAAAAACACCCTGAAATGTTATAACATAGAAATACATTATAATATAAGCATTTGCAATGCAAATCCCTTGCATGCTGATAGGGTTTTAGGAAGCGCCCTAGTGAAATGTTTCTTTAGGAGGCTGGAAGTGACACTGTCTAGTGGGTAAAAAATGGAACATTATATTGTGTAAAAGAAGGAAAAGCCCCCATTTCCCTTTAAAATAAAGTATCAAAGCAAACTGACACAATCAGACTAGCATCCAATGACTTCTGATGTGCCTACAGGTCCTAGCACTGTAAGAAATAATTACCTGTGAGGAATTCTATAGGAATTGATTCAGCCATCTTACCTTTAGTCAGAAAGAAAGATATTAAGAATTTGGAAATATGGGAAAAGGTGGTATAATGAAGCTGCTGTAATGATCTGTCTTATTATAATACCATTATGGCTTTTGAAAAGATATTTACTGCAAGCATGGAGAAAGGAAACATACTGATTTTTATCTAAATACACTGGCAAGCATTTTATGAGAAAAAATAATTCAAGCTAACATAGCTATTCATATTTTAAAAGATAAAGGCATGCAATACTGTACTTTATTTGTCATAAATGCTGCGTAACTTTGGGCAAGTTGCATTCTGTCTCAGTGACGTCATTATTAGAATTGAGAATCTTAATATATAGCTAGAGACACCTACAGTTCATTTCTTGCATATTTCTCTTTACCTAGATAATACATTTTTTTCCAATCCAATGTAAAATTGGGTGAAACAAGAAGCAAACATTTTTCAGATGATATTAATAAAACGTGAAAAGACTTATTTTTACAAATTAACTTTGTATAAACTCCACTATTCCTTTAAATTTTCTAGTTAGAATTTTCTTAACCTGTGTCTGATCTTGTAATTGGCCCTTTTCACTTTACATTTGCTACCTTCTGATCTGGTAAAGAATTTATTTATATATGGTATGGGATAACATGGCGGGGGAAACAAAACAGTGATTCTGGACCCATAGAAAATTCTATTTGAATTTGAAAATTCTCTTTGAAATTTAATTTCTCTGCTGCCTCTTACTAGCTATGTAGCATTCAGCAAATAACTCCATCTGTATTTATCTTAGGTTCCTCTCTAAAAACTAAGATTAATAACAATATAATAGATTTTTTGAGATACTAAATTAGACATGTGAAAAAAATTGAACTGTTAAAGTATGCCCTACCCAGCAGGCAAAATAGACTTTTCATATCTAAGACACCCAAACTTACAAGCCGAACCAGGCAGCCAGTACAGGAAAGCAGTCACTCACCGTGTCTGTTCAAAAAAGGACTTTATGTTTTTGGAAAGGTATCTTATAAGAATGTCCCAAGACTGCCCTTTCTTCATTCAAGCCAAATCTGGTACTGTTGTTGGTGTCTAAATCGTCTGCAGCAGGAAATTCCCTAACTGCCCTGTACTAGTCCATTCTTGTACTGCTGTACAAGAATTACCTGAGAGTAGTAATATGTAAAGTAAAGAGGTTTAATCGGCTCACAGTTCCACAGGCTGTAAGAGAAGCATGAGGACTTCTGCTCGGCTTCCAGAAGCCGGGAAACTCAGTCATGGTGGAAGGCAAATGAGGAACGAGGCACTTCACATGGTCAGAGTAGGAGGAAGGAGAGGGAGGAGGTACCACACACTTTAAAACAACTAGATCTCAGAACTCACTATGGATATGATAGCATCAAGGGGGAAATCTGCCTCCATGATTAAATCACCTCCCACCAGGCCCCATGAGATTTGGGTGGGGATATAGATCCAAACCAGATCATGCCCATGAACAGACCGCCTGGAACCACACAGTTAAGAGAGACTAGTGATTTGGGGCTTAAGTGTCCTCCAGTCAAGACTCGATTTCTCACTCCCTTGACTCCTTTCCCATGCCTTGCAATTTCTACATTTATAATCTCCTACTCCCTGACCCCTCCTTGAAGCACAATTTCATTTTGCACCTAAACACTATGTCTCCCCAATCTGCAGATTGCTTTTAGAAAATAAAGTTCTCCTTTTGCCTCCACAAAGCTCATTGGTCTTTTGAGAACAGAACATAGTAAAGGCTCATTATGTGCTTTTCCTCTTCCATGCCTCAACCTTTATAAATGTACAGAAAGTTATATATGTTGTCAACATACATTAGCAACAATACATGATATTTATGGAAAGTAAGAATACCTCAGGATCAAATACACTGCATATTTTAAATTATCTCATTTTTCTTCACTCTGCTACTGCAAGCACGTTAACAAATTATTCAGTAGTAGGTATTAAGAGTTCATGGTCTACAACATTCCTTCAAGAAAACTACTTACTATGAAAGCAGAAAATCAGAAGCACAAACTGAAAAAAAAAAAAAGAAATCTTGATTAGATGTTCAAATATTGGATAATTTAAATAGAAGAGATTTTTTTTTTCTTATCTGAGTGCCAGAACTACTCAATTCCACAGAATTCTGCTTAATAATCATTCAAATGATTGTTAATCCAAACAGGGATGATCCAGGGGCTTATATGTTAAGTCGGCCTTATAAAGCAAGAAGATATTCTGGATAAGACTCTCCTAAAGGAATTGCATTATTCTACCTACAGGTAGCTGTTAAGTGTTTCTGCAAAGCAGTGCTTACATATTAGCATTTTTTTCACTTGAGGGAAAATGAACACATTGGTGGGGAGGCATTTCTAAGGTTCTGGTGTTTGTTTTTCAAATTGTTTACCTGCTGAAAAACCAGATTGAGATGCTTTCCAACTGTTGTGCAAATATATAACCTAAACCAATCCATCCTCACTCTCAAGTAAATCAGATGAGTAAGTAAATATGTAAGGTGTGATGATGAGAGTTTGTATCCCTAACACATTCTTCCCCAGGTTAACTTGCTAGGTTAATTCATCCCTAGGTACTCATTCTTAAACTTCCTCTAATTGGCAATTGAAAGGTATTTCAGCGGGCAGGCATGCTGCAGATACCCTAAAGACAACAAAAGGGGAAAAGTTAAGGGGTTCTAAGGCACTGCGACAAGGGTGACAAGGTTTGTTAAGCATGAATAAAGGGGACGAGCATTGCAGGAGGTATTATGGATTGGCAGCCTTTTCAAAAAGGTCAGCAGCTTCCTTTTATAATTGCTTTCATTCATTTCAATACAGTTTGCTAGAACACTGTAAGGCCAGAAGCTGTCTAAAGACAGGCTTCTAACTTCCCTTTCTGTTAGCAGTTTCTCTTTCATTCTAAATAACTTTTCCTTTACCATGCCTAAAAAATTCACATCTAAGGAAATCATATTTTTAAAATTTGGGTTAAAATTATCATGTACATCTCTAGTAAATTTTGTATGTTTCGTATGAGAAGAACAGGTGACTTTGGCCCACAGTGAAAATTTACTTTTATGTTTCAATATGTTATTAAGCATCTAAAACACTTTGGTATGGCAACACAAATATCTTAGCTTTTGGGACATAAAAGTGACACGATGTGAGAGAATAAGATTTCAAAAACAATTTCCTGATTTTTTTTCTTTTCAGATTCTCCCTGATCTTTCTGATTTTTTTTTCTTATTTAGCAAATCTGATCAACTTAAGTTAACCTTAGATTGAGCTACTAAGAACAATTTCTAATGCATAGTTTTTAAGTGTTCAAATAAACGGGGGATGTTTCTTTAAAATAAGTGTGTTTAGTTTTCCTATCCCAAATTCGGGTTCATTCATTCTAGGATGGGGCTCAGGAATGCATATCCCATCCCCTGAATGATTTTGATGCAAAAGTTTCCTAGACAATTAAAGAAACAATGTATAAAATCTCAAGAGGAAGAAAAAAAGGTGAAAAAAGAATCAATTTGAAAGGAATAATAGTGTCTATTCCTCTTTTGTAAATTCCTAAGCTTAATGATATTTAGGAATAAATACTCCTTCATCGTATTTTTGGTAAATTTCATTGAAGTCATTATGATACAACTTGGATAATCCTACTAGTCCTGGATATGTCTACTGTGGCAACTAAGACACTGTCGTGGATGCTTATTCATAATATAAAAGGTAGATATATACAGTTTAATAGGAAAAATTTTGTTAAAAAAAAGATTTATCCTAAATAAAAATCTATTTTCTTGAGTAATTTTCAACAAATGTGGAAAAAATACAGTCAGCAGATAACATTTTTACAAACTATACTTTTTTGAGTATTTCTGAGTAATATACAATTTGCTTCTTTTTAATTTAAAAAGTTTGGACTTATAGTCCACTCCACTTTTTCCTATTGCACCCAGCTATACCAATATCTATTTTGTAAGAATTTTATCATTTGTGTACTCTTACCTGAATGGAAATTGCTGGGGCTCACCTCTCACACCAAACTTCCTCAAGCTGTTAGTTCTTTTGGGAAAAGTAAGACATATTCTTCCCTTTTCCACCTACAGATGACAGCCAGGATTTGGCCATGTGACCTAATCTGAAAAGTTGAACCCTATTCTAGTGGCAGAGGGACACTGGGAGGTCAGGTTTCAAGCAGCAGCTTAGCTGGTGTGCAAACCATCGGATTCCTGATGCATGCCCTTCCTCTGGCTCCTGCTGTTCATGCTCCAGATCTCTTTTGGCTTCTGCCAATTTTCCAAACTTAGTATGTCAGCTTTCTACTGATTTTCTGAGTCCAGATTTGCTTGCAATGATTCTCACACTGTTTAAAAGTACTCAGTGTTCCCCGCCCCCACCACCCTGTTGCTTTTAACCAAGAATCCTGAATGAAACACTGTTTCATTGATTTTTTTTGATTGACAAAGGTATGTCTGGTAATGAACACATATTTGTGTATAATTCAGGGATTATTCATGATCACATCATCAATGATACACTATGAAAAAATGAAGAGTTTAACTCCACATTATAAAAGAAATTTGAAAAGAAGCACTCAGGAGCATATAAACATTATTTCCATATGAATTTCAGAAGACACAGCTATATCGGGGAAATACTCCCACTGATTTTAACTCACTTGGGTTTCTGGTTTATCACATTTTTCAAAAGTGGTTGAAAATTGAGCAAAGTGAGAACCCATAAATTATCTAGAACTCAGTTGTACAGATATGCTAGGGAACAATACTTGAGAATGACTTGCTAAAAAGAAATTTTATCTGAAGAAAGCTCTCTTAGGTATGCAAAAAAAAAAAAAAGAGAGAAGAGTAAAAGCATTGCTCAAATGAAGAAACTAATAGACATGTACACATGTATATAAATATTTTTCAGAAACGTGGTCTGCCATGTATTAAGAATTTTAGAAAGATAAACTAAAAGTGAAATGAACAAATGAGAAACTTGAAGGCCATTGCAAGTTGAGCCAACTCTAGCTAATATGTGCTTCCATTTACTGACCACTTATATAAAGGTGGTAACATGCAATTAGAGTTGGTGGGTTAGCTAGTTAAAATAGCTAGCTCAATGTTATTCACTTATCATGATTGAATAAGAGATCCTATTCTATAATATTCACTCAATTACGGTTAATCTCATGTCATGGGAAACTTTTACTGTTACACCATGCCGTGACTGTAATTAGATAAAGAGTGTCACTTATATCATCTATTTTATAATGGTGAGTATCAGATAAATTCTAAAAATCATGGTTAAATGGAGCTCTATCATGGTGACCTGAGGACATTTCAAAACATTTTACTCCAGTAACCATTTAATGAATAAACTAATTCTGCAGTAAAATGGCAATTACTATTTTTGAGTTTCTACAGGTATCATATTCTGCAGTAATTGCTTTGCATACTTTATAACAGCCCCATAAACACTTGATGAGGTATGTATTATTCTCATGTTGTAAAACAAGAAGCTGGGTGTTAGAAAATTTAAGTAACTATACCAAGATTGCACAGTTCATAAGTCTTGAAATCAGGATTTGAAACAAGGTAAATCCAATCCCAAATTCAATATTCTGTAAAGCCATTCAGTCTAGCTATTTTACCATCCATTCTCTGTTTGAACAATCCAAACAATAGGGAGTTTACGGTCTCACAAACAACGTATTCTATGCAGAAAATTGATAAAAAGTACTTCCTTATATCAAGTTACATCTTGTGGATCTTAAAATATTACATATGAAGGTTGGAGGTACCGTTTATGTTAAGTTGAATCCACTGCACATGGAAGGCTTCCAAATATCTGAATATAGTTATAATGTCTGAGCTAAATCATTATCAAGGTAAACATTTAGAATTACTCCATATAACAGGACATACTCCATCAAAAAATCCTGGAACCTTTTCATGAAAATGCACTAGTTTTCCTTGTACCCTTTAAATTTTCTTGACTGAAAATAAGTAGGACTTTCCAGATTTGGTCTAATCAGTGGCCGATAGCTCATAGCCCTAGAGTTGGTGCTATGTTTGCAGAACTCAGCACCATTTAAAGTCCAACAAAAAGTAGCTATTCATGGCCAATGCCAAGGACTCTTTACTGTCCCCCTCTTTCCCCTTAGTTGATCATATGCCTCTCTACTTGTAACAAAAATCAAACAGAAGAACAAAATACAAACAATAACACGACCTGTGTAGAAGAAGAAAACACCGGAAAATTCAAAAAAGTTTTACGAGAAAAAAAACAGCTACTAAATTCATTTAATTGTTAATTTCATTAGATGATTTTACAGGATCCCACATGCAAATCACTGTGGTTAGTCAACTGTTCCACTTACTCATTCTAGTAGTGTTATTGCAAATAAACTGATATAAGCTATTATTAGTACCACTTTCTCCTAATAATAATTAAAATAACTTTTATCTCAAACTCTTAGGACCAATGCCATTAAAAGTGGAAAGATCATACGTATGAAATATTGCTGGTTCCCATGAAGCAAAATAACTCATATAAAAATAAAATACCATGTTTCTGATTGTTTCCCGATCATATTTATTTAACAATGATGGAGCTGTTACATCCTTCATTCTATGGACTGTATTTCTTCCTAAGATAAAATTTCCAAGGAAAAGGTGATTTATGAATTCAAATTCACATGCTGATGAGACTCATTTTATTATTCTAATGGTCAATTTTTTTTTTCTTAAAATCATGGCACAGGAATAAAGCATTATATTCTGAGATGTTGTATTCAGGGTTATCCCAGAAATAAGCTGTAAAGTAGGCAAGGCAGGGTGTTCATTCTCTGCTTCAAAGGTAATATTTCCCCACTTCTGTCAAGCTTCCATAAGAGTTTTTTCTCTCCTCATTATTGAAATATACGCTCAAGAGTAGAACTAGAATTCTTCAAGGGTTTGGTAGCAAATGGATGATAACTTTTCTTCATCGTTATTAACATTCAATCATTAAAATTTGAAGTCAAAAGATTAAAATTTTTATCTGGATCACAGCAAGCAACAAATGAGTGAGTTGGGAGACCTACTTGAGAGTAAATGAAACTTCTACAGGAAATTTAAAATGATAGCGTGAGGCCAGACACGGTACCCAGGAGTTCAAGAACTGCCTGGGCAACATGGAAAAACCTGTCTCTACAAAAAGTGTAAAAAATAGTCAGTCATGGTGGCACATGCCTGTAGTCCCAGCTAGTTGGGAGGCTGAGGAAGGAGGATTGCTGGAGCCTGGAAGTTAAGGCCACAGTGAGCCATGCTCATGCCACTGCACTCCAGCCTGGGTGACAGAGCAGGACCCTGCCTAAAAAATTAAATTAAAGAAAAAAAGTGGTAAAATTTCCTAATTTTTACACCATTTTTTAAATTTTATAGAATAGGTATATTCAAATAAATGATAACAATAAAATAGAACTGATTAGCAGTCTAACCCAATGTTCCAGTAGGCCTTTCCAACTGTCCATTTTCCAGTCTCTCTCTAAATCAAAAGAGGTTACCTATAACCTTTCCCATTTATGTCTTTTTATTCATGATGAATAGACCAGCCTGGGCAATGTGGTGAAACCCCTTCTTTACTAAAAATACAAAAAATTAGCTGGGCATGGTGGTGTATGCCTGTAGTCCCAGCTACTAGGGAGACTGAGGTGGGAGGATCACCTGAGCCTGAGAAGTGGAGGCTGCAGTGAGCCATTGTTGTGCCACTGCACTCCAGCCTGTCTGATAGGAGTGAGACCCTGTCTCAAGTAACAAGAAAAAATATTTATTTTATAGATATGTGAGTAACTGAGCCAAAAGAGAGAGCATGGCAAAAAATAAAAATAAAAAAATAAAACAGTACTCTCCATGTGCGTGTGTTTCCTTCATACCATGATTTTTTTTTAGAAAGAAAATATCTATAACCTATTTTAATTATTTCAGTTGTGGTAATTCATTATTTTTGGAGAAATCAACTTCTCTGCTAACTATACTTTTCTAAATGCTACTTTAAGTTACTTTTTGTTCATTCTAAATTTGAATATGTGCAAAAAATAGATTACTTATGGCACTTACCCATTTAGATGTCAAAAGAAGTTCTGTATGTCCACTAAATTAAAACATCCTAATCATTGGCTGTCAATCCTTGGGGGATTTGGCACTGCCTCATATTTCTGTTTATGACAGCTCGCAGAGGGCATGCTGTGAACTGCTTTTTTTCTGCTTAGGATCCAATTAGGAGTGACAAATGCAGGAGTTTTAATACCCAAAATACAAATGTGTGATATTAAGCATGTATCTAGAGGTGAGGTCACTAACTTATTTTCCAGTGTTCAGCATTCTGTAACAGGAGAGTTATGGTTTGCTTTGGCATTGTTAAGACTCTAGATCTGGAAGTCAAAATATTGCTTTGCAAAGTAAAAATGGGCGTTCAAAAGTGGGTTTGCCTGAAGGTGGCAAGAGAGTGATTGGCTTCTGTGAAAAAAAAATGCTTAAAAAATTTTTTTAAATGTTACTTGAGAATATTTAAGAAATATAGTAAATATCTAGTGGCCCAGGAAGGTAAAATTTCTATAAGTGGAAGAACTTCATTTAATTCTTATTGGAGGGTTTGTTGGCAGACATGTATAAAATGATTACAGAAAACAAACAGATTGAAAAAGACCTAAGAGGAAGCCATAATCAGTGTTTCTATTCCTGCCAGTAAGCAACCAACTCCTCCTTATTTGTGTGTGTTATACAATCCAGTGATAGAGCAAGGAAAAAGAACTGAAGACACAATCCTCCATTAGGAGTGATGGTAAAATAACTTTGATAAACTGTGTACCTATGCAAGATGATTATAGATAGATGTGCTTTTTTATTGGGATGGAGTGCAGTCATTGAATCCAAGTATTCATTCTTTTCACAATACTTTCCTGTGTCTCAAAAAAAAAAAATCTGTAACTTCAGGCAGCTAAGGAGAAAGATAATTTGGAGAAAACCAAAATATTTCATCTTATCACATTTTGTGAATATTGAATTTTGTGGTTAGTGAATTTTATATGTGGTGATAACATCATGACTATATATAAATATAAATATATATGTTTATTGAGGACTGCTTATAAACTTGGAGTCTTTATACAATGTAAGAATGGCATTTTAGAGGTGATCTAAACTCTCCAGTTGAAATACCCCGGGTATTTTGCACTGAAGCTTAATATCCTGTTTGTAGCACAAATCCTTTAAAAATCATGGACTTCCCTTTTCTTGTAAAGATAGTAGTTCTCTTTCTTGCCACCAGGCCACTGAGAATACTGATTACAGAGTTTAAAGTGTTATCATTTCTGTCAATTCTCTGTTATTCATGAGCTGATTACCCAGGTGTTGGATTACCTCTTACTTCTTCTATTGCCTTTTTCCTTTACTTCTTGTCTCATGCCTATTCCCATGCTTGTTAGCATTTCCACCTATAGGTGAGCAACAGAAGGAAGGGAAAATGAAATACCAATCAGTCAATTTTATTACTTGTTAGCAGCCCTTATAAAGGTTTGGTGGAAGAGAAAAATTTAAAATAGTAGTTAAAATTAGATTTGGGGATTATCTATGGCTTTTATTTATTCATGTTCTTCCTCTTGTCTATTAGCATAATCTATGTCTATTGCATTGTACAATTATCTTGAATAAAAATGTGCTTTTAGTGAAGATAGCCACATTTTACTAATAAAGATATGTATAGTCTGTAAAACACAATGGGACCTTTCATTATGGTGGTATAAATATACATGTAAAATATTATGATTAAAAGTGACTACTTAAATAATGTCGGTAGTATTTAATAATTGATGTTTGCAACATGAAGAAAGAACCAGCCAAAGAAGTATGCAATATTTAAGGTTTCCACCTGCAGATTTTCATATTTTCTAGTTTCTAGTGCTTCTTAAGCATTCAGGTCACTATCATTTCCAGTTTATAACATATCAAAATGGTTTAAGCTTAAGGCACTAGTGATATCATGCCTTTTTTCCATAGGAAATTCAACACAGTGGTTGCTTACAGATTGTGTAATTCATTCTTTACATCATTATTTGCCCTAAATTGGTAGAGTATTCCTACTTAGATACTTTAAGTGCCACTACAGAGTATAGTGAGATACTCTATTGCAATGACACCTAGCCCCCCATAAAAATTCCTAAACTTTCACAAGTGCCTATATTTCTTGTCTAAGAATATAAATTTCTAGAGTTATTAACTTGGCAATCTCTTACCCCACATCCAGTAATATCATGTAATAATCATTACTCTTGTTACAGAGACAAAAAGCAACACTTTATGGATAGGCTAAATTTCTAATCAATATTAAAGTTTTAAGGATGTTTATCTTACAGATTTCTTAAGAGAGTACATACACATGCCACCCCCTGGCAGAGAAGCACTGACCTCTTGAATTAGTATATGCCAAGTACAAGATACAGCTCTTTTGGAATTGTTTTGATGTCTCTAATATTGCTAATTTGCTCTATAATAATTGTTACAGGATAAACAGTTGTCAGTAATAATTTACCTGAACCTCTCTGCATTTCCTTTCACATGGGATGAATAGGATAGCATGGCTGGGAGTATAGGAATTCTTACATGAGACAATGAAGGAATGATGAAGAAAAAAAAATGCAGAGTGAGCAGCTGCAAACTCCACAAAGACAATGGGATAAATATGTGAATAATTATATTAACAAATACATATGGTCATATATATGTATTGACATTAACCACAATGTCTGTAGATGTTCAGACTTAAGCCATCATGTAAGTAATTCCTGTATAAAATATTTCTGGCAAACCAAGAAGAGATATAAAATAAAGTAGATTGGAGGTAAAGCTATGAGGCCATAAGGTTGATGATCTCCATTCCATTGAAACACTTGAGGTACAATTTCTCCCGATTTTGGCAAAGGTGGATGGTATATATAGTATACACACCAGGAAGACAGCTATGCAGTATTTCTCTCTGAAATATACCTCAAACCAAACACCACTCCTCATGCCCTACAATAAACATCACCTGCAATCTCTAGCACATTGTTTAATGTGCTGCCCCTTGGTCCAATATGATGTTGCTTGCCAAAAATTGTGTACCCTTTCCAGATACAAATGCACTACTAGGAAAGTAGTGGTTGTAGCAAATTATGAATCTAAGGGTCATGGGTAAAACAAAAAGTAGTAAATTGTGGCAGACAAATTCTGCAATGCTAAGATTATAAAACTGTTTAAATGATCTATTGGAAGCACTGTTTCATGACCCGTTTGATAGATACCAGGCTTGTTTTATTCTGTCATATACTTGCTAGATTGACATGGAGTTGTTTGAATACTTGATCCAGAAAGTAATATAACCTGAAGAATAGTAAAGGTCATTTAGTTCCTGAATGTCCGTTACAATGGACTTTCATATGAACTGTATAATGATGGCTGGCATGGATTGATATTGCCTTCTTGGCAAAAGTATTTACCACCACTAAGGTGTTGCCACAGCCATAGGAAGTGAAAGATCCAAAATAAAATTTACCACAGTGATGACCAGGGGAGCTTTATAATCAAACATGGACAGAACAATATTTTAAAATTCTTAGGAATTGTCTGGCCTCAACAAACGTCAATTTTGCTCAAATATTTGAGGACATTTTGCCAGATGCTCACTATAGGTCATGGTTAGTATTGTGAACTATCTAGTGACTTCATGGGATGAAAGGTAAAAGAATAAAATTTGAATCTGTATGCTTTCTTCCTAACAGGTTGCATTGTTGGGATTCTGGATGATTGCTTATTATTCACAGTTCATCAATCTACCACCTGGAGAATCTGGATCTCAGCTAAGAGCTACTGCAATGCTTTGTTCTTGTTGGATTTCTCAGACCAGTGAGATAAAGTCCGGATGGCTACAAAATTCCCAGGCTAATTTATAGGGGAACAATGGTCTTTGGTGTCTTCCACTATTCTAGTTTCAGTGACAAGTATGCCATTCATCAATTTTGGTGGCTTCATCTTGTAAGGGATAGAAAAGATAAAGTGCCTGAAGAGAAATGCCTGCCTTATCTGGTACATGATAAACTTTCAAATTTTGTACTAGAATAAAAAATGTCTGTAAGCTAGGGCCAACTCTGTCCGATTCACTACTGTATTCCCAGATTCAATAGCAGTGCCTGGCAAAAAGTGGTCTATTAAAAAACAAACAAACAAACAATTGAATGATGAATAAACGTTGAAGTCATAGTCACACAGGGGCATTAAGGAGTACTGGGTTTCCTCAAAGTGGAACTCCATATTTCAAAGGCACAATTTCTGTTCCTCCTGAATATATTGAAGGTAGTTTGAGCCAGAACATGTTTCTTTAAAAAATCATCCAAGGTGTAGATATCGTTTAGGAAGTTTCATTTGTGCTGAACTTCCTTTTGTGTTTGATGTGTTCGTTTTGATAGTATATAGTCTAGTTTTTTTTTTTCAGAGTAAGACAAAGCATATTAGAAATTAATGAAAATGTAATTATTATATACTTGTAAAAACTATCCTTTCCTGAGAAGATTGTCTGTTATTACCAGAATACTAAAGTGAAGGAAAAAAAAGAATTGTATCACATACTTCCCTAAACAAAAACTGAACTATGGACTCTACTTCATTGTCATAGATTTCACGGATTGGTTAGACAAAATGCATGTAAATAACTTCAGCTTTGTTTTCTCAAGCAAGTTGCTTGGCTGACTGAGTGGTGGTTCTGTAATAGTCAAGATCCTTCAAGAACTATGTATGATTGTTCTTTGGTAGCAATCACTAACTGGAAAGACTGCAAAATCTTTATATTATAATGGTCTTCCATGATGACCTCCCATATTTTGATGACAATGAACATATAACTGAATACTACTTCAATTTATTATCAATGATATTTTTGTGCACTGTTATATTTAAGAAACAATGCTAACATTCTCTCAGTTTAGCTGTGGAAATAGACATGTTGATGAATTTCTACAATATAAATCATATTGTTTAAAACACTTAGCATATACTAATTGCAATGAAAACAGAGAGGAAGTAGCAATTAATTTTGGTCTAAGGACTCATGAGAGGTTCCAAGAGAAAAATCTTTCCCTTAGGAATGCTCATGAGAGGCTCTTAAGATTTTGTAAAGGCAACATAATTCAATTAGACAAACATTTATGAATGGCCATTATGTCTAAGACACTAAGGTAATGTGCAAGGCACTTCCTTGGGAAGTACAAAGAAGGGAAAATAAAGCACTCATTTGCATCAAATTGCATGGGATATAATGGGGAGGAAGGACATGTACAAATCTCATTATAGCACAGTAATGCTTAGAAGCCATGTAGCAGTAAAGATGGGAAAATTAATTCTTACATTGACATTATGAACATTTTCTTATGGAATACTGATCTGTTCATTTATTCAGTCATTAATCATTTATGCAACAAAGTGTAAGATAGGCACTGTTCTATATACACTTAAGACTATGACAGACATAATGGAACTTATAGTCTGAGAGATAATACAATAAACAGCTAACTAAACAAATAACTAAGAAACCATCCAATGACAAAGCATGCTATTCTGGAGAATAAATTTCTGTTTCAGAGATATATTATATTGAATTGTCAATTGAAAGCTTCTCTGAAGACATAAGTGTTGAGTTGTGCACTAATTGACAAGAAGCAAACCTTTTTAAATACCAGAAGGAAGAGTCTTCTGGGCAAAGGATGCAACTTGTCCAAAGGCTTAAGGAAGAAAGGGAAGAGGCTAATTTGGCTAGAGTAGAGCCAGAGAGAAGGGGATGGTAGTCCAAGGGTAATATGAAGAGTAGGAAAAAAGCAGATTACATAGGGGGCTTTATAAGCTAGAATTAGGAGTTTATTTCAAGTGCTATAGAAAAACATTGGATAATTTTAACCAGATACGTTAAAGGAATTTTTGCATCTCTAACATATGTGGAGTAATAGAAAGACAAGGTTTTCTAGTTCTATGGCTACTTCAGTAGTCCGGGATAAATATGATTTTTTTCAAAATTAGAATTGTCATGGTGGAGAAGCAAAGAAGTTAATCAAGTCAGAATATTTTGGAGTTCCCACGTTGAGTGGAGCATTGTGATTAGGTGATGAGAGAGTGGGGTATGTAATTCAAATCTTAAGAATTTCAATCAAGTAAACAAGAAAAATAACTCTAAGAGAAAAAATGAAAGAAGTAGTTTGGTTGAAAGTGGCTTATCCTAGAAGTATGGCCAATGTCGATATGTACAAAGTGACAATAGGTAAGGTTACATATCATGTGGCTGTTGGAAATTACGGATTACATGGATGAAGGAGGCAAGATTTCTGGGAGTGGCAGTGGGGAACTATACTATCAAGTATGGTAATTGAGCCTAAAATTGTCTGTTTCACTCTCAGCATTACAATATAGGTCATTTGTTGTTCTATTTTCAATTATATAACATTTAATGTTTATTAGAGAAAAGTTGGAAATTACAAAGTAATATAAATATTTAACAATTATAATGCTACAACCCCAAAATGACCGATTAACGTACTAATTTTGAATTTAGAATGCCTCATTTTTCTATTTAATCATGTGATATTTCTTACACAAAATGTATATTAGTATTTAATTTCTGATATTAACAATGAACACATTAAAATTTTTAAGAAAAAAAACAACCACTATTAAGGCTAAAAACTGCTTGCCTATCTTACAAATAGGCTAGGGAACTGACTGGCCCATAAAATTGGGTGGCTGAGGAATGGTTCTACTGAGACATAAAACAACATCCCTAGGATCCACATGCTAGCCATTATTCTTGTGCACGTCAGCAAGCACGCCACACAGAAAGATGCCAGCAAGATGGCTGCACAAGCCCCACATCTTATACTCTCACCCCATGAAATCCACAAGAAAAATATATTTTTGGTGGCCACTACAAAAGTCATTAACTCACTGCCTTTTATTGTCTTTGATTGGATTAATGTCTCGTCCTGATACAACCTCTATGACCAAAGTAATATAATTACCCTGATTGCTTTGGCCTAAGTCATATGTTAAAATCCCAGGGAAGAATGTGAGAATCCTATTCAAACATTTACTGAAAGTGGGAAAAAAGTCGTATTTCTCATAATATCATTGGGATGCTTCTGCCATAAGAATGGTAAGTGGATTCTGGGCAATGAAACAACAATGGCCAATTTAGCAGAACTCCCAAACTGAGAATGCACTGTTTGCACATTAATTTATTTTATTTTTTTAATTAATTAAGTATTATTATTTTTTCTTGAGACAGAGTCTCGCTCTGTCGCCCAGGCTGGAGTGCAGTGGCGCTATCTCGGCTCACTGCAACTTCTGCCTCCTGGGTTCGAACGATTCTCCTGCCTCAGCCTCCCGAGTAGCTGGGATTACAGGCACCGGCCACTACGCCCGGCTCTTTTTTTTTTTTTTTTTTTTTTTTGTATTTTTAGTAGAGACGGGGTCTCACCTTGTTAGCCAGGATGGTTTCGATCTCCTGACCTCGTGATCCACCCGCCTCGGCCTTCCAAAGTGCTGGTTTTACAGGCATGAGCCACTGCACCTGGCTCATTAATTTATTCTTAATAGGTTATGGGTTATGGGTTAAGTTATGCTAACTTATAGAGCCCCTCTATCCTTAGTAGGGCCAGGAAAGAATAGCAAGTTTACTCTGGCTGGAAATGGTCTTGCACATTCAATACAGCATGACCAATGGCAATCATATTTTCTATGATTCCTGATGTGTAGAAAAAAAAAAATAGGAAGCACTATTCTACAATACCAGAGAAAATATAAATTGTAAAATTGAATGCCAATGCTTCAAGCACCTAGTCTACATAAAGGCAAAAAATATTAATTTGATTTAAAATATCATTTTTTAAATCAGCGATACATCTCAAATAAAGTGACCCTAGAATGGTAAAATATAAAGGATGGGTTAAAATGTATTAGGCAAATGCAAACAATAAAAATAAAGTGCTCAGACAAAATTGATATCACACAAAGTAGAATTTAAAGAAAAAATACATTAAGTAAGATAGAGGAATAAATTTAATAATTATAAAAAGTTCTAGTCACAATTAAAATGTAATTATATAAAAGTCATTAACTTTTGCTTGTCTGATAAAATTACTTCAAAATATAGAAAATGTATATTTTAAAAATACATGGAAACATTACAAACAACAAAAATGTATTAAAACATTTTATAAATTTTTTCAGTCTTTCAAAAATCAACAGGGTCAACCATCACCAAACTAACAAATAAACAAAAACTAATAGTAAACCTATAGAGAATTTGGTTCACATCACAAATAAAAAAATTTGAATATTTATAAATACAACCCTATGCTCTTTTTTCAAGAGTCCAGAGATAATTTACAAATTATTTTCAAAGCAATCTAGAAAAATGTTTGTATATTTCAATGAGTTTTATTTAAACATGTGAAGTTTTTAAATTATAAGTTTATTAATTTATAAAATTAGAATTTTTATAAAAATTATCAGAAAATAAAATGATGGTGGTATGATATGATGTTACTTAAAATGGCAGAGTAGGGAACTCCAAAACTCTATCCCTCCACTAAAACAACTATTATTGGTTAAAAAAAAAAAAAAACTGCCTGAATAACCTTTTTCAAAACTCTGGAATCAAATCATTCCCCAGCACATCAGTGGCTGCAAACATAGCTGTCAAATTTCTCATAAAACTTGTTGGTAGTGAAGGAAGCAATAGAGGACCTTATCCTCAAAGTGTTGAAATAGTGTGCTTTGATATGCCTGGTGGCTCCCTGAAAGCTAAGCTCAAGGGCTTGCTTTTGTTTTGCCTACTTTGGAATTTTTCAGGGATGAACAGGCTTCTCAGGTGACATTTGTCAAAGGCATAAGAAGAAACAAATGAGGTGCAGCTGCCTGTGACAAACAATAACCATTGGAGCAAGTAGTATACAAAATGAATAGCCCGGGAAGGAAAAGGGTGGGAAAGGAGATACATGGAGGAATAAGGACTGAATAAGGGCTTTGAAAAGCTCCCACATAGGCCGGGTGCGGTAGCTCATGCCTAAAAACACATGGGGAGGCCGAGGTGGGCAGATCACGAGGTCAGGAGTTCGAGACCAGTCTGGCCAACATAGTGAAACCCCATCTGTACTAAAAATACAAAAAATTAGGCAGGTGTGATTCTGTGTGCCTGTAATCCCACCTACTTGGGAGGCTGAGGCAGGAGAATCACGTGAACCCGGGAGGTAGAGGTTGCAGTGAGCCAAGCTCACACCATTGCACACCAACCTGGGTGACAGTGCAGACTCCATCAAAAACAAAAACAAAAACAAAAACAAAAAACTCCCACACGTACCAGGGAATCTAAAAATTCATGTGCACACACAGTATAAGGTCAGTAAAGAACTACTAAGACCAAAAATTTTTACCACTGGTTGACAATTAGACTACATGTAAACAGGAAATGATGGCTAAGTTAGAGTTGTAAACATCCTGGCTAAGCATTGAAGGAGTGTCCCAACATGGAGAAAATCTGAAATGACAGGGAGAGATTAAGAAAAGAAAAACTCCAAGAACTTAAGGGCATTTCTGTCAAATCACTAGCTGAGCCATTACTCTAAGAAAGAGAGACTTTGTGGCCACTCACAAAGAATGCAGTCTTCTCAAAGGTAATTTAGAAAAGTTGCTAAACAAACAACAAACCATAATAAGCAGCAAGAGTAAACCCTGAGGGTGGGGAGAATCTTCTTTCAAGATTTATTACATAGTAATATTCCAAATGTCTGATTTAAGAAATATATGAGACATGTAATTAAATAAAAATATGTGGCTTACTCACAGGAAAAAAGGAAATTAATACAAAATGCCTCAGAGAAAACTCAGATATTGGATGTAGTAGAGAAAACCATTAGATTAATTTTCTTAAATAAGCCCAGAGAGCTAAATGAAACCATGAACAAAGAACTAAATGAAATAAGAAGAATGATGTCTTAGCAAATGAAGAAAAACAATAGAGATAGAAATTATAAAAAGGAAACAAAAATTCTGGAGCAGGAATGTATAATAACTGATGTGAAAAAAATCACTAACAGATATCAACAACAAATTTGAACAGTAATAAGAAAAAAAATCAGAGAACATGATGATAGGTCAATTGAGACTATCTGTCTTGAGGAGTAAAAATAAAAGAAGAATGAAGAAAAATAAAAGCCTATGAGACTTGTGGGACACCATCAAGTGTACCAACATATTTATAATAGCAGTCCCAGAGAAGAGGAGAGATGGGAAAAGACAAAAAGAACATTTGAAGAAATAATAACCTAAAACTTCCCAAATTTGATGGAAGACATATGTCTACACCTACAAATAGTCCAACTAGTAACAACAAATACCAACAAATTTATAATAGCAGTCCCAGAGAAGAGGAAAGAAAAAGACAGAAAGAACATTTGAAGAACTAATGACCTAAAACTTCCTGAATTTGATGGAAGACGTACATCTACACATATAAATAGGCCCACTAACTCTAAAATAAACTCAAAGGGATCCACACTGAAACACATTACAATCAAATTATTGAAAGACAAAGAAAGAAATTTGAGAGCAGAAAGCAAAGTAAGTCATATAAAAGGCATCCTCTGTTTCATGCAAGAGGTAGAATGGAAAGCCACAGATCTTGGTGTCCTCCACAGAGACAACGACTTAAAAACAATATGCAATCCAAAGCCTTCATGAGAATTCCAGACACCAATTAAGAAGTTGCAATACCCCAGTGTAATGGTTAATACTGAGTGTCAACTTGATTGGATTAAAGAATTCAAAGGATGCAAAGTAATGTTCCTGAGTGTGTCTGTGAGGGTGTTGCCAAAAGAGATTAACATTTGAGTCAATGGACTAGGAGAGGCAGACCCACCCTCAGTCTGGGTGGGCACAATCTAATCAGCTGCCAGCATGGCTGGAATGAAAAGCAGGCAGAAGAATGTGGAAGGGCTAGACTGGCTGTCTTCTGGCTTCCCTTTCTCCCATGCTGGATGCTTCCTGTCCTCGAACATCAGACTCTAAGTTATTCAGCTTTTGAACTCTTGGACTTACACCAGTGATTTGCCAGGGGCTTGCAGACCTTTGGCCAGAGACTGAAGGCTGCACTATTGGCTTCCCTGTTTTTGAGGCTTTGGAACTCAGACTGGCTTCCTGGCTCCTCAGCTTGCAGACTGCCTATTGTGGGAGTTCACCTTGTGATTGTGTGAGTCAATTCTCCTAATAAACTCCTCTTCATATATTTATTTACCCTATTAGTTCTGTCCCTTTAGAGAACCCTGACTAATATATCCAGACAAGCACAAAGCAAACAATAGCCACATTAAATTAACAAGTAAGAAAAGCTATTTTATTTTATCCACAATTGTCCCTCCTGCAAGCTGACATAGCTCAGCAAAATTGGGTGAAAACTTCTAATACATGACTTCGACCTTGGGAAGGAAAAAAGAAGAACCAAACTTACATTCAATGCTGAAAGGATTCCTGCAAGTTGAAATTAAAAGACTCTAGAGAATACTTGAAGTGATATAAAGAAACAAAGATCGCAGTAAAAGTAAATATATGAGAAATTATAAAAGCTAGTAGTTTTGCAATAAGAGTTTGTAAATCTATTTTATATTTTCTACATAATTAAAGAGATTAATGCATTTTTTAGAAAAACAATTATTCTTGAAAGCAGTATTACTGCAACTTTGGTTTATAACTCCACATTTTATTTTGTACATAATTTAAGAGACTAATGCATTTTAAAAATTGTTGGTTTATGTTTTGGACACACAATGTAATTTTGTGACATCAGCAACTGTAAGAAGTGGTGAAAGGGATGTAAAGGGGCAAAGATTCTGTATATACTGAAGTTAAGCAGGTATAAATCCAAACTAGTGTGTTTTAGCTTTAGAATTTAAAATCTAATTCCTATGTTAACCACACAAAAGATAGTTACAGAATATACACAAAAGAAAATGAGAAAGAAATTTGACTGTTTCACTACAAAAAAAAATTAAATAAAAACAAAGGAAAAGAGTATTGCAGGAAATTCAGACAAGAAAGCTCTAAGTCTTACAGAAAACGCACTTTAAAATGACAGAATTAAGTTTATCTTTTATAGACAGACTTAGAAAAAAAGAAAATTTTGACATATGCTACAACATGATAAATCTTGAGGACATTAGGCTAAATAAAATAAGCCACTCCCGAAAAAAATACTGTATGATTCTAGTTGTATGTAGTACTTAGTGTAGTTAAAATCATAAGGAAAGAAAGTAGAATGGTGGTTGCCAAGGGCTATAGGAAGGGAGTAACGAAGAGTAATTTTTGACGGGCTATAGAGTTTCAGTTTTGCAATATGAAATGAGATCTGGAGATAACTGTTTGATAATGAAGGCACAACAATATGAATGCACTTAATATTCTTGAACTGTACTTAAAAATGGTTAAAAGAATACATTTTATGTTATGTATATTTTACCACAATAAAAGAGAAAAAAAATCACACTCAACCAATTAGGATGAGGAGTAAACTACCTTAACATAATAAAGGCCATATGTGAAAAATGCATCCCTAAGCGTCACACTCAATGGTGAAAACTGAAAGCTTTTTCTCTAAGATCAGGAATAAAACAAGAATATTCACTCTCACCTCTGTTCTATTAAACTCAGAAATGAAAGTCCTAGCCTCAGCAATTAAGCAAAGGGGAAAAAAAGACCTGCATCTAAAAGGGAGAAGTAAAATTATCTTTGTTTACAGATATAATCTCATATATAGAAAACACTAAAGACTCAACAAAAATATCGTTAGAACTAATAAACAATTTCAGCAAAGCTGCAGGACACAAAATCAATAGACAAAAAATCGGTTGCGTTTCTATACACTGCAAAATAATAATCTGAAAAGAAAATTAAGAAAACAATTCAATTTACAATAGCATCGAAAATAATAAATTACTTAGGTATAAACTTAACCAAAGAAGCAAAAGACTTGCACACTAAAAGCAAAAAAATATTGCTGAAATAAATAAGAAGAGAGTAATGCTGCAAATCAATACAAAAAATGCTATAAGATATTTCATGTTCATGGATTGCAAGACTTAATATTGCTAAAATGTTCATGGTACCCAAAGCAATCCGCAGATTCAATGCAATCCCTATCAAAATCCCAACAGCATGTTTTAGAGAAATGGAGAAAAAATTCTAAAATTCCTATGAAATCTCAAAGGGCCTCCAATAGCTAGAACAATTTAATACAATGCTGGAGGGCTCATACTCTCTGATTTGAAAACATATCATAAAGTGATAATAATCAAAACACTATGGTGTTTTGCATACCCACATGTAAAAGAGTAAAGTTGAACCTTTACCTTACACCATATATTAATACAAAAGTTATCTCAAATATATCAAAAAGGTATCTCAAATCTGATACATCTTTACTATCAGATTAAAGTTATATCTGTAAGACATGAGACTGTAAATCTCCTAGGAGAAAGCATAGAAGAAAACCTTCATGATGCTGGATTTTGCAATGATGTCTTGGATATGACACCAAAAACACAGGCAACAAAGGCAAAAATAAGCAAACGGGACTACATCAAACTTAAAAACTCTTTTATAGCAAATGTAATAATCAAAGGAGTTAAAAGGTAACCTATGGAATGGGAGAAAATATTTACAAACCAAATACCTAATAAGGAGTTAATGTGTAAAGAACTCCTACAAGTCCCAACAATAACAAAAATCAAATATCTAAAAAAATTATCAAATGATTTGAATTGTCATTTCCCCAGAGAAAATATATAAGTGTCCATTAAGCTTATGGAAAGATGTTCAACATCACTAATCATCAGGAAAATGCAAATTGAAACCATAATGAGATATGATCCCACATATCTTTTTATTAAAAAATATAAGTCATGGTGAGGATATGGAGAAATTGGAAACTTTGTGCACTGTTGGTGAGAATGTAAAATGGCACAGCCATTACGGATAACAACATGGATATTCCTCAAAAAATCAAAATAAAATTATTATATAATCCTGCAATTCCATTTCTGTGTATGTATCCAAAAGAATCGATAAAAAAAGCTTGAGGGATGATTTGTATACAAATGTTCACTGCAGCATTATTCATAAAAGCCATAAACTGAAAGCAACCTAAATGTCAATCAATGAATGAATACAAAAATGTGATATTTACATACAATGGAATGTTATCCAGCTTTAAAAATAATGGAATTCTGTCATATGCTACAACATGGATAACCCTCAAGGACATTATGCAAAGTGAAATAAGCCTGTCACAAAAAAGAGAAATACTGTTTGATTCTAACTACATGAGTTAACTAAAGTAATCAAACTCCTAGAATCAGAAAGAGGAACAGTCATTTCCGGGGAAAGAAGAGAGGAAGAGTGGAGTTGTTGTTCAACGACCATGGAGTTTCAGTTTTGAAAGATAAAAAATTATAGAGATCTGTTGTGCAACAGTTTGTATATAGTTAACACTACTGAATTGTACGCTTAAAATGACTAAGATAGCAAATTGTGTATGTTCTTTACCTCAATTAAAAAAGGCATTCTTAATAAGATTAACTGTGATTTTTCATTAGAAACCATGGAAAAAGTGGAATGATATTTTTAAAGTGCTAAAAGAAAAAGTCCTGTCAACCAAGAATTCTGTATGTGCCAAACTTTCTTTAAAAAGATGAAGGGAAAATTTAAATGTTCCCAGATAAACAAAAGCTGAGAAAGTTCACTACTAGAAAATCCACTCTACGAAAACATGACTTTCACCTTTATGAGGGCTTCCAGCTAAAATAAAAGGATGCTATACAGTAACTTTTACCTACACAAAGAAATAATAATACTATTAAAGATAACTAAATAGATAAATATAAGTATTTACTTTGTAGTACAACTAAAATACATACTATTGTATTTTTTATTTGTGGCTTTTTTCTTCATAATTTAAAAGTAAAGTACATAAAGCAATAATTAGAATTTTTTTATAATTTTGAAGTTGAATTTATATTAATTCAAACTACATTGTGATAAATTTAGGATATTAATTATAATTCACAGGATAAGAACTAAGAAAATAATAAGACTATTGGAACGTAAAATGATAAGGGAATCAAAAATGGGATACTAAACAAAATCAATTAAACATAAAAGAAGGCAGTAATGAAAGTACTAAGAAACAAAAAAGGTATGAGAATTTCTTTAAGTAGCAAAATAGAAATAGTAAGTTTTTTTATATCAGTAATTAAATGTGAATTGATTAACCAATTAAAAAGCAGACTGTCAGAATTTATTTTTAAAAATCCAAATATATATTTTTTATAAGTAAATCGACATAGGACTCACATTAACTCCAACAATGAAAGTAGCCTAAAAGTGAAATAATTAAAAAAAAAAAGAAATTTCATGCTCATTGTAACCAAGAGTAAGCTAAGGTAGCCATAATAATGTCAGAAAAAATAAACATGTTTACAAAAAGTAAAGAAGGACATTGTATGTTGGTAAAAGAGGCAATATATATAGAAGACTTAACAATTGTAAACATATATGCATGTAACAACAGAGTCCTAAATCATATGCAGTCAAAACTGAAAGAATTAAAGAGAGAAATAGGTTGTTCAATAACAATAGTTGGATGACTCAATGTTCTACTTTCAATTATAACTAGAAAAAACTAGACAGGGATCAATATGGAAATAGAAGACTGAACAATATTCCACACAAGAACAGCAGGATAAACATTGTTCTCAAGTGCACATGAAACGTATTTTGGGACAGGTCATATAATATTATGGCATATTGATATTGTTTTTAAAATGGAAAATAACAAGGGCTGGCAAAGACATGGAGAAATTTGAACCCTAATGCATTGCTGGTGAGAATGTAAAATGGTAAAGGTGCTGTAGAAAATAGTCCCATGGTTCCATAAGAAGTTAAACATCAAATCAATATGCGACCCAGCATTTCCTCTCCTGGATATATAACCCATATAACCCAAAGAATTAAAAACTGGTGTATCAGTCAGAATTCTGAAGAGAAACAGAACCAACAGGATATATAGTGAGTTATATAAAAAATAATTTATCATGGTAATTGGTTCACATGATCATAGAGGCTAAGATGTTTCATATTATGATGTCTGCAAGCTGAAGAACCAGGAAGGTGAGTGTTGTTATTCAATAGGATTGGGGCCTGAGAAGCAGGGAAGCCAATGGTATATGTCTCTGGAGTTTAAAGGTCCAAGAATTGGAGTTCTAGTGTCTGAGACAGAAGACGAGTGCCCAAGCTCCAGAAGAAAGAGCAAATTCCTCTTTCTTCTTCCTTTTTGTTCTATACACGCCCTGAATGGATTAAATGACGCCCATTCCCATTGATGAGGGTGGATCTTCCTTTCCAGTCCATTGATTCAAATGCCAATCTCTTCCAGAAACACCCCCATAGACATATTGAGAAATAGTCCTTTACCAGCTATCTGGATATCTTTTAACTCAGTCAGGTTGCCACTGAAAATAAACCATCACAACAGCTGTTCAGATAAAAAATGTGTACACAAATGCTTATAACGGCACTTTTCACAATGGCAGCAAAGTGGAAACAACCAAGAGGTTCATCACCTGAGGAACAGATAAACAGAATATGGTACATCCATACAATGTAATGCTATTCAGCCATGAAAAGAAATGAAATACTGATTCCTGCTACAGTATGGATGAACACTGAAAATATTATGCTTAGTGAAAGAAGGTTTAAAAAAAAGGTCACACACGTGTAATGTAATGTGAAATATATATAACAGGGCAATCCATAAAGACCAAAAACACAAGCTTAACGGATATTCACTCTCCTTTGTGGGTGATGAGAATGTTCTGGACCTATTTAGCGGTGATGGTCGCATAATATTGTGTCTGCACTAAATGTTTCAGATTAAGATGGTGAATATTATGCAAACTTTACCACAAAAAAGTGTTGGGAGAAATTTTATCTTTAAAAGGTAAATTTATGAAATATAAAATTAAAAATTTGAGTCCCATAAAATATGATTCACTAGCATCTATATCAAATTTGGTATACTATATTTTTTCAGTTGCATGTAAAATATGTATATATATTAATATTCTGGCATAAATCATATAAACTTTTATCCAAATTTACATTCTTTGATCAAAATGCCAAAAGCATTGAAAATATTTTTAAGTAAAAACTTCATGAACACATACATAAGAAACAATAATTTGACAGGAGGAGAGAAAACAAAAACTAAAAAAAAAGCCTATTTTAAAAAGCACTAAGTAATTAAAAGGGAAAGAATTCAGAAAATCGGATAATTCTTTAACAAAAATCGGTGAGAAAGACGTTTTCGTATTAGTTAATATTATTTAATATAGTGTAATAATCATGGTTTTATAGTTGTTCCTATGTTGTGTGTATGCTTATGTTATTTTCCATATGAATTTTGCTATAAATAATGTCCAGAAGATAGTACTCTAGAGTTACCTATGCTGGAAAGTTTCCAATGTTAACAAAGGAAGAATGTTTACATTTAATATCTTACTTTTGTCTAATTACATCCAAATTTACCCTCTTACAGTGCTCCATCACTAAAGTGCATTTCAAAGATTCAGCAAATAAAAATTTGGTTAGAATAAAAATGTAGATGATATAAAAATTATTATTTCAATTAAACTGAAAATTGGATGAATGCTTAGCCTTGGACCGTACTTTAGAATGGTACTCAAATCACCTCACGCATCACCTTGAGGATGGCCAAGTGAGGAAAATACTGAGGAAAACATTTGAATGTAAACTGGGTCTGTCCATAATTTATATTTCACAGTCTTAAGAGAAATATTGAAAATGTTTTTATTTCTATCTCAGTATTATCAAATTCATTGCACATGATTTAATGAGTTTATGATAGCTCTAAATTTTAGGAAATGCAATGTAGGCATTTTGTTTTAAACCTTATCATAGAATTTGAAGTAGATATTATTTTATTCAGTTTGCACTTTTTCCTTAAGACACATAAATCCAAGATATCCAAGTAAAAGTCCTAATTCTTCAGCCTTATAAGACGTCTCTTATTTTAAAATACCTCAAGGCCTAGGAGATAGAGCAAGACTCCGTCTCAAGAAAACAACAACAAAACCCCTCAATGCCCTATTTGTGCACTCTGGAAATTCTAGAAGACTTTTAATATGTTTAAAAAAATGTAGTTGCATGAGAAAAATAAAAAGTTATATTTCTCTTCATCTGCCCTGCAGCCTACTTTTCCAACCTACAGCCTATGTTCTTGACCACCCTTCTTGGTCCCGCAGTTGATATTTGTCATCTCATCTTGACCACCACTTCATTTTATTTGTCATACTCCATAGCATCTTTAATAGAGATCTGTTCACGCGATCATCTTTTATTTAAGATTTGGAGCACACTGCAGAAAAGGAGACGACTAAAACTTAAATACTGACTATCACTGTTCTTGTGATATTCATTGTACAGTCTTTGATACGTTACCCTGGCTCTCCTAAGCCTTGGACAGTCTTCAGACTCAAAGAACCCCTTGCTACAAAGCTATCCAAAGAAACTTATCTTTTACTTATTCTGCATACAAATTCAGCTCTAACTTTACTTTGTCTATGTTTGCCCTGAGGCTAAAGGTGTGGGAGTGGCGGTGCTCATTGTTATATACTCAATGACCTTTAAAGTGCTTTGCTAAAGGAGCAACTCTCTCTCCCAAGATGAATTAAGACTCATCTAAGTGGCTAACAATTGTTTTTTAAATATATATTAAAGAGTTGTTTTTCCCCTTTCCCATTATAAGGGCAGATAACCTTAATTTAAAGTTTTAATGTCTTTTCCTTCACTTCTAATTAATTAATCCTTCTGGAGGAATGACATATACTTTTGAAAAAGAGACTTTTGTATTTGCCTTACAATTAAAAAAAAAAAAATCCCCATTGAGTTATCGTATTTTCTAGTCCACAAATTAAACTTGTTTTTTAAAAAATTAGAAAAGCAATACATGTTATTGGAAGAAGAAAACATACAACAAAAACAGAAATAAGAAATAAGTCACTCTGATAGTGATAGCTATTGCTTTTATCATCATTCTCAAAGACAGCTACTATTATCAATTTCTTGTACATGTCTAGATATTCTGGATATATACATTTATTTACAACATCATCTAAAATTTTTAATAAGCTTTACATAGTGTTTTCCTTCACTTTTTTTTTTTGCTTAGCCTTATATTTTCAGTATCATTTCATATAAATAATAGAGCTCTAATGTTTGATATGGCCATAGAGTATTCATTCATATGAATACAGTGTGATTTATTTATTTAGTCTTCTACAGGCTTACTTTGTCATTGTTCCTGGCATATTGCTACTATACACGGCAAAGCAATATACGTCCTACATACACTGAGCACATGTACCATTAGAACTGCAAGATAACCCTAGAAATAAATTGTTGGTTTAAAACAAAAGTACATTTTACATTTAGGCATACAATGCAAATGAATCTTTCAATGATTTTTTTACCAACTTACATTCAATCACTATGCTTATTTCTTAGGATACAATAGAAGTAATAGCTATCCTTTTGCAGCTCCTAAAAGGCAACAAATGAAGTGATTAAGAGAATGTACTCTCAGTGTAATGCCTGAATTTGAATTCTGTCTCTGCTATTTTGTGACCTTGAACAATGTATTTAAGTTTTTCTGTGCTTTAGATGTTTTTCATTCATACAGTAGTATTATTAATAATAGAACTTACTTTTTTAGGTTGCTATAAGAATTATAATTAATTAATGTATAAAGTACATTAAAACAATGCATGGAACCTAGTAAATATCTAATACAAATTAGCTATTATTAACCCAATCTAGAGCAGAGACAGACAAATCAAATAAAC
Organism: Homo sapiens; assembly: GCF_000001405.40. Taxonomy (NCBI): domain Eukaryota; kingdom Metazoa; phylum Chordata; class Mammalia; order Primates; family Hominidae; genus Homo; species Homo sapiens. Next base: position 17,333,708 of record NC_000012.12, on the reverse strand, counting down.
ATAGGAACATATAAAGTTGAAACTGTTATAATCAGTTTGAAGAAGAGGCATTTGTTGATTTCAGAGTCTACAGTATGAATCTTACTATGTCACAAAAGTCAGAGAAAGACTTTTGAAAAGTGATTGATGATTCATTTGAGATCTGAACAATGAGTCAGAGTTAACCAGGTGAAGAATTTCAAGAACATTCTGGGGGAAGAAAATTCTGTCCAAAGGTCTGTGTCAGGGGAACAATTGCCAGTATAGGGAAGTGACTAAAAGAGAGTCACTTCGTTGAAGAGAAAAAACACGCAAGGGGGAGTTGTCTCAGATGAACCTGGGGAGGTAGGCGGAGTATGATCACATATTTATTTTTGTCTTAATGGAAATCTATTGAAAAGTTTGAAGAGTGGGAAAAATCAAGGAAGATTATATGGTGACATAATCAGATTGATTCATCAAAAAGTTATTCTCTATGTATATGGAGAATAAGTTAGAAGGTGGCTCAGTGAAGATGAAGGTGGACTGGTTGGAAGGTAATTATGTTAATGAAAGTGAGAGATAATGGTAGTTTGGACTAAATCAACAAGGTAGATGTGCAGAAATGAATGAATTTTTGAATGAATCGACAAGCTTTGGCAATGGGTGGTTTATGAGGTTTATGAGGTTAATAAAAAATGAGGAGTAATTTTCAAGCACGTATATTTTAAAAACTAATCTTGGCCAAGTGCGATGGCTGACGCCTGTAATCCCAGCACTTTGGGAGGCTGAGGCAGGCAGATTACTTGAGGTCAGGAGCTTGGGACCAGCCTGGCCAACAGGGTGAAACCCCATATCTACTGAAAATACAAAAATCAGCGTGACTTGGTGTTAGGCACCTGTAATCCCAGCTACTTGGGTGGCTGAGGCAGGAGAATCGCTTGAACCTGGGAGGCCGAGGTTGCAGTGAGCTGAGATCACACTGCTGCACTCCAGCCTGGGTGACAGAGCAAGACTATCTCAAAAACAAACAAACAAACAAAAAACGAGTCTAGAATCTGACATATCACAGGCACTCAATAGTTTTTGATTTTCCTTTTTTCCTTTCCCTCCCTGACACCCCTGCTTTTTTATAGTACATGTAGAATGGACTCAATTTTTGGATACACATATTTGTTTTATTTTTAAGTTGTAAACTTTTGTGTTACAAATATTATTATTATTATTATTATTATTATTTAGACTAAGTGTTTTAATATAGCCAGGAATATATTCTAGTTAAGATATTTCCTAATAATGTATTGAAACAGTAATCTCCTAATTTCTGACATACCAGAAATCTTGTCTTCTGAAGTTAATGGCACACTATGGTAATCTCAAATTATTTATTATATCCCTGTAGTATATAAGATGCAACAACTCTAATTAAAAAATATTGGTGCCAGGTGCGGTGGCTCACGCCTGTAATCCCAGCACTTTGGGAGGCTGAGGCGGGTGGATTGCCTGAGCTCAGGAGTTCGAGGCCAGCCTGAGCAACACGGTGTACTAAAATACAAAAAATAAGCTGAGCTTGGCAGTGTGTGCCTGTAGTCCCAGCTACTCGGGAGGCTGAGGCAGGAGAATTGTTTGAACCCTGGAAGTGGAGGTTGCAGTGAGCCAAGATCAGGCCACTGCACTCCAGCATGGATGACAGAGTGAGATTCCGTCTCCAAAAAAAAAAAAAAAAAAAAATTATTGCCAAATGGAAATAAATAGAAAAAATCTTGACAAAAATAATAATATCAATAACAGTACATCATTGTTATATGAGCCAGAAATAGTCTTCTAAGATCATCAGATGTATCCTCTTAGCTATTTCTGATGGAACTCTATGGGGCAGATATTATTATTCCCATTTTATACATAAGAAAATTGAGGTACAGTAAAACAACTTAAGTTGTAGGAAACTTCACTGTACCCATAAGTGGTGGCACTGGGATTTCAGCCCACGTCTTTGCACTTGCACTCCAATAAGAAGTTTGAAAGCTTTGTTTTTAAAACCACTCTCCTCAATTATGGTAACAGCATTTACTAGCTGTATAACCTTGTGCCTTCATCCTAAAGTTTCACACAGCGACTATAGATAAGAAAATTTATAAAAAGCATTAAGAAAATACCTGTCACATGGTACATGTTAGCTGTAAGTAAAATTAAAATGTCAAGAACTATATTTATTTTTGTCATTACTCAAAGTTGCTTATTCACTTGAAAATCTGTTTAGATTTTCTCACTACCAATATTTTACATTAACATATTTCCTTTATATTAGGACATTTGGAATAAGGTTATATTGGGAATTAGTAATTTCTAAGAAATACACAGTCCATAAAACTAAGTTTGCAAAATTTAACTTCACAAAATTCAGCATTGAAATAAGCAACTGAATGATAACTCCCAGTTCCCCGAATCAATAAATGTTTGTAGATCTCTTTAATTTTTGGAGCATAGTTTGCTCACATCCAACAAAAGAATTTAGATGCTTGAGAGAAAGGTGATTTAGACTGCATTTACATGCAGAACTAGTTCAATTATTATGAGGGTCAAGTCATTCAAAACCCAGTTTTGACATAACCTAGATAGCTAAAGTAGTCTTCTTTAAGATGAGTATGGCTTGAGACCTTAAATATTCATCATTAATAAAAATTCCATGACATTTTTCAAAAGAACATTTGACCAGGTCATTTGACCAGATGCCAAGTTAAATCATTAAGGCATGGCCAACTGCCATTTCATTTTTCTTTTTTTTAACCTAATATCATAGATTTTTTTAATTTAAAGGAACCTTAGATATCATTTTCCTTGAGCACAGAATTTACAAGTGAGTATCAGAATCTCAGAAAGTGCCTTTTGAACTCTTTAAAAAAAAATTCTTTCTGGCATGGGGATATGGTTTTAGAGAAGAGTGTTTCTGAGTTTTTAATACTTAAATTTTGGATAAAATATCCCATTTAAAAATCTTCCAATGAATATGCCAGAGCCATTTTGCTTGTTGTTTTTCTTGTTGTTGGATTGCTGGTTGCTGTTGCTATTTTTAATGAGTAAAGATTAAATTGCAACCCATTTGATAGAGTTACTTTGTTGATTTTCTATTTTATCACAATTTCACAGAAACAAATGAAGCATAATTTCTTACTTATCCACACATTTTAATAACCTTTGCCATTTCTCATTAATCGAATGTAGGGTGAATCTTTTCCAATCTGTTTCAGGATATAACAAAGATGGGCTTTGTTTCACATCCCACATAGTACACATTTGTGTTTTGCTATCATAATAGTTTTTTTATGTTACCTCATCAGTTCTGATAGTTTGCATATTGCAGAAAATTAGTGATACCGAATTGGAATGGTGACTTGATATGATTTTAAAAATTAAACCAGAATTAAGAAATGATTTGAGTAAAGAAATGAAAATGAAGATTGACTTTGAAAACATCCTATTAACTAAATTCTCACTATCTCATGTTAATTTAGTATATCCTTCTTGCAATAATAAGAAATATGCATATCATCTAGTGGTAAATTATCTCCGAGTTAGTTTTCTCCCATCTATATTTTGTGATTTTCAATATGTTGAATCTTCAGTGTACAGATAGATGCCTACCAAGTGTCACTTCTCAATATTCATGTTTAAAATGTGATGTTTCTATTCAGCTACATGAAATAGAACCTGGTGAAGTTCTACTCATCTTTAAGGACTCAGATTATATTTTAATCCTTTTCTCATTTCTTCTCCGATTCACAAAAGTAATCTTTCCTACCTCAGATTCCCTTAGAACTTTATGAATATCTATTTATCACAGATTATTTTATAATAATAATAGAGCTAAGATTTATTGAATACTTATAATGCCAGCCACAGTTATAAGTGCATTAAGTGTGCTATTTTATTTGTTTTTTATTGCTCCGATAACATGCTTAATTTCTATAGTTTTCAATCAATTGTTGCCACTTACTCCTTCAACAAGAACAACACATGTTCATCTATGTGTGTGACTGTCATACTAGGCATTTATGAGGCTTTGGGACTACACACAAAGATTTTTAAGTAAAATAATAGTGTTCCAAAAAAGAACACATTTATATAAACTATATAATAACACAGGACAGTAAATGCCATAAAGAAGGTAAATATAAAACGTTGTGGCTTGGTCGCAAGGTCCTCAGCATTTATGCAGTATCTATTATGTGTCATTACTTTATAGAGTTTAACTATTAAGTTTCTTAACTGTACTAGAGATAAACATCATTAGTCTAATTTTTGATGAAGAAATTGAGATTAGAGAAGTTGAATAATTTTACAAAGTCATATGGCTAGTAAGTGGAGAATAAAAAATAAAATCCAAGTCTTTCTGATTGCATTATGTCAATTGGATTATTTGCTTGAGAGGATTGAGGGAGGCTACAAGGAAGATAATGTGGGATTCTAAGAATAAGAAAGGAAGGGAAGGAAATTCTCAGAAGATTGAATATTCCATGTCAAGTTCAGGCTCTAAATCTATTGTGAGCCTGAATTAGAACTGAGACAACTCCCTTCTGTGGACTTAATGTGGCTGAAGTCTTGCCTTTTAGGAAAACTACTTGAGTTAGTTAAAACAATCAAGATATAAGTTCTATAGATCTGTTTTTCACCTTATTTTACATATATATACACACACACATACAAATACACATACATACATATAAAAATATGTGTATGTCTGTGTCTGTGTGTGTGTGTGTGTGTGTGTGTTAATATAAACAAAACTCTTCTCAACTTCTACGGTAATAATTTCTTTAGTGAACTAAAAGTTATCAAATAGGTCAAATGGTTAATGAATTTTTCAAAAGCTTCTAATTTGCCCTGTACTTGCAAATAAGTCATTAAAAGAATATGATTTCTTGTATACTGATGATCAGGATTTATTACAGTAAAACAAGTTTACTAATGTGCACAGCTTTGCTCAACCTTTGTTCATTGACTGCTTTGTAAAGCATGTGTTGTTTATTGATTTACTGTTTAACCCAAACACACACATAGACCGGACAAACATACACATGTACTTCTACAACAAAAATAGATGCCAAACACACTGTTACTTTGTTTTCCACTAGAAAAATTACACTTTAGTAGATGAACCAAAAGACCCAACGTTAAAAATAATGATGATAATATGACTGTAATTTACATGAAGAAGGAGCAAGCATTTTAAATAATGTATAATTAACTACTCAAGGATTTGTCTTCATACACTGAAAATATCAATAGTTACAACGATATACCTTTTTGAAAGCGAACCTTTAAGGCTTCAAATGTAAGAACCAGAGAATACCAAATATGGGTCACTTCAGGGTTTTATATTGGCAATTATGAAACAAAATTGAACTATACATAGGTAAAGTATATAAAATTAATTGTATTTTTATTTTATTTTATAAAGTTAATTTTGATTTCCATTTACTCATTCCCTCAACAAGTATTTATGAAGTCATAGATATAACAGTAATATTATTATTAATAATATTCATAATCAGCATTAATTAAACAGATAATATACGGTAGGAACTGTGATAGAAATGGGATAGCATGAGGAAGAAGATACAAAAAATCTCTACAATGAAGGCCAGAACTAAATTTTCTCCCCCGTGTATTATTTTGACTTGTTATTAGAGTTCCTTATGAATTTAAGTGTTATGGTTAATTGGAGATTTTATTAAGAATATTTTCATTATTGAAAATTTTTAATGAAATATTTTTTGTCTCCCCTTACTTCATGTGTATAGGACAATAAATGCAATTTGACGGTTAAAGACTTTATAACGTCTTATGAAAAAATACTAAACATTAATTTTAAGTAGGTGCTAGTATTCATTACAAAAAATACATATTCAAATTCCATAAATGTATAAAAAATATAGTTCACCAAAATATGAATCTTTAATTCATCTGCCTTTCTATCAGGTTGTTTTCTCTTGAGAATAAATTTTATGAAATAATCTTAAAGTAATCATATTCTATCATAAATCTACTTATTTGAATTCTGGTTTAGTAGGAGGTGATTTAGATCATGATTATTATTTTTAAAGACTATTTTGTATGCAGTAGTTTAACTTTCCAGACAAATGTAAGGAGTATATAAATATTTTTTCAGTACAGTTCATTATGTGATTCTTCTTCTACTAGAGTTACATACGGAATGTACTTTAGGGCATTTCTTATGAATTTATTTCTAGCTTCCCATCAATTTGTAATAAGAGATATTGCTATAGTCTTAGTACTGTGTTACAACATATGCTTTCTTTGTAATCTAGTGATGCACAGAAGGTCTTCAAACTCAAAGGCTAACTCCTTTGCCAACTTTCGGGTGAAATATCAAATTTATTTTGGAATTTTAATGTTTTCATATATTTTCAGGCCTTAGTTTGATGAGTATTTCTGAAATTACTTAAATGTATAAATTATTTATACTTTATTATAATTATAATTATAATTATTATATTTATAAAATATATTGATTAAATTATTTTATAAATTTACAAAATTATAAAAGTAAATGTTATAAATATAATAATTATAATACTTGATTTTAGAATTTATCCAATCTGATCTCTTCTGTAACTGTCTCCTGGCAGCTCAAGAATGAAAAAAAAGTGGGGGAGGGATAATACTGGACAGAAAAAGAACACTGCTAATCCTATATGGGAAGTATTGCATTTTAATCATTGAACATAGACAATTAAACATGTAACATTTCGATTTTATTTTAATGTATTGTGTTAAAGAATCAGAGGATGTTTAGAAGTTGGACAGGACTCACCCTGTTATCTAACATGTTATCTAACAGATAAGGAAACTGGAATTGAGTTTGATTAACTAAACAAACGTCACATGGCTAGGGAATGTCTTCCCAGAGATACCTGGACCCTCTTATCTCTGAGTATTCAAATGCTTTTTCCACTAGACTACATTCTTTCCTGCAGTTAAAAACTACAGCCTTAGCAACTTTAATACCCAGGATAAGACTAGTAACTTTACTGAGCCTTGACCTTTTTCACTCAAGCTTGATGAGAGTAAAGGAAGGACCCCTGCTTTTCAAAGATACATTTCAAATCACCCATTAAGGTTTATACACAAAGCAGTGTTCCAGAAATTACACTTTGTTGTTAATCCCTAAATTTCAGTTGTAAATTTGGTGGAAAGAAAAATAAAAACAAACAAAAAAAAGATTCTTTTTATAATAACATAGTCTTGGTAATTTTTACTGTTGAGTGTGAGATAAATGAATGTGTTATTTGTTTAGAAAGATTGCTATATTCAAATGAAGAATGATTTCTCCTCAATAAATACTGTAAGAAATTTAATTGAGATCAAAGAAATAATTATCTTCTATCAGAAGGAATTTTATACCCTCTAAAAGTCCCTATATTTGTGACTAAGCAAAGTGTTTTGTCCAATTAAAAAAATCAGAACCTATTTAATTGCCTCGCTCATTGCACTATAACCAGCACAAATTAAGCCTATCTGCCAATTACAAGTATGTGAACATCTTTTAGTATCAAAGAGAATGACAAAATGCTACACTTTAAGGAGTAATAGTTAAGGCCAATTGTGGTTTAATTCACAGATGACATAACATCCTTGTATTAATTCTCTCTGTGCGTTTCAGCTGGGTAGTTATCACACATAGATTACTACGCCTCTTGCAGAATGTGAAAGTACACGTAAACCTGGAGCATTTAACCAAACAACAACAAAAATGATTGGGGGAGGAAAAAACACTTTGCTAAGTGTCAAGCATGCAGCCTTAACCCTACCAAGAGTCTGCATAATTGTAGATGCGACTCATATGGCAACGTGAAGACAGAGAGGAATAAAAACAAATCAAAATTCTACTAGCCTACAACTGTTACACATCTTTTTGTTCATGTTCTCAAGGAATATGCTCACAGAAATTCACACTTCCAAAGATGTAAACCAAGTTAGATTGTTGAATTGTTAAAGAATATTGTATTATATGCTGCACAAGGAAAAATAAAAAGCACGAGGAATGTTTACTTTTAGAAATTTATCAGGTCTGTAAGTATTGTTTTAAAAGGGAAGTCAAAGTTTAATTAAGATGAACAAAACTTTAGGATTATTACTATCTTTGGTTTACACATCTTTACAACTGCCTGCCTAGAGAGAAGGAACTAAATTTGCTGATTAAAGGTGTCTTCTCATATCCAATTAAAAAATACGTTTTTCAAATTATATATCCCTTTGAGTATTGAGTCGGTTCAAATTTTAACCCCCATCAAGACTGTCTTTTTGTTACTCTCCACCTATTCCCTTAAGAGGCAACTAGGTTCAAAGGAGAGTTTGCTTAATGTTAGGATATTGAGAGAGAGACAAGCAACCATGAGTCTTTGCCCAGCTGGCATATGTGCCAAGTGTTTTCACCTACATTAATGCATTCAATTTAATACAACAAAGTAGATATTAGAATTTCCACGTTGCTGGTAAGAGAACAGAGTCTCAGAAAGGTTAAATATTTACTTACCTAATAATCGTTAATCTATATCGAGTGCATGTCATTTGACAGATACTTCAAAGCTCTATTAATGTATGTTAAATAATTTAAATCCGCAACAGTCCTATGATGTAGATTCTCATATTATCCCCATTTTAAAGATGAAGAAACAAAGGCACAGAGAGATTAAGTATATTGCTTAAAGCTACAGTGATATATTTCAGGCAAACCAGGATTCGAACTCAAGCAGTCTGGAACCAAAGACAACATTAGTAACCTTCATCGCCTCTACAAAATACACTGGAAGCTCACAAATTCAGATGGACTAAAAGTGTAATTGAATCTATAGTACTAAAGAAACAACATATTATCCCCCACATTGTTTCTCAAAATAGTGTCATATATTCCACTGCAGCTAAGATGAGTTAACATTTAACTGTCATCTTTGCCTGCCAGTAACTGATTAGCATGCCCGATCTTTCTCTCTGGTTATAAGAAGAGATCCTACGTAGCCTGAGATAGTGGAAGTGTTTCTCATGTCCCCATCTACCACATGCGTGGATTCCTGTAACACTAATATACCAGTATGATCTCGTTGGTATGCTTAAAGAAAGTTAAATGCAAGAATGCAAATGGAGTTGCAGCCTACCACAAATTTAGCACCTACTATTAGTGACTTACAGAGGTAATACCATGACAGAGAAGAGAGTTTTAATCTTGGAGTTTCAGACCTGCTGAACAGTGAATATGTGTGAGGTCCATAGTTGATAGGTGAGGGAAACAACCAACAAAGAGTTGCAGAGAATATACACAAATATATTAAAAGAAGATAGCCAATAAAAGAAGAAATGCGGCATTTGCCTTATATGTGACTAATTCCGAAATTCATTCTTCAGCTTCCAGACCCTACAACTTCTGGGAAGTGTTCCCCAACCATTCCCAAGCCTGGTTTGGTTCCCTTTGCAGAGTCTAATAATAAACTCTATGACCATTTAAATGTACTTGAAATTTTTAAAATTATAGGAAATATTGACAAATGTTTTCACCAGAAATTTATCTTGAAAAATGAAGCTTAAAACCATGCATGTATATCTATTTTGTCTGATACTTAAAATTTAGCTTATATGTGTAACTAAAATCCTTTTATTAAAATGAACAATGAAATAAATAAGGAAATTAGCTTTGACTTTATATCTAAAATTATATATTTAATATAATAAAGATAATATAATTTTGAAGCATAATTATAAAGATATCATAATTATAAAGATACTCTAATATTTACAGCATGATCATAAAGAGAAATCAAGTGCTTGTCAGTTTTCCCTAACACCTGTCTTATCCTTTGTTTGTCAAATAAGCTCTTTGATGAACCCAAATTTAATTCTTGCTTATTTATTTATTTACTTAGTTACCAATGAAAAGTGCAGTAGTGTTTTTTAGTACGTAATTACATTAATATATGCTAACTTCATTTAACTGCATTTATTATTAGTAACTGGTGATTGATGTATTTAATTATTGTCAGGGATTGATGTAGCTCTTCAACATAATTTTCAACAATTTTAAGAAATCCTACACTTTTGTTATAAGATTTGCAGTTTTGCTTTGCAATCGCATGCCATTGTGCCTACATTGTTTTTAGATGTTTACAAAAGCTAATAACCAGTGAAAGATTAACAGAGGAATAAAGACCTCGTTTCAATGGGCAAGATGCTTGGCATCATGGAGCTAATATTTAGCCAGTAGGCACTGTTGTGGTCATATTAGTTGTTAAATTATTGAGATACATTCATACTTTGAAATAAAACCATTATCTTGAAGCCCAGTGAATGTCAGGTGCTGCTGCCCTCACTGCCCTAATTTGATTCTGAGCTTTCCAAACTTTCTCATAATGCGATCATTAGAATAGAAATTCTTGGTGGAGCCAGGGCATAAGCTGACATTCTTTCTGTCTATGACCTTACTATGGTAGGATAGAAGTTCAAGAGAACAGGATATTTGAATTAAGATCATTTTTTAAAAGTAGTTGATTTGGGCAAGATGGCAGATAGCAGGTTGGACTAGCAGCAGCTCCCTTTCAGACAGACAGAGCAGCATGTGGAGACTCACGTCATGAACTTTCGCTCCAAGAACTACCACAGCAACATACTAAGAAAGCTGAGAGAGTTCACAGACTCAGCTTTCTGCTGACTCCCTGAGATAGTGGAAAACTGTGAGTCTGCTTGCTTTCTCAGTGTGGAGGCTGGTGGTCTGGGGCAAGTCCTCAGCCCTGGTCACTGGCTGCCTGGAAATAGACTCTGTGCTGTTGGCAGGGGGCACAGTGGGAGCAAGACCAGCCTCTAGGACTGCTGGCTGCATGGGAGCAGGATAAGGCCTGTGACTGCCAGCTTTCTCCAACTTTCTGGTGACCTGTACGACTCAGCAGAGGCAGTTATAATCCCCATTGGCCTGAGAACTACACCCCTACTCCATTGGCCTGATACCTACACCCCCACTCCCCATAGCAGCTGCAGTAAGCCCTGCCCAAGGAGAGTCAGAGCTCAGACACACCTATTCCCAATTTGGTGGTCTTTTGTTACCTGCCCTGGTTGCCAAAGACAAATGACATAATCTCTTGGGAGTTCTATAGCTCTGCCCACCACCTGAGAAATCTGAACACTTCACCAGGCAACCCTAGGGCAAGTTTGCTTCCTCCCTACAGTACTGCAGCTGATACACTCTTGAAAGCACCACCTCCTCACTGGAGGCCAACCAACACAAAACCAGCACACTAAAGAAAAATACAACCAAGGACCCTAACACAGTCCACTTCACTCCCCTGCTACCTCCGCCAGAGCAAGTGCTGGTATCCATAGCTGAAAGACCTGAAGACGAATAACATCACAGGACTCTGCTGATACTCTCTAGTACCAGAGCCCAGTAGCTCCACTGGGTGGTTAGCCACAGAAGAGCAAAAATAGTCACTGCAGCTTAGCTCTGAGGAAGCCCCATTCCTATGGGAAGGAGGAAAACATCTCATCAGGGGAGCACCCTATGGGACAAAAGAATCTGAAAAGCAGCCCTTGAGCCCCAGATTTTCCATCTGACAAGTCTACCCAAATGAGAAGGAACCAGAAAAATAATTCTGGTAAAATGACAAAACAAAGTTCTTTAACACCCTCGAAAGATCACACTAGCTCACCAGCAATGGATCCAAACTGAGAGGAAATCTCTGAATTGCCAGAAAAAGAATTCAGAAGGTTGATATTAGCTAATCAAGGAAGCAGGTGAGGTCCAACTTAAAGAAATTGAAACCATGATACAGAATGTGAAAGGAAAGTTCTTCAGTGAAATAGAGGGCATGAAAAAAAAATTACAACTTCTGGATATCAAGGACACACTTACAGCAATGCCAAATGCACTGGAAAGTCTCAGCAATAGAATCAAACAAGCCGAAGAAAGAATTTCAGAGCTTGAAGACAAGGCTTTTGAATTAACTTAATCAGTCAAAAACAAAGAAAAAAGAATTTAAAAAATGAACAAAGTCTCTAAGAAGTTTGGGACTCTTATAAGTGCCCAAACCTAACAATAATTAATGTTCCTGCAAAATAAGAGAAATCTAAAAGTTTGGAAAACATATTTAAGGGGACAATCAAAGAAAACTTCCTCAGCCTTGCTAGAGATCTATACATCCAAATACAAGAAACTCAAAGAGCACATGATAAATCCATTGCAAAAAAATTAACACCTAGTCATCAGATTATTTAAACTCAAGACAAAGGGAAGAATATTAAGAGCTGTGAGTCAAAAGTATCAGGTAGGTTATGAAGGAAAATCTATCAAAGTAATAGCAGATATCTCAGCAGAAACCCTACAAGCTGGAAGAGATTGGGGTCCTATTTTTAGCCTCCTTAAGGAAAACAATTATCAGCCAAGAATTTTGTATCCAGCGAAACTAAGCATCATAAATGAAGGAAAGATATAGTCTTTTCCAGAGAAACAAATGCTGAGAAAATTGGCCACTACCAAGCCAGCACTACAAGAACTGCTAAAAGGAGCACTACACCTTGAAACAAATCATTGAAATACACCAAAATAGAACCTCCTTAAAGCATGAATCTCACGGGACCTATATAACAATAACACAATTTAAAAAAGAGGTATTTAGGCAACAAATAGCACAATGAATTGAATAGTACCTCACATCTCAATACCAACATTGAATGTAAATGACCTAAATGCTTCACTTAAAAGATACAGAATGGCAGAATTGATTAAGAATTCACCAACCAAGTTTCTGCTGTCTTCAGGAGACTCACCTAAAACATGAGGACTAACATACATTCAAGGTAAAGGGGTAGAAAAAGATATTCCATGCAAATAGACAGCTAAAGTGAGCAGGAGTAGCTATTACTATATCAGACAAAACAAACTTAAAAGCAACAGCAGTTAATGAAGACAAAGAGGAACACTGTGTAACAATAAATGGACTAGTCCAACAGGACAATATCACAATCTTAAATATGTATTCACCTAACACTGGAGCTCCCAAATGTATGAAACAATTAATACAAGACCTAAGAAATGAGATAGATGGCAACACAATAATTGCAGGGGATGTTAATTCTCCACTGACAGTACTAGGCAGGTTGACAAGACAGAAAACCAACAAAGAAACAATTGACTTAAGTTATACCCTAGAACAAATGGACTTAACAGATATTTATAGAACATTCTCTTCAACAACTGCAGAATATACATTCTATTCATCAGCACATGGAACATTCTCCAAGACAGACCATATAATAGAGCACAAAACAAGTCTCAGTAAATGTAAGAAAACCTAAACTATATCAAGTACTCTTAGACTGTAGGGGAGGAAATCAACACCAAAAGGAACTCTTAAAAACCATGCACATACATGGAAACTAAATAACTCGCTTCTGAATGATTGTTGGGTCAACAATGAAATCAAGATGGAAATTTAAAAATTCTTTAAACTGAATGATCCTAGTGACACAACCTATCAAAACCTCTGTGATACTGCAAAAGTGGCATTAAGAAGAAAGTTCATTGCATAAATACCTAAATCAAAAAGTCTGGAAGAGCACAAATAGACAATCTAAGGTCACACCTCAAGGAACTGGAGAAACAAAAACAATCCAAACCCAAACCCAGCAGAAGAAAATATATAATGAAGATCAGAGCAGAACTTACTGAAATTGAAACAGACAAACAAAAAAGATAAATGAAAACAAAAGCTGACTCTTTGAAAAATAAATAAAATTGATAGACCACTAGCAAGATTAACCAAGAAAAGATGAGAGAAGATCTAAATAAGCTCAGTTAGAAACAAAATGAGAAATATTACTACTGATACCACAGAAATATAAAAGATTATTCAAGGCTACTCTAAACACATTTATGCACATAAACTAGAAAACCTGGGGCAGATGGATAAGTTACTGGGAATATACAACCCTCCTAGATTTAACCAGGAATATATAGAAACTCTAAACAGAGCAATACCAAGCAGTGAGATTGAAATGGTAATAAAAAAAAATTGCCAACAACAAAAAAAAGCCCAGGACCAGATGGATTCATAGCTGAAGTAGATCAGACATTCAAAGAAGAATTGGTACCAATCTTATTGACACTATTCCAAAAGATAAAAAAAGAGTGAATACTCCCTAAATCATTCTATGAAGCCAGTATCACCCTAATACCAGAACCAGGAAAGTATATAACAAAAAAAGAAAACCACAGACCAATATCCCTAATGAACATACATGCAAAAATCCTGAACATAATTCTAGCTAACCAAATCCAACAGCATTTCAAAATGATAATCCACCATGATCAAGTGGGTTTCACTCAAGGATGCATGGATGGTTTAACATATGCATGTCAATAAACGTAATATACCACATAACAGAATTAAAAACAAAAATCACATGATCATCTCAATAGATGCAGGAAAAGCACTTGACAAAATCCAGCATTGCTTTATGGTTAAAACACCCAGCAAAATTGGCATAGAAGAGATATAACTTGAGGTAATAAAAGCCATTTACGATAAACACACAGCCAACATTAAACTGAATTGGGAAAAGTTGAAAGCCTTACCCCTGACAACTGGAACAAGACAAGAATGCCCACTTTCACCACTTCTATTCAACATAGTATTGGAAGTCCTAGCCATACCAATCAGACAAGAAAAAGAAATCAAGGGTATCTAAATTGGTAAAGAGGAAGTAAAAGTGTCACTGTTTCCTGTTGATATGATCGTATACCTAGAAAACTCTAAAGGTTCATCCAAAAAGCTCCTAAAACTGGTAAATGAATTCAGCAAAGTTTCAGGATACAAAATAATGTACACAAATGAGTAGCTCTGCTATACACCAACAGTAACCAAGCTGAGAATCAAATCAAGAACTCAACCCCTTTCACAATAGATGTAAAAATAATAATACAATAAAGTACTTGGAATATACCTAACCAAGGAGAAAAAAGACCTCTACAAGGAAACAAGGAAAACTACAAAACACTACTGAAAGAAATTGTATTTGACAGAAACAAATGGAAACACATTCCATGCTCATGGATGAGTAGGACCAATATCGTGAAAATGACCATACTGCCAAAAGCAATCTACAAATTCAGTGCAATTTCCATCAAAATACTACCATCATTCTTCACAGACCTAGAGAAAACAATCCTAAAATTCATATGGAACCAAAAAAGAGCCCACATAGCCAAAGCAAGACTAAGCAAAAAGAACAAATCTGGAAACATCACATTACCTGACTTCAAACTACACTACAAGGCCATAGTCACCAAAACAGCATGGTATTGGTATAAAAATAGGCTCATAGATCAATGGAACAGAATAGAGAATCCAAAAATAAACCCAAATACTTTCAGCCAACTGATCTTCGATGAAGACAACAAAAGCATAAAGTGAAGGAAGAACACCCTATTTAACAATGGTGGTGGGATAATTGGCAAGCCACGTGCAGAAGGATGAAACTGGATTCTCATCTCTCACCTTGCACAAAAATCAAACACCTTATACAAAAATCAACTCAAGATGGATCAAGGATTTAAATCTAAGACCTGAAACCATAAAGATTCTAGAAGATAACATTGTAAAAACCCTTCTAGACATTGGCTGAGGCAAAGACTTCATGACCAAGAACTGAAAAGCAAATGCAATAAAAACAAAGATAAATAGATGGGGCTTAATTAAACTAAAAGGCTTCTGCACAGCAAAAATAATAATAATAATAATAATAATAATAATAATAATAATAATCAGCAGAGTTGACAACCCATAGAGTGGAAGAAAATCGTCACAACCTGTACATCCAACAAAGAACTAATATGAAGTATCTACAAAGAGCTCAAACAAATCAGCAAGAAAAAAACAATCCCATCAAAAAGTGGGCTAAGGACATGAATAGACAATTCTCATAAGAAGATGTACAAATGGCCAAGAAGCATATAAAAAAATGCTGAACATCACTAATTATCAGGGAAATGCAAATCAAAACCACAATGGAATACTACCTTATTCCTGCAAGAATGGCCATAATAAAAAAATCAAAAAATAATAGATGTTGATGTGGATGGATGTGGTGAAAAGGGAATACTTATACACTGTCAGTGGAAATGTAAACTAGTACAACCATTACAGAAAACAGTGTGGAGATTCCTTAAAGAACTAAAAGTAGATCTACCATTTAATCCAGCAATCTCACTACTAGTATCTACCCAGAGAAAAATAAGTCATTTTATGAAAAAGATACTTCCATATGCATGTTTATAGCAGCACAATTTCCAATTGCAAAAATATGAAACTAGCCCAAATGCTCATTAACCAATGAGAGGATAAAAATATGTAGGGGAGACATATATATATGTGTATACACACATACACACACACACACATATATACACACACGTGTGTGTGTGTGTGTGTATATATATATATATATATATATACACACACACACACCTATATCATGGAATACTACTCACCCATAAAAAGTAATGATATAATGGCATTTGCAGCAACCTGGATGGAATTGGAGACTATTATTCTAAGTGAAGCAACTCGGGAATAAAAAAACAATCATTGTATGTTCTCACGTATAATTGGTGGCGAAGCTATGAGAACCCAAATGCATAAGAATGATACAATGGACTTTGGGGCCTTAGGGGAAAGGGTGAGGGGGTGGTGAAGGAAAAAAGACTACACATTGGATATAGTGTACACTGCTTGGGTGATGGGTGCATCAAAATCTCAGAAATCACCACTTATTTATGTAACCAAACATGACCTGTTCCCCAAAAACCTATTGAAATAAAAATTTAAAAAATACAACAAATAAATAAATAAAAGTAGTTGACTTATTATTATTTCCAGTGTTGTTTCTCTAAGCAACATTGTAACTTCACGGACTCAAAAAATCTATAGTTCTATAAGGGGGATGCTCATTCTTCCTGCTCTCATGGCTCTTAATATACTCTATTGCAAATGTTTCCTCAATATTATTTTTCCCTTAACTAATCTGGACTTACCAAGATGGGATGAAACAGGTCTGTGTTTTTCATTGTTCTATCCACTGAGCTTGGCTCACTTTGCTCTTGTATGATAAACACAATGAATGCATTTTTATAAAAATAATGAATGAATATCACCTTTGATATTCTTCATGAAATTCCTTATAGCTTTATTTGATCGTAGTCACTGTTACAGATAACTTTCTTGAGCATTTTAGTAAATTTTGCTTTAAGCTCTGAGAGGATAACAACCATGCTTATGCAATTCTGTGTACCACCTAGCACAGTATTACAACACATTAAATACTGGATGTTTCTGCAGTTGTTGTTGACACTGCCGATGAAACCAAAAGTACCCTTCATAGTCTATTTAGTGAAAGGCAGATCCTATACACATCCTGTATATGTGAGTGGAATAAATGCCTCCACTCATTTCTGTAGCTATAGTTAATACACGAAAGTGGGTGATATCATTTTATTTCAATGGCAGTGTTAATAACAGCAGAAAGACTCTCTATATGGTTTGCCTTGAGGTTCATAAACCAAGCTTTGATCCATGTGGCCATAGCCATTTTACAAGTAAAGCTATAAAGCTTCCTAGTTTGAAATCAACCACGCATTAATTCCTATTCTCAGACACCAGTCTAGAATTACAAGAATTTTACTGACAACTAAGGGTAAGAGTCCAAGAAAATTGTTACTTTTTGATTCTCTGTAGGGATCCAAATCCTTTTTGCAACTTTGATTCAGAGTTGACTGAGTTCCGCAACAAAAAAGTAAGACGATCTCAACAGAACTCATACTCTCAAACTAGTCATCTAGAAATAGAGTTTCATTCTTTATCAGATAATTATTACATGATTGTAGCACATAGAAGATTTTACACTCACTGACTCAAAAATAGGATTTTGCAAAAGAGAAATGCAGTGAGATTAGTCAGTGAATCTGAGAAGTCGTGTATCAAGTAGAAAAAAAAATTAGACTACTGGGAATAAATTCAACCCCTAAAATGAGCAATAAAACAATGTTACCAGAATGAAGATTAGAAATGGGAAATAAAGGAACAATAAGAAACATCACATAACAGTTGATTGACCTCCTTGGGGTCAAGGAACAATATATTTGACATTCATACAAAAAAATAAAAAGCTTATAATCTTTCTCTACAACACACTCTTCCTCAGTCTTTACCATCTTGGCTGCTGCAAACTTCCTTGAAGGTGCTCAGACTTATAACCTAACAGTAATTGTAAACATTTCTTTTATTAAGTCCACATCCTAGCTGGTGGTAAATCCTGTTGTCACTACCATCAAAATATATTCAAAATCCAACTTCTCACCTCATTCCTGCACTATCTTTCTATTAACTATTATTAATTGAGCACTAGAAGAGTGCCTGAACTATCATAGGTGTCCAATTAATATTTTTGAATTACAAAGGCAGTGAAAGAAAAAAAGGAAAACAAAAAATTAAGATATTAAATAGATAATCTTCCTTTGAGTTAATAACAAATCAGTCAATTAACACATTCTAATACCTTATAAAGACTATCAAATAGCAAATTGATTTTAATAAACATATCTTAATGTATGCAACTATATCTCAAAACAGTTTTATGTTTCTAGAAAAATTTACAACTTAATGAGAAACTCTTATCTCATAATCTTATAAATATTCCTCATTTTGACAAATTGTAAACCACCTTGAGTAACCATTCTTTTATCAGGTTTAGAAAATAATGATGTTTAGTTTTTGAAAATTAAGTTCAATACCAAGGCATAGAGATTGTTTGCTATTGCTTATACTTAAAATATATTTAAACTTTATAAATAATTCCAGGCCAGGCATGGTGGCTCATGCTTGTAATCCCAGCACTTTGGGAGACTGAGGCAGGAGGATTGCTTAAGCCCAGGAGTTCATGAACAGCCTAGGCAACATAGTGAGACTCCGTATCTACCAGAAACAATTAGCCAGGCATGATGGTGCATGCCTGTAGTCCTGGCTACTTAGGAGGCTGAGGTGGTAGGATCTCTTGAGCTTGAGAGGATGAAGCTGCAGTAAGCATTAATCACATCATTGCACTCCAGCCTGTGCAACAGAGAAAGGCTTTACCTCAAAAAAAAAAAGGAAGAAAAATATTTCTATTTGAAGCCTTAGCTAGATTAATATAATAACTGCAAATAATAATACCCAACCTCATTCTTTGTGCCTTCCTCACTAAGTTTTGAAGAGGACAATACTTATTTGAATGTATAATTTTGGTTATATTTGTTGACAATTGAACTATAATACCCTTTCATTTTAAAGAAAAATTGCTTTTCCCTTCCTTTATATACAATTGAATAGAACAAAACCCAGGTGATATTAAACAAATACTGCAATCTCTGATGCTTAGAAGCATATTTGGGAAATCGTATGTTCTGCTCAATATAATTTAGTCAACAGAAAATTAGTACATATTATACACAGGTTATCAATTTTATACTCAGAGTGTAATAAAATATATTGAACACAAAGGCAATTCAAAACATTCAAAATGTAAATTTATCCATTATTTTTTTCAATCTAAGCATGCTATAGGGGTTTACAGGACATCAAGGCTATTCCCGCATGCATTAATTTTCATTGTCCTATCATAGCTGGAAGGCATAATAGATATTTTCAATTGATATGAAAGAAGGAATGGTATGTTCAATTTAAATTAAGGCTGTTTTGGAAATAAAATGTAAGCCTCAGTGGTGCTGGTAATTATACCTATTCAGCAAGATTACAAAGAATTTTTAAGAATTACATTTGGGTCTCAGTTATCTTGTATATGTTAAATATAAAAATATTTCATGTTATATATTGCAATACATACATATAAACACATATATAAATATATAATATACGTAAATATATATAAGATCTATTTTTTGACTTATTTCATCTGTAGCCTTTCTTAGTAAAGTTGTTATGTTAAGATAGTTTAATCGAAGCACCATTTTCATTCCTTTTTTTAACCTGCTTTTATTCAAAGCTTAAAAATTTATTGTAAAGTTGGCACTTTTTCATCAATGTTTCTGTCTTCAAAATATCGTCATCCCTGTCCACTCTCCTCCTTTTCCAGCTTCTTTCAATAAGGGCTTTGCTTTCATGTATTTTTCTTTTCCCTCTTATCATTGTGTTCCTGGGATTCTTCCTGCCACTATCCATACAGGATCATATATTCTAGCCTAAACATTTAGAAGGTCCCATTTTGGTGAACTGTGCAAAACACACTCAAAACAAAAATCAAAACTAATTCACTGCATTCCCAAAATATTCCTGATGCAACTGGAATTTTCTTCTTATTATAGTTCTTTATATAGGTTTTAATGACATCTTGCCATTAGTAAAAATTGAATCCTGTCAATCTTGACTAGAAACTATCTATTTCTTTCTTTTGAACAGATGCTTTCTAATACAAAAATCCCACTAGTAAGTGTACAATTTCTACAAATTAATCAAAGTCGCCAATATTCTATTCATTTTAAACTCTGAAACACAAATATTTTATACAATATTAGTATATATAAAGAGAAAGAGACAGAGTTAGTAAGAAAATTGTTTAAATGGCCATGTTTTTGCCTTTTAACTCAAATTCAGAGCCTAATTTGTAAAAGATTAAAAATCAAAGTTAAACCTTCAGTTTCTAATGTTTTGAAAAATCTAGCATGATGTGCATTATGAGGCATTGAAATGCCCGACAATGAAATCTTTAAACAGTATTGTCTCATAAGGAATAAAAGAAGCAATTTGTATTGAGTTGAATGTTGATCTATAAGAACTCCTGCATTTGAATGGCATGAACCTGGGAGGCAGAGCTTGCAGTGAGCCGAGATTGCACCACTGCACTCCAGCCTGGGCTACAGAGTGAGACTCCATCTCAAAAAAAAAAAAAAAAAAAAAAAAAAGAGAGCTCCTGCGTTTTTAGGATGCTGGGTTTCTATTCTTGGAATAGGTTAGAGAAATTATGAAAAAGTCTCACAGTGATTGCTGTTCTCCCAACAGTCATGCAATTTACTTCTAAAATACAGTAAAATATTTCTTAAAATATGATACTGTCACTACTCTCAATATGCCTAATCTAGGCCAAAATTGATTTATCAATCTATCCCATATCCAAATCAGACAAAGATTCTCTAAAGCTGCCCAGGGGACTCTGATCAATACTAAAATCACTCTAAAAATATTACCAAACTTCTTATCTGATGCTCTCAAGTCTATGTACATATTTGGCCTATTAATTGAAAAAGAGAATCTTTAAAAAGGTACATTTGTTCACTGATATTTTGAGGTAAGAACCCAGAACATTTATTTTATTGTAATCCACTATTTGAATTTCATATCATGTTGTTTTCTCTTTTTTTTTTTGTATAAACAATGATCATAATATAGTTTCTAAAATACCAAGATTTCTAAATGTATAGTAATAATTTAAAGGGAATTGTAAAGCAAACTTTATTATTATTATTCCAGATTTTATGATACCCCTCTAAATCTTCTTAGATGTCTTTCCCACACTTGATTTTATAGCAGCCTCTTAGGCTATCAACTTTATGTATACTTCCTCAAACACTCAACTTTAGTTTTGTCAACAAATAACTCATTTACACTTGCATTTTACTTGCTTGTGTATTTACAATGACATAATAACGAATGGACATAGACACAACTGTATGTTGATACATAAGTAATTTAACTGCTGGAGCTGGATGCGCACAGTGGCTCACATCTGTAATCTCTGCACTTTGGGAGGCCAAGGTGGGAGGATCACTTGAGCCCAGGAGTTCCAGACAAGCCTGGGCAACATAGTGAGACCCTGTCTCTACAAACCAAAAAAGGACAATAAAAAATTAGCCAGGTGTGCTGGTGCACACTTGTGGTGCCAGCTGTTCAAAAGGTTGTGGTGGGAAGATTTCTTGAGGCTGCAGTGAGCCATGAATGTGCCACTGCACTCCAGCCTGGGTAACGGAAAGAGACCCCATCTGAAAAACAAACAAACAAAAAAAGTTGGAGGAAAATGCAGGGTGTTACTAAAGAATAGTGTCCTATATGACAGCAATCTATTTGATGTGTATATTATACAGTGGGTTTTTCAAAAGTAAAGAATTTCCGATAAAATAAAAGATGGCTTAAATGGAGGTAGGTTAAAATATCAGGTCCACAGTTAGATGGGCTTTCTTAGTATAACTTAGTATTTGCTTACCAGCAAGAATTGGGCAACCCTAGGGAGGTAGATTTCAAATTCAATATTTATTTGTAAGAATCACTCAGAGCACTTGTTAAATTCAGATTATTGGCATTAATCCAAAGACACTGGCTCTGTAGAGAAACCCAAGATTTTTTTTTTTTTAACTGACATCCCAAGTGATTCTAGCAGAAGTGATCCACAGAACATATTTTGTAAATAATGACTTCGAATGTCCAGGCCTCCAGAAAGAATATACATTTTGATTTCTAACACCTAATATGACTTATCACCATTTTCATTTTTTCCTGATTATTTGGTGAGGTAGCCATCTGTAGAAAATTCAGCAAGTATTGAGAAATAAAATAATGATAATTCTCTCAGAATCTCATCATCCAGATTTAATATTTTAAGAATAGTTTTGTGTGTTTACATGGAGTGGTATGCACACACATACCTTTAATAAATTATATAATGAGAAATTTTTTAGAAAACCTTGTCCCCTCTGTATTAGTAAAGTCCTAGTACAATGAAGCAGAAGCCATACTTGGTGTTACAGACAGGGAATTGTTTAGCCAAATGTTGGAAACCTTCAGGATAATTAGGAAGGCCAGAAACTAGTGAGTGATAGAAGCAGCACCCTTTGTAAGACTAAGGAAATAAAAGATAATACTCAACCTAAGTGTCTATCAATGGACGAATGATGAATGGATACAGAAAATGTGGTATATATACACAACGGAATATTATTTAGCCATAAAAGAATGCAATCCTGTCATTTGCAGCAGCATAGATGAAAATTAAGGTCATTATATTAAGTGAAATAAGCCAGGCACAGAAACACAAATATCACATGTTCTGACTAATATATGGGAACTAATAAAATGGATCTCATAAAGCTAGAGAATAGATTGGTGGTTATGAGAGGCTGGGAAAAATAAGACAGAGGGAAGGATAAAGAGAGTTTGATTAGTGGCTACAAAAATACAGTTGAATATAGGAAATAGGACATACTGTCCAATAGTACAGTAGGGTAACTGCAGTTAACAGTAATTTATTATAGATTTCAAAATAGCTAGAAGAATTTGAATGGACTCAACATAAAAAAGAAGTATTTGAGGTTATGGATATCCTAATTACCATGATTTGATCACTAGCCATTGTATGCTTGTATCAAAATATTACATGTACCACAAAAATATGTACAGCTATTATGCATCAATAAAAATAAAAATTAAAAATGGTAATAAGTGTGACTTGGGACTTAGCAGCTCAAAGAAGGCATCACAACACAACTGGTACTTAGACAGCTGAGAGAATTCCAGAACTCCTGGTGACTTGTTCACCAAGGATTGTTAGTATCCGGACCTCCGAGGAGACACAGAGTGTATGGTAATGCCTTCCAAAGCCTGGCACTGCAGATATCTGCTCTTCCTGAAGCAGCACACAGAATGAGAGTTTCTTAACAGCTTTGCCTGCCAACAAATCTCCCTCTAATACTTCTTACTAAAGAAATATAAAAATAACCCAGATATCAAGTGAGTGTCCCCCTTCCAGTCCCTACATAACAGAGCAGTGATCTGTGGATCGCTTCTGCTAGAATCTCATGAGATTCCAGTTTAAAACAAACAAACATTGAAGGGTAGGCATGGAGCTGAGAAAAAAATCACTGTCACAGTCCAGCATCTGTACACTTCTATGCATATTAAACCTCTATAGAGTATCAATAACAGCTCAATCCTTGTTCCTAATAAAGTATGACAATTCTTGGTGCAAATGAAGACATCTTCACCTTCTCTTGAAAATTGTTAGATGTAAAGTTCTAGGAGTAAACTATGTCCAACGTATCCTCAATGCAGTGCTGGTGATTCTATCTATCACTATTTGAATACAAAACCACGTGAATATCCTACAACCCACAGACTCAAGTAAAAAGTTACCAACAATGATATTTACATGAAATAATAGAGAAATGAGAAGGGAAGGAAAAAACTTAGCCAGTGTTTGTAAATATATACATAACAATCAAGGGACAAAATAGCACTTTGTCCCTATTTTTCTCTCTACAATTTGTCTCAGGACTAGTTAATACTTATGACTTCACTGTTCCCTTGCCTTTTCCATCTTCACTTTGCTTAGTTGCTAAATGTTTTTATTAATTTTACTGTTGTACAGCAGTTGAAGACATTTGGCAGAAAAATTTTATAAATTTAATAGAAAGTTCTCCCTGGCCCAATAATGTAGCTTTAATCCAATTTCCCCTTAAAAATTGGGTGACAAAAATGAGTGAAGCTCCAGCACATGAGAAGTTTCCCTCCCTGACTCACCTTTCCAATAGCGATCTGTGCAACCCAGGCCAAGGGACAGCACCCTGCTTCTTCTAAGGCTGGGAGCTAATTTGTGGAAAGGCTGAGAGGCAGACAGAGGGAAGCTTCGGGCACTTCCTGAAATTAGGATGTCATTTTTAATCCAGGTTCATACAAAGTTAGTCATTGTTTGGTAACCTGGAAGTTGCGTTCCCTGCAGGCATTTTAGTTTTGGGCCAGAGATTGGAGCATTCTTTCTGGAGAGGGAAAAGGGCCTCCACAGCCAGAATTGAGTGGTGAGTATGGAGAGTACTCCAGCAGTAGATGCTGGAATTAGGCTCTCTCCTGTCTCATGAGTGGAACAGTAGGAGAGTCGCTGAAACAGAGGTTTCTCCTGGGCAATAAGACTTGCCACAGGGACAGCTTTGTGACCTGCAACTGGTCTTCATGTGTCATTGCTGGGTGCTCCAGGCTGCCCCCTTGATCAGCTTGAGAATAGTGACCCCCAGTTCCAATGAGCAGGAAGGAGGTGGAAACTTATCCCCTGCAGAACTAACCCTTGGCTCTGACTGCCCCTAAGGAAGAGGAAAGCACAGTCCACCAAAGTCTTTCTTGGATCAAAGGAAACATGAGCATGACACCAGCTGCTCTATTACCAAAGCCAGGGAAGAGAAGTGGAGAAGGGGTCATCTCTTGTCCCTTGCCCTCCCCACAATGTTGCAGACATGGCAGTGGCTCTTCCCACTGGGACCTGGGAAGCATGGGCTGAAAGAGGCCACTTCTCAGTCTTGTCCAGTGGCTCCACCCCTGCCAAAGGTAAGTGCCTGCTAGAATAGAGTGCTTCTTAAGCGTTTTAGTTGCCTTCACCCCCACTGAGGGTGACGACATGCAGAATAAGAGCCTACCTGCTGCTGGCTCTTACTCTCAAGCTTTATCTACTGGACCAAAGACTGACTTACATCACCCAACAAAAATATCACTACAAAAAGCAACATCTGAGGAAACCGCCAGATGTTCCACTCTGCAAACAAGGGAACCATACAGAGTTTTGGTCCTCTGAAAGCACCCAGAAATGAATCCAATTACTACATATACTACAATTATAACCTCAAGAGTAAAAAGAATAAAAATTTAAAATTCCCATCCAAACAATAGCAAGTTCAAAAAAGAAGTATCGGCTTCTTCAGATGAGAAGAAACCAGTGCAAGAACTCTGGCAATACAAAAAAAAAAAAAAAAAAAAAAAGTATTTTACCACCTTCAAAGGATTGCATTAGCTTCCTAACAATGGATCTTGACAAGAATAAATTTCTGAAATGACAGATACAGAATTCAGAATCTGGGTGGCAAGGAAACTAAATGAGATCCAAGAGAAAGTTGGTACCCAACCTGATGAAAACAAGAAAAATGATCCAAGATTTGAAAGAGGACATAGTTGTATTAAGAAATAAGCAAACAGAACTTCTGTAATTGAAACATTCACTGCAAGAATTTCAAAAAGCAACTGGGAGCCTTAATAACACACTAGTCAAAACGTAAGAAAGAATTTCAGAGCTTGAAGACTGGTCCTTTGAACCAATCCAGTCAGACAAAAGTAAAGAAAAAAGGGTTTCAAAAAACTGAATAAATCCTTGATAAATATATGATTATGTAAAGCAACCAAACCTATAATTTATTGGCATGCCTAAGAGAGAAAGTAAGAAATTTGGAAAATATATCTGAGTATATAATTCAGGAAAATTTCCCCAATCTTGCTAGAGAAGTCATCATGAAGATATAAGAAATCCAGAGAATTCCTGCATATACTATACAAGCTGGTCATCCCCAAATCATAGGCATCAGATTATCCAGTGTTGACTCAAAAGAAAAAATCTTAAAGGCATATAGAGAAAAGGGCCATATTACCTATAAAAGGAAACTCATCGAACTAACAGCCAACTTGTTACCACAAACCTTACAAGCCAGAAAAGATTAGGGTCCATTTTTAGTATTCTTGAAGAAAAGAAATGCCATCTAAGAATGTCATATGCCACCAAACTAAGCTTCATAAAGGGAGGAGAAATGAAGTCTTTCCCAGACAAGCAATCACTAAGGGAATTTACCACCACCAAATGGTCCTACAAGAAATGCTTAAGAAAGTTCTAAACATGAAAATGAAAGAATAATACTTGCTACCCCAAAAGTCTACATAAATGCACAGCCCACAGACCCTTTTGTAAAGCAACTGCACAATTGAGACTGCAAAGCAACTAGCAAAAAATACTATGATGGGAACAAAATCTTACACATCAATATTAACCTTGAATGTAAATAGCCTAAATGCTCAACTTAAAAGACATGGTGGCAAATTAGATGAAAAAACAAGATTCATTTTTCTGTTGTCTTCAAGAGAACCATCTTGCATATCATGACACCCATAGGCTCAAAGTAAAAGTATGGAGAAAGATCTATTATGCAAGTGGAAAATAAAAAGAGCAGGAGTTGCTATGCTTGTATCAGATAAAAAAGACTCTAAGCCAACAACAGTAAAACAGGACACTGAAGGGTGTTGCATAATGATAAAACATTCAATTTAGCAAGAAGATTTAACTATCCAAAATATATATGCATTCAACATTAGAGTACCCAGATTTATGAAACCATTACTTGTAGACCTATGAAAAGACTTAGATGGCCACGCAGTAATAACAGAGGACTTGAACACCACACTGACAGCAGGAAACAGATCAATGTGGCAGAAAACCAACAGAGGCATTCTGGAAATAAATTCAAGACTTGACCAATTGGACCTAAGAGACATTTACAGAATATTCCACCTAACAACTACAGAATAAATATTCTTCCCGTCTGCATATGGAACATTTTCTAAGATTGAGTGTGCACTTAGTCATAAAGCAATTCTCAATGCATTAAAAAAATCAAAACCATACCAAGCAATTTCTTGGACCACAGTGGGATAAAAATAGAAATCGATACCAAGAGGAACCCTAATACCTGGAAACTAAACAATTTAATCCTGAAAGACTTCTGGGTGAACAAAAAAAATAAGGCAGAAATAAATGAAAACAGCGACACAACATATCAAAACCTCTGGAATGCAGCAAAAGCAGTCTTGAGAGGAAATTTTACAGTACTAAACACCAACATTAAGAAGATAGATCTCAATAACCTAATGGCACACCTAAAGGAACTAGAAAAAGCAAAAAGAAACCTCAAACTAGCAGAAGAAAAATGACTAAAATCAAAGCAGAATTCAATGAAATTGAGACTATAAAAACTAGACAAAGAATCTACAAAACAAAAAGTTGGATCTTTGAAAGGATAAACAAGATTGATGGACTGCTAGCTAGATTAACAAAAAAAGGAGGTAAGATCAAAATAAGCACAATCAGAAATGACAAATATGACATTACAACTGATTCCACAGAATATAAAAGATGGTCAGAGACTACTGTGAATGCCTCTACGCACACACACTAGAAAATATAGAGGAAATTGATACATTCTTAGAAGATACAACCTCACAATATTGAATCAGGAAGAAATTGAAGGCCTGAACATACCAATAACAGGTCACAAAATCAAATCAGTAAAAAGCAAACAACAAACAAAAACAAACAAAAAAATTACCAACCAAAAAAATATATTAAAAAAATTTTTGTAAGCCCTGTACCAGGTGGATTCACAGCCAAATTCTACCAGACATACAAAGAAGAGCTGGTACCAATTCTATTGAAGCTATTCAAAAAATTCAAGGGAAGGGATTACTTCTTATCTGATTCTATCAATTGAATAATTGCCTGATACCAAAAAACTGGCAAAGGCATGACAGTAAAAGAACACTACAGGTCAATATTCCTGATGAATATAGATGCAAAAAATCTCGATAAAATACTAGCAAACCAACTCCAGCACCACAACCAAAAATGACTCACCATGATCAAATGGGCTTTATTCCTGGGATGCAAGGATGTTTCAACATAAGTGAATCAACAAATGTGAGTCAGCACATAAGTGGAATTAAAAACAAAAACCACAGAATCATCTCAATAGACAAAGAAAGGGAATTCAAGAAAATCCAACAATCCCTTCATGATAAAAACCCTCAACAACCTAGGCATTAAGGGTGCACACCTCAAAATAAGAAGAGCCATCTATGACAAAACTACATCATACTGAATGGGGAAATGTTGTAGGCATTCCCCTTAACAACCGGAACAAGACAAGGATGCACACTCTTGCAGCAGGACAGGCTGCAGACAAAACCCCCCATCTCAAGAACCAAGCTCCCTGAAGAAAAAGTTCCTGGCCCTTTTAAGGGTTTACAGCTCTAAGGGGGTCCACGTGAAAGGGTCGTGATTGATTGAGCAAGCATGGGATATGTGACTATGTCCACATACGTTAGTGGTGGTGGTGAGCAGGGCAAGTATTTCTCCATACCATTGTCTGCGATCTATAGATAACACATGTGGTTAGAGATGGGGGTTAATCTTTAATCTCAGGCCTGGTCAGTGGTGCTGGTTTGTCTTGCCACTGAATTCATTCCTGTTGTTTTTCAGCTTTTACTTCCTCCTTCTCTTCAGAAACAGGAGACAGTAAGAGAAATGGTCTCGCTCCTCATTCCCCACTTTGAGAACCTCACTTACTAGTGAGAGTTCTCACTCTCGTCTTCACTACCCAGGTCTTCCTGTCAAACAGATCGATAGTGATTCATGTAATACACTTGTGCCAAAGTCTTTTGATGAACAAGGTGGTAATAAAGCCTTCCATTGTTTGAAGGAGCAAGGGTAGCAAGCAGGGAAGCAGCAAGCAAGTTCCTAGCACTAATAATACACCTATGATAGGAGTTTTGAATCCTCCTATAGCTGGAAACCATTTACCAAACAGGGATGCAGGATCAAACCCAGGCCAAACCTGCAAAAGCACATGTGCCAACTTTGTCATGTCTCTGAATATATTTTCAACTACTTGTCCTTGATCACATATTTGCAGACAGCAATTGGTCAATTTGAATTTTCCACAGACTCCTCCTTCAGCTACCACCAAACAGTCTAGGGCCAATCTATTCTGACAGATGGCATTTCTCATTTGGGTTTCCTGCCGGGCTAAAAGAGTCAAAGCTCTGCCAGTTTCATTAGTCATTATTTCTAAAACAACCTGTAACCGTATGATCCAGTTGAGCATTTAGATGGGGTTTTGGTATCCCCACAAGCTGTCTGGTGCCCATGTGGCAGGCCTATAGTACTACATAATTCTTTCAGGGGGCCACTCATCATCTTTCCAATTACCTATGGTTATGCTTCTTTTCTCTTGGGAGGTATAGACAGGGAAACCTAGAAGCTCACCTGTCCTTATGGGTAGCAGGAAAAAGGATGGCTTAATGGTGCCAATGACACAATTCCCTGCCTATTGGTCAGGTAATTTGGTGTAGGCTCTATGCCCACACATTCAATACAGTCCAGCGGGAGTTGTCCAGTCCCGATGAAATTCTGGATGGGCCCAAACAGTTTGCAACTTAGTAAACTTACTGAATGGGTTCTTTTCAGTATGGTTTAGGCCCCACCAGGTGACTATCTTTGCTGTGCTGTTATACAGCTCTTGTCCTAGGCAACTGAGCTTTCCCACAGGGGCGGTGAAGTTTTTCCCTTCTCTAGCTATGCAATATTGCCCAATAATGGAACTCTTTAAGACCCAGAAGTTGCTAGTTTGGGCCTTCTGGAATAGAGTTAGGTCAGGAACTGGATCAGTAGGCACCAGTTCTCCGGCTTCCCAAGGCCATCAGTCTCCCATAGTGGTTCCTCCACATACATATCAGGAAGTAACATTGAGGGAATGAGCTAAATTTTCAGCTAGCTGGAGAAACAAGCTCTTTGTCTTTTTTGGAAGCTCTGGCACTGGCAGATTCAGCTCATCATAAAAGGTCTGAAACTCTGGTTTGGGAGAGCACCTGTATACCTCCCCTTGGACTGAAATACTAACTCGGGGGTCGAGCCCAACCCCATCGATTCCTAGGGTTACATATTCTCCTGTTCTCTAGTGAGGGTCTTAAGGGTTAGTAATTATTAGTTCTAATGGGTTACAATGACCAGTGGTGCAGGAGGGATTGTCCTTCCCTTTCTGAAGGTGGACAGGGTTGTTTGCATCCTTTTTCCAGGTGGCCCAAATGACACAGGACCAGTAACTACATTCATTATGACACAGTCCTAATTCATGACAAACATACTTATTTTCTACTATATAGTCCCTTTCCCAATCCAGAAAGCCACATATTATTCCATTTCCATACGGGTCACTGTTGATTGCTGCACAGGCATCAACTTTTAAGATAATTTGTTTGGGGACTCCTTTTTCTTCTGTTCTAGTTATTACTTTACTTGTGTCAGTTTTTCCCCAGTTGCCAGTCCTCAATCTTATTTCAAAAACTGTAGTCATAGGGGGCTCAGATGGCTTATAGCACACATCAGGCTGGTCACTTCCTGGGCTACATACCTTGTACTGAGTGGCATTATACAAACAAGTCCCTTTTTGAGTTCCAGTAAATTCATAATAACTATAAAACAGAAAGACTGTTTTAACCTCTTGCCCTACCTCAGTAACTTGATGTATGCATTGGGAACAGTCCTCAGTCTGAGGAAGGTCAGTTGAAGTCCTTATTGTACAAGTCCAAATTTTAAGGAAAATGAGTCCCACGATGAGTTTCCTCATGCTTTGGCCATGTATAGACAGCTTCCAGGTGTGACTGGAGCAGGGCTTGTCGTCTTCTTCAGAGTCACTTTGCAAGGGTTGTCTGGGTCTGGTCTCACCTCCCAGGTCTCAGATGCTGCAGGTTTCACGTGGCTGTGGTGGATCCAGGCTGGGATTCTCTCTACCTTCACAGCTGTCGGAGTGGTCAAGCCTTTCCACCGTGGCCGCAAGGGGCTACGTTCCAGTTCTTGATCCTCATCGATCACCTCCACATTTGGGGATCTCAGTGAAGTCTACCTGGAGATCTTACTGTTCCATAAGCTTGTATGCCAGGCGGGATGGTTGGACCCTGCCTAGCATTGTGCTGCTGGCAGGTGACACACTGCTGCACCCCTGTCTTGGCAAGGGCTGACAGATGTGAGATGTAGAAGTACCAACCTAACAACTTTTCAAGTGACTCTTGGCCTAGATGGGTAATCTCATGTATAGCCAGTACAACTGCGGCTCCTAGCAGCTGTGGCACAGCTATTCTTCCATCTGGCAACTGGATCCATCCCTCCTCTACCACATGTCCTCCCTCTGCCTGGAGAAACTCCTTTTTTTCTTTATAATAAATAGGCACAAGGTCAGGTACCTGAGGGAGCAGGGGGGCTGTGACTGATGCCCGGTAGGGGGTGGATGCAGCTTTTCAAGGCTCTGAGCCAGCTCGGGAGTTCCCTAAAGCAACTGAGGTAGAAGCTCACTGGTGTCCTCCGCAGTGCATGACTGCCACCCCTTGGGGCTTCCACACTGCCTCTAATAGTTGCAGGATCTCTTGCTGATGTTTTATGTCCTTTCCCCCAGAGTTTAACAGGCCTTTTTCCTTGTATAATGCCCCATGCACTTGGAGGGTTAAAAAGGCATACCAAGAGTCAGTGTAAATGTTTACAGTCTTACCTTCACTTAACTCTAAGACCCGAATTACAGCAATGAGTTCGGCTTTCTGGGCTGAAGTACCCTGGAGCCATGGTTTGGCTTCAATGACAGCGTGCAGGGTTACCACTGCCTATCCCACACACCTCTCTCTTTGTAGGTTGATGAAGCTGCTCCCGTCCACATACAGCTCCCAGGCTACCGATGTCCAAGACTGGTCTCACAGGTCAGGTCTGCTAGAATAAACTGAGTCTAATGCTTCTACACAGTTATGTTCAACTGGGATCTCTGATACCGGGAGCAAGGTGGCAGCGTTCAGGGTATTGCAAACTTCAATGGTTATGCGGGGATTCTCACAGAGCAAGCTTTTGTACCTAGTTACTCTAGCATTCCTTAGCCAATGATGTCCTTTGGTATTCATTAAAGTCACTACAGCATGGGGGGCCTTTATGTCCAGCTTTTGCCTAAGAGTCAGCTTATCCGCTTTTTGTGCTAGCAGGGAAGTTGCTGCCAAGGCCCT
Source organism: Homo sapiens (assembly GCF_000001405.40). NCBI lineage: Eukaryota > Metazoa > Chordata > Mammalia > Primates > Hominidae > Homo > Homo sapiens. Next base: position 17,301,042 of record NC_000012.12, on the reverse strand, counting down.
CAAACATGGGGGCCAATGTTTAGAAACCCCATCTTGTTGTTTAGAGAGGTAGGCCACCAGCCTCAGCCAAGGCCCCACAGTCTGGGTTAAAACTCCAACCGCCATCTTTTCTCTCTATGACACATATAGTGTAAATGGCTTTGTCAGGTCAGGCAGCTCCAGGGCTGGGGCCGACATGAGTTTCTTTTTTTAACTCATGAAAAGCTTGTTGCTGTTGGGACCCCAATTCAAAAGGTTCCTTGTCGCCCCACTTTGTGACTTCATACAGGGGCTTGGCCAGTATTGCAAAGTTTGGGATCCACAACCTGCAGAATCCCACAGCTCCTAAGAATTCTCTCACCTGCCTTCTGGTCTTAGGCTCTGGTAGATTGCAAATGACCTGCTTTCTTTCTGATCCTAGGCTGCACTCTCCCTATCAGATAGTAAATCCCAGGTAACGTACCTGCTGTCAGCAGATCTGAGCTTTTTTCTTGGACACCTTATACCCAAAGTCCTCCAGGTGCCAGAGCAGGGTATCCATTCCCTTGGCTCACTCGACTGCTGTGGGGTGTCCCAGCAGGAGGTCGTCAACGTACTGAAGCAACATGCAGCATAGGCCTCTGGCGGGAAACTTCTGCAGGTCTCGAGCCAGCGCCTCCCTAAAGATGGTGGGGGAGTTCTTGAACCCTTGGGGGAGCCGGGTCCAAGTGTACTGAGTGGTGACACCTGACCCCACTGAAAGACAAACAGTTTCTGGCTCTCAGGGTCTAGTCTGATGCTAAAGAAAGCATCTTTCAAGTCCAGACAGGTGAATCAGCTATCCTCAGCTAGCAACAATCCTAACAACGTGTACAGGTTAGGTACTGCTGCATACAAAGTCACTGTAGTTTGGTTGACCAAGCGCAAATCCTGTACCGGAATGTGTCCTTGCCCCTGGCTTGGGAACAGGCAGGAGGGGATACTGACAAGAGACCACAATTCCAAAGGCCCTCAGGTGCATGAGATGGAGCTGGATAACTTCAAGAGCTTCTCTGGGGACTGGGGACTGTTTTTGCCTGACCGGCTGGGCCCCAGGCTTAACTTCTATGGGTACGGGGGCTTGGTTGACTGTCAACCCTGGGGGTTGTCTTCTGCCCACACCTTTGGCCACCGCTCAGCCAGGGCTCGTCCTATCTCTTGGCCTGACTCTGTTAAGAAGAGTCTCCATTCCTCCTCCCGAGGAACCATGAGGGCCATGATGACCCTTGTTCCAGGTAACTTTAGCTGTAAAGAGCTGTACTTTGTAAAAGAGAAGGTGGCTCTCAGCTTGCTAAGTAACTCCCTTCCTAGAAAAAGCAAGGGGCAGTCAGGCATGTATAGGAACTGGTGAATCACTTCGTATCCCCCTACAGTACAGGCCCAGGGCAAACAGAAGGATTGCTTTGCTGAAACCCCCATAGCTCTAATTATATCAATAGTCTTTTTGGATAAGGGGGTGACTGGGGTGGTCACCACTAAATGTTCAGCACCAGTATTGACTAGGAAATCAATGTCTTTGCCCCCAACTGTCATTCTGACCATGGGCTCCCTGGGGACACTTGAGCCCAGTCCCCCTCAGTCCAGTAACCCTTCTGCCAGATTGAGCAGGGCCCCTTCATCCTTGTCTGAGGCCTCTTGCTCTGAGCCTTGTTTTCCTTTTTGGTGAGGGCACTTATTCTTCCAGTGTCCCATTTCTTTACAATAAGCACACTGGTTACACTGCAAACATGGACAGTCAGACTGCATATCTTCCCCGGGGCCCCCCTTATTTTGCCCCTTCAGGGGGACCCCTCTAATAGCTGTGGCTAGCAAGTTGGCATTTCACTGGGCTTGGCGCTCATTTTTTTTTTTTTTTTTTTTTTTTTTTGCGGTTCTCTCTACGGCTTTCTGCGTCTCTGTTCACAAACACCTGGTTGGCTATCTCTAATAACTGTGAAGTATTCATGCCTGCAAACCCAGACTGTTTCTGCAGTTTTCTTCTAATGTCTTTGGTGCTTTGAATAACTCAAGCCATGTTAATCATGTGCTGATTTTTGGGGCTATCAGGATCAAAGGGAGTATACAGATGATAGGCCTCACACAGTCTCTCGTAGAATCATGCTGGACTTTCTTCTTTTCCCTGAATGACCTCAGAGACCTTGATAATGTTTGTGGCCTTCTGAGCTCCCTTATTTAGCCCCTCTAAAAGGGCTTCTCTGTATCGACTTAGTCTTTGCATGTCCTGTCTCACATTCGGATCCCACTGGGGGTCTCTTCCTGGTAGTTGGGCCCTCGCATACTCTTGGGGGTTTTGGTAATCAGCCAGAACACATTCTTCCAGCCACTTAGTTGCTGCTTGGAGCACTCTCCTCCTTTCATCTGTGTTAAAGAGGTACATGAGCAACTGGTGACAATCAGCCCAGGTAGGGTTGTGGGTCTGGATAACAGTTTGGAGTAAATCAATTAGAACTTGTGGCTTTTAGGTATAGGATGGGGTATTGCTTTTCCAGTTGAGGAGATCGGCAGAGGTGAAGGGCCAGTACACAGAAACACACCTTCCCACCATATGCCCATCCTCATCTATCCCAGTATACTGCTGCTCTCTCAGGGGCGTTTGTATCCTGGTCTTAGGTCGCAAATAAGCTGCCAAGAGAGGAATCTCTCCCAAGGCCTCCCATCCTCTCTTTCCTACTCTGGGTGGCCTAGGGGTGTGTGGGCATCGTGGAAGCGCGGGCGCCGTGGGCTCAGGAGCAGGGAGTCTCTCTTCCCAGTGGGTGGGGAGGGGCACCACCAGTGCCATTTCTTGCAATGAGTCCTCTGATGCTGGGTCGGAGAGAACTTTAGGAGATGATTTCCCTTGGTGGGTGGAGCGGGATCCTTCCCTGGCTGTCTGTCCTTTTGCCACTAGTACTGCTGCTGCCTGTCCTCTTAACCACTGTGGTGGGTCTAATACCAGCTGTAACCAGGTGTCTATGTATGGAAACTTGTCTGGGTGCCCCAGCTTGTCTGATACCTTGTGCCATACTTTGGAAACAAGGGACCTGTCTAGTTTCCCTCTGATGGCCACCCCACCTCGAATGCCAGCCAGTCTATTTCATACAAAGTTCTAAGTTTTCCTGGAGTCATAGTAACTCCATAGTCTCCATGAAATCCTTCCTTGAAATTCTTTAACATAGTTCCTAATGGAGTGGGCTTACTTTGCGTCCCACCCATCTTCCTCCTGAGACAAAATGACACTCACACTGCAAGAAGGAAAGGGTAAAGGGGTCACTCACTCACCTCGCCCATCTCAAACACAAGCACTCACTCACTTTCACTTTCCTTTCTGCAAACAAGTCAAGCCAAATCAAAATCAAAACTGAGACCAAAGTGCTGATACGGGCACACCGTGTGTGATGAGGCCACACTTCCACTCAAATGGAGTGGGCAAGTTCCCAGGACTGGTCCTACTGTGTTCCAGATGTCCGGACTCCAAGCTCTGGTTCCTTCCTGGTGTTCACCCGCTGTGCTGATCCTCCATGGGTGTCCGCCATGCACCCTTCTAACAAGGCTTTCCACCAGGGCAAATGCCTACCTGGGAGCCCTCTCAGGATCCACGTCGCTCAAGTTGGCTGGAGTCCCCTGCAGGGATGCTCCACAGGGCAGGCCTAAGCCACCTAAGGGGCTGCCTCGATTGTCAGTCAATCACTTCGCTTTCCAGTCAGGGAACCAAGAAATGTAGCAGGACGGGCTGCAGACAAAACCCCTCAGATACAGGGTTAAAGAAGGAAGAGGCTTTATCTGGCCGGGAGCATTGGCAGACTTGTGTCTCAAGAACCGAGCTCTCCGAAGAAAAAGTTCCTGGCCCTTTCAAGCGCTTACAACTCTAAGGGGGTCCATGTGAAAGGGTTGTGATTGATTGAGCAAGCATGGGGTACATGACTATGTCCACATACGTTAGCAGTGGTGGTGAGCAGGGCAAGTATTTCTCCATACCATTGTCTGTGATCTATAGATAACACATGTGGTTAGAGTTGGGGGTTAATCTTTAACCTCAGGCCTGGTCAGTGGTGCTGGTTGGTCTTGCCACTGACTTCATTCCTGTTGTTTTTCAGCTTTTACTTCCTCCTTCTCTTCAGAGACAGGAGACAATAAGAGAAATGGCCTCTCTCCCGACTCTCACCACCCTTAGTCGACATGGTAATGAAAGTCATAGCCAGAGGAATTAGGCAAGACAAAGAAATAAAAGACATCCAAGTAGGAAAAGATGGAGTCAAATTATCTCTCTTCACTGACTATATGATTCTATTCCTGGAAAAACCTAAAGATTCTGCCAAGACTCCTAGACCTGATAAACAACTTCAGTGACATTTCATGATACAAAATTTGCATACATAAATCAGTAGGATTTCTATACACCAATAAGATTCAAACTGAGTTCCAAAAAAAGTAATACCACTAAAATAGCCACAAAAAATACATAAGAATACATCTAACAAAGGAAGTAAAAGATCACTACAAGGAGCATTACACAGCACTGATGAAGGAAATAATAGATGACACGAACAAGTGAAAAAGCATTCCATGCTCATGATTGGAAGAGTCAATACCATTAAAATGTTTACACTGCTCAAAGCAATCTACAGATTCAATGCAATTCCTATCAAATTACCAATGTCATTTTCACATAATAGAGAAAATAATTCTAAAATTCATATGAAACCAAAAAAGACCCCAAATAGCCAAAACAGTCCTAAGCAAAAAGAACAAAGTCACAGGCATCACATTACCTGACTTCAAACTATACCACAAGTCTACAATAATTAAAACAGTATTATACTGATACAAAAATAGACACCTAGACTAATGGAACAGGTTGGAGAACCCAGAAATAAAGCCTCACATCTATAAGCAACTATTCTTTGACAAAGTTGACAAAAATTAACAATGAGGAAAGACATCCTATGCAATAAATGGTGCTGGGAAAACTGGCTAGCCATATGCAGAAGAATGTAACTAGACTTCTACTTCTTACTGTATACAAAATTTAACTCATGATGAACTAAACAAATATAAGACCGCACACCATAAAAATCCTAGAAGAAAACCCAGAAAATATCCTTCCAGACATTGGCCTAGACAAAGAATTTATGACTAAGTCCTCAAAAACAAATACAACAAGAACAAAACTTGATAATAATAGGAGCCTAATAAGGAACTTCTGCAAAGCAAAAGAAACTATTGACAGGGTAAACAGACAATCTAAATAATGGAAAAAATAATTTCAAACTATGCACCTGACAAAGAACTAATATACAAAATCTATAAGGAACTTAAATCAACAAGAAGAAAACAAATGACCCCATTAAAAGAGGGCAAAGGACATGAACGGACACTTCTGAAAAGAAGACTTACAAGTGGCCAACAAATACGTGGAAAAATGCTCCCCATTTCTAATAATCAGAGAAATGTATATCAAAACCACAATGAGCTACTATCTCACATGGGCCAGAATGACTATTATTAAGAAGTCAGGGCCAGGCATGGTGGCTCACGCCTGTAATCCCAGCACTTTGGGAGGCCGAGGCGGGCGGATCACGAGGTCAGGAGATTGAGACCATCCTGGCTAACACGGTGAAACCCCGTCTCTACTAAAAATACAAAAAAATTAGCCGGGCGTGGTGGCGGGCACCTGTAGTCCCAGCTACTCAGGAGGCTGAGACAGGAGAATGGCGTGAACCCGGGAGGCAGAGCTTGCAGTGAGCCGAGATTGCACCACTGCACTCCAGCCTGGGCAACAGAGCAAGACTCCGTCTCAAAAAAAAAAAAGAAAAAAGAAAAGAAAAGAAAAGAAAACGAAGTCCGATAACAACAGATGATGGCAAAGGTGAGTAGAAAAGGGAACACATACACCTTTGGTGGGACTGTAAATTAGTTCAGCCGCTGTGGAAAGAAGTTTGGAGATTTCTCAAAGAACAGAAAGTAGAACTACCATTTGACCTAGCAATCCTATCACTGGGTATATCCCTAAAGGAAAACAAATGATTTACCAGAAAGAAATCTGCACCAATATGTTTATCAGAACAGTATCCACAATATCAAAAACATGGAATATCAAAAACATGGAATCTACCTAGATGCCCACAAATGCTGAACAGAATAAATAGAATGTGGTATATATACATTATGGAATGCTAGAATGCTAAATAGCCATAAAAAAAGAACAGAATCATGTTCTTTGCAGGAATATGGATGCAGCTGGAGGCCATTATCCTAAGTGAATTAACATAAAAACAGAAAATCAAATACTGCAAGTTTTCACTCACAAGTGGGGACTAAACACTGGGTATGCATTGACATAAATATGTAAAAAATACACAATTGGGATTCCAAATGAGGGTAGGGAAGGAGGTAGGAAAGGGCTGAAAAAACTACCTACTGGATACTACGCTCACTATATGGGTGATGGGATCAATAAAAGCCCAAACTTCAACTTCATGCACTAGATCTATGTAACAATCCTGCATTTGTACCCCCAAATCTAAAACAAACAAAAAACTTGGGATCAGTCAACCTAGTCAGTGATTCTGAGGCAGTATCTAAAATCACCAGTGTACAAAGTTGAGGGAATAGACAGCAAAAATTACAATAGCCTGGAAACCAGAAGCTGTATTAGCCTATTTTAAAGAAAAATATTTTATTGATTATTACTATTTATAGTATAATTATTATTTGTTTGTATTCAATTGGATACATAGTTGAAGATGGAAAATGTTTAAGAAGGAAGTTTTAGGTTGAATTTAACCCTAAGAAGGATAGAAAGTTATGGAAAGATTTTGTGCAGAGGAGTGCCCCCTGTTTTTTAAAGTATTACTTCAGTGTTTCTGTGAAAAGCATAGACTGAAAAAAGTTGGGTTCTTTTGAGTATACCAGACAAAAGATGATGGCAAATCAGTTGAGAATGTTAGTTAGCTGTGGAATGGCTGTGAGAAGTGGTTGGATTCTGAACACTTTTTGAAGATAAAATTAACAGCATTGGAAGATAGATTTGAGCTAAGGTATGGAATAAAAAACGGAAAAAGACTACTCCAAGATTTTTGTCCTCATTAGTTGAAAGGATGTATTTGTCTTTAAGGCACTTGGGATAATCAGATTTTTTTTTCCAAAATATCACATTATACTGGATATATCGATCTGCAAGTTCTATTATATGCTTCAGCTGTATCCCCATCCTAAATCTCATCCTGAATTGTAATCCGAATTGTAATCCCCACATGTTGAGGGTGGAATCTTGTGGGAAGTGATTAGATCATGGGGGTGTTTCCCCCATGCTGTTCTCCTAATAGTGAGTGAGATCAATAAAAGCCCAAACCTCAGCTTCATGCAATGTATCTATGTAACAACCCTGCATTTGTATCTGCAAATCTAAAACAAAGAAACAACAACAAAAGTTGGGATCAGTCAACCTGGTCAGTGATTCTGCAGCAGTATCTAAAACCACCAGTGTACAAAGTTGAGGGAATGAAGAGGAAAAACAACAAAAATGGATAATGGGTAGTCTGGAAACCGGAAATTGTATTAGCCCATTTTACATAAAATATATTGTATTGATTATTACTATTTTTATAACGAGATCTCATGAGCTCTGATGGGTTTATAAGGGATTTTTCCCCCTTCACTCTGCACTTCTCTCTCCAGCTGCCATGTGAAGAAGGATGTGTTTGCTTCACCTTCTGCCATGATTGTAAGTTTTCTGAGGCCTCCTGAGCAATGCGAAATTGTGAGTCATTTAAACCGTCTTTTCTTTAAATTACTCAGTTATTTATAGCATGAACTAATACAGTCTATAATGTTGAGTGGATTGGTTATGGTAAAATATATACTGCAAACTTAATCAATTACAGATTATTTGATAGAAAAATATAAAAAGGAAGAGAAAGGTCTCAAACTGAAAAAAACAATATTTTTAACCATGAAAAGTTAGTACTATTGTAAGATAATAAATAATAAAGATAATTTTCTCAATGTTGACTTTGAACAGCATTTACTGATAGGATATTAATTTAAAAAATAAATGTAAGTGTGTTATGAACAATATAATCTCAATTTAAAAAAATATGTGTGAATGTGTATATAAATGCATCAAACAATACATAGGATTGTTTCTTTTAAGTGGCTTTTGTTTTCACCCTGTAATTTATCCTGCATTTTCCAAATTGTCTGAAGAGAAAAATATAAATAGATGACAACTGAAATACTGAATATCAGGAAGTAGATTTATGTGCCTCATTTTTAACTCAAAAAGCTACTCTCAGCTGGGCGCGGTGGCTCACACATGTAATCCCAGCACTTTGGGAGGCCGAGGCGGGCAGATCACGAGGTCAGGAGATTGAGACCATCCTGGCTAACATGGTGAAACCTCGTCTCTACTAAAAAATACAAAAAAAAAAAAAAAATTAGCTGGGCTTGGTGGCAGGCACCTGTACTCCCAGCTACTCGGGAGGCTAAGGCAGGAGAATGGCGTGAACCTGGGAGGAAGAGCTTGCAGTGAGCTGAGATCACACCACTGCACTCCAACCTGGGCGACAGAGCAAGACTGTGTATCAAAAAAAAAAAAAAAAATTACTCTCATTTCTACAATCACCTTATATGTTTAGCCAATATATTATATTGATAATATGATGGATTTTTCCCTTCAAAATACTTCATTCATATTAGGCATTTTTAGTGCAGTATGAAGAACATATAGCTGCCAGTTACAAATCGCTGACAAGATGTTATCATCACCTCCTCACACGTATCTATCTATTATATTTCCTCAGGCATTGGAAAACTTTCCAATTGTCTTATTTTAGAAAACAATCCACACACAGAGAAATGTGTAGGATGCAGCAATGCAAATTTTATATCACCTTCTCCACATACTTTTATTTGTAAAAATGTGCTATCTATAAAGATTTCTACATCTATTGAAATTGATATTCTATATTTTTGATGAAGAGACCATACTATTGAAGCCTCAAGGATGCCAGCCAAATAATGTTGAGAAGTTACAAATATTGTCTTGGTGTGGTTAAAGTTTAAATGATTTATGTCTGTTTAGTCTAATGAAAAAAGACATGGAAAAACATAGCAACTCTATAAAATAAAAATAAAAGTAATACAGAGAACAGAACATGGTGGTTCTCATTACAGTTCTCAATTTAAAACAAAAGAAGAGAAAAAGAAGAAAATGAAAGAAAAAAGAAAACTGAAGGGACTAAATTAGGCTTGTAGTAAATACAAAGATAAAAGGCATCTTTGAATTCTTGTTTTGGCGATTTCCATTTGCTGAGTACATAGTAGGTACGTATTAAACATCTTTTGGTGGATCAAAAAGTATATTTTTAAACTGTGTTGCAGATGGAAATGATTTGGGAGATAATTTTGCCTAAAACTTCTATTCTAACATCAACAAAGAAAATCACCTAAAGAATCAGTGGAAACACAGAGTAATCATGGTACAAGAAGATTGTTCTGGAACTAGGAGGAAACACTGAAGGCTTAATAAATTAAAGTCTTTGGTTTTCATTGAAGAACACATGGAAGAAAAATGGCTACCCTCAAAAATCACTTTAGAGCTGACAAGGTCACACATTTCTCTTATACACATTGTAAGGACGTATGGTATCTATCACTGGCTGATAAAATATTGTAAATAAATCCTGAAATCAATTGTCTCATTCAATGGTTGTAAAATTGTGCATTATAAGCTTGTATCCTGTTTTTGAAATGACCATAGTAGATTTTCAGTGAATGAGAAATTTCCAAAGAAGACTGAAGCTTTTAAATTGGATTTTTAGGGCTTCTTTTGCTTGTTTTGTTATTCTCGCAGTCACACGATAGGGTCAGTAGTCTTCATTTCTAGCCCACCAGTGTACAGTGAAGTACATGGTTAAACTGGAATATGAGATTAGGGCTTACATTTCCAAATCATTCAGTTGACTCAGTCATTTATTTATTTGCTAAGTGTATGTTTACTAAGTACCTATAAGGGTCTAGATATCTTCTCAACTCTAGAACATATCAGAAAAAGGAGAGAATACTGATAAAATTTGTGTCCCTGTGGAATGTATGTTATTTTGAAGGAAACAGGCCAAAAAAAAGTAAGAAAATGTATAGTCTAATTTCAAATAAATATAAATTCTATAATAAAAGGAAAATAGGATTATGGTGTGGAGAAATAACTGTGGTGTAAATGGAGATTTCTTTAACTAGGATGATCAGGGAATTGACATTTGAACAGAGTCCTACATTGTAGGAAGGTAGAAATTTAAAGATTTAAAAAAAAATTTATTTTAGGAATACTAAACATTAAATGTAATGTCCTTGAAATTTAAAGAAAAAAAAAACTTCAACATAGAGTCCTGAAAACAGAAGAGAGTGGACAAAAAAACAGGTGTGGTCAGAAAACGACAATGACAAACTTTTTTCTATTTTTTGAGATTCGTCTTTTGAGAGTAATGGATGCCAGTGAGATAGGAATGGACACAGGGTTAGCTGCTGTAGTTCAGGAAAAAGATATATATACCATATAGCATATATTATACATCTATAAACATAGTAATTAACTAGAATAAATCACTTAGGAAGACAAATGACAATGTATTGACAAGTCTTCCCTGACTTCTATCATAAATAGAATCCCCCTTTCTAGTCACTCTACCCTTAGCCTACTTTATTCTATTATAGCAGACACAACCAATATATAAATACTAAGTATTTGTCAGCTTATTTTTCCCTGCCTTCCTCCAATATTGTTACTATAGACTTAATGTTACATCCTTTAAACCCCAAGTTTATATGTGGAAACCCTAATTCCCAGTGTGATGGTATTTGGAGGTGGGGCTTATAGAATGTATTTAGGTTTAGATGATGTCAGGAGAGCAAGGACCCCGTGATTTAATCATTGTCCTTATAAGAAGAGGGAGAGAAGGCCAGAGGCCCCTACCTTCTCTCTCTACCATGTGAGGATACAGGAAGAAGTCAACTGTCTGTAAGGCAGAAAGAGGGCCCTCATCGGAACAGAATACACTGGTGCATTGATCTTGGACTTTCCAGCCTCCACAACTGTGAGAAATCAATGTCTGTTGTCTAATCCATTCAGCCTACAGTATTTTGTTATAGCCGACTAAGCAGATGATAAAACAGAAATATACTTAAGTTTGGTTTAAGAATTATTCATATACCTAGATTATATCTTTGGCCTTTCCTCTCATCAAATCTTTTTGTCTCCTCTCATTTTTCTTTGCTAATTATATACCCTTCTCTGGAAGATCTCAATTACATCTTGGGCTCTATTTACAAAACATATTTCTATAACTCTAAGATATTTATATCCAGCTCAGAACCCTCCTCCTAAATCAAGATGTATATTTCTAACCAGTTCCTAGATATCATGACTTGGAAATACTATAGGAATTACAAACTCAACACATTTAAAATGGAACTCATCAGAAACTTACCATTTCTTCCAATGCCACTTTCTCAATTTCCTATGGCATCCTGTTGTCAACAGAATACAAAAATTATCTAAATTCTTCATTTTTCCATACACTGTATAATGTAACTTTGCAGCTGCTGCCATCAAAAAGTGGAGTCTGTCTTCCCATTCTTTGAATCAGAAGCGACATCAAGGCCTTCTGGCTTTCTGCATTCAGGCTTTTAAAAATTTTTATTATTTTAAAGGACTCATAATAATTGTTTGTACATATTTATGTATAGTGTGATATTACCTTATAGGTGCACAATGTGTAATGATCAAATCAGGGTAATTAGCATATCCATCACCTCAAACATTTTCATTTATTTGTGTTAGGAACTTCAAAATCTTCTCTTCTAGCTATTTGAAAATGTACAATAAATTATTGCTGCCTAAAGTCACCTCACCGTGCTAAAAAACACTAGAACTTATTCTTCCTGTCTAGCTGGAATTGTCTCTAACTCAAACTTTCATTACCCATCTCTTCCTGAGACCCATTCCAGCCTCCAACACCCATAGTTCTACTCTTTATTTCTATGAGAGCAATTTTAATTCCCACATATGAGTGAGAACATACAGTATTTATTTTTCTGTTCCTGGCTTTATTTTTACTTAATATAATGTTCTCCAGGTTCATCCATGTTGCTATGAATGACAGGATTTCATTCTTTTTTGTGACCAAATAGTATTCTATTGGGTATATACACCACATTTTCTTTATCAAGTCATCTATTGATGGACACCTATGTTGATTCTATATTTACCTTATTGTATAATATTGCAATAAACATGGGAGTATGGATATCTCTTTAACATATTGATTTCCTTTTCTTTGGATATATACCGAGGAGTGTGATTGCTGATTATATGGTAGCTCTATTTTTAGTTTATTGAGAGATCTCCATACTATTTTCTATAACCACTGTACTAATTTTAATTCCTACCAGAGGTGTATAAGGGCTCCCTTTTCTCTGCATCCTTGCCAGCACTTATTAATTTTTCATTTTTTGATAATTGACATTATACCTAGGATGAGTTGATATCTCACTGTGGTTTTGAAATGCATTTCTCTGATGCTTTCGAGCATTTTTACATATTTATTGGCTAGAGTTTATCTTCTTTTGAGAAGGGTTCATTCAGATTATTTGTCCCTCTTTTAAATTTGATTATTTGGATATTTTTTGGTTTTGCTATGGATTGTTTGAGTTTCTTCTGTCGGATGAATAGCTTGCAAACATTTTCTCCCATTATGCTGATTATCTCTTCACTCTGTTGATTCCTTTGCTGTGCAGAAGCTTTTTAGTTTGATATAATCCCATTTGTCTATTTTTGCTTCTGTTACGTTTGCTTTTGAGGTCTTATCTATAAAATCTTTCTTTGGACCAATGTCTTAAAGCATTTACCCTATGTTGTCTTTTAGTAGTTTCAAGGTTTCAGGTCTTACATTAAGTTTTTTTTTGTTTTTGTTGTTTGTTTTTATTTCTGTTTTAAGTGGGAGTCTCGCTCTGTTGCACCAGTACAGTGGTGCAATCTCATTTTACTGCAACCTCCACTTCCTGGGTTCAAGCAATTCTGCCTCAGCCTCCCAGGTAACTGGGATTACAGGTGTGCACAACCACACCCAGCTAATTTTTGTATTTTTAGTAGAGATGGGATTTCACCATGTTGGCCAGGCTAGTCTTGAACTCCTGACCTCAAGTGATCTGCCTGCCTCAGCCTCCCAAAGTGCTGGGATTACAAGTGTGAGCCACCATGCTCAGCCTTACATTCAGTTTTTATTCGGTTTTGAGTTGATTTCTATAGATGGTGAAAGGGAAGAGTCAAGTTTCATTCTTATGCATACGAATATTCAATTTCCCAGCATCATTTATTGAAAGTCTGTCCTTTTCCCAAAATATGTACTTGGCATCTTTGTCAAAAATCGTTTGGCTGTAAATATGTGGGTTCATTTTTGAGTTTACTGTTCTATTGGTCTACATGTCTATTTTTATGCAAGTACCATGCTGTTTTGGTTATTAGAGCTTTGTAGTATGTTTTAAAGTCAGGTACTATTATGCTTCCAGCTTTGTTTTCTTTTGCTGAGGATTGCTTTTGGCTATTTGGGATCTTTTGTGGTTCCATGTAAGAATTACGATTGTTTTTCTCTTAATTTCTGTGAAGAATGTAATTGATATTTTAATAGAGATTGCATTAAATCTGTAGACCACTTTGGGAGTATGGTCATTTAACAATATTCATTCTGCCCATCCATGAATTTACTGTTAAACCTTACTTGCTATGAGAACAGGCCTAGTCTTATAAGGATGAGAGACCATACGGACTGCACCCTAGTAATCTCAGGTGAGGCCACCCTAGAAAAGCCAGCACCCAGACTGATCTACTAGCTGAGCACTGATACATGAGAAAGTCCAGCCAAAATGAGGTAAACTATCCAGATGAACAGCAGGTTTATGAGCTAAGTATGCCTGGTGCTTTAAGCCATGGGGTTTTGGATTACAACATTACATAGCAATGTCTAACTGATTGATAACCTCCCTTAGAATAAAATCAAAATTCTTTCCTTTATTTTCAAGCCTTTACAAGACTTGGCTTTTGTTACCTCTCCTAGCTGTCATATAATATCTCTTCCCTTTAATCACTATGCTCCTGACCCACTGGCCCCCTTGCAGTTTTCCAAGAATAGCAAGTCCTTCTGTTTTGTCTGAAAGGTTTGTCTTCATATATTAAGATATATATATATATATGTATAGATAAGATATATATGTGTATATATATCTTAATATATAATATATATCTTAATATATATTATACATATCTTAATATATATTATATATATCTTAATACATAATATATATCTTAATATATATCATATATATATTATGCTGTCTAATACAAGGTTCTGTTTCAATGTCAACTGCTCTAAAAGTTTTCAATTTGACCATCATATCTAAAATGGCAGCACATCTCTTGACCATGATATCTAAAATGGCATAAAATCTCTATCTTGCTTCATTCTTTTAATATTTCTTCACTTTTATAATAGAACCTATTGTATTTTTCATTACATTATATGCCTATTTATTTGTTATATTGTTTTTCTTCCTCACTGGTACTTAAGCTCCATGGGAGTAAGAATGTTGTCTTTTTTACTAATATTTCTTTTCTGTCTAGAAGAGAGTCTAGCATATAACCGTGCTAAATGTATTTATTGAATAAATAAATAAACTTGCTTCAAGTCAGAAACTAGTCAACCATTGTAGAATAAACTCAAGTCCCTCTTTGAGTCAATAAATCTTATTAATCTGGCATGGTTTTCTTTTTTTTCTTTTTTCTTTTTTTTTGAGACAGTCTCGCTCTGTTGCCCAGGCTGGAGTGCAGTGGCATAATCTTGGCTCACAGCAAGCTCCACCTCCCAGGTTCACACTGGCATGGTTTTCAAGACCAACCATCTCTTTTGTTGAGATTATTGGTATCTTAGAATTGCTGAAAGAAAATAGAGTTATTTTGTATAAGATAGCCATAGGCAATTTTATTTGGCACATGATGTATTTCTCTCATGGCATAATACCAAATCTTTACTTGAATAAAATGTTCTTGACTAAAATAAACTCAGAAAGAGAGATTGCCACAAGTATTTTATATATTTCTAAGATTACTATAACATCATAAGTCCTCTTCAATCAATTTTATAGTTTATTCCTGACATATTTGTATATATTTATATCCATATGACTGTCAGTGGAAAGCTGAGACATAAAAGGGGGTGTTGAGGAGTGTTATAAGAATGACATAGTTTAGATTTTCCATATCCAACTGTATGTTTGCTCTTAGAAAATGATAATCTTTATTATCTACCATAAATACTAAAGAAACTTTTTGTTTATCTGAATATTCTTCGCATTTCTCACCTAGTTCTGTAATTACAGAGGTGCAAATTTCAGCTGCAAATTTGCTCAACAAAGAAATTCTAAGTCAACCTACTGAAAATTAAATTATTACAGGAGGTCCAGTTTATAGATATTTGGACATTCAAAAGCCATCTAAAATCTCAATCCTTCCTTGGATGTAAGCATAGATTGAAGAGGAGGGCAAAAATTATTCTTATTTTATTTTTATATAACAGTTATGAAATAATTACTATGTTGCAGACAATTTTCTAATGACTTTATATAGCATGAGGTAGTCTTCCATTTATCTGTTGCTGCCTAACAAAATTCTCCACAAATCAGTGGAATAAAGAGATAACATTTTTATTATGTACATGATTCAGAATTTCAGCATGCTACAGTAGAAATGGCTCATAATGTCTGCTCCATGACACCTGGGGTGTCTCAGAGATGTGAAAATGGATACAATAGCCCAATTAGGTACATATATTGTGGGTCTTTTTTCTCCACTATGCATCTCCTGAGGCTGAAATACCCCATATATCTCCTTCACTTACTTGTCTGCTACCTGGAATGAAATTGCTGGAATAGCTGGGGACTGAGCAGCATTGTTCTTTCTCCAGGGAGTCACACCACATTACTAGTTTGGAATTTTTCATAGTATGGCAATCTCAACAAGGCTGGAATTTGTATCTAGTGTCTTGCTTCCTAAAGAGTGAGTGATTTGAGAGACGGTAAGTGTTAAATAACAGTCTGTAAAGGTCTGGGTCTAGAACTCTCCAGAGCCTCAACTTCCACCATATTCCATTGACCAGAATTGTCACAGATCCTACCCATATTTAAGGGAAGACACAATAGAGCTTTCTCAATAGAAAAATCATCAAAAAAATCTCATTATGGTTTTGATTTGTATTTCCCTGATAATTATTGATGCTGAGCATTTTTTTCATATGTTTATTGGCCATTTGTATATCTTCTTTTGAGAATTGTCAATTCATGTCCTTAGCATGCTTGCTTTTTTCTTGCTAATTTGTTTGAGTTTGTTGTAGATTCTGGATATTAGTCCTTTGTCAGATGTATAGACTGTGAAGATTTTCTCCCTCTCTTGGGTTGTCTGTTTACTCTACTGACTGTTCCTTTTGCCATGCAAAAGCTCTTTAATTTAATTAAGTCCCAGCTATTTATTTTTGTTTTTGTTGCATTTGCTTTTGGTTTCTTGGTCATGAAATCCTTGCCTAAGCCAATGTCTAGAAGGGGTTTTCCAATGTTATCTTCCAGAATTTTCATAGTTTTAGATCTTAGATTTAAATCCCTGATCCATCTTGAGTTGATTTTTTTATAAGTTGAGAGATGAGAATCTAGTTTCATTCTCCTACATGTGGCTTGCCAATTATCCCAGGACCATTTGTTTAATAGGGTGACCTTTCACCACTTTATGTTTTTGTTTGCTTTGTTGAAGATTAGTTGGCTGAAAGTATTTGATTTCTGGGTGCTCTATGCTGTTCTGTAGGAGTTTGGTCAGAGTGGTGGGAAAAGTTGTAAGAAAAAAAGTTACAGGGAAAGATGCAAACCTTCTTGGAAGGCTGGGAGGTTTTGCAAAAGCTTCCGGCAAGGATTATGGCTGAAGGCAGCCAAATTCTCTTCTCTGGGGGCTGAGAGCAAAGGGCAGATAACAAGGAAATGTAAAGGAACTTATCTAGATAAATCTGTTTACTTATGCTCCAGAAACCAACCTTTGATTGTTGGCCCCCAGGACTGCTCTCTACTAGGGGGGTCGACAGTGTTAATGACCCACAAATTGTGTTTGCACCAAGCCTTTGTTATTAAATCTGTACTAAATATATGCGAGCGTCTCTGGCTTATGAGGGCTGCTGCTGCTACTGCTGCACTCTTGTTGGTGGTGCTAAGCAGCAGTCCCCTAGCCGCGCTGTCAGGTAAAATACCTGTGTCAGCATACTCCTGTCATCCGTCGCTTGGCCAGAGTCTGCAGAACAGATTCAGCGGCACGGTTCCATTGGTTTATGTGCCTACTTTTACAACAGCACCATGCTGTTTTGGTGACTATGGCCTTATAGTATTGTTTGAAATCAGGTAATGTGATGCTTCCAGATTTGTTCTTTTTTCTTAGTCTTGCTTTGACTATGCGGGCTCTTTTTTGGTTCCATATGAATTTTGGGATTGTTTTTTCAAATTCTGTGAAAAATGCTGGTGATATTTTGATGGGAATGCATTGAATTTGTAGATTGCTTTTGGCACTATGGTCATTTTCACAATATTGATTCTACCCATCCATAAGCATGGAATGTGTTCCATTTGTTTGTGTCACCTATGATTTCTTTTAGCATTGTTTTGTAGTTTTTCTTGTAGAGGTATTTTACCTCCTTAGTTAGGTATATTCCCAAGTATTTTACTATTATTTTTTTACAGCTATTGTGAGAGCGGTTGGGTTCTTGATTTGATTCTCAGCTTGGCCACTGTTGGTGTATAGTAGAGCTACTGATTTGCGTACATTGATTTTGTATCCTGAAACTTTGCTGAATTCATTTACCAGTTTTAGGAGCTTTTTGGAGGAGTATTTAGGGTTTTCTAGGTAAACAATCACATCATCAGCAAACAACAACAGTTTGACTTCCTCTTTACTTACTTGAATGCCCTTTATTTCTTTCTCTTGTTTGATTGCTCTGGCTAGGACTTCCAGTATGATGTTAAAGAGGAGTGGAGAGAGTGGGAATCTTTGTCTTTTTCCAATTCTCAGAGGGAATGCTTTCAACTTTTCCCCATTCAGTGTTATGTCGGCTGTGGGTTTTTCATAGATGGCTTTTACCACATTGAGATATGTCCCTTGTATGCCGATTTTGATGACAGTTTTAATCATAAAGAGAGCCTGGATTTTGTTGAATGCTTTTTCTGCATTTATTATGATAATCATGTGATTTTTGTTTTTAATTCTGTTTATGTGGTGTTATCACATTTATTGACTCGTATATGTTAAAACATCCCTGCATCGCTGGTATGAAATCCACATGGTCGTGATGGATTATTATTATTTTTTGATATGTTGTCAGATTTGGTTAGCTAGTATTTTGTTAAGGATTTTAGCGTCATGTTTTTCATGGATATTGGCCTGTAGTTTTCTTTTTTGGTTATGTTCTTTCCTGGTTTTGGTATTAGCCATAATCAAAAAGTCAAAAAGTAATAGATGTTGGCATGGATGCAGTGAAAAGGGAACACTTCTACACTGCTGGTGGGAATGTAAACTAGTACAACCACTATGGCAAACAGTGTGGAGATTCCTTAAAAAACTAAAAATAGAACTGCCATTTGATCCAGCAATCCCACTGCTGGGTGGCTACTCAGAGGAAAATAAGTCATTACACAAAAAAGATATTTGCACACACATGTGTATAGCAGCACAATTTGCAATTGAAAAAATGTGGAACCAACCCAAATGTCCATATATCAACAAGTGGATAAAGAAACTGTGGTGTGTATATATATATATATATCCATATGATAGAATACTACTCGGCCATAAAAAGGAATGAATTAATGGCATTCTCAGCAACCTGGATGAGACTGAAGACTATTATTCTAAGTGAAGTAACTTAGAGTGGAAAAACGAACATCACATTATCTCACTCATAAGTGGGAGCTAATAAGCTATGAGGATGCAAAGATGTAGGAATCACACAATAGACTTTGGGGACTCAGGAGGAAAGGGTGGGAAGGGGGTGAGGGATGAAAGACCATAAATTGGGTGCAGTGTATACTGCTCAAGTGATGGGTGCACCCAAATCTCACAAATCACTACTAAAGAACTTATTCATGTAACCAAACAACCAGTTCCCCAATAACCTATGGAAATAAAAAAAATCATTAAAAAACTTGAACACTTTTTACAGTCTCATGTTCTACCAAGTGAGTTAGCCGGACTAATTGAAAAATTTTAATATGCCAGCGTTTGCCTTCTAATCACATATTATTTACAATTTTTCCTCATGAACAATACATGGACATCCTCTTAAAATGCCAGAAGGCTTATTCTATTATGATATCAGATTCAGATTCATGGTCCAAGATTTTGTCATCTAAATAAATTCCTGACGCTAATGAAGTACATTGGGTATGGTTTTTCTCAATCTTAAGACCATACAATGGTGTGAGAGAAATAAAATAATTTTAATATACACTCCCATTCAAAAAGGGAAAGTGAAAAAGCTCACTGCAGTCACTGACTCATAGAAATTCTGAAATTCACCTGGGCCCATGATGTCAGTTCTTTGTTTGGAATCTCTTATGAGGCCTCCTGGGAAAAAAATTACCATATCTCTTTGCTATGTCCTCCATATTCTTGATTATTCCCTCTGAAATATCTTTCTTTTTCCATAAGAAATAACCCGCTTTACACTGAGTAATTCTCTCATTCTGCTTTCTGCCCATGGTAGACTGAGGGTCAATAGCCCTTTTTAAAATTTGCATTACTGCTGCCCCTTTCGAAGTTGATGCATAATTCATTAAAACAAAATTAGGGGGCTGGGCACAGTGGCTCACGCCTGTAATCCCAGCACTTTGGGAGGTCAAGGTGGGTGGATCACCTGAGGTCAGGAGTTCAAGACCAGGCTGGCCAACATGGCAAATCCCCATCTCTACTAAAAATACAAAAATTAGCTAGGCATGGTGGTGAGCACCTGTAATCCCAGCTGGGAGGCTGAGGCAGGAGAATCTCTTGAACCCCAGGAGGCAGAGGTTGCAGTGAGCCAAGATCACACCACTACAGTCAAGCCTGGGTGACACAGAGAGACTCTGTCTCCAGATAAAAAAAAAAAAAAAAAAGAATTGTGCACATCTTCTATTTTAAATTTTTATCCATTTCATAATCACACCTGAAAAAATTCTTCAAGATAGGGCTATGTCCTACCTTGAACCTGGTGTGAGTCTGTTGTTAAAAAATGGATTTAAGATTCTGAAAATCTTAACAGATATTTAGACAGATTAACAGAATCTTAGTGGTGAGGTTCTGTTAGGTTTTCCTTTAAGATTTTTACAGAATTTTTGTCTGGCTAAAATGGTTTATGAATGGACACTTTCTCAACACTTGCAAAGGATTTAAAAATTTCACCTTGAATCCATTTTAACTCCCACTAAGACCATATTTTATTACCACGGATTTGATTTTCACCCTGTGATCATTTCTTAATTCAAGAACCATTTTGCTATCTGAAAAAAAATTGTTAGGCCTTATTTATTTTTTCTAAATTCTACTTAAGAATGAAATCATTTCTTTCTTCAGACATTTTCTATTCTCTTTGATTACTTAAAGAAAAGAGTAGTATTCTGCGTGGAAACTTTCTCAGCCATATCCACAAGTTTATTAGGTACACTTTCTATTTTCCAGGTTATTGCAGAAGACAGTATTGCTAATCTGCCACTATATAAAAAGTCTCAGCTTTCTTTCCACCTTTTAATACCTTTTTATAAATAAACTTTATGTTTTAGAATAGTGTCAGACTTACAGAAAAGTTACAAAGACAGAGAGTTGTCTAGATCTCTCACCCAGTCTCCCTTGTAATTAATATCTTATATTACTGTGGTACATTTGTTATAACCAAAGAACCAATATCAGTATATTTCTATTAACTAAACATAACATTTTATATGAATTTTACTAGTTTTCCCTTGGTCTGTTTTTCTGTTCCAAGATACTCTCCAGGATATCTGAAGTACCCTGTGAAGGCAAGTCTTCTAAAGTGCACTTTTTTTAAATTTAATTTTTTAAATTTTATTTGTTTTATTTAATTTATTTATTATTATTTTTGAGACGGAGTGTCACTCTGTCACCAGGCTGGAGTGCAATGGCGTGATTTCAGTTCACTGCAACCTCCACCTCCTGCATTTGAGCGATTCTCCTGCCTCAGCCTCTGGAGTAGCTGGGATGATAGGCATGCGCCACCACACTTGGCTAATTTTTGTATTTTTAGTAGAGATGGGATTTCACCATGTTGGTTAGGCTGGTCTCGAACTCCTGACCTCAGGTGATCCTCCCGCCTTGGCTTCCCAAAGTGCTGGGATTACAGATGTGAGACACCAGGCCTGGCCAAAGTGCACTATTTTTTTATTTGGAATCTTTAGCCCCTACCTAGTGTCTGGTATTTTAAAATAATTAAATATTTGTTGAAATAAACCACACAGACAAAACAATGATTTCAGCATATTTTCTGACCCTGAAACATCAAAATGAATTATCTCTCAAAACTGAATAGCCACAGAAAAAAATAACAAATCTGTGGGTGGCAATATTAAGCATTGAAGTTCATTTGCTTATACTTCTTATAAATATGTCTGTGAATCATCATAGTAAACCAACCAGAAATTAATAATTTCCTGAAATTATTAATTGCATCTGCATGTGTATGTCTCTCTGTCTGTTTCTCTTAAGTTTCTTTATTAGCTTGTCCTTGGTTGGCTGCAATTAAGAAACTAAACCACTAGAGGCATGCTCAGTTTCTTCTGATTGCTCTAATACATCATTTTCATTTTTGTTCTTTTAATTATATTTCTTCAACTAGATTTCTACAACTACAAGCTAGAAAGGTGAAAGTTTAATAAACACTTAACCACCCTGTTAAAATCTAATAGAAAATTTAAGCTATGTTGGGCTCAGTCCTTGCTAGTTAAAAAAAAAGAGATGGAAGAAGAGCACATCAATTTTGCTTTCCAACACTGTGAAGATGATTTTTAGTAGTACTTAAGAACTAAAAGAGGAAAAGTGATTGATAAGGTAATTAAATGATAAAAAGTATCAGGCAAGCATGCAGAAAAAGTACAAATGAGGAAAATGATCAAGTGTGCTTGATCTAAAAAATTACAGTATCAAGTTATATAAATTATAATTCTTGAAACAGAAAAGAAATCTGTTCTTTGCCTATAATTTTTTAAATGCTCTTTTTAGGAGACAATCACTGTGGTTTTGCTTTCTCTTTCTCTAAATTTTTCCTTCCCTCCCATTAGTGTCATGATTTTTGAATAAGGTATTTTCTTCGTCATCCATGCCATTTTTTTCAGTTGGTTTTATGACTATTGTTCAGGAACTTAAAAAATATTAATATTAATAATTATCAATTTCTTTGTTTTTCATCATTTTGTTTGCAATTATTACAGGTATTATGCGAACCAAACACATTATTATGGAGCAATGTATAGTCTCACATATACTAGACTAAAAATTAATAGTTGTTATAGATTGTGAGCATTAGATTAGGATAGCATTTTACATCTAGGTGAAGCCAAGACTTTGCCGTTTCAATAGGATAGTCTATTCTGTTGAGCCTTAGTGACTACATTAGTGACATTAAATTAACTTTGTGGAATATAAGTCTTTTGGGTTACTAGAGCATTATTTAGAAAGTTGTTTTTCTAGATGCAAAAATTTTGACATTACCTAACAGTTTAAACTATTAATATAAGTATTAAACGAGGCGCTTGACTTCAGTAACTCTATTGACGGTATATGAATACCTTAAAACCTCTTTGACCTGCTTGCTTCTTTTCTGCTCTTAAACATATTCCGTCTCTGTTGCACTTTCAGCTGATTGTCCTTGTTCTCTCAATAAATAAACTCCTACTACTCGTCCCACTGCATTGTGACATACTATGCTTTGCTTAGTAGATTCATTTTAAATATTTGCCTAGAGGGATCCAGCTCCCACAGCTGATCACCATTAGCACTCTGCATGGGCCATCATCTTCAGATGCTATACGAAAGATGCATTCAGACAATGATGTTTTAGATACTAAGAGGAGAAAACTATTCAAAACATATACGTTAACAATATCTGATTTGAATACAGATTTTTTTTAACACCAAGTTTGTAAAAGTGACTAAATATATTTTGAGACATTTTAATTATATTTCATATTCATCATATTGGCATTTTAAAAGTACCCTGGGATAAGAAAAAGATCTGAAAGACATAAACTGTTTTTATTATTAAAAGATGCCATTAAATACTCGAATGTTTAATATGCCGATAATTATTACATATTATGAACATTCTAGACAAATCTATTTGAGATTTTTCTCAATAGGTAAAGGAATTGATGATTATAATCAAATAAGTAATAAATACTCATTGGACTTACAGTACTGTACTTGGTTCAAATTCATTAATTTAAACTCAGTAATTATTTTTTGAATGAATACTAGGTGAAAGTACAATTTTAGGTATTCAGAGAAAACAAAATCAATTTAGTTTATCCTTCAGATAACAATCTAAATCCCCATGATCAGCAACCTCCCCACTCCTCACTTTTCTGTACTCTCATAAGTTATCATTTAACTCTCCGCCTACTCCATTTTATAAAACTTACAAAGCCTAACGTGACTAAGAGAAAACACAAAATAATGGTAACTATGTTCACATCAAATTTATGACCAATCTCAAGTGGGCCCCAACATTGCCTAGGAAACACACAAAATCAGTCATTCTCTCTCCTCCTTCTTCATATGACTATTTCTGACCTTTTTCTTTTTCCTCATACCTTAATATCCCCTTCCAATGCTCAGTCATAGCTGTCAACTTTGCATCCTATTTGTCTCAGAAATAGGAGTCAATTAGAAAAGAGTCAATTAGAAGACATGGTTAATACGACAAGGAATCCCACTCTTGTATAGGCCCCTCCTTTGACTATAGGCAGAATCTGTGATCTACTTCTAATAAGGAAAATAATGGGAAGGGAACGGGATGTCAATCACATTATAAGGAAAAGGTGAAGGGATTTTGCAGCTGTCATTAAGATCTCTAATCACTGGATTTTCCCCCAATTTATTTATTTTCCTTACCTGACAAATAAAAATGTATATACAGTATTTATCAAGTATAACTTGTTTTGAAATATGCATACATTATGGAATGGCTATATTAAGCTAATTTATGTATGCATTATTGCATATATTAGGTTGGTGCAAAAGTAGTTGCGGTTTCTGCCATTACTTTTAACGGCAATTATTACTTTTGCATCAATCTAATACTTATCATTTTTGTGGAGAGAACACTTGTTTTAGTTAATCTAATAGGCGCTTACCTGGGTGGGTCTGATTTAATCAGGGGTATGTTTTTAAAAGCGGTCTAGGCCTTCTCTGAAGATACACTCAAAGCAGCAGAGAATCTGTCTCTTCACTGTAAGCTTTGAAGAAGCAAGCCGTCAGGAGTTCCGCAAGCATAAGGAAATACATTCTGCCACCCACCATGTGAGCTGGGACACATACCTCAAGACCTAGAAAAAAACACGGCCATGACTGACACTTTGATTGCAGGCTGGTGAGACTCCAGGCACTGGATGCAGCTATTTCTGACTTGTTGGAAGTGTGAGATAATGAACATTTATGTGTCGTTTTTAAGCAACTAAGTTTGTGGTAATTTTTTTATGCAACAATAGAAAATAAATATGGATGATTACTTCTGCAAGATTAAATACCATATACACATCTACCTGATTCTGAAGCCATATAGTTTGCCTTTCACTTATTTTATTATATTTTTCTTTTGAGACAGAGTCTGTCTTTGTCACCCAGGCTGGAGTGCAGTGGCGCGATCTTGGCTTACTGTAACCTCCTGCCTCCCGGTTCAAGTGATTCTCCTGCCTCTGCCTGCCCAGTAGCTGGGATTACAGGTGCGCACCACCAAACCCAGGTAATTTTTGTATTTTTAGCAGACACGAGGTTTCACCATGTTGGCCAGGCTGTTCTTGAACTCCTAGTTTCAAGTGATTTGCCCACCTCGGCCTCCTAAAGAGGGGAGATTACAGGCTTGAGCCACCATGCTTGGCCTACCTTTTCACTTATAAATAAGGATGAATCTTTTTTTTTTTTTTTTTTTTTTTTGAGACGGAGTCTCGCTCTGTCGCCCAGGCTGGAGTGCAGTGGCGCGATCTCGGCTCACTGCAAGCTCCGCCTCCCGGGTTCACGCCATTCTCCTGCCTCAGCCTCCCAAGTAGCTGGGACTACAGGCGCCCGCCACTACGCCCGGCTAATTTTTTGTATTTTTAGTAGAGACGGGGTTTCACCGTTTTAGCCGGGATGGTCTCGATCTCCTGACCTCGTGATCCGCCTGCCTCGGCCTCCCAAAGTGCTGGGATTACAGGCGTGAGCCACTGCGCCCGGCCAGGATGAATCTTTTTCTGACTATACTTGAGGGTAGTATGTTACATACCAATATCTTTTAGCTATTCAAGGACATTGCACCCTTTGTGTGTGTGTGTGTGTGTATGTGTGTGTGTATCTGAAATTCCATATTCCCTTTCTACCACAAACCCATTTACTTGTTCCCCTTCATAACAGTGCACACATTTTTAAAAGGTAATATACGTAAATAAATGTATACTTATTATATGTGAATTTATATGTATGTAAACTTTTAGCATATATACGTGTGTGTTTGTATATACTCATATATGTGTATACATATATACAAAAGACAGGCTACTTTTCTTATCTTTTGAACCATGTCTGATTAACCCTTCATAGAATCACAGCATCTGTCTTTCACTATTTCACAAAATTTGCTCTTATCAAGGTCAACAATAACTTTCACGTTCCCATGTCTGTTTGTCAATTATTAGTCTTTATCTTTTGTGACTTATCAATAGCACAGAGTACTGTTGACTACCTGATCTTTGAAATGCTTTATTCAGCTTCTAATACACCACACTGATAGTTATTCTATAACCTTCATCTCTTTTTCTCATTAGTTACTGTTTCTTTCTCATCTCCATGGATGTGAATATTTACATATACCCATAATTATCCCATGAGCTTTTTCTCATCTATTGACATTCCCTTTTTCAGTAATCTCATCAAAGTTCTTGGCTTTAGCTATCACTCACTTTCTGACAACTTCTTCATGAACTGTTTTAGCCTTGGTCTATCTACTGAACTTAAGACTTGTAAATCTGACACTTTCTCAGTATCTCCAGTCATAGGTATCTCACATTTAATATTCACAGATCTCCTAAGACTACCTTCATAAAGTCTTTAGGATATAATTAATTTTCACTACCTCTATAACGTGACCCAATCCAATTTACATCATCTGTTTGAAACACTGCAATCATATCCTTTCAGGTCTCTCTCCTGCACAACAACTAGAAGATTATATTGAAATGTAAAATTATCTCTCTCTCTTCTGTTTTAGCCCTTGCATTGGCCTCTCATCATGACAGGAGTGAAAAACCAAACTTTTCCAATGGCCTTCAAGGCCCTTCACAATCAAGCTCCCCTTGCTGTAGCTACGCTGGTGTCCTTGGTTTACCGCCCATGTGCCGGTCAAAATCCTGCCTTTGGAACTTTTCACTGTTGTTCTTTCTTCCTGGAATACACTTCTCTAGATATCCTTTACCTTTTAAAAATCATTGCTTACATGTCAGCTTGTCACTGAGACTTATCTGACCACTTTATTTACAATTACCATCTGCTACCTATCAAGACTTCCACTGCCTTTTCCTGATTTTTATTTTTCTAATTAATCTACCACCTTATAATATGCTACATAATTTCATCTTGTTCATATATATATATATACACACACACACACACGTATCTAACTGGAATGAATGCTGGTAGGTTTTCAATATATTTCTTGGATAAAGAAAAGACTAAAGAATGAATACATTAATGAACAAAAATACGATAATATTCAGCTTAGAATGTTTTAATAATATTTTCAAAGATAAAAATAGCAGAGCTAATATTCTAATCTCATCTTTCTGGTTCCAAATCCTGTGTTTTTAAACACAATAAGTGC
Source organism: Homo sapiens (assembly GCF_000001405.40). Taxonomy (NCBI): domain Eukaryota; kingdom Metazoa; phylum Chordata; class Mammalia; order Primates; family Hominidae; genus Homo; species Homo sapiens. The sequence goes on along the minus strand of NC_000012.12, from coordinate 17,273,881 downwards.
ACTAAGCTTAAGGGCCTGTCTTATGTTTTGGAAGTACAAAGACAGAACATAGTAATTACACACAGGAGTTTGCAGCATACTGAAGAATTAAACAACAATGATAATTGTTTATTAGATGTTTTATAATAAAGTCTCCCCAGGATTACAGAGAAAAATAATATTTATATTGAGTCTTTAAAGATTAGGAGTTTTCTGGCTGTTTGCAGCATATATGAAAAGGGGAATGGTATTTTCAAAGATATTACTAAAAGAGTGAGAGAGTGAACTATTTAGGTATTGCCAAAGACCAGGGTAAGTGGAGAGAATGGGGAGATGGCTTTAAGAAAGACAAAGCATGGTCACATTCCAAGACTCCCTCCCTCCTATTTCAAATATTAATCAATTAAGCATAGCAAATAAGACTCTTTGGCCAGAGATAAAAATTTCTCAATCCTAGAATCCTGTGTTGCCACTGTCAACTCATTGGATGTCTCCGAAGAAAATTACCATATAACAGGCACACTAAGCAAATTCCCACCTTAATTACCATTAGACCTTTACCTCAGCCACCGACTTAACCCTCTTTGACTGGTTTAGACTTCTGGAAGAACTTTTTTTGCTCTATGTTAGTTGTCAGTCCAAGAGAGCCATAATAATAAGCGCTGATTTGATGGGCTCCTTGGCAGCCCTCAACTTAAGTATTAACTGGAATTCCACAATTAGTATCTTTCCACACTAGTGATAAAGATAGTGAGTTTAAAAGAGAGAGAGAGAGAGAGAGAGAGAGAGAACACCACCAAGGAACATGAAGAGAATAAGAATTAAGAATTTCTTAAGACTAAGTCCCAAGGTGAATGTGATCTAACTTATCCTCTTCAGGACTCTGTCATATGTGAACCACCTGTGAGTCTTTTTCTCCTTGCACTAGTGGGCAGAATAGGGATGCTTCCAGAGATCAGATTTTCCACAAGGAACAATAGCCCCAGCAAGAGGCAGTGAAAGGATTTGTCTCCAACTCATTTAATGAGGAATGCAGCAAAGAGAATCCTCGATTTATTTTTTCCATGAAATTAAATAATATAAAGCTATTAAAGCATTTTAACAGAAGGATGACAGCTGATATTCATTTTATAAATACAGAAGAGAGAGGAAGGGGAAAATTCATGTTAATCTGGATATTTTGAGACTAGTTTGATGTGATTTAATTTGATGACAATCTAAATACAGGCAAACAATGAGGAAGAAAAGGAGACAAATGTGAGAGAGAAGTACAGTCAGAACCCGCTCCTCCCCGCCAAAAAAATAAAATAAAATAAGCACAAGAACAGTTTGGATTATGCAGGCTCTGAGAGAGTAGGGATATCAGATGGTTCTCAAAGTTCTCCCTTGACAACCAGAATTACTGGAAAAACAAATTGGGTTACATATCTTTAGTGGAAAGAAGAATTCTCCATACCAGCAACAGTTAATGTCTTATAGTGACTAGTACTTTGTCAGGTCCCCTCCAAAAAACAACAAAACCCCCAAAACCTATTTGATGTACTAATTTCCTTGAATGAGGAAATCAGCTCCCAGTTAAATAAAAAAAAGAATTATGTTGTGAAACATATTGGCCAATCTACTAATTTCCTGAGCATCATTAGGCATTAGCTGGTTGCCACACAACTACATGTTCCAGTTGAGAAGATTCTCTATAGCAAGGATTAGCTTTTTGACATCTTTGGGGAGCTTCTGTTATTATTTAAGCTTCTATTTAACAGACCGTGGTAAATTTACCTGAAGAGATGTAAAAAAGTAAATTAGATTAAATGATTAAATTATGTTGGAAAATTGGCATGATTCATTTGGATTTAAATGACAGCACACTCCAATTATTCCATGGTTGGATATAAATATTTGCTAATTTTCTTGTGTGGATAATTGTAATATTTTAATAGTTATTCTTATAATTTGAAGAGAAATTACCAATTTATGTGCCTGCTTTAATTTTTAAATGAATTCTGAGTATAATTAATGCATCCTTTTGAATTTCAGGTTTTCTGAAGCTTTGGAAAAAGCTATTTAAACATTAATGCTGCATCCATTCTGATAGTTTTGGATTATTTGGGGGGAGGGTATCTTAAATTCACAGGTTGAATTTAAGAAGAAAGGTGACAACTTTCTTCTCTGTATTCTTAATCATTTGTCAAGACAGCATAGTGATTAAAAGTGAGCCACAAGAGTCAAATAGTCTTGGACTTAGATCTCTGGGTTTGCACTTACAAGTTGTGTGTAGCAAACTAATTGTTCTTGTATCATGCTTTTAGCTGCAAGTAACAAAACTACGGATTCAAAAAGTGTTATTATTTTAAAAACCTATTATCTTACGTAACTAGAATTCCAGTGCTAGGTTAATCTCCAGACACAGAGATGCCCCTATTCCCTGGTTCTGATGTCTCTTCAACTATACTGTTAAATTTTCCTAACAAATCCCTGCAGTCTGTTGAGTAGTTCAGTGATTTCCCTAAGATCCAATAGTCTGCCTGTCCCTTAGGATAAGAAAACATAGAGCTCCACTTATGGCTGGCAGCCCTCTTATACCCACAAAGGAACCAGGATTATCATCAGGCCAACACTGAAGTCTGTGTAGACAAGTGACAGGAAGACCTTGGCTTCTCGAGGACACCATTGAGATGTTCATTAAGTGCGCCTAGAGAATTTTCTGTCTCCATACGTCTGGTTATATGAGATAGTTAATTTCTTTATTGATCAAGTCAGTGGGAGGTCCGGGGTGCTTATGTCTTGCAGCTTAACACTGCTACCAACAAATTTCAAGTGGCAGATCCAGAAATCAAAACCCAAGTCTATTTAACACTTCTGTTTCACTTTAACTGTACTACACAGTGTTCTATAAACTATGATTAGAAAAACAGAGAACCAAATAAAATCTTAGCCCCAAATATTTATTTCTTCAGGCTGATCAAGCCATCTTTGGGCACACACCCACACTTGGGCCAGAATGAATCAGCAAAGGAATTCCATTAAGTACTTGTTTTAGACTAAATAACATTCAGTTCCTGGAACTTTGGGATATGGTGATCTTTTTTTCTGAAATATCTGGTGGTGTGGAAGAGAAATGGATTTTTTTCCCACATAATGGAGTTCTGTTGGAAAGATATAAAAGGAGTGGAGATGGTATATTGAGGGGGTAACCAATATTATCCACTATGCTGTGTAATCCTGGACTAATTATTAAAATCATCTCAGTGTTATTGTTAATATTACGTTATCATTATAAAATGGAGACAATAACTACCCATTTCTTATGTTTCCCGTGTTGATAAAAAGAAATGATGCATATAAAACACTCAATTCAGGTGCATTCTGAAACTTCAATCACTGTTAGTAATTATTACATTTTTTTGTTCTTTTCCCTCAACATTCTGAAGGAAACTTCATTTTGTTTAGCTGTGTTGAATTTCTCCAGGATTAACCCTCCATCCTTGCCCAACTTTCTCTGGAACTGGGAATTTTGGCCCATATCACCTACCTCATAGAATTTCCTTGCCTTGTAGTTCTGGCTCAGTTAGCACTAACAGGAGATCAGAGGAAGACAGAAAAGAGAACTTCGGCTATTTGTTCCCCAAGTTTCTCCCCTTTGAGTTTCTATGAATTGACCAAATCAATCTATAAAAACTCACAGTTCCTCTCTGAACATTCTCAACATAAAGATAACCTCTAACCTCAGACTTCTATCATATAATTAATTTCTTAATAGTCACTCTGTTTTCTTGGCTCTTTGACTACAGGGTGTCTTAGTTGTCTATGTCAATGGCCCTGATATATGACTATGCCCTCTCCTGTTGATTTCCTTACACTTGAATATGTTTTGCTTCACTAAACTTTCCTAAATTACCCATTTGTGTAGACATTACATTCACTGCTGGGACCCTGACTAGTACTGTCGCTGGTATTATTTTTTCAATTTTCTTTTCTTTCTTTTTTTTTTTTTTTTTTTTTTTTTTTTTTGAGACAGAGTCTCACTCTATTGCCCAGGCTAGGGTGCAGTGTGGCACTATCTCAGCTCACTGCAACCTCTGCCTCCCGGGCTCAAGCGATTCTCCTGCCTCAGCCTCCCGAGTAGCTGGGATTACAGGCCCATGCCACCATGCCCAGCTAATTTTTGTATTTTTAGTAGAGACGGGGTTTCACCATGCTGGCCAGTCTGGTCTTGAACTCCTGAACTCGTGATCTGCCCACCTCAGCCTCCCAAAGAGTTGGGATTACAGGCGTAAGCCACCGTGTCCGGCCTATTTTTTCAATTTTCTAAAAGTCAGTTTTGCTTTTACTGCTACTAATTGTAACTTAAATTTTGATTTTGCATGTTTGAGGGTTTTTGCAGTTTTTCTTTATCCCAGACTGACTGTCATCTCCATGTCTTCTCTTCCTGAAGCTCCTTAAATCTCTTTCAAAGAGGCCATATTTTCTTCCATATTATTGAGATCTTTCTTTAAAAATTTTAAAAATGTTTTCTAGTTTTTATAAAATAATACATGATTTTGTTTGACCCTTCCTCAGAATTCTCAGGGAATAATATTCTTTTAATCTATTGACATACATTTTGACAGACCTAATGGATGTATGTGTGCCATGATTTTGGTCACCTATATGGGTACAGTGGCTCACGCCTGTAATCCCACCACTTTGGGTGGCCGAGGCGGGCAGATCACCTGAGGTCAGGAGTTCAAGACCAGCCTGGTCAACATGGCGAAACCCTGTCTCTACTAAAAATACAAAAATTAGCTGGGCGTAGTGCAGGTGCCTGTAATCCCAGCTACTTGGGAGGCTGAGGCAGAAGAATCGCCTGAACCCAGAAGGCGGAGGTTGCAGTGAGTTGAGATCGCGCCATTGCACTACAGCCTGGGTGACAAGAGTGAAACTCTGTCTCAAAACACACACACGGCCGGGTGCAGTGGCTCACGCATGTAATCCCAGCACTTTGGGAGGCCGAGGCGGGCGGATCACGAGGTCAGGAGATCGAGACCATTCTGGCTAACATGGTGAAACCCCGTCTCTACTAAAAATACAAAAAATTAGCCGGGCGTGGTGGCGGGCGCCTGTAGTCCCAGCTACTTGGGAGGCTGAGGCAGGAGAATGACGTGAACCCAGGAGCCTGCAATGAGCCAAGATTGCGCCATTGCACTCCAGCCTGGGCGACAGAGGGAGACTCCGTCTCAAAAAAAAAAAAAAAAAAACAAAAAAAAACAAAAAAAAACACAAAGAACAACCACACACACAAGCACACACACAAAGAAACCGCTTCTATGGTTTAAGAAATTTCCCACAGTGAGCTTTATCTTTTAAAAAATTGACCAGAAATGCGTTAACACCAATCTGCCTGGCAGACTTGTCACAGGTGTGTAATACAATCTCTAATGGCTAAATGAGGCCATAGGCTTTACCCGGAATCTATTTCTGGTGGGAGTGCCAGTAGAGGTGTCTGGCTTCTAGGCAGCAGCCATGGAGTTTGGGGTCCAGCACCAGTCATTCAAAATATAATCTTTATGGCCAGCTACAGGTCAGTGGGGTCTTCACTGGAGCAGTCCAAGGATCTGGCAGGAATTGGCTCCTGGGTGAAAATCCATCAACCTGACTGGCTCTTTTGGAGATTCTAAGAACTACGTATTTTTAAAAAATATTTCTTTTTTTGTTAAATTGGTTCTTTTGTTATAAATACTAATAATTATCAAAGGTTTGTTACTCATACCAGAACAAAGATTAATCTGTCCTGACACTATTTTTGCCAACAAACAAATCATGCGGATTTGCTTTGGCTTTACTTAATACAAGCTTGAGTATTAGTAGAATTTCTTTTTTGATATTTTTTAATCTGATGTCAGATTGACATGCCTAGCTATTTGCCCAGTTTCTTCATTATTCCTCTTTGTTGAGCAGGATTGAGATATTATCACACCCATCCTCCTGGTCCTCTGACAGACCAAACTGATGGAGTACATTAAAAATTAAAATTCCTAGGACACATTGATTTGAAGAACTCTTATTTTCTCTTTCCTACCCTTGAGCACTTTGCTTGGAACTATATCACTCAACACATACAACCTCTTACATCGCAAACTCTCCTGGGTTTGAACGATTCTTTGGCCTCAGCCTCAGCCTCCCAAGTAGCTGGGATTACAGGCATGCGCCACCATGCCCGGCTATTTTGTTTTTTTGTATTTAGTAGAGATGAGGTTTTGCCATGTTGGTCAGGGTGGTCTCGAACTCCTTACCTCAAATGATCCACCCGCCTCAGCCTTCCAAACAGCTGGGATTACAGGCGTGAGCCACCATGCCTGGCCGAGGTTGTATTGCTAAATAAATTTCTCCATTCAGTTTAATCTGCCTTTAATTTTTTGAAAATTTCTCATATATTTTAAAGATATATTATATACAAAACATAAGACTGTATTATATAATATATATATTACATATAATATAATATATAAGTATATTGCTTGATGATGGGGATATGTTCTGAGAAAGGCATCATTACACAATTTGGTTGTTATATTAGTTATATAAATTGTATAACTATATATTACAAACCAAGAGGTAAAAGCAGCTTACTACACACCTAGGCCACTGGATATGACCAACTGTTCCTAGGCTACACACATGTATAACACGTGACTGTACTGAATGCTGTAGGTAATTGTAACATAATGGCATTTGTATATCTAAACTTGAAAAAGGTACTGTAAAAATGTGATATTTTAATCTTCTACGACCACCATAATATGTACGGTCTGTCACTGACCAAAAATGTTACGCAGCACATGACTGTACATGCCATATGTTAGTTTTCTAGGATGCCATGACGAATTACCATAATCTGGAGGGCTTAACACAGACATTTATTCTGTCACAGTTCTGAAGGCTAGAAGTTTGAAATCAAGGTATCAGCAGGATGGTCTTCCTGTGGAAGGATCTAGGAAAGAATCCTTTTTTGCCTCTTACAGCTTAGATGCTTGCAATTTTTGGTTTTCTTTGACTGGCTGTGTAACTCCAATCTCTGCCTTTGTCTTCACAGTCTTCTCCTGAGTTTGTGTCTCTGTATCTAAATTTTCTTCACCTTATAAGAGTGCTAGTCATACAGGAGTTACCCACATTCCCATTCCCAGTCAGTATGATCTTACTTACCTTAATTTGATTCTATCTGCACAGACCCTATTTCCAAATAAGAGTCACATTTGTAGGTTACAGGTGGACATGAATTTTGGAGAAACATTGTTGGACTCAGTGAAGTATGTAAATTATGGTTTCTACCCTCACTGTTGGATTTATCTTATTTTCCTACCCTCGTTTCCTTTTGCCACAATTCATTCTCAAATTTTTAACCTTATGTAACTGTGAAACATGTATCCTTGTAAGATTCGTTACATCCATTTTGTTTTAAAATTTTGAAGATATGAAGATGGGGATAAAGAGTTTTAAAGTTAATCAGTCTTCTAATCTTCTCTCAGATTCTTCCAAAATATTAATGGTGAGTATCACTTTTGGTGGTAAGACCAAAAGTGGTCTTTTTTTTCTCTTTTTTTTTTTTTTCATTTTGGATTTCTTTACTTTTCTTTTCTCATTTTGGATTTTCCGTAGCTCTCAATGAGAAAGTCGGGTTAGCTAAGGATAGTTAACTACATAACCTGTGTTATTTTAAACTAAAAGTTTGGCCATTGTTTGAAGGAATGGAAAGTTTAAGGGCCAATTATGATGAACTTTAGGAGGAAAGAGTAATACTTATACTAAAATTATAAAAGCAGAAATTATAGATATTACTAAAGAAGCAAAGATGAAATTCTCTCCAGATGTTCATCTTCAACAATCCTGTCCCTGAATACAATCCAGCAATATCAGACTACTGGATCGAGATAGGGAAGCAGAGGTTGCAGTTCTGACCTTACTAACTGCAACATAACTAAGCAGGTAACTTAATCTCTCTTAGTTTTGGTGTTTCCGATTGTAAATTGAGAATAATATTTACCTTGCAAATATGCTTTAACTTAAATTATGTAATTAATGTAAAAATATATTGTCCAGATTCTGGTAGGTGACATTGTATGTCATGTAACAATGACTGTTAAAGTGGAACCACAAACCCTGGCTCCTGCAGACCTACAGGAGCTCCTGCACTTCTCACTTTGTATATAGAACTATCCATCTGTTGTCCTTCCAAGGAATGTAAAATGAGAAGAGGCTAAAGCTGTTTCTAAGCATTTGCATCCACATCATTTCTTGATTTTCTCAGCTTTCATGTTGTCTCCTTATTGTCAGAATTGCCTTGAAATACTCAAAACTTATCCTTAACTGATATATCAGCCATTACTATTTGCCAAATTGTATTATACTATATTTTAGATGATATATATTATATTATACTGTATTGCATTATACAGTGTAATAGTTTACTTGATTCAGATTAAACACTTATATTCTTAAAGATTTTGATTTATTTCAACTGAAAGAGAAGAAATTATATATCATTTTATAACATTGTGAGATTATTATACATATTATATATAGTATAGTATATATGTGTATACACATGTACCTATATATAAAATATTGTTTAAAAGTAGACTATTGATAAAAACTTTCAAACCTGCTCTGAGGATGCTCCAGATTGCATTTCCTACCTACAAAGTAATTAATATTCTGAATTTTACTGTAATCATTCTTTGCTTTTTAGGAGTTTTTCTATGTACATGTGAATAATTTTTCTCCCTTTTTTTTATTTTGCATTTTAGATTTTATTTTATGTTTTTGACAAATAATTGTGCATATTCATGGGGTACATAGTAATGCTTTATACTAACCAGGTCAGAGTAATTAGCATATCCGTCATCTCAAATATATATCATTTCTTGGCTTTGGGAACATTCAGCATCCTCCTTCTAGCTATTTGAAATTATATAATATATTATTGTTAACCATAGTCATCCTACTTTGCATGAAAAAATAATATTTGTAATGAGAAAATAATAATTTGCTGTACTTTAAAGCATAGTATTTCCTCATTATAAAAATTCTGTCAATTTAGCATTTGCTTATTCCTCTAAAAATTACGTCATAATTTATTCAATAAAACATGTAGTCCAAAAGGTAAAAAATAAATTTTAATTGAATGGTTGAAATTTATAAGCGATTATTATCTGCCTTTAGCAGGGATAGCATTTCAAGTGTCTGTTATTTTATTTATTTATTTATTTTATAGTTTCAACTTTTATTTTAGATTTGGAAGTACAAGTGCAGGTTTGTTACATGGGTATATTATGTGATGCTGTAGTTCGGGGTGCGAATGATCCCATCACCCAGGTAGTGTGCATAGTACCCAATAGGTAGTTTTTTTAGCCTCTGCCCCCCTCCCTCTCTCACCCCTCTAATACTCCCTGTGTCTATTCCCATCTTTATGTCCATGAGTACCCAGTGTGTAGCGCCCACTTACAAGTGAGAATATGTGGTATTTGGTTCTTTTTCTGCCTTAATTTCACTTAGAATAATGGTCTCCAGCTGCACCCATGTTGCTGCAAAGGACATGATTTTATTATTTTTATGGCCGCATAGTATTTCATGTGTGTATATACCATCTTTTCAATCTTTTTTTCAAAAACTTTTTTGAAAGTTTTATGTGATGGAAGAATAATAAATACATTCTTTGGTGTCATGCTTTTGTCTTATTTAACATATTATTTTAGAGAAATAATCTATGTTGATGCATACAGCTATAGTTAATTCATTTTCAGTGTTATATGGTATTTCATTATATTCTAATACCACTATATTTTTATCCTTTTGCCTGCTGAATGATTTTAGAGCTTTTCTTTATTTTGCAATTATTTTTGCTATTCCGAAAGCAATGCTTCTTTGAATATCCTTCAATATATCTCCTATACACATGTGCAAGTATTTCTCTAGGGACAGTTACTTTGGGTGGAGAGCCTGAGTCTTTAGGTGTGCACATATTCAAATCTACTAGAAAGTGGAAAATTGTTTTTAAAAGTGATTTTTTCAATTGATAGTTATCCTATGTGTGTTCACATACAAGTTTCTGTTGCTCCACATCTTCACTAGGACTTGGGACTTCCCAGTGCTTTATCTTGGATCGCTTGATGGATATTATATGGAATGAATGTTAGTCTCATTTTGTATTTTTATAATTAAAATAATATATTTGATATATTTTCATTTGTTGTTTAACCATTAAAACTACTTCTATGAAATGCCTATTAATGTATTTTTTGAAATTTTAGAGATTTTGTTTATTTTTGTACAGTTTGCTTTCTTATTCATATGAAATAATTCCATATATATTCTGTATTAATAATACTTCTATTAATAAATGCGTTTATTTTCAAGTATGATTACTAATATAAATATCTTCATTTTTGCTTATTTTTTCATTTTTTTCTAGTATTTTTTCTGTAATTTCTGGGGGTTTATTATTATTTTTTCTCTCTAGTTTTTCTTCTATTAATGTAAAGATGTGCATGGCATTTTTATTTTTTATGATTATAGTAGCAATTTTCACATACATATTTAGCTTAAACTAAATATCTAAAGTTAATCTATAGACTTGCTCTATTTTAAAATTGACAAGTCATATAATATTTTCCTGAAAAGTACCTCTATCGTCATTAATTTTTAATTTCACATATAAACATTACCTATTATTTTCCTAAGACCACTTTTTAAATATACCCAAATGATTCTTTTTGCCTAGTATTCTTTCTTGCATTTAAGCTTTCTCATTTGGGATGCTTTCCTCTTGAAGTTTATCTTTTAATCACCTTTCCTTTTGAGAATGTGTTGGTAGTTATTACTTGTCTAAAACTATATTTACTTTGTTGTCTTTCTTCAAAGATGCTTTCCCTGGGTTTATTTTTCCAGGTGATAGTTATTAACTGTTAGCACACTGAAAGTCATTAGAAATATTATAAATATAATTTGTTACATTATCAAATCAAAAGAAAAATTTAATTTCAATGGTAACGGATACTTTGACAAAATTTGAAAATGATTCACTGTTAAAAGTATTATTGGTTAAAATTATTTTCCTGAACCATTTTAAAAATTGCTAAACCATATATCCTATTAGTTCTGTCTCTCTTAGAGAACCCTGACTAATATACATAGATAAATGGATAGATAGATGATAGATAGATAGATAGATAGATAGCTGGCTATATACATAAGAGTAGGTAATCATACATTATAACTACATATATATCTGTAGTTATGGCAGATAACTATAACTATATATATATATATATATATATATATATATATATATATATGGCATACAGATAGATGCATAGATAGATATCAGAGAAACCAAGTCAGTGTAGAAAAATATTCACATCTGTTGACCATATGTGAAGAGTATATGGGCATATTGGTATACATTGTACTGTTTCTTCAGCTTTTGTGTAAATTTAATGTTTTTCTAAATACAAAATGGTTGGGGAGAATAAAATAAGTAAAATGAATGAGAAATAATTTGAGTGATCTGAGATGTGTTAAAGATGCCAAATTTTCATTGAATAGTTCTTTGAGAGATTAAAACAACTCTCTTATTTAAACCAATATATTTTAGCTCACCATTGAAAAGAAAGTTAGCACTTACTTAACTCTTACAGATGAAAATTTTATTAGTTTGATATAAAGTATCTGGAAAAGCATAAAGCAAATATCTGTACTATTAGAAAAATAGAAGAAATTTTCTTTTAAAATCAAGACGAGTTATTGAACTCACTATCATCTTTTCTGCTAAATATTTCAGAGGGATTCTACTCCAGTGAGCAAGAAAAGTAAATAATTAAATATATAAATATTGGAAAAAATAAACAACACTGTCATTATTTGTCTACATAAATTTACTTACTTATTTATTTATTTTGAGAAGGAGTCTTGCTCTGTCGCCCAGGCTAGAGTGCAGTGGCACGATCTTGGCTCAGTGCAAGCTCCGCCTCCTGGGTTCATGCCATTCTCCTGCCTCAGCCTCCCAAGTAGCTGGGATTACAGGCACCAGCCACCACCCCCAGCTATTTTTTGTATTTTTAGTAGAGATGGGGTTTCACCATGTTAGCTCTCAATCTCCTGACCTTGTGATCCGCCCTCCATGGCCTCCCAAAGTGCTGGGATTACAGGCGTGAGCCACCATGCCCGGCCCAAATTTATTTATTTTTTAAAAGGAAAATAGAGTCGGAGACTTAAGCAAGACAGCTTTATATAATATCATTATACCAAAAAAAAAAAAAAAAAAAAATTCAATGACCTAAAAGGACAAAGGGTTAGTAAATATTTCAGGTTAAAATAACCAGATTTCACCTCCAAGGGGATGAAAATTGGCTCTAGGAGCTGAAGAAATTCTTAGGTATTAAAATTGTTCTGGGGCCTCCAACTCAACTCAATTCTACTTGAAAAGAAAAGTCTAAAAAGCTCTTGGAGTGAAGTCACTTATAATGAAAAAACATTGGAAAAACACAGGCTTAAATTATGGAGTAACTAATGAGTTCTCAGTAGCTTAGAACTCAGCATATGACTGTTTTGCTCATGCTTCATGTTCTTGCAGGTCAGCTGTGGCACTGTTCCCCATTGTGTTTGTGCTGGAGCTCAGAATACTAGAGCGGCATCTATGTGAAAGTTTACCACTGGAGAGGAAATAGAACACATCATGTACTGGCTCTTAAAAAATTTCTGCTCAGAAGTAACATATATACATATATATACACATGTACATATATACATATGTGTGCATATATACACATATACATATATGTATATATACACACATAAGTACATATGTGTGTATATACACATATATGTATGCACATATATGTATATATGTGTATATATGTAATATGTGTATTTGTGTGTATATATGTACATATATATGCGTATATAGGTACATATATACGCGTATATAGGTATATATGTATATAGGTACATATATGTATATATGCGTATATGTGTACATATGTGTATATGTGTACATATGTGTATGTACGTATATGTATATATACATATGTGTATATGTATACATATGTGTATATGTGTGCATATATGTGTATATGTGTACATATGTGTATATGTGTGCATATGTGTATATATGTGTACATATGTGTATATATGCGATGTGTATATATGTACATACGTGTATATATACATGTATACACATATGTGTGTATATACATGTATACACATATGTGTGTATATACATATGTGTGTACATATACATATATGTACACACATATGTGTGTATATACATATGTGTGTACATATACATATATGTACATGCACATATATATCTATATATATAGATATGCCAAATGATCAAGCCTGATCTCAAAGATGTAGGTAAATATAACCCTTCCTCAAGGAGCATAACAAGCATTTTCAAACAATAATACTTCTGCCAAATTAAAAATGATAGCAAATTATATCATTTAAAATATCAACTGTGAAATAAGAGACCTAGTAGTAAATATTATGCAAGATATTCCAGACTTTTACAGATAAAAATTTAAAATATCATCAAAAGATATTAACAACAAAACGAATTGCTTTACAAATGCAATTATCCACAAATTGATACACAGATTTAATTCAGCCTCAGTTTAGAAAGCATACATATACCTCTTTAATAATTTGACAAGCTGACTGTAAAATGGCTACTTTAGAACAAAGTATCAAAAATATCCAAATAACTCTTGAGGAATAATGTGGTGAAAATACTTGCTATACAAGATATCAAAATTACTTTTAATTAAACCCTATTAATTCAGTAATACAATGTGATTAAAACCTCATCAGCCTATATATGAGCTCTCTTGGTACAACAGAAGTGACATTTCAGTTTAGTCAGGAAGAGAGCAACTACTCAATAAATAGTGCTGGGAAAATGATTCATTAGAGGGAAAATATCAGATTGGTTCACTGCCTCACACCAAACAATGAAATTAATTGTACGTATATCACGAAGTGAAAGATGAGAAGAAACATTTTTGTAACTATTGGAAGGAAATAAAATATTAACTTTAGAACTTTAGGTTAAAAATATTTTGTACTAAACATAAAAAAAATCACAAAGGAAAATATTCATAAATTTACTACATTACAGTTAAGCTTTGTTATTCAGAAAAAGATTCTACAGAGATGATTAAATGACTAGGTACAACCTGGGAGAAGCAACTTGCAAGTAATATAATCAGGAAATAGTATACAGAGCATAAACTATTTTTGCAAATCCATAAGATGAACAACACCATTTAAGATTGTGAAAAGACAGTTGGGCAAATTGCAGTAGGCATTTCACAGAGGTAGAAATAAGAATGGCCAAACATCATATAAAAGTCATATCAGTATTAAAGAAACACATATTAAAACCACAATAATATATCTATGAGACTGAGAAAAAATTAAGTCTGTTGACTTTAATATTGGCAAGGATATGGAGCAATAATAGCTTTTACATACTGCTGATGGATATAAATGATAGAATTGAAAAAAGCCAGGTACAAGATTTAGTTTTATATTCCCGGTGAGATAGATACGTAGTTATGGAATTCTATCATATTTTTAACTATCCGATATTCAATTATTCAATAGTTTTTATTTTTCTCTATTTTTCTTTCAAATATATGCCATTTCATTTTTAATGCTTAGGTTGTTGAATTGTATATTAGAAGAATGTTTGTTTTTTTTTAAATGTAAAATGTATGGGCCTTGAAAAGAAAGCTCAAAGCTTAGGATTGGATTCCGCCCCAGTTCTTTAGACTACATATTGGAATAGAGGCTTTAGGTGGTCTCACTGCATATTTTGTAATTAAAATACAAGCCTATGTGGTATTTAAAGCAGGTGTGAGCACAAACTGTTAATTGCACGATAGATTCATTCTCTTGCACCTGAAGAGGATTCGTTTGTATGCACATTTGCAAACATATTATAAAAGAATTACCAACATATGCTGTATATTCTGTACTACTAAGTCACAGAACAGGCAACAGCAATTCACCAATGTAAGTGTGGTGCAGGTGTTAGTGGCATCACAGATGTGATATGACTGAGGAAGTACTGTAATTCAATGAAGCAGGTAGAATTATTTCCTGGAAACTTTTTTCCAAAGTGTTCTATAGTGCTAGATCATGCAATTCAAGATATTATAAAGATTGCATTAAAGGAAGACAAATTAAAAGATAGTTAAAGAGCAAGAAATTCACCTCCATCAGGTTGGAAGTTACAGTTCTTTTTTGAGGTTTTGAACTTTATCTTGAACTTTCATAAAAGTTTGATAAACCTGTTTATCACGAGGAAAGCAATCATTTCTCCAGGAGATCTTGATATTAGATGTTTAGATGTTTACACCTATCTATTACATCAAAGCACTTCTCTAGTAAAAGGTAATGAACCCAGGAAATCATTACATGGAAAATGTTAAATTCACTCTAGTTATTTTTAATATGGTATTTACAGTAGGTTGAAATACAGCTAAGCTAGACTTATAAAAAAGTTAACAATTCAAATGATTTTGAATCCTTTAAGATGTGTAGACTTTAAAAACTGAGATAAGGCATTCCTTAGACATAAGATTTTGCCCTTTTTAAATTTCATCAGGACTTAGCCAATGACCTATTAAGACCACAAACCCTTTGTGGAAATTTTAGGGCAGACTCCTGTGGATTGGTGTCAATCTCTGTGATGTTTCTTGAGAAATTGCTTTGGCAAGAGAAACAAATGTTGACTACTAAACCCAGAATTGATTTTATAAAAGTGGTAACATAACATGACCTTCACAATTTTCGCAGGAAGACAGTTTTCTGTCAAGGGTCAAAAGCAAACTTAATAAGCAAATAATTGGAAATGTAAGCAAACATAAATAGATATTAAGAATACAAAAAAGGAAGGTAAAGTTTATATGAAGCAAGCTATGTCAAAATAAATTTCATGTTAGGGGTTTCATGGTCTTGCTATTTTATCATGTCTGTGATGGTTACTTTTATGTGTCAACTTAGCTGGGCCACAGTATCCAGATATTTGGTCAAACATTATTTTGGTTGTTTCTGTGAGGGTATTTTTTGGATGAGACCGACAATTAAATCAGTGGACCTTGAGAAGAGCATATTATCCTCCATAATGTGGGTGGCCCTCATCTAATCAATCGAAAGCCTTACTAGAACAAAGAGTGACTTCCCTTGAGCAAGAGAGACTTCTGCCAGCAGATGGCCTTCGGAATTGAATGACATTTGCTCTTCCCTATCCACACTGCAGGTTTTGGACTTGTCAGCTTCCATAATTACATGAGCCCATTCCTTAAAATAAACCTCTCTTCTTTATATACACACAGGCATCCTATTGTTTCTATTTCTCTGGAGAATCCTGACTAATATAATGTCTATCTGAAGCAACTCAACCAATTTGATTTGGGTGAGATGACCTCATACAAGGTAAATATGACAAAATTAGTATAAATATATATAATATATATAACTATAGAGTGAATTGACATGGGCTGGTATCTGACTTTAATATAGATTCCAATACACTGCAATGATCCAGGTTCATAGTGTTCTTCTCCATCAAAAGCCAAGTCACCTTTCTTGATTCCGTATTGAACATGGGCTTTCCCTAGCTATATCCCAGAATAAAGCCACCTCTTCATTTGTAGACTTCATTCAAATTGCTTAGAGATAGTTATGTAGGAAGAAAATGTTTTTATATGTTTGCTAAGCTTTTGAAGCTGTAAACAAACATGTGTTTAAAAAGTGACCACAGCCAGAGCATATTGGTAATTAGTTACTTGATAAGGCAGATAGAAAAAATTACTAATTGTAATGAAGTCTGATCTACTTAGCTAATAGACTTCATAAAAGATAAGAAAAGTCACTGACAGCACTGAGAAAAAAATATTTGTCATGTCTCCAAACACCAAAAAATAAAAGTAAAAAAATTATTTAACTGTTAGTTAATATATTGAACAGGCATGGTGAGCAAGCTGCATCTGGAACAATAGAAAAATTTGGTATTTGATTTCTGTATGAGTCATATATAGACCAGTGGTTCAAACCATAAAATGAACTGGTTTTTTTCTATCTCCTCATTGTTTCTTTTCCACAGTGATTTGCTTCTAAGACAGTCATTTCTCATGGCTGTAAAGATACTGGGATACATTATTTCATATTCTTTCCACTTCCAATCTCATAAGGGAAAAATAGGAATATCTTTTCTAGCCACATCTTGATTCTCATTGGTTTTGAAACAATGATTATGTGGTGACTATCACTTAACTGATTACTCTATGATGATCTCCTTGGTTTAGGCCTTAGAACCATTCTCTGCTAGCCAGGAGGGAAGCACTTTCTGAAGCACAAGGACTAAGAAATGAAGAGAAATCCTTCCCCCAAAAAGCTAGGGTAGGGTTCCATGAAGAAGGACAAAGGGATACTGAATTATCATACATAGAATTTCTATTTGAAACATAATAAAATACAATTACACAATACTACAGCAAAGGTGAACTTAATTTATGTTTTTTTTTTTTAATTCAGAAAGCACTTCCCACTAGAATATATAATATCATTTCATAAATAACTGCACAGTAGAGGACAGCTGATGGGTGTAGAAATATCCTAATAGTTATTTAAAAGTTTAATAAAGGATTAATTGTGTAATAGCAACAATATAAGTAAACACACCTTTTATACAAAGAAAATGTGATATATAGGTTTACAAGGACATACATGGAGTTCTAAATTTAGGATAAAATCTGGAGTAAGGCAAGGATATTTCATTTCCGTAAACATTTGCAGAAACCTAACGAGCACTAGGCACAGTTTTAAGTGTCAGGAGTACAATTATTATCTGCTAGAAATAACATTTTAGCTGGGAAGATGAAATGTTACACCCAAAAATGTAAAAGGGGACAATGTCTAGTAAATGAAAAGTATGTAAGTGGTACAGGCAATAAGTGAAGTAGAATTTGGAGTATGAAGTAATCAACTTCAGAGGGAATGGTCAGCTAACAGGAAGAAGGAAATATTTGGGTATTCATAGGAGAAGATTTAAAACAAAAGGAAATTCAGATTCAAGGAGATCTAAATTGGACAAAGTCTTGAATGTCAATAATTGTTAAGACTAAGATAATTTAATTTTTAATTTACATGAAAAAATGATTTTCAGTTCAGGAAACTTTGAAACTTGATTGCATATTTTAAAGCAACACTAATAGTTATAATCATTTATTTTTCTCATTTATTGTTTAAAAATGTTTTTTTCACTGATATGAAAAAATATGTTTTGAGTTTCTAGAAAATATATTTAACTTTTGCAACTATTATGAGGAAAGTACTCTAGTACCTATTAAGATCACTTCCTCTGTCTTAATTAAATTTAAGCTCTTAAATTTTCACTTTATTCCATAAGAGTACAATTCACATGAAAATACAGAATCAAATTTAAAGCTCTAAATTAAGCTCTTTGTCCTTTTCTTTACTTAACTTCCTTTATTTTTCCAGTTTCTTTCATTATCCATTAAAAAGTCAAAATATTTTAAAAATTAATCAATTCATCTAAGAAAATTGAAAATACATAGAATTGCAAGAAAAAATAGCAAAAATAATTTGATCTGTTATTATTTTATAATTATGTGAAGTGTGCATAAACACTTCATAAGTTCGATTATATCAAACATTTAGTAGGAGAGGTATGCTAGCAAGTATGTGACTTTTGACACTAGGCTATAAAAGGCAAGGTAACTTCCTGTTTGTCTCTCTTGGACATCTTACTCTGGTTTAAATTAGCTGCCCATGCCATGAGGATACTCAAGTTGCTCTGTGGAGAGATCCACATGACAAAAACCTGAGACCCATCAACAGCCAGCAAGAAATTCAGGACTGTACAGTTGTAAGCCACTTTGTAAGCAAATCCTTCTGCTCCTGTAAAGCCTTCAGACAACTTCAGCCCTAGTGGATACTTGACTGCAACTTTGTGGGAGACCTTGAGCCAGAACTATCCAGCGAAGCCATTTCCAGATACCCAACTTTCAGAAATTGTACAAGAGAATAAATATTTATGTTTTTAACGCCAAAGTTTTAGGATATTCTGTTACCCAGCAACAGGTAAATAATGCAAGATGACTGTAACATATTAAGTAACTATGATATTTAAAATATTTTTAGCCAGAGGATGGATATGATTAGATTTCCAGGATTCTGTTAAAAGCAACAGCAAGCGTTTACCAAATACCAAGTCTGTGTCAAATCATACAGGAGTGATATGATTTGGTTACTGACTTTAAATTGAGAATAGAGAATATACACTAATAAAGTATTAGAAAGCAATTGATTTTGTTTTGGAGAAACAGATTTATGAAATAGGCAGCACTCTGCAGTGGAAAAATCAGCATGATGGCATGAGTCAGGGAAGGCTTCCAGAAACAGACTGGAGTTGAACTGTTTTTTGACAAATCTGTGAGATTCGCACAGAAGAAGTAAAAGAGAGGTTATTCTTCTTTAGGAGTACATCATAATCAGAGATGTAATGATGGAAACAATATGTAAGCAATCATATAAATAGAAATTTATCTACAGTAGAGACTGACTTGGGAAATAGAAATAAACACAGATTGATAGAGCAGGGCCCTCCAGAAAGGGCCTGAATACCAGGCAGAATATTTTTATTTTAATAGCAGTCAGGGGACTTACAAATGATCTTAAACAGTGAATATACCTTGACATTTCTACTAGCAGGGAATGAGGTTTACTACTGAGAGAACACATTAGATCATTGTACAGGCATAATTCTTAGCAAGTTCTTACTTATCTTGAACAGAAATTTGCCTTCTCTCTAATTTCAGTACGTGCTCTTACTTACGTAGCAGAAAATAATTATCAGGGACTCTTAGAACATTTGCATTGGAAAAAACCTGGAATCTGATCTTTTCCAACCACCCAGTTGATTCTTATAAATTCACATAAAACATAGCCATACATCCCATGCTTGAATAACTCCTGTGATGTGATTTTCAACCAGTTCTCCAAGCATCTGTATTTACTTTTAGACAGTTTTGACAAATGAAAGTTTGCCTAAAACTGTGTTTGTCTGTAAACATAGGCCCCAGTTTTAGAACTTTGAGTCACACAATTTAAATAAATAAGTCTAATCCCTCTTCCATATGGCAAGCTGTTAACTATTTAAAGATGGCATGCTCCCCTTGGAATTAGGGGATAGAAAGATTCCATTCTTCCGGTTTTCCCTACATGTCACAGCTTAGAATCTTTTCAATAAATATTGCACTAATTCCCTTCTGAACACCCCATAGTGTGTCTTCAGCATATGGAAGGTGTGATTCTTCAGAGGGAGGGTAAAGTTCCAGCAGGGTGTCTTTAGTATAAGGAAGAATGCTTTTAAAGTATTCTGTTTCCTAGTTTGGAATTTATATTTCTTTTTTTTTTTTTTAACATTTTTTCTTTTATTTTATTTTTATTATACTTTAAGTTTTAGGGTACATATGCACAATGTGCAGGTTAGTTACGTATGTATACATGTGCCATGCTGGTGTGCTGCACCCATTAACTCATCATTTAGCATTAGGTATATCTCCTAATGCTATCCCTCCCCGCTCTCCCCACCCCACAACAGTACCCAGAGTGTGATGTTCCCCTTCCTGTGTCCAAGTGTTCTCATTGTTCAATTCCCACCTATGAGTGAGAATATGTGGTGTTTGGTTTTTTGTTCTTGTGATAGTTTACTGAGAATGATGATTTCCAATTTCATCCATGTCCCTACAAAGGACATGAACTCATCATTTTTTATGGCTGCATAGTATTCCATGGTGTATATGTGCCACATTTTCTTAATCCAGTCTATCATTGTTGGACATTTGGGTTTGTTCCAAGTCTTTGCTATTGTGAATAGTGCCACAATAAACATTGAGACGAAGCCTCACTCTGTTGCCCAGGCTGGAGTGCAGTGGCAGGGTCTCGGCTCATTCCAGCCTCTGTCTCCTGGGTTCCTGTGATTCTTGTGCCTCAGCCTGCTGGGTACCTGGGATTACAGTCATGCGGCACCATGTCTGGCTAATTTTGTATTTTTAATAGAGACGGGGTTTCACCATGTTGGCCAGGCTGGTCTCGGACTGCTGACCTCAGGTGATCTCCCCGCCTGGCCTCCCAAAGTGCTAGGACTACAGGCATGAGCCACCACGTCCAGCCATTTCTTTTGTTTATAAGTCGCTTTCACCAATTATTTATGCTTTTATTTAATAATTTTTTTTCACTTCACCAATTCTTTAAGCTTTTTTATGGCAGTGCTGTTGAAGTTGAGTTTATTGTTCTTAAAATTCTCAAAATCTGTTTTAAGAATTCTGTATCTCTACCACATCTCACGGTAAATAGGTAGTTAGGTAGGTAGGTAGGTAAATAGGTAGGTAGGTGTACTGTAAGACCTAACAGGTCACTCTCTTATCATTGAGGTTGTACTGATATGTCCTGCCAATCTAAATTTTGAGATCCTAAGTCTATCTGCCTGTGTAGGGTTGGTAAAAAATTTAGACATTATTACTCTAGCCTCTCGTTATTCCAATGAGGAACCTAAACTCTCAGAAAAATATTACTTGAATAAGCAAATACAGTTAACTGTTCGTAGAACTAGCAGAGTAACTCCAGCCTCATAATATATTTTCTGTAACTGTTTTTACTTTTTCTGCCTAATGTGCATTATGAGTATGAAGAATATGTGCTTTTTTCCTTATCAAAAACATTACCATTTTTGATAGATTTTTCTCACTTGTTTCTGGTTTACTCTATTACTGCTTTGGTTGCACTTGTTAATTTAACAATTAAACCTATTTTATTTACAAGTCACTGCAGCATGTATGGTGTGGCAGATCCAATAAGACTACATATACTCAACTTTCAGAAAGCAAAAACATGGTTTTTTGTTTTTACTTGTAAAGAAAACAAAGATCCAGAAAGAAACTAAGGCACAAAAATACAACCTATGTCCTTTATGGAGTACGTTTGGAAAAGTTTATGGAGGTAAAAATGTATGTAAACTAAAGTTAACCATTTTAAATATACTATTTAATGTAATTTTAAAAATCTTATACAGGTATGTAACAATCATCACGAACAAAATATAGAATATGTCCATAACCTTGAAAAGCTTTTTTGCCTGGGTATAGTAATCCCTTTCCTCATCCAGAACCTGCTAAAAATTGGTTTCCTGACTATTCCCATACATTTGTCTTTCCCAGACTATCATAAAATGGCATCACATAATTCTTTCATTTAGCATATCATCGAGATCCCTCCATGCTTTTTGTGTGTATCACTAGTTTCTTCCATTTTGTTGCTGAGTAGCATTCCATTGTATAGACATATTACAATTAGTTTTTATATTTACCAGCTAATGCACTGGTTGTTTCCAGTTTGGGGCTAATATGAATAAAGCTGCTATGAACATTCCCTTATGAATCAGTTAGTGAGTGTATATTATCAGTTATGTTGGGACCATCTAAGACTGAGATTTTTAGTATAGTAAGGATGTGTTTAACTTTATTACAAAATCCACAAAACTTATTCCAAGTGGCTACTGTAGTGCTACTGTAACAAAGTACCACATATCGAGTTGCTTAAAAAACAGAAAATGTATTGTCTTACAGTTCTTCAGGACGTAAGCTTGAAATCAGTGTCTTGGCAGTTTTGGTTATTTCTGATGCTTGTGAAGGAAGAATTTACAAAGTCTCTCTACTTGGATTGTAGATGGTCATGTTCTCCTTATATCTCTTCACATCATCTTTCCTCTATGCCTGACTTGTCTACTAATTTCTTTTTATAAGGACACCAGTCATGTTGCATTAGGTCCTAACCTTAGGACCTCATCTTAACTTAGCTAATTACATCTGCAATGATCCTTTTTCCAATTGAGGGCACACAATTCAATTCATAATAGTGGCTGTACTGTTTAGCATTCTTATTATCAGTGTGTGAGATTTCCAGGTGTTCTATGCCCCCACCAGCACTTGGGGTTGTTGTCTTTTAAATTGTAACTTTTCAGATAGGTAAGTGTTTAGTGGTATCTCACTTATGGTTTTAATTTGTATTTTCCTGATAGCTAATGATTTTAGCATATCTTCATATGTATTTTTGTCATCCATATAACTTCCTTGGCAAAGAAGCTATCCATATCATTTATTCAATTTTTCAAGGATGCTTTGTCCTATTAATATTTAATTGTATGATTTCTTTACATATTGTGGGTATGTCCTTAAATGTATTTTGCAAATATTTCTAGTAAAATAAAACTTTATGTTTTTAATTTTTTTCAGAGCATCTCTGGAAGAACAGCAGTTTTAATTTTGAATAAATTCTAACTTATTAATTGTTTTATTTTATAATTTGTGATTAACTTTGTTCTAAGAGTTCTACTGAACCCAAGTTACAAAAATTTTCTTCTATATTTTATTCTATAATTTTTTAAAGTTTTAGATATCCTAATTCTATGATTATTTCAAGTTAACTTTGAAATATGGAGTGAGGTAACATTTTAAATTCATTTTCTACCATATGGATGCTCAATTTTTCCAGCACTATTGGTTGAAAGAATTTTTTATATCTATTACTAATTACATTCTCTTGGCACCTATGTTGAAAATAAATTGTCCATATCTGCATGGTTCCACTCCTGGAATCTCTATTCTGTTTCATAGTTCTATATGTGCATCTTTACACCAATACCTCACTAACTTGAATACAACACTTTTATAATAAATCTTTGAAATTACGTAGCATTAATCCTCCAACTGTGTTATTTTCAAAATTATTTTGACTATTCTAGATCCTTTGCATTCCCAATCATAATGCTCCATGATTAGCAGTTTGCCAATTTCTACAAAAATTAAATAATTTTATTGGGTTAACTTTGCACCTATAAATCGAGTTGAAAAGAATTATCAGTTTTTGCTATTTAGTCTTCTGATCCATGAACATGCATACTTCTCCATGTATTAAAGGCTTTGTTAATGCATCTTTGTAATGCTTTGTAGTTTTCAGTTTAAAAGTTGGGCAAATACTGTAAAATTCATCTCTAAGTGTTTTAAGGTTTGGGATATTTTAATTTTTTCAAAAAACTGTAAAGTCCAAGTGTCTCATTATATATGTATTTATATGTATATATACATCTGTGTGTGTATGGATATTAATAAAAGATCCAGATATATACAATCATGTATAGCACATCACTGATATAGCTTTCATTATTGCTAAACTCACCTAGTTCTAGTACTCCTTTATAAATAATTTGGGAATTTCTATGCAATAATATATTGTCCTTTCTAATTTGTATGGAGTTTCTTTTTTCTTTTTTCACTTTCTTACCTTCTTGCATGGGCTAGAGCATCCAATACAATATTAGATAAAATATTAGATAAATGCAGATACATATTCCCAATTTCAAAGTTTTCCTATGCTATTTTATTGTATTATGTCCAGGGTTTATAGTTTTAAAATGGTAGGAACTAGGAGAAATACTCCATCATGGCCAGAGGTCTGCCTCCATTTTTGGTTATGTTTTTTAGTGTGATAGTAGAAGTAAATTTTTGGTACTTGTTCTTTATCAGATTGAAAAAGTTCCCTTCCACCTCATTCTTAGTAAAAAAGCTTTCAGCTTTTCACTGTTGAGTATAATGTTAGCAGTGATTCTTCATATATAACCTCTATTATGTTGAGACAATTTTCTTCTACTTCAAGTTTGCTGAGTGTTTTTATCAATGAAAGGGTGTTAAATTTTGTGAAGTAAATTTTCTGCATCTATTGAGATAGTTATGTGATTGTTATTCTTTTTTTCTGTTAATATGATGTATCACATTAACTGGTTTTCACTTGTTAAACCATTCTTGGATTCCAGGAATAAACCCTACTTGGTCATGGTGTATATTTTAAGACTTTTTTTAAGAGCAATTTCAGATTCACAGTAAAATTGAGAGGAAGGTCAGAGATTTCCTATATACTCCCTTCCCCAAAACACGGATAGCCTCCCATTATTAACAGCATTCTGGGTGGTACATTTGTAACAATTTGTAAAATTACACTGACACATCATAATCACCCAAAGTCCACAGTAACATTGTGGTTCCTTCTTGAATATGTACTGTTTCCAATTGTTTGGACAAGTTTGAGAAACACTGGCATTAATTCTTTAAATGTGGGTAGAATTCCAGGTGGTCCTGGACTTTTCTTTGTTTAAAGTGATAATTATCTCTTCTTGATCATTTGACCCATCTATCATATGTAATGTTCCTCTTTATCTCTGGAAATATTACTTATTCTGATGTCTCCTTCAATATTAATGTAGCCTTTTAAGCTATTTAAATCTACATTTATATTATACACCTTCTTTATGCTTTCACTTTAACCTGTCTCTATCTTACATTTAAAGCAGGTGTTTGTAGTTAGAATATAGTTGGATCTTTCCATTTTATTCAATCAATAAAATGTCTGTCTTTTAATTGGAAAGTTTATATAACATATCATTATCAGTAAGATTTTTTTATCTACCACCTTGCTATTTGTTTTCTATTTGTTCCATCTGTTTTTCTTTATTTTCCTGCTACTTTTGTATTAGTAGAATTAAACAGTATTACATTTTTCTACCATTGGCTTATTGACGTGTTATCATTTTTTATTTAATGGTTGATTTAGGGTGTATTATATACATTTGTGTTTATCAGAATCAACATTCTAATGTATTATACAACAGTATAGTATATAGTTGGAACCCTACAACTATGTAATATAAATTTCTTTTTTCCAGTCTTTATGTTATTACTTTTATAGATTTTTTTCTTTGTATCTTAAAAACCCCACAATGCATTGGTTTTATTTTTTGTTTTAGTCAACTGCCTTCTAAAGAAATTAGAAATAGCCCAACCTTCCACTACCTCATCCCACCTTGTTGATGCCAGCTAAGGTGGAAATTTAGCTCCACGTTGTGCCTGCTTACACAAAAGGGAAGGAAAAAGAATTGGAGCACTGACTAGCCCCAGCTCACATCACCTTGCTCAGTTTCATTGATGCCAGATGGGGGCACAGGACCATCATCTCTTTTAGTTTTGTTGACTTCAAAGTTGAGGGGGACCAAAGTGCTGACTAGGCCTGTCTTGTGTGGGCTTTGTTAAGTGTTCCTACTGTCGTGTAGGGGATAGAAGTTCAGTTCCCTGCAGAGTTTCTCCAACATCATCCCATTGTTTGAGCACCTCCTACTTTTGCCAAACAGAGGATAGCAGATCAGTTTCCTACCCAGCCCACGAACACAACTTGGAGAGGGTACTGAATCACAGTGCTTTGCTATTGTGGGGTAAAAGAGACAGGATGAAAGATAAGCTATTTATTCCCCTCTGAATCTGGGTGTGGAGAGGTGGTTTCTTTTTTGGTATTTGACTGGAATTAGTCGCATATTAGCTGGGAGGTTTTCTGTTTTATTAGGCTGCTCTTTTCCTAGTCATTTGACTAGGCAGAACAGAATTTTTCTGGAGGTTTTTTTTTCTTTTTTTAAAATTGTGTAATTTGTCTGTGTTTTGGTAGTTCCAGGTTAAAAGTTCCTGAAGTCATCTCTCCTGCTCTCCAAAATATACAGGAAGTAATAAAAAATAAATAAATAAAAATTAAAATTAAAAAAAAATCCAGAAAACCAACATGTTGTTCCTTAATCCTTGAAGTCCCTAGACACTTCATCTTCTCTTTTCCAACTTTCAGAATTTTCCTGTGTTTCTTTTTGTGTTATGTCCAGGGTTTATAGTTTTAAGAGGTAGAAACTGAGAGAAATGGAGCTACTCCATCTTGGCCAGAGCTATAAGTTGGCCTCCATTTTTGCATATGTTTTGGCTTGGTATAGAATTTTGTATTAATATTTTTTAGTACTTTAATGTTCCATTATTCCATTATCTTACGCCTTGGGTGTTTTCATTTTCTCTTCTCTTTTCTTTGTTTCTTTCATGAGAAGTCTGCTCTCATTCTTTCATTATATGTTCTCCCTCACCTCCCCTGGAATCGAGCTCTCTCAAATATTTTTTCTTCTCCATTCTGTTTTCCTCTCCTTCTCCTTTTTGAAGATCATGTATAGCACATTAGCATGTTTAGCTACAACAGTTGTAGTATTTTCACAAAGCTCTTGAATACTCTGTCCCTCTAAACGTTTTTTTTTTTCTTTTTGTGTTTCACTTTAGGTTACTTCTTTTGATCTATTTTCAAGATCAGTAATAATTTCCTTGCTGTGATCTGTCCTCTAATAACCCTATCCAAAGTATTCTTCACCTCTGATGTGCTTTTATTATACCTTTTCTTTTTTACTCTTGTTTATAGTTTGTATATCTAATGATGTTTTCCAGCTTTATATGGCATTTCACCTTTGTCACAAAATCCTTTAACATAGTATTCATAGCTATTTTAAAGACCCTGTCTGATAGTTCTAACATCTTGTTCATCTCTAGATCTGGTTCTGCTGACTGATATATATCTTGACAAAGAGTCTTTTTTGTTGTTGTTTCAAGATATATCAGCGAAAACCAGAAATTGTGTCTGATGAATAGTAAAAACAGAGGTAGAAATAGGCCTACATCTTCTCTATCAGAATGACCATGTGTGAGGATGAATCAACCTAGTCAATAATGGCCCACTTTGATGTTATTTTTGCCCTCAGTGTCTCACAGTGGTGGGATGAAATTTGTCTTGTTACAGACTGCTGAGACTTTGTTCTCAGTATTGGCTCTTCAATACAAAGAGTTTTTCTAATCTACTCCACTCTCAAGTTCTTTGTTGTTGTTGTTTTTGGCTTTTTTGGCATGGCTGTATCTCAAAGAGTTTTATTCTTCACTCCTGATTTTCCCTTATCAATGAACTATTACCTGTTGTTTGGTAGAAGGCAAGTGATAGGGGCAAATGGGGTCTCTCATTGCGCCTGCTTCACTCTTTATCTGAACCAAGACCACTGGACCTCAGCCTCATCGTTTGATCTTTCTCAGAATTCCTGGCCCTCCTTGCCATGGGCAAACTCAGACTTGTATCAGTGGAAGGTGTTGGATGGGAGCAGATTTCCTATGCATTTCACAATGGTAGCAGACCCCTGTTCTGAATCAAGGCAGGATTCCTGGCACTGGGGGATTTTTGCTCTTCTTCCATAGGTAGATGACATTTTCTTCTACCCCTTCCCAAGGGACATTCCACCTTTTCATTCAGCATTTTCCCCCTATGAAATGAGTGTTCAATGAGTAGATGAGTTCTTAGGACTCTGTGCAATGAGAAGGGCTTCCTCAAGTTTTTTGACCTGACTCCAATCTATGTCATGAGAATCTTGTAAAGATCTACCTAAAAGAGCCGACCAATAAATGGGAATGTTGTGTATGTGTTTGGGGCTCTCAAGCCTTCTGAATGGTCAACCCAACTCACATTCGCTTTCAATAATTTTTTCTAATCTCAGTTGTGTCCTTCTTACCTGCTTTTATGGCTCCCAACACTTCCTCCCATGCTTAGCTAATGGTTCACCCAGTTATATTTCCTAAGGAGTTTGTGGCCATTTGGGATCTAGTTTACCTATTTGCCTTGTGACTACTGCTATCTGATGGCTTCACTCTCCAAAAAAAGAAAGGTACTGATTTTATAGATTACACACATTTTCTCACTGGGAATGACATTCTTATTAAGATTGCTACATTCTGTACAGAAGCAAAACTTACCTTTCTGTTAAAACATATTTTTAGCATACTGTGGGTGCCAATATTCTACTAGGTGATTTATTTATGAACTAATGTTTAATAAGTTAGAAAACTTTAGATAGTAGGTATTGAAAATAAATTATTCCTACTATTTTGAAAAAATTAATTTATTGGATTGATGTGGAATAGCTCATCAAACTGAAGGAGACTGTAAAACCACACTTAGGAAAGAACAGGAGGAAGAACAGCTTCAGGGCTCTTCTTATCCAGAATTAAAGGACATGCTCCGTAGAACATGCACACTGTTTATTAGGGAGAAGATAAAATTCTAAGTGGGTCTCCTCCCGAACTGTAATTGCTGGAGACAAGGTACTCTTGTCAAGAAAAGAAAAATAAAGGGATAGGCAGGGAAATACATCCATGGCCACAATAATTATTTTATACATTTTCTAATTTGTACCAAAATATATGGCATTTATTTCATTCATACATTTGTATTTTTTATTTTTCCTTTTGAAGAATAGATCAATAGACATAAAACTGTAACAGTTACATATTCCTATATAGTCAAGTGTCAACTAACATTTCACTCAACAACGGAACATATATATGACAGTGGTCTCATAAGATTAAAATGGAGCTGAAAAATTTCTATTGCCTGGTGACATTGTACCTGTCATAACGGACATTGTAGCTGTCGTTAAGTCTTAGTGCGATACATTGCTCAAGTGTCTGAGGCGATGCTCATGTAAACAAACCTACTGCATTTCCAGTCATACAATTATGTATAGTACATAATACTTGATAATTATAACAGAGGAAACACAGGACTCATGAGCAAAAGAAGGGAGGTGATTCAGGGGTTTACTCTAGTAATTCACGCAAAAGCAGATGGTGGTTTAGGCAGGGAGATAAGAACAGAAGTACTAATAAGTGGTCTGATTTTAAACATATTTTGAATGTAGAGCCAATGGGCTTTGTGGAAAGATTTCATGTGGTTATTGACTGAGAGAGAGAAAAACAACTCCAATAATACTGGCCTGAGCAACTGAAACAATAAAGTTGCCATTTACCAAATTTAAGAAATAAACAAATGGAATAGATTTGAGGAATAAAATAATGAATTAAGTTTTAGATAAACAAATCTCAAGTTGAGGTGAGAGTTTCATACAAGAAACATAAACTTGGGTTTCATCAATCTATAAGTGGTATTTAAAGCCACCAGTCCAGATAAAATCTCCTTGGAGGTAAGTATTAGAAGGATAGAGGCAATCTGAAGACTGAGATATGAGGCACTCTGGATATGAAGCAGATCAATAAAAGAGAGGAGAAAGGAGCAGCCAATGAGGTAGAGGCACAAATATGAGAATGTGTTCTCCCTGAAGCTGCATAAGGAATGCACAGATAACTCACCGATAGTAAAGAATAGAGCAGGTTAGCAAGATACAGGGAAGTGGGCAGATGTGGTCACAAGAGTTGTAGAAGTTCCCTCTTCAAATTACTTCTTTTGTGTGTGTATGAAGCAGGGTCATCAGCAACATTTGCAAATGGAGATTTAAAGAAAGAAAATAATATGCAAATAAGATACAAAGTAATTGTTAACACATACACAAAACAGTAAAATAAAACCTATATATAATGTTAAAAATCTCTTCTTTTCAATGAGGCCTTTCATTATATCTTGCTTAAAATTGTTTATTCTGTGGAATGAAATAATAAATAAATAAATAATAAAACCAGGATACCTGGATTGTAGAAATAATGTGTATAATACAGGGGGGAAAGAAAGAGCAATCAAATGAGAAAGAAATCAAGGGCATCCAAATTGGTAAAAACGAAGTCCAACTGTCATTGTTCCCTGATGATATGATTGTATACCTAGAAAACCCTAAAGACTCACCCAAGAAGCCCCTAGATTGGATAAATAATTCAGTAAAGTTTCAGATTATCAATGTACACAAATCAGTATCACTGCTACACACCAACAATGACGAAACTTAGAATCAAATCAAGAACTCAATTCCTCTTACAAGAGCTGCAAAAATAAAATAAAATAAAATAAAATACTTATGAATATACCTAACCAAGGAGGTGAAAGGTCTCTACAAGGAAAACTACAAAACATTGCTGAAAGAAATCATTGTTGACACAAACGAATGGAAACACATCCCATGCTCATGGATGGGTAACATTAATATTGTGAAAATGACCATGCTGCCAAAAGCCATCTACAATGAAATCCCCACCAAAATACCATCATCATTCACAGAACTAGAATAAACAATCCTAAAATTCATATGGAACCAGAAACAGAGCCTGTATAGCCAAAGCAAGACTAAGCAAAAAGAACAAATCTGGAGGTATCACATTACCCAACTTCAAAGTATACTACAAGCTATGGAACCAAAAACAGAGCCTGCATAGCCAAAGCAAGACTAAGCAAAAAGAACAAATCTGGAGGTATCACATTACCCAACTATAAACTATACTATAAGGCTATAGTTACCAAAACAGCATGGTATTGGTATAAAAATAGGCATGTAGACCAATGAAACAAAATACAGAACCCAGAAATAAAGTCAAATACTTACAGCCAACTCATCTTCTGCAAAGCAAACAAAAACATAAAGTGGGGAAAGGAAACCTTATTCAACAAACAATGCTGATAATTGGCAAGCACGTGTGGATGAATAAAACTAGATCTCTATCTCTTATAGAAAAATCCATGCAAGATGGATAAATGACTCAAATCTAAGACCTGAGACCATGAGAATTCTAGATGATAACATTGGAAAAACTCTTCTAGACACTGGCTTAAACAGAGTTCATCACCAAGAACCCAAAAACCAATGCAACAAAAACAAAAATAAAT
This sequence comes from Homo sapiens, assembly GCF_000001405.40. Classification (NCBI taxonomy): domain Eukaryota; kingdom Metazoa; phylum Chordata; class Mammalia; order Primates; family Hominidae; genus Homo; species Homo sapiens. The sequence goes on along the minus strand of NC_000012.12, from coordinate 17,242,294 downwards.
ATATGGGTTCTAATTAAACTAAAAACTTTATGCACAGCAAAAGAAATAATCAGAAAACACAGACAACCCACAGAGAGGGAGAAAGTATTCACAAACTATGCATCTGACAAAGGACTAGTATCCAGAATCTACAAGAAACTCAAACAAATCAGCAAGAAAAAAACAAATAATCTGATAAAAAAAAGTGGTCAAAGGACATGAATATACAATTCTCAAAAGAAGATATATAAATGTCCAACAAGCATATGAATAAATGCTCAACATCACTAATCACCAGGGAAATGCAAATTAAAACCACAATGTGGTACCACCTTACTGCCATTCTACAAGAATGGCCATAATTAAGAAAAATAGATATTGCCATGCATGAGGTGAAAAGCAAACACTTTTACACTGCTGGTGGGAATGTAAAGTAGTACAACCACTGTGGAAAACAGTTTGGAGATTCTGTAAAGAACTAAAAGCAGAACGACTATTCCATCCAACAATCCTACTTACTGGGTATCTACCCAAAGGAAAAGAAGTCATTATATGAAAAAGACACTTACACACACATGTTTTTAGCAGCACGATTCACAGTTGCAAAAATGAAGCCTAAATGCCCATCAACATGTCCATCAACCAAAAGGGGATTAAAAAATGTGGTACATATACACCATGAAACACTACTCAGCCATAAAAAGGAAACAAATACTAGTATTCACAGCAAACTGGATGGAATTAGAGACCATCATTCTAAGTGAAGTAACTCAGTAATGGAAAATCAAATATTGTATGTTCTCACATACAAGTAGGAAATAAGCTATGAGGAACCAAAGGCATAAGAATGATATAATGGACTTTGGGGACTCTGGGAAAAGGGTGGGAGGGGGGATGAGGGATAAAAGACTACATACTGGGTACAGTGTACACTGCCTGGGGTATGGGTGCACCAGAAATCCCCACTAAAGAACGTATGCATGTAACCAAAACCACCTGTTTCCTAAAATCTATTGACTAAATAAAGTAAAATGTAATAAAATAAAATAATAAAAGTTATCTGGTTATCATAAACATAAGAAAAAAGTAAGCCAGAGGTAGGCACCAAAAAAACAAAAAAAGAAAAGAAAAGTTGGTAAGGAAGAGAGAAATAAGAAGCCCTGTTGAAGTCAGATAATCCACTACATGAATGATAAGGGTAAAAAGGAATACATGAAAAATGTAGTTCAAAAGTCTATAAACCAATGTGCATAGTTCTGCCTCATTATTTTATTATGACTTGAGTGTTATCTATTAATTATTTCAAGAAAACACTATTCTTATTAAGCTAATATTTAGAAAACTGAATTTTGAAATTGATCATAGTGCTTTAGATGTAAGTGCAATTTAAATAAGCTGTAGATTTCCATCTATTTTAGCTCACAGCCACAGATGCTTTGAGAAACATTTCTTGTTATATGCTGATTACATGCAAATAATATACACTGAAATTATGAGGACCACAATGGGTTAAGTGAGCAGGAATTAGGTATATGAGTAGGTATATGAGGAAAATTGTTGGCTTCAAGTTCTAGATTACCAGGACCCAAGGGAATTACTTACCTCTAATAGTAATCTCTATGTGTGTGTTTTACAGGCCGCTTTATTCCATACAAATACCTGAGTAAGATTTCCCATTGAAAGGGTTATTTATGTGTACCAGAGAATTTCTTTAAACAATGCTTAACACATGATTATTATAAATATTTGTGACTAGGGTTTCAGAAATGAAGGGTAGATTCCATTCTGGGGAACTCACAATATAGGTGGAGTGATGGATAAATTAGTGATGGTAGAGTGATGGATAAATGGCTTAACACATGATTATTATAAATATTTGCTACTAGAGTTTCAGAAATGAAGGGTAGATTCCATTCTGGGGAACTCAAATATAGGTAGAGTGATGGATAAATTAGTAAACAATTACAAAATGATGACATAAGTGACATGGTGGTGCTATCATTGATGAGCAGGTGCTAGGTAGCAAGAGAAAAGAGTGAATGACATAAAAATGATGTGAAAAAGCACTGGAATAAAGAGACAGACTGCTGTAAATCTGAGAACTGTTCATTGTCCTGTATAGTGAATGTGGGGTCCACTCAGTCAGGAGGGCTGAGATATGAGAGGTAGTCAGGGACAAGACGAAGTGAGGTCTCCTACAGCAGTCTAAGAAAATGAAACTTGGCATTGAAAGCAGTGGGTATTCTAAGTCAGGGAATGACGTAATGAATTTTATATTTTACAAAGACTACTCTAGTATCACATAGGGGACAATTTGGAAAGCGACAATAAATGGGGAGGAAGAGAAATTAGAAGAGGCTTTTGACAAAATCCAGATCAAAGATGTTGGCTTAAGATGTTTACATAAGACAATGGCAATAAGAATATTTTAAAAAGGGCCGGGCGCGGTGGCTCACGCCTATAATCCCAGCACTTTGGGAGGCCGAGGCGGGTGGATCATGAGGTCAGGAGATCGAGACCATCCTGGCTAACAAGGTGAAACCCCGTCTCTACTAAAAATACAAAAAATTAGCCGGGCGCGGTGGCGGGCGCCTGTAGTCCCAGCTACTCGGGAGGCTGAGGCAGGAGAATGGCGTGAACCCGGGAAGCGGAGTTTGCAGTGAGCCGAGATTGCGCCACTGCAGTCCGCAGTCCGGCCTGGGCGACAGAGCGAGACTCCGTCTCAAAAAAAAAAAAAAAAAAGAAGAATATTTTAAAAAGACAATCACTTTTAAAGAATAGGACTGATTATTGACGGAGCGTGAAACTAACAAGATTTGAACTCTAACATGATCACATGTTATTTTCTTTGTTAGAAAAACACAAAAATTAACCAAATAACACTTATAAAAGCAGCCTCTGAATGTTGGTCCTGCAGTCAGACTACATGGTTTATTTGGAAGATTTCTCACAAAGCAGCTGTGTGCACATTCCGTACCTCAGTTCTATCATTTGTAAAAAGAAGTCAGAATTTTAATTCTTTGGATTATCGTTAGGATGAAAGAAAATATAGATGATGTATGTGAGTTAGAATAATCTCTGGAAACTGAAAAATCTACTACAAATTTTAAGAAATAAAGGAATATGGAACACACCTATTATCCTTTGATATAAAAATGACTGTAAAATATATTTATAATCTTGATTTTACCAATATAAAGACACAGATTTTAATATAGTTACAGGAAAAAAATGTTCAGAACTGTATGAGAGATCTTTTTAGCAAGGAACTTCAGAACTAACAATTTAAAATCATCAACTTGAATTTCTTCTAATATAAAACAAATGAAATATTTAGATTAAAAGATCTTTCATGTAGAAATGCTTTGCATATAAATATAATCCAGAACCCTACACTTTAATTCTCAACCACTTTATCAGTTCTTAGGCAAAGGAGGTATGAAGTTTTAAAATATTTCTCAGGGGTCTGGAATTTATTTCAGTCATTGTAAATGATCACTTTACATGTTTCATAGTGAATTATATGATTTTCTCTATATAATACTACATTGAATTTTATAATAAATGACAAGTAAATAAGCCACAAAAGCAAAAAAAAAAATTATTCTGTAATTATTATGACTGAGACTTAGTAAAAAGGATGACATATTATAGGAACAAAATAAAGTATATTTTGCTTGCACACTGATAGTATTAAATTATGGATATCTTACAACATTGAGTGTCTTTGTATATGTACACTAGTCTATATTGAAGATCCAAGACAAACATGAAATTGCTGAAAATGTCATTTGATATCGTGTATGACACTGATACATGCCAGTCAGGCTTTCCAAGCAAAGTATAAGTGATCAGTTGAACAATGTCAAAAAAGATTTTGAAGACCAGTGTAACCAGATGATTATTATAAATCAGGAAAATAGAATAACAAACACTCAAGAAATTATAAATCTATGAATGGTAAGTTTTCTTTTCTTAATCTTCTCAATGACATTTTGAAGAAAAGTAAGATTCAAGAGATAGAAGTCAATAAAGTTATTAGTGTCTTGTGTTAGATTTTTAACAATTCTTTCCTTCAAAGAAGTCAGACAGCTACACAGATATGCGATGGAGAAAACAGCCTCAAATAATAGCTTCCTCGTGTTCAACAATTCACTATGACAATGCTTATTTTAAGCAGGAAATTCATATCACATTTTGCATCTCTAGGAATGTGGGTACTTCTATCTTGCTAATAACAGGTCACACCACAAAACACACGTTTTTATAATTCCTCCTGATGAAGATTTGCATTCAACATAGAAATTTAGTAGATGGCACTCAATCTACTAATTGAACACCTGACTGGTGATCTTTCAAGTTCTTTTGGAAAAACTAGCATGGAAGAGTTAAGCCTCTTTCTCAGAATCTTTAAACAGTAATTTTGCTCAATATTGGGAGTGTTAACTATTGACTTCTAAATGTTGTTACAAAGGGAAATTTATCCTGCCTACTACCTCTTTCTTACCTACAAATCATGCAATAGTGTAAATTGTTTTTTCCATTATGATAATTTGTCAAGCAAATGAAATTTCACATTTATATTGATGGTTCTATTATACCGGTTTCACACAATTCACAAGAAGGAAATAATTTGGTTATTATTTGATTTACTTAAATTATGTAGTCAACCCAATAACGTATTTTCTTAATGCTAAATTATTTAAATTGATTTAAAAAATTCTAAGGACACACAATGCACATATTTACACATACAAACATTGTCCAACAATTTTAATTTCAAGGTTAACGATATATTTTAAAAAGGTGGCCTTGTATTAAGTTTATAAATTGTCATAATTTTTGTAAGTTAATTAAAATGTCTCCATTAATGAATCTATTTTTAAGCATTATTAATATTTAGTACTTAATTTTTCTTTATCATATATCATGCAAGTTTTTAAAAATATATTTGGTATGGCTCACGCCTGTAATCCCAGCACTTTGGGAGGCCAAGGTGGGTGGATCACAAGGTCAGGAGATCGAGACCATTCTGGCTAACACGGTGAAACACACTCTCTACTAAAAAATACAAAAAATTAGCCAGGTGTGGTGGCGGGCGCCTGTAGTCCCAGCTACTTGGGAGGCTGAGGCAGGAGAATAAAGTGAACCTGGAAGGCGGAGCTTGCAGTGAGCCAAGATCGCGCCACTGCACTCCAGCCTGGGTAACAGAGCGAGTCTCCATCTCAAAAAAAAAAAAAAATATATATATATATATATATGTGTGTGTGTATATATATATATGTGTGTGTGTATATATATATGTGTGTGTGTATATATATATATGGTAAACAATTACATTTCAGGAAGAAAATATCGCTTATGAAGAATTTTGTTACTATGCATTAATCATTTACATCATAAGTGAAAACTGCATTCAGGAAAGTGGAGGCTTTCCCCTTAGAAAATTTATGTTTTTGGCTCTTGTTATTGTTGTTTACCTTACAGGAAAAACGTGCTTCATATCATTAATTCTTCAGGTATAACTATATCTCACACCTTTTCTTGAGACTGTGTACTGACTAGGGACTCCCTATTCATATTTGATGAAATATTTATTAAGCAACTACTACAAATATGTGTTATTGTTATATATTTAATAAGTCTAGAAGTATAACAAGTAGATTGTCTCTCAGAGAACTTATGATTTCATGGAAGAGCAAGGCCTTCATATGTTAAATATTCATATTCATGTTGATGCCAAATGAATACGAGCTAATGTAGCTAATATATTTAACATTTCTAGTAAAAGAGATGCTATTACGAACAGGGTCAGCTTGCAGAAATTTTCATGGAATTTGATTCTATGACTTGAAATTGGTCTGGGAAAATAGGATAACACAGGCGAAGAGCAGGGAGCAGCATCCTTGGCAGTGGCAATATTATTATTCATGTGCTCTCTGATTTGGTCATGTGTGAGGTAGAATCTGTAGGTGTAGAAACTAGACCCTGTGGCGTCTATGACAATGTGCTGTTAAGATCTCCTGCTGCAGGGAAGCTAACTGACTGATGACCCCAGCTGCTGCCCTTCCGGATCTACCATCACATTTGTTCCTGGGTCACGTTTTCCATGTTTTCCAGGCTGCTCTCACCAATTACTAAGTACAATGAACTTATAAGGCAGCCCCACTGCTGTGAGACACTAGGCTCCTTTAAATGGCAACACTGTCATAAAGATTCCTCATTGGCCCAGTTGACACTTTCTTGAAACTACAATGCAGTCTGTGATTTTTCTTACCTGATTCTACTTCCTTCCCGTCTCCTGCGGAGGAATCAGACATGCAGTTCAGTCTGAAGGCTTTCTGCACCCGCTCTGGTTCACTCCTTATCCATCTCAGGCATTTCCCTAAATACTTTTCATGTACTTTTAATTCCGTCTTGTCATATGCTTCTAGGACTTCTTGGATAACGCAAACTAAAGCAAGCTCTATTCTTAAGAATCAAAATTTTGAGGTTTTTAAAAATTGTATTGCAAACAAAAAATTGCAATACAATAAAAATATTGCTCTAGTGAACAAATCATTCAGTCATTTACAAATATCACAGTAAATAAGGGCCCACTGTAAGTCTAACATAATTCTGAGTCTTGGGGTACAGCAGTCAAATAAAATGCCTGGCATCAATAGATTTACAATAGAGTTGGGGGATGGAAAAATAGACAGGTAAATAATGCGTCAGACGGGGATAAATTTTAAGACTTCACCTATGGTAACTGAGGGATCGAGATATGCACATATCTTAAGGAAGATCTTTCCAAGCAAAGGAAATAGCAATTGCAAAGCTTGAGAAGTTTGTTTGAAGTAACTGACAAATAGCAAGGGAACAGTGAGGACAGACTGAAAGGCAATGCAGGGGAAGAAAGACGTGAAAACTAACAGGTGGTATCAAAAAACTGAGTAGACGCATGAAAGATATGTAGGCTATTGATAGGACTTTGGATTTAATTCGAGGTAAAATAAAATTAATTGATGCATTTAAGCAGAGTAGAATATGAACTGGATTATACTTTAAACAAATCCTTCTGACAGCTGTGTCAGGGCAAACACAGAAGTTAAAGGACTAGGTGAGTAACTACAGCAATGCTCCAGGGAGAAGTAGAAGTGTGCAGGCAGTAAGAAATGGCTAAATGCTAGGTGTATTAGAAAAATAGAGTATACTGGATTTTTTGATGAATTGCATCTGGCATGTGAAAAAGAGTCGAGGATGATTTCATATATTTTGGTCTGGGTGATTGGTAAAAATAAATGACTATTTACCGAAATAGTTAAAACATGAGAATGTGAAATAAAAATGGTGACAGTAGACATCAAGAATTTGATTTTAGACCTGTGAAATTTTAGATACCAATTAGTTGCTCAAATGGCTTTTGAAAGATACAAAAGTGGACAGTTAAAAAGGGGCAAGGTAATGATGGTGTTGGATTTGGATGCTCCTCAGGAGTTACAACACACTCATATTTCTCCAGGTGATCTCCAAGATCCTACTCTTCTGTTGCTATTTAATTTGGTTTCAAGTAATATTAAATCATTTCCCCTCTTTCCCCATCTCTCTAATCACATGTGTATTTCTTCTTACCTGATACCCTTTTTGGATCATCAAATGGTTCTCCATCTCTTTATTTTGTTCTTCTTTGACAGACAGGGGTGATATTAAGATCCAGGTTTTCAACAATATAGCGGTTTAAAAAATTAAAATACTGTACTCTCATCTCCTGAAAGCATTAGATGGCATCTCATTCATATCCTATAGCGATACCAGTCAAAACCCCATCTCCAGTGCCCAATTCTCCAGTACCACCAATCTACTCTGAAACCTAGCACATGCCAAACCCTAAACCTCTGCCTTATGCCCTACCTATAACTAGTAAATATTCCCTCTCTTCTCCATCTGTCAGAAATCTTTGTGACTCTTTCAACACTGCCTTAACTAGAAGTTAAATCTCTTTTTCATAGATTGTACAATATATACAAAAAATGAGTAGTGAGACATACGGAAGAGGGTGATATGGTGTTGATGAAAAGGCTTTACAGGCAGGAGAAAGGGAGAAATTATTATATCAATATATCTTATCTTTCTCATAACAGACTATATTCCTTTATGAATATACGTAGATTGCTGATAAGCAGATAGATGATAGATAATTAAGAGAGAGACTCTGCTAACATTTAGCAGTTACTTCAAGTGCCAGTGCTCAACAAGGTAATAACTTCTTAATACAAATGTAATGTCAGTGGAAACAAAGAGTGTTCTTAATGAAACATGTAGACCAATAACACGTGGGATCAGGCAATCAATCCATTCATCACACTTTATGTCAAAAGGTCAGGAGGCACTGATCTAGTGCATTTATACCCAGACCTTACTAATAACCATAACCATCCTAAGGTAGTATGACTCTGATTTTTATCCAGATCTTGTATATCGCACAAAGATTGCATATCAGTTCTATAATTTTTAAATGCTTTATCCAGATCTTGTATATCGCACAAAGATTGCATATCAGTTCTATAATTTTTAAATGCTTTACCCTCAATTATTTTTCTATCTCAGTTCTCAGTTTAAACACACTTTTGCTCTATTCAAGTGCTTACAATTAGCTATATGAAACTTACTCTATTTCTTTTTGGATGGTGTGTCGTATTAAAATGGAAGAAAAATTACTACATGATGAAATCCACACAGAATCAATGAGTTACAGCCATAATAACTATATCTGCCTCAAAAATGAGCCTTTAGTGTCAACAATTTTTTTAAAGTTTTTATTGCACTGCCATTGAATGAGGCTAGCATCTAATACCACTTTAAACATAATCCATTGTTCTTACTGAAATTTGGGGTTGTTTTAAAATCGGAAAACCCTGTTCTTCTTCAGGTCTGCAGCATCCATCCTGTTATTTAAAGTCATATATGAGCTTTTGTCAGTGGGGCATAAATGTTTTACTTTATTTATTCTTTACAATAAATAGAATATTTTTGTTGATTGTCTTCATTTTCACCATAAGATTGATAAAGGCATTTCTAATTCATTGGGCATAGCATTTTACCACATAAAATTTGCAGTTTAATATAAGTATTAGGTACAGGTTCCATTATATGTGTGCAGAGTTGTAAATGTCTGCAGCATTTGTTAAATTTTATAGCTGATCTTGTTCAAAGTAGTCCCTTTAGTTGGAGACTTTGTGTCTAGATATTATCACCATTCATATCTAATTTCACGCAGGCATGCATATTAGTTTCTGGGTAAAGACAGAACATGCCTTGATTATTTTCTTCTTTTTTAAAAGTGATATAACTAATTTTGCAATTATTTTAACAACTTTTTATAAATGGTGCTCATATGGAGGTGTTCATATAAATGTGAATTATAAATTTGATAATACCCTACGTAATTCAGAATTTCTTCATTACAAATAAAAAGGAAGCCCACAGATTATAGTCAAAAATTAGCTTCTCATATATATTTCAGTGGAGTAAAATTATATACTATACTAATTTAACATGCACTTACAATACTAACTATCCTTTTCTCCAGAAAGCTGGTATCTAAGGCAATTGAGCCATTTTCTTACCTGTTACTACGCAAGGGGTTCATGATTAGCAGGTTACCACTTTCATTCTCTAAATTTTTTCCAAAGCACTTAACTTCTTTTTTATATTGCTCATCATATTCAGAAGTTCCATAGAAAAGGAGGTCAAAGCTAATCTTAAAAATAGCAACCTATTTATTTTTCTGTTCTTTAATAATCAATAACTATCATTTATTAACATGACTTCACAAGTAATGTCACACAGAATACTAAGAAATTATAAAATCGAAGTTGGTAATTTCTTAGTAATGATGAAAACAATAAATATACGTATAATTTTATGTCATTTCCTAAACCTTTCTCATTTAAATGCAAACAATCTTGTGAGTTGGGAATTATGAAACATAACATTTATCATCTGCATGTAATTTGTCCGGTGTTCTCGAATGAACTTCATATGAACATTTGAGGGTCTTCTCCTAAATATGATGGAATAGCTTGTGGAAGAACAAAATTGCCACATAAAACACCAAGAAACACTGCTGAATATATGCACACATAAAATCATTTGGAGAGCAGGCCGAAGCAACCAAGACTTTAGGAACCAGTATTGCAGAATGGGGAGAAGAAACACCAGTTGAATTAAGCTGACAGTTTGAGACACTCTACTCTGAATGTATCTGCCTTTACTGGATTCAAAACATGAGCCTAAGAACTCAGATCTTACCTGGGCAGATGTCCACTACCAGCAGCTGGAAAGTCCAGGCTGATAGGATTAGAAAATCAAGAGCAGAAGCTTGAGATGAAAACCTCCCAGGGAAAGACAGAGAACTAAACCTCATGAATTCTGGCTATCCCCTTAAATCATTTTACTAAATTCAGAAGATATTTAGGTAGAATCCTAAAGAGCTTACCAGAAGGCAGAGTTGATGGTAGTCTCTGCTAAGGAAATAAGAAACTAGAGTTAGAGAATTGCCCAGGAAAGGTGCTGCAACACACAAACACACTAGGATCTGCCTGAAAAAAATGGAAGGTCTGCTTTGGGAGCAAGAGCAAACCTGGTCCCTTCTAAATTCTGTCCATTACCGGAATACATTGATTAGTACCAATTCAATTTGCCTAACAGAAGAAAGGGTAAGGCTTCATAGGAGGAAGTACACTTAATCTTTTTGTATAAAATGTTCTGCATTAAATAAAAAATATATAACCAATTTATAATATAGGATAAGACAAAAAAAAAAAAGATAAAAACACCTGAACCAGATTTCACAGTTAGAGGGAAGAGGTCTGAAGAGACTATGAATAATACGTTAAAAGAGTAGAGACTACTAAGAGCATAGATTAAAAATACGAAGAGATGATTCAGAGATTTGGTATAAAATTTTAAAAATCAAATGAAATTAAGAACAAAAAGTAGTAATATTTAGTCAAAAAATCTACTTAAATGCAGATTAGACAGAGAAGAAAGGATTGGTGAACTGAAGACAGTCTAGCATAAAACATGTAAACTAAATGCAGATAAAATGGAGAATAAGGCCAGACCCAGTGGCTCACACCTACAATCCCAGCACTTTAGGAGGCTTAGGTGGGTGGATCACCAGGTCAGGAGTTCGAGACCAGCCTGACCAACATGGTGAAACCCTATCTCTACTAAAAAGACAAATATTAGTTGGGCATGGTGGCACACACCTGTAATCCCAGCTAATCAGGAGGCTGAGGCAGGAGAATCGCTTGAACCCAGGAGGCAGAGGTTTTAGTGAGCAGAGATCATCCCACTGTATTCCAGCCTGGTGACAGAGTGAGGCTCTGTCTCAAAAAATAAAAAATAAAAAAAAGCGAATATAGAAAAGAGTATAGGAAGCATATAGGGCAGAATATAAAGATATAACAGTAATACTTGGAGCCTGAAGAGAATTAGGAAAGTGGAACGTAAGCAATATTTAAAGTGGCAATAACCAAAAAATATTCAAAATTTAAGAAAGGAATTAAACCATAGATTGAAGAGGTTCTGGGAACACTAATAGTTATAAAAACAACACCTCAGCATGTCTTAAACTGTTGAAAACCAAAGACAAAGAGAAAGTTCTTGAAAATAGCTGAAGAAAATATAAAATACTTTCAAATGAGTAACAGAGATGTTGATAACTGATGCTTAAGCAAATATGCTGAAAATTAAAAGACAGTGAAACAATACATTTAAAGTACTAAACAAAAACAGCTGCTAAACTAGAATTCTACACCCAATGAGAGAAAAATATCCTTTAAAGGACAAAGGATAAAAAATGGACATCTATATATCACAAAAAAATGAGATTTTATCACTAGAAAAAAAGTTACTTTAAATTTCATATGGAACCAAAAAGAGCCCATGTAGCCAAGACAATCTTAAACAAACAAAACAAAAACAAAAAAAACACAAAGCTGGAGGTATCACACTACCTGACTTCAAACTATACTACAAGGCTACAGTAACCAAAACAGCATGGTACTGGTACCAAAACAGATATATAGACCAAGGGAACAAAAGAGTCCTCAGAAATAATGTCACACATCTACAATCATCGGATGTCTGACAAACTTGAAAAAAACAAGCAATGGGGAAAGGATCCCCTATTTAATAAGTGGTGTTGGGAAAACTGGCTAGCCATATGCAGAAAACTGAAACTGGGCCCTTCCTTATCCCTTATACAAAAATTAACTGAAGATGGATTAAAGACTTAAATGAAAAACCTAAAACCATGAAAACCCTAGAAGAAAACCTAGACAATATCATTTAGGACATAGGCATGGGCAAAGTCTTCATGACTAAAACACCAAAAGCAATGGCAACAAAAGCCAAAATTGACAAATGGGATCTAATTAAACTAAAGAGCTCTGCACAGCAAAAGAAACTATCATCAGAGTGAACAGGCAACCTAGAGAATGGGAGAAAATTTTTGCAATCTATCCATCTGACAAAGGGCTAATATCCAGAATCTACAAGGAACTTAAACAACTTTACAAGAAAAAAACAAACAACCCCCTCAAAAAGTGGGTGAAGGATATGAACAGACACATCTCAAAAGAAGACATTTGTATGGCCAACAAACATATGAAAAAAAAACTCACCATCACTGGTCATTAGAGAAATGCAAGTCAAAACCACAATGAGAGACCATCTCATGCCAGTTAGAATAACAACCATTCAATACATTACAAATTTATGAATGGTAAGTTTTCTTTTCTTAATCTTCTCAATGACATTTTGAAGAAAAGTAAGATTCAAGAGATAGAAGTCAATAAAGTTATTAGTATCTTGTGTTAGATTTTTTATCAATTCTTTCCTTCAAAGAAGTCAAACAGCTACACAGATATGCGATGGAGAAAACAGCCTCAAATAATAGATTCCTCGTGTTCAACAATTCACTATGACAATGCTTATTTTAAGCAGGAAATTCATATCACATTTTGCATCTCTAGGAATGTGGGTACTTCTATCTTGCTAATAACAGGTCACACCACAAAATACACATTTTTATAATTCCTCCTGATGAAGATTTGCATTCAACATAGAAATTTAGTAGATGGCACTCAATCTACTAATTGAACACCTGACTGGTGATCTTTCAAGTTCTTTTGGAAAAGCTATCATGGAAGAGTTAAGCCTCTTTCTTAGAATCTTTAAACAGTAATTTTGCTCAATATTGGGAGTGTTAACTATTGACTTCTAAATGTTGTTACAAAGGGAAATTTATCCTGCCTACTACCTCTTTCTTACCTACAAATCATGCAGTACTGTAAATTGTTTTTTCCATTATGATAATTTGTCAAGCAAATGAAATTTCACATTTATATTGATGGTTATATTACACTGGTTTCACACAATTTATAAGAAAGGAATGATTTGGTTATTATTTGATTTACTTAAATTATGTAGTCAACCCAACAATGTATTTTCTTAATGCTAAATTTTTTAAATTGATTTAAAAAATTCTAAGGACACATAATGCACATATTTACATATACAAACATTGTCCAGCAATTTTAATTTCAAGGTTGACAATATATTTTTAAAAGGTGACCTTGTATTAAGTTTATAAATTGTCATGATTTTTGTAAGTTAATTAAAATGTCTGTTAATGAATCTATTTTTAAAAATTATTAATATTTAGTACTTAATTTTTCTATATCATATATCATGCAAGTTTTTAAAAAAGAATTACATTTCAGGAAGAAAATACTGCTTATGAAGAGTTTTGTGGCCATGCATTAATCTTTTACCTCATAAGTAAAAATTGCATTCAGGAAAGTGAAGGTTTTCCCCTCAAAATTTACATTTTGGCTCTTGTTGTTATTTTTGTTTACCTTATGGAAGAAAGGTACTTCATATCATTAATTCTTCAGGTATGACTATATCTCACACTTTTTCTTGAGACTGTGTACTGACTCCCTGTTCATATTTGATGCACTACTCATTTATTAAGCAACTACTATTACTAGACTTTGCTGAAGTTGCTTATCAGCTTAAAAAGATGTTGGGCTGGGACGATGGGGTTTTCTAAATATACAATCATGTCATCTGCAAACAGGGACAATTTGACTTCCTCTTCCTATTGATAAAATTTCATTTTTGAAATTTCTGTCATTGGAAAGTCAGGAAACAACAGATGCTGGAGAGGATGTGGAGAAATAGGAAAACTTTTACACTGTTGGTAGGAGTATAAATTAGTTCAACCATTGTGGAAGACAGTGTGGCAATTCTTCAAGGATCTAGAACTAGAAATACCATTTGACCCAGCAATCCCATTACTGGATATATACCCAAAGGATTACAAATCATTCTACTATAAAGATATATGCACATGTATGTTTATTGCAGCACTATTCACAATAGCAAAGACTTGGAACCAACCCAAATGCCTATCAATGATAGACTGGATAAAGAAAATGTGGCACATATACACCATGGAATACTCTGCAACCATGCAAAAAGATGAGTTCGTGTCCTTTGAAGGGACATGGATGAAGCGTGAAATCATCATTCTCAGCAAAATAACACAGGAACAGAAAACCAAACACCACATGTTCTCACTCATAAGTGGGAGTTGAACAATGAGAACACATGGACACAGGCAGGGAAACATCACACACCGGGCCTGTCATGGGGTTGGGGGATAGAGGAGGGATAGCTTTAGGAGAAATACCTAATGTAGCTGGTGGGTTGATGGATGCAGCAAACCACCATGGCATGTGTATACCTGTGTAACAAACCTGCACATTCTGCACATGTATCCCAGAACTTACAGGATAATTTTTTTTTAAAAAAGTGTGAAATAGGGTAGCAAAAATAAAGGAAAATACCATCAGTTGATTACAGATGGGTCATTATGACCCATCAAAATTATCTCTATATCTAAAAAATCACATTTTAGAATCATCAAGAATGGAGTATATTATATATATACATGCATGTATGTGTATAAAGGATTGTGTCTATACATGTATGTGATTTTTTACATGTTTGAAAGTTATCTCTTTTGCATTGCAAAAACTCTATAATCACTCTCTTATACTTGGTATTTTTGAAGATTAGAACAGTTGTCTCCTTTCTCTACTTCTGAAATTCATATTGGGTTTCTGTTGGAAAGCTCAGACTATATTCTCTATTAAAATTTATTCAAGTCAAGATTAATTTTTCTTTTCTTTGTTAAAACACATCAATCATGGCCTCAACTACCACTTCTTTCTTGATAACTTCCAAATCCTTCTTGAACAACAAACTCATTTCCAATCGCTTTTTGCAGATTTCTCCTGACTGTTTGGAACACTGGACATTCTGCCTGAATGAACGACAGCAACCTTAAATTCCAGATGCTTCAAACCGAATACTACATCCGAACACATTTGCTGAAATTTGGAATTACACCATTGCTATGGTCTAATTCTCCCCTACTCAAGTATTGGAAACTTAATCTCCAATGTATCAGTGTTAGAAGGTAGGGCCTTTGCAGAGGTGTTTAAGTCATTAGGGTTCTGCCCTTAAAATACATTAATAGAGAGAGTCCGTCACTTTTGCACTTCTTCCTTCCACCATGTAAGGATGAGGCAAGAAGGCCTTCACTAAACACCAGATGCCAGCAGCACCTTGATCTTGGACTTCCCAGCTCCACAACTGTGATAAATAAGTTTCTGTTCTTTATAAATTATCCATTCTCAGATATTCTGTTACATCAGTGCAAATGGACTAAGATATTTACTCTAATTATCTTGGCTTATGGTAGTCAATCCACTCAATCATAACAGCAAGAAACTTCAGTAACAGTTAATTTTCCCCTTTTCTCATTTTATTTAGCCACGGAATCTTGTCAGTCTTACTATCAAAATATCTCCTGAAATACACCATTCTCGTCTCTATTTCTATTGTTTTTGTCTTAGTTTACCTGCCACATTTACAGAATTTGTTATAGTATTTTTTTGCCATCACTAATTTAATTTTAAATTTCTTGGAAACGATGACTGTACTTTGTCTTTTTATCTTCCCCTTGATTATAGTAAATACTTAACTGATTTTATAAGTCAAATCAATCAGTAAATTATTCTATTGCTTAAATATACAGTAAGGTCATATTACAAATAAGATCTAAATTACAAACATTCTATTTTAAGGTGAAGATATTAAAATGCTCATAAGCCATTTCTTTAGGTGTTATTGTTCTGTCTTTAGTTGTTGCTGTGTCTTAAAACATCTTTCACCTACAGAACATAAAATCTGTAAACCTTTCATGCAAATTTTTGACAGGAAATCACTTAGTTTTACAAACTATTATTCTCAAAAATGGCTCAAATATCATCACATCCTTAAATCTATTTTACACATAAAATTCTTAGACCAACTCATGTAATTCAAGCCATTTTAACAACATTTTATTTAAAATAATCCACTCAAGACATGGGCTATGTTAAGGTAACAAGTCACTCTCAAAAAGAAATGTTTTCTGTTATTACTAAGCTTCAATAAATAATATAAGACCATTAACTAAGACATGATTACATACAAATGAGATTTAAGATCAACTGAAAGTATATTTCTCTTTTCTGTGTTCAATTTTATAAATGACCCTGGATTCCCAAAAGAAAGGCAAATATTCTAACTGCTTGCTTGCTTTCAACTCTAATTCTTAAAAGAATGTTGTCAGTTTAAGTGCATAATGTGTAGTAGATAATTCAGTTAGCCTTAATAGAAGAAAGTGACAGCACACAGTCAACTCTATTGATGTGTACACTCTGTAGGAAATCACAGAGGAGCTTTAATCCTTTGAAGTTTGTTTTTAAAACCTACTGCGTTTACAGCTTGGATAAGAGACTTGTCATTTTATTAATGATGAGTGACCAGTTGTCTCCACACATGAAAATAATGCAACATATTAGTAGGAAACAGTTTTGAAACAAAGCAAATATAAATACAGTCATGTGCCATATCAGAATATTTTGGTCAATGATGAACTGCATATACAATACCAGTCCAAGAAGATTATAATACCGTATTTTTACTGTGCCTTTTCTCTGTTTAGGTATACAAATACTTGCCATTGTGCTACAGTCACCTATGGCATTCAGTATAGTAATATGCTATACAGGTCTGTAGCCTCGGAGCAATAGGCTATATACCATATAACCTAGGTGTGTAGTAGGCTATACCATCTAGGTTCGTCAAAGTACACTCTATGATGTTTGCACAATGAAGAAATCACCTAATGATGCATTTATCAGAATGTGTCCTCATCATTAAGCTACACATAACTGTATTCATGATTTTAAGAGATAATTAAAGCTCTTGGGATAGCAATTACAAAAGCCCGCATGACAAGGTGAAAGTGTGTTGACAGAAAATATTCATATTGATAAAATACATGTATGATCTTCTTTTCACAACATAGCTGCCTGTCATTTTTTGGAAGGTCACATGTATTCATGAACTGTGTGTAATATGCTAGACTTGTCTCCTTATTACAAGCAACACATGGTTAATGCACTTAACATAATATAAACTATTTTCAATGTAAGTGCATTCTCTATAGAATTTTCTAGGTTTAAAAAAGAAATGTGTAGGGTATTTTTTCTCTTTGGCTTCAACAAGCTATCAAAAGGGTGTTAAAACTGAAATATATAAAGTAGAGAAAGTTAGCTAAAATAATTTAAAAGCTTCCTTAAGTTTTTCCCATCAAATTTCCTCTTGCTAAATAATAAACTTCAACATTGTAATAAAGTTTAGGACTGCTATACTTTAGAAAATCAAAAATACAAGAACTGTCAGAAATATCTAAATAACTAAAATGAACCGCTTATCGCATGTTATAAAACTGACATTTAGGATGATTTAAAAGGCATGATCTCAGCTAATCCTGAAGAAAAATATATACTTTTTTTGATGTCAGTTCCACTCTGCCACATCTTTTCTAAGAGTTATCTTTATCCGTAGATATTTCCTCTGTATCCTCTTGTTACACGATATGATTATCTACCTATTGCTGCCCTGATATAATTCAAAATCAAGGTAACAACTTATATAGAATAAAGGTGAATCATTGAAGTGATATGAATTGAGATTAACAATTCTAAAGAAACATTGACCACAAGGTAATTTACATGACCACTGTTATAAGCAGGAGATGAGCAAAAGGTGGAGTCAAAAGGGTCACCTACTGGCATGGTAGGAGAAGCCCAGCCTTTCTTACTGCATTTTCCTTAATGATTTATCTTTTCTGCTGCTTGGAGTAAGGAACACATTCCACTGACTGTAGTATCTTAGTATCCTAATTTCCCCCTGCTGAAAAGTAATGACAGGTAATTTTTATCGTGTTGATTTTCCAGGATGAAATCAGACACTGCTATTTTAAAGCATACAATTGCATATAGATAGATGGAGAGTTATGTGGGGGAGAGAGAGAGAGACAGAATGGAATAGACACATAAATAAATTAATTGCAAAGATGAGCAGCCTCTCTCTCTCTCTTTTCCTCTCTCTCTTCCTCTCTCTCTTCCTCTCTCTCTTTTTCCTCTCTCTCTCTATCTTCCTGAAATACACACACATATACACAACCCACATGTGCACACAGACAAATATTGAATATTAGAAGTCCATGGCAAATGTAAATTGACTTGCAGAACTTCCAAAACACAAATATCTCAGACTTCACCCCGCACACACAAAAAATTAATCAATCTATCTGTAATCAGACATGATTGTCTTTGATTATCTAGGATTGTTTTTACTCTGACTACCATTTTATTAGAAATAGTGCTGTACGTGGACTGACTATATAAACTATGATATGATTATTTGCAGGGAATTAAAGGAAGCTTTACAAAAGGTTGACTATAAGTTTCCTCTAAAGGACAAATTTTTGGGTGAATTCTAGTTCATTTAAGTGGGAAAAATTTTGATTTACAGAAAATTTTTATACTACTGAATAAATAAAGATATACTGGTACCATTTTTGTATGATATAGCTTCTCATTTTGATCACTCTTTGACTCTATTCTAATGAAATGAAAATTTTAATTTGTCAGGGCATGACACTTCTCTCCTCAAAGCTGTGCGATGTCTGCACATTTTTCTGAAGTAAACAACAAAGAGAATTGATTGGCCCAGTGATCCCTAACTTCTTTGATACCACGCCCTAACTACTATGTTCACTTTACTCCACCCACTTTTGGCTCCTGCTCAGAGAACTTATCAAACACATTTCTGCCTTGGGGTCTTTGTACTAGTTTCCTCTTTGCCAGTTTTACCCTAGACATCCACTTAAGCAGAACTTCACTCTTTCCAGTTTTGCTCAGCCTCCTTCTCTCATGAGAAGAGAGAGCCTCCTATTTAATATTTCAGCCTGCCCACCCACCCCTAGCACTTTCCAAACCTCATACTCTGCTTTCCTTTTTCTTTAGTCTATCAACTTTTCATTTCCTCTCTAACTTACCTATTTAGAAACTTAAGGCTCCTTCTCTGTCCCTCTATATGAACTTGTAAACCCCACGAAGTAAGTGATCTTGGCCAGTTATATTCAACAGTGTATGCCAAAAGCCTAGAGCAGTGCATAGCGCACAGAATAAATTAATTATTGATTTAGAATAACTAAACCAAATTTATTTTAATACTTTATAGTGTAAACATCTTAAGTTCACGAATATAAGCTACAGCAACTTACAACAAATGTTTTCCATGGGACGCTTTTACCTATTACCTCGTCAGAACCCTGGTCCACTAAAGCTCATTATAACCCACGTGCAGAAATTAGCATGAAGTTGAGTTTCTGTGCCAGTGTCACACAGGGTCTTACTACTTTGGAATTATTGGTTGTTATGATACCTTTTTTAAAGCTATCAGTAAGCAATTGACATATGTCTGTCTCTCTAAGTCAAATGCTCAGAAAATTTACATGGTGAGTCATAAATCAGCTCCAAAATGAGAACTTGATAAAGAATACTTACAGGAGCAATCAAATTTCCTTTCTTGAGAACTCTAAATTTGAATAATGTCAGAGTAAGGAAATTGCAAGAATGTGATTTTATTGTGAACCCTCTCAACAGTAACCAAAAATGACTAAAATGCAAATAATATGCAGTTATTTATTTATGAAACTTAGAGAGACAGAGAGAGACAGAGAAGAATCCATAGAACAGAAAATAGTATCGAATTATTGATTTATTGCTATATGTCCCAGAGTGGTCAAAGGGAACAGCAGAAACAGTATTTTATGGTGTTTCAATCTTTTAGACGCCCCGTTGATCTTTTTTCCTTCTTAGTATCAAGACTTCCATCTATAGAAAGGAGAGAGTAGAGCGTGCCTTCCAGGAAATAACTCAGGAATTGACTAAGCCCTGGGTTTTAACTGTTTTAACTGAATGTGATATTTGTAGTAAAGCTGTGGGAAAAAAATATGCACATGTAGGTGAATGTCTAGCTAAAATTCAAATGCAGAAACATCAGAAGGGAAAGAGAAATGAAAGGTTATGTGTAAGACAAGAGAAAGAAGAATAAAAAAGGAGATGAACTAAGAACCGACTTCTAGACTTATTGTCACTTTAAATGCTGGTAACCCCTTTACTGTTTTCACCTACAGTCATTTGCAAAATCTAGTTTGTGCTTTTCTGTTAACACTAAGCTTAGGAAATGGAATTATTCCTCTGCTTTTACTGGAAATGCTATCAATTAAAGCTCACAAACAGCTCCACACAATATATAAAATTAATGCAAATGAGAAAAACATATATATGTATGTACAGACATCATAGAAAAGGAAACTCAGGAACAGTATGAAAAGGGAAGGTGATGTCCTTATAAAACTAACAGGATAGTCTGTGCTATAATGACATAAACAAAAAGTAATCACAAAAAAACTGCAAAGAAAAACAGCCAGTAAAAATTTAAAATTGGTAAAAAAGACTGTAATGTAAAAGAAAATACAGAATATAGTAAATTCTTATGCTTGAAGTCTCAGGTTCTTTATATTCTCTTATAGGCAAGAAAAAATAACTCCTTTAAAAAAATTTGCTAAGCCTACATCAGTGTTGCAAAGGACAAAAGTTAGCAAATTTATGGGGGAAGAAAAGATCGTAGAAATTTTGAAAGTGAGCACATTAAGCAAGGCCTTCAGAGAATAAATGTTATAAGCAGTGCAATGTGAAAATTATTGTATTGCTCTTTATAGAAGTGAAAACCATTTACCACCCACCATGTCATTTTTGATGCAGAATCACACTTTGCCTTGTTCTTTTTGACTCAAAAATAATTATCCCCTGTGTTTGTTACAGTAATAAAGATAATAATAATTTGCTCTTATAGCATACTTTTCCAAGTTTAAGCACTTTAGAACAAACTATTCCACACATCTTTATAAGATCCCTGCAAAGTAGGTATATAGAGATAAATGGCCATAAAAGATGAATAAAGGAAAATATTTTAACCCGGAGAGTTGGATTCTTATTCATCTTGGTTTTCTGAGCCAGAGAAATGGAGTTTGCATCATGAATATAGACTTGAAATTCTCAAAAGATTCCAAATATTTTTTCCTTGATCTTTGAGGTAAATGGTGAACATTTTTATTGCTTGAAATTTTATCCTGACTTAAATTGAGATATAGTATCGAATTTTCTATCTAATGGTATTTTACTGAAATACATTTATAAATGTATTTATAAATAAAAATACATTTATTTCAAAGGATTTTGGCATAGCTATTAGCATTGTCCATACTTTAAAAATACCAGCTCATTTAATATGCATGTGTTTCCTCATTACAGTAAGTTTCATGTGTTAATCAAGGCCAAGAATTAATAGACATTTGTAGTTGATGATTTTTCGGTATATTGCATTTAACTATTTCCAAGGAACTTATAAGTACAAGATCCCTTTATAGGCAACGTCAAGTCGTCTTTAATCAACACATGAAAAAATGTTCTGCTGCTGTCTTTCTAAAATAGGAATTAATGATTAATGCTGTTGAACCTACATTGGGAGTTTGATTAATATATCCTGATGTCTAAATAACTTAGATACATTTTCTAAGACTTAAAGTTTCAAGTTCATTCACAAGTTCAAAACCTTGGGAATATGCTCAAATATGTGAAAAATTCAAAATTTAGTTGAATTTACTAAATCCTTTTTTATCTTGTGAAATATAGTAAATCCAATTGTTTGTCTCCTATAAGTTAAAATAAAAGAGTAATCACTAGCTGATTTATATTTATAAATACTGTAAATTTGTTTTAAAAAATGTATCATTTCTAGCCAAAAAATTGAAGTTATATATTTTTTTAACTCTTTTGAGCCAATGTATTTGTGCTGAAACACTTTGTATCGTTATCATTATAATCCAGACAAATGGTTTTAAGAATATCAGAATAAAGTATTTATAGGTATGCTTCCTTATTATGGCTTCATAAAGAATAAATTCAAAAATTAAGGTTATTTCCACATTAGCAAAATGAAATGTACATTTTGCAAAATGCCATATACTGTTTTGCATATTAGACACTGTTACAGCTCTCTTATCAAACGACATTCATTATGTCCATGCTGCCAACCTTATCAATTACATTAGATGGTGAAAACAAACCCAGGTCTTCTCATGATGATATAGAAATGGGTACAACCATATTCTAAAGTGAGGGGACAAAAAGCAGTTGGAAAGTATAGTAAAACAGAGGGGCTACATTCATTCTTTTTTTGTACAATTGATTGACTCTTTTTTGACAACCTTTAAATTTTAATATCTTTAATATTTTTGCCCTCTGTTTTCAATTCCATGTGTTAACATCAGGTAAATAGGTAGACAAATAGATGATTGGTAGATAGACAGAAAAATAAATGGATGGATACTCACGGTGGGGTAGGAAGTGGGGAAAAGGGGAGAGAGGGAAGAGAGGTAAACAGGGAGAGATAAAAACAGCCAAAAATTTAATCTGAAGAGACATAGTAGAAAACTGATCTGTCATCCTTATTTTATAAATTAGAAAACTGAAGCTCAGAGTAATTAAGCATATTGCCCAACATTACACAGCTAGTATGTAGTGGAGTCAGAACTGTGTGCTGATCTGGAAAGCATGATGACTGATAAATAGATTCATGTTTAGATTATCCCTCACACTGAATATGAATAGCAATCACTAAGCATGTCAGGATTGAAGATCCACTGCTTATTTTCATACATTTGTAAGTCATAGAAAAATAAGGATACGAACAGACACTTCTCAAAAGAAGACATTTATGCAACCAAAAAACACATGAAAAAATGCTCATCATCACTGGCCATCAGAGAAATGCAAATCAAAACCACAATGATATACCATCTCACACCAGTTAGAATGGCGATCATTAAAAAGTCAGGAAACAACAGGTGCTGGAGAGGATGTGGAGAAATAGGAACACTTTTACACTGTTGGTGGGACCGTAAACTAGTTCAACCATTGTGGAAGTCAGTGTGGCGATTCCTCAGGGATCTAGAACTAGAAATACCATTTGACCCAGCCATCCCATTACTGGGTATATACTCAAAGGATTATAAATCATGCTGCTATAAAGACACATGCACACAGATGTTTATTGTGGCACTATTCACAATAGCAAAGACTTGGAACCAACCCAAATGTCCAACAACAAATAGACTGGATTAAGAAAATGTGGCACATATACACCATGGAATACTATGCAGCCATAAAAAAGGATGAGTTCATGTCCTTTGT
Source organism: Homo sapiens (assembly GCF_000001405.40). Classification (NCBI taxonomy): domain Eukaryota; kingdom Metazoa; phylum Chordata; class Mammalia; order Primates; family Hominidae; genus Homo; species Homo sapiens. The sequence continues at coordinate 17,218,529 of NC_000012.12, read as the reverse complement.
AGCGACATGGATGAAACTCAAAACCATCATTCTCAGCAAACTATCGCAAGGACAAAAAACCAAACACCGCATGTTCTTGCTCATAGGTGGGAATTGAACAGTGAGAACACATGGACACAGGAAGGGGAACATCACACACCGGGGACTGTTGTGGGGTGGGGGGAGGGGGGAGGGATAGCATTAGGAGATATACCTAATGCTAAATGACAAGTTAATGGGTGCAGCACACAAACATGGCACATGTATACATATGTAACAAACCTGCACGTTGTGCACATGTACCCTAAAACTAAAAGTATAATAATAATAAAATTAAAAAAAAGAAAAAAGACTAAATATAATGAAAACTGTAAAAAAAATAAGAAAGGGGGATTCTAATTTAATTTAATGAAAAAACAGGAGATGTATACCTTTTAAATTATTGAAGATTAATAGTATATATTTGTAACCAAACATTTTCAAATAAATTTATTAACATTTTCTGTTTTATTTTGGATGTTAAATTACTCACTTGCCATCAAACAAATTGTCTGGAAAGAAATTATATCTTTTTGTAAGTTTTTCTCCTTTTCACCATCTGAAAATTCAGTTTTAGAACTTTATAATACCTTTTCTCATTGTTGAGCCTAATTAATTTAAAACTTCTCTCTTACTGTTAAACAGTCTATGATCACAAGATGGTAGGGTTACTTTACACTGTGATGCCTCCATTGCCATATATGCACTGTTTCCCTTTCATTGTATAATAGTGGGCTAATAAAGTTCATAAGTGGGGAGCTTCAGGCTAATATATGGTGTATTAGCCAAGATTTCTGGGTGAGATCATCGACTAAATCTACCCAAGAAATAGTGTAACCCATATGTAGGTTTTATAAATACTGAAAATTGATAAAATTAGCCTCATGTTAGAGAAAGTGCAAAGAAAACTATTTGCCTGGTAGTATCATAGCTTTCATGTCCTTAAGCATTTGTTTCTAAGCTCAACTGTTCTAAAATAGCAGATGTAATGCCTGTATTTCCAAATCTTAAAAAAAAAAAAAAAATCAGTCAATTGTTTGGCTTCACATATTGGAGTTGTTAACTAGATTCAACTTTCAGATTTTGAGATGATGTCTTTGATGATAATAAATTAACACATGGGTTTTATATCTTGCAGACAGAAATACTTCCATATTTGAAAAACAAAGGAAAGATCTCAATAGCAATAGGCAAATGTCTTCGGGAGTTATTTTTTATATAGTCACTCTTTCTGGATATAAACACATTCTTGAGTTACCAACAATTCATAAATTATGTATGCCACAGAGCTAAAATAAGGCAACAGTCTAGAGTGGTAGATCCTGTAATCTAACCATTATGATAAATGGACATCATTGTATTATAAAGGATGTCTGTGTTATTGAATATACAGCATGAAGACACAAAAGTTTATCTTTCAAAAAATCCTAAGTTTCAAATCAAAGAGAAGATTATAGGCTTGACTCTTAAAAAATTCTGGTGCCAGTGACTTGACATCCGATGAAGTACTGCGTTTAAAATTACGTGAAATAAGAACAATGAAAATACAAAAATTTGATATGGCTTCAGCTATGTCAAGGTTCTTATTTAACTCTGGGCTTCATGAAGTCTGCTCTGTTTATGGACAAAGCTTTCTGGCAAGCGAGATGGCAACTAAATGGTAAATATGGTGTTCTTTGTAGAAAGCCTTATTATCATTGACCAACTATATAAAGAGTTTATGTGCTCATCACATCATGGCACAGATGCAAATCAACATTTCAAAGAGCCAGAGTCATTGTTCTCTGACGTTGCCCAGTTCAGACCATCATTCAAGCAAAAGAAATGAGACAGCTTAAGGGGTTCGACAATTTTCAACATCACAGTCGATTCCAAAGATGGTGTCTGCTCTAACAAAGATCTGGACGTCATTTTAGCCAGTGCATTGATTGTACTCAAAGAGCCACAGTGCTGCCCTCGGCTGTGGCTATGAGATAAGAATTCTGGTTAATAAGAACAGTTCTAGGACAGGCACAAATGAGATTACAAGACAGAGGCCCAAGTTGTGCCAAAACTCAAGCTGACGGTTTTGTCTTCAGCTGTCACAGATGGGATGGCTTAAAACATGCATACCACATCATCTTTAAAAAATTGTGAGAAAAAAAAAGGTTTTCAAGGACAAAATGTTTTAAAATGACAGAGAATTTGGACTTAGAGAAAAAGACCAGAGAACTAAACCTATTACAAAACTGGCACATTACAGTGCAGGATTTTGGCAGGACATATTTATAACAGATTTCATGCAGGGGATGGAATCCAAAAACTACTCCTCCCCTAATTATGAACTGAATTTGCCCCTCTTTAAAAAAAAAAACAGAAGAAGAAATAAAAAATAACTTTATTTTTGGATTACATGGAAATTTGAGAGAAATCAGCCCAGCAGGATAGATTACCAACTGGAAAATTTGGAAGGAATGTATGGTCTGGGATTTCGGGCTCCAAGCTGGTGGACTCTGAATTTGTCACAGAGGTTAGTTCTGTCTCCAAAGGGGAGCCAGGCATACTGTACAAGAGTACCCCCTGTTGGTTGATTGGCCAGAGAACATTGGCAGTGCCTGCTGTGGCAGCTGCTCATTTAAACTTCTACCCTGAAATTTGCTGAAAGAAAAGCAAGAAAGATTTGAAAGAAGGAGCAGGGAGGAAGGAAGCAGGAAGGATGCTGTAACAAGGGAAGGCAAGGATGCGGTTTTCCTTTCATTCTTTTGTTAAGGTCAAAAAATAACGGAGATTATGAAAGATAAGGGACAACACTGTGAATAAATCGCACCGAAAGGCATTAAATCATTGCGAATGCCAATGTGTTCAAATTGTGGCTTTTGTTACCATAATTGTAACTTTGAATTATTACAGTGCAAGTCAAATTATCGCCCTTCTCCAAAAACAGTTTTGCCAAGTGATTCAGAGGTCATGGAATATATTTTTATGCACAAAGACAATAATATTATTTTATATTTCTCAGCGATTCAGGGAGGGTCGGAAAAATTCCTCACCCTTTTCAACACTCAATGAATGTTAAAAAGCAAGCTGAAAATTAACAGAATTCTAAGAGAAGTACAGCTACCCATGAAAAACATGACTGTGACCACAAGATAATTCTATATTGGACCTTGCACTTTTGGTCAGTCTGAAGCTGAATCAGATATAAAAGGAGACCTCGAAAGAAACAAACAAAAACAAAATAACTCCATGGTGAGTGCTTACTGATACCCTCTGGAGTCTAGTCCTGCTGTTTTAATTTCAGCAGTAACGTGCAATTGTAATGAAAATAATTCTACCATAAGAAATCTAAACAGTTCTGTGCTGAGATGGAGCATTAGCAAATGCTGGTAGAGTCTGAGTCAGATTTGCTGTAATCTTTACAGAGAGGATACACTGGGGTTCTAAAAGGTTAATGAACCACTTGTGGTAGACCTTTCCTTCACATTTTAACTCTGTTTTATTCCTGATAGAACCATTAACTTCTACACTAACCTTTCTACTTGTTACTATTACACACATTCTAGCCACTAAAGCTTTCTATTGATTTGTGCCAGTGAGGTTTTGTAAAATGTAGCTTTAAATACATGGTTTCTGCAATTGTGTTAGCATCAGCCAGTGTGTGTGAAGACGAAGATTAATTCTCTGGTTTTAATTATTTTCTATATTGTCATTCAAGTACTTACTCTTTTTTCATCATTGTTTTGCATGAGGAATTTTCTGCAAAGCTTTCACATTGATGCTTTTTAAATTTTCTGGAAAACACAATTTTATTTCTTATTTTAAATAATATGTTTAACCTGAATATGTTAGAAGGTACATAACTTTATTTTCCTATTGTTCGATAGAAGTTTCCTAACATTTCAGTTACTGTGTGTGTGTGTGTGTGTGTGTGTGTGTGTGTGTGTGTGTTTTGGAGTGGGAGATTAGAAACAGATGAAAACAATGTATATAAGTAGACATACAAATAATTATGTCATGCTAATTTTTGTTTTGAAGCCCACATAATTTGCTAAAATAAATGCATCAGATTCTTAAATAAAAATATTCAAGGCTGAATTTGGATATGTGAAAATCATGTCAAAAGTACAAATTTAGTATACCTCAAATAAGAATACTGCCAAGAAGAGTTAGCTTTGTTATTTTAGTATATGTTTTCTCCTCTATTTTGATAATGTTTTCTTGGTTTTGTTATTTTTCTTATTTTAAATATCATCTTCCAAAAATAATATACTTCTTCTAAAATACTTTCCATCAATTATTTGTTCAGTAAAGATATTATCTTCTAATTTAAAGGAAGTAGCATATTAAAGTAGCAGGTAACAACAAAAAATTATTAATCCACATATAGTATTATCTTATCCCTGAATCAAAGAACAAGCATTGTTTCAAACATTTCACTAATTCAAACTAATTTAAAAAAAATTATCCTATAATAAAATATCCCATGGTTAAACTTCAGGGCAGAGAAGTACTCGATAAATAAATACTAGCATAATGGCTACTAAAAGAGATTAAGAGGTCTATGTAGACATAGAAAATTACTAATGTCAATTTTGAAATTAAGGTAAATCAAGTAAGAAAACTAAATTCTTAAATATATAGAAGGGGATGGCCTGGTAATTAGACATTTAGATTATTTGGAATAATCTCATTTTTTAAAGAAAATTTGTTTAGTTTTAACACTTGCTATTAAAAAACTTTCAAAATATTATCCGAAGACTTCGCTGATTCTGAACATAAAGGTTACAGTATCATTTAGCATAATTATTTTAAGATGACTGAGAATATTTTAGTTTCTCAAACTGATAATAATGTATATCAGTTGTCTTTTTTACAACTTATTATGAGTTTGAACATTTGAGAGTTTGAATTAACCAGAATATAGCATGTATATTTCTCTTACTAAATATATTAATATATTTTGTATTTTGTCTTTCCCTTAAAATTCTATTAATCATAATAGAATTATATCTAACATATATACTCAATATATAAATATGTATGTAATTTTACAAATATAAGAGTATTATGAACATTATAAATAAGTAGATATACAATATACACCAAGATCCCCAGACATAGTAAGAGGCTGATCACATTGATAGAACCCATTTCCTGTGATATTTTCTCAGTCTCTCCTTATATTCTGATATGTATGTGTTTGCATAACTATAAATAATTCTGTGTGAATCCTCTCAAAGCACCTCAAATACAATCTGTGTGTGTTTGACTGCAAAGTAGAGGCATCGGTTTTCCTCTCAAATATACCCCTTTCTTCTGTTTTCACCGTATCATACACCATTTCCTCACAAAAATTACCTTAAGTATAATTCTATATTCATTTATTTGATGACATAGTAAATGCATTGTTCCCATTTTATAGTATAAGCTCAAAAGACAGCTGGAATCATGCATGTGTAATTTATCATTATAGCTAATATAAATGAAACACTAATTATATAATTTTTAAAGGTTAGATTAATTTAGTTTAAAGCTAACACCACCAAAACTTGGGGGAGGTGCTCAATACTACGTAATTTGAGGTGATAATGTGTTCAATAAAATACACTATTTTATTATCTTGAGCTATTTTGTTAAGTCAAATCTTCAGTGCTTAGTGTTTTGTGTGTTTGTTTTTTGTTTATTTTTCCAAATCTTATTTTAGATTCTATATTTATTTAAATATGTAGGGCTGATTTAATATAATGTTTATCCTCAGACAGCTATTCCAACTTTTGGTATCTAAGTATAGATCCTGTAGTACTAAAAAAAATATAGAGGAGGAAACAAAATGTATCAACATAATGTTGCAAACTAAATTATTAAGAACATTTTAAGTAGAAAATTCATATATGTGCATATATACATGTGTAAATATGTTTATACAAAACAAACAGATATCCAGAGAGAGAGAGGAAAGGGAAGAGGGGGGAGGAAAGGAAGAAAGGAAGGAAAGAGAGAGAAAGAGCCTAAGAATATACATCCTAGTAAGACAGTAATTTGGAATCCGTAGACATCACAACTAACAACTTAATTCAAATAAGAATAACTGAAGACACCCAATAAGAGGAAAAATATTTATCATATTAATTCTTTTATTTTTATTTGCATATGTAACACTTAGAATCAGATTAGATCATTGAAGATCCTCCTGACAAGATTATAAATCTGAACACTTGGGTTTATCCTCACTCCTTTTAAAACATGATATCCTTGCTCAAAACTTTAATATTTTATCTTTTTATACAAAATATTAGAACTCTTGCCTGATGTCCAAAACTGTTAAATCAATCATGAAAATAGACATGACTAAAAAGGTGTTTTCATTTGTGAAAACAAATTTGTGGTCTAGATTTTTAATAGAGTTCTTAGTATGGTTAAATAATTAAATAACTGTGTGTGTGTGTGTGTGCGCGCATGTTTGTTTTGCAATAAATAATTATTAAAGACTAGCACTGCTCAGCCGGGTGTGGTGGCTCACGCCTGTAATCCTAGCACTTTGGGAGGCCAAGTTGGGTGGATCGATCACAAGATTGGGAGATGGAGACCATCCTGGCCAAAATAGTGAATCCCGTCTCTGCTAAAAACACAAAAATTATCTTTTCTGGCCAGGCCCTGTGGCTCACACCTGTAATCCCAGCAGTTTGGGAGACTGAGGTGGGCTGATCACCTGAGGTTGGGAGTTTGAGACCAGCCTGACCAACATAGAGAAACCCCGTCTCTACTAAAAATACAAAATTACCCGGGCATGGTGGCATGTGCCTGTAATCCCAGCTACTTGGGATGCTGAGGCAGGAGAATCACTTGAACCAGGGAGTCGGAGGTTGCAGTGGGCCAAGATCACACCACTGCACTCCAGCCTGGAGACAGAGTGAGACTCTGTCTAAATAAATAAATAAATAAAGACTAGCCCTGCTCATTTAGTTTTCAGTTAGCCATGATACATGGAAAGCCTATTTTTTAAAGAACGTTGAATGAATTTTATTACAGCACTTTACAGGCAATTCCAACCATAACACAGCATGACACTGTCAGGTGTGCCGTCAGTCCAGCATACACACAGCAGCAAAGATGACCAAGGTGTAGGACCGAAGCCTTCCTTGACTATTGGTTATTCTACTGAAAGACATGAGGCCAAAGTATAAGAAATTCATGTTAACCTTAGTGGAGACCTGCATAGAAATAGGGATATGCACTCTCAGTTAATCACTCTTGCCTCTCTGCCTTTCTTTTCTGTTCCATTCTTGTCACTCGAGTTGAGGCTCTAATCCCTAAATATGTGAACTACCACTGTTGCCTTTAATTTCTTATTAACTTTCAGAAAATAAAAAGCCAGTTTCTTAACCATAACCTGAAAGACCTCATATGATCTGGCCTGCTGTTATTGTCTGGCCTCATCTCCTCCTAGTCCATCTCACTCCCCACACTGCCCCCCGCCAGACACTCCTCAACATCCTGACTTCCTCACGCCTCTGGGATTTCCTCTGGATGTGCCTTTGCCTAGAATGCTTTTCCACCAGATATCTACATGGTGAACTCTCATTTCCTTTAGGTTTTTGCCAAAATATATCTTCTCAGTGAAACCTTTCCTGGCCAACCTATCTACAACTTCAACTTTCCCCTACCCTTGATATGTCCTATCTCCCTTTCTCTCTTTAGTATTTATTTCTATCAATTTGTTATATATTATATATATCTACCTTGGTAAAATCTAAATGTTTTAAGCAGGAGGTGATAATGGACCTATTGCCAACAAGGTATCTTGGATCATCTGAAGATGAAGTACATAAAAATATTTAGTTTGTTGGAAGTTGTTCTTAATATTCTAACCTACAAAGTAATAAAACCAGATACGTTTCCATTTTGAAATGCTGACACCATGCAGGTGCTAACACATTCTCTTTAAAGGAATAACTTTTCACCATAGGACTTTGGATTCTAAGTGAACAGCAATGGTTTCACTTCTAGGTTATTTAAAAAGATACGGCAGCTGGACATTGCTAATCATTAGATGCCATTTTCTTCAGAGAGCTAACTAGCAGTAAAATTTCAGTGTTTTGAAATTTAAAATGACAGCTATGATCAAGTCATTTATATCAGGCTTCTGATCATGATATCAGAATCATATGAGATAATGACAAAAGTCCTTAGGTGAAGAGAAAGATGGTTCCAGTAGACCAACTGCCTTTAAGTGGAGAATCCAGAAAGTGGGTAGGTACCAGCAAGCATGAGATCTAGTAAAAGGAGCATGAATATTGTTATGCATTGAGCGTCTATGTCCCTCCAAAATTTGTGTGTTGAAGCCCTAGTAAATGGGGTTTTGGGGAGTGATTAGGTCAAGAGGATAAAGCCCCCATGATGGGATTAGTGTCCTTACAAGAGAAAGAGACACCAGAGCTTCCTCTCTTTACCACATGAAGATACAGGGAGAAGCTGGCCATCTGCAAGCCAGGAACAGGACCCTCACGAAGAACTGAACCTGACCATACCTTGACCTTGGCTTTCCAGCCTCCAGAACTGTGAGAAATAATGTCTGTTGTTTAAACTACCCAGCCTATGGTATGTTATTATCATAGCCCAAGCTGACTAAGACAAATATCAAACCAGTTTTCTGTATATCTTTGTTTTAAAAAGAAGTACATTGAAAAATCATCTGGAAACTGCATTGTACTTGAGTCCATTAACCTTCTCATTCTAATATGTGAAAAAATGAATAACATCCCTATATAAGATCATAAAGAAATTATAGTTTTCAGAGGAAAGCTAATACTTAGGTAGGGCAAGGAGGAGGAGGAAAAATTGAGACAGGTACTTCTGAGGCCTATGACCACTTTTATCGCAGAATGCTCTATAGAACTATGTGGACAGAAGGGAACTGAAGGGGCCGGGCGCGGTGGCTCACGCCTGTAATCCCAGCACTTTGGGAGGCCAAGGTGGGCAGATCACGAGGTCAGGAGATCGAGAACATCCTGGCTAACAGAGTGAAACCCCGTCTGTACTAAAAAAAATTAGCCAGGCATGGTGGCGGGTGCCTGTAGTCCCAGCTACTCAGGAGGCTGAGGCAGGAGAATGACTTGAACCCGGGAGGCAGAGCTTGCAGTGAACTGAGATTGCACCACTGCACTCCAGCCTGGGGCGACAGAGTGAGACTCCGTCTCAAAAAAAAAAAAAAAAAAAAAAAGGAAGGGAACTGAAGGAAATAAGTAAAGCCAAAGATCAAAGATAAATTTCAGAACTTTGAGTGGCATTGTGTAAAATAAGACCTGTTTTCAGGCCCTTGAGTTGACCTAACATATTTCAGACGCTACCTGAAAGTTGGTCCAATTTTAAAGATATGTGGATATAATTTATTTTAAAAAAAAAGTCACAGATACTGTCAGCTGCAGAAGATGTTCCTATGGAGAAGGAGGTGGACCTTAACATGACTGAGGGAAAGGGATGGGCAGTCCTCCTAAGCACAGCATTTAATCTCCGTACATTGGTGCTTGCTTGCTTAGGGAGCCCTTGTTGTGACAGCTCTCATGACCTGATACAGTCAGGAGGCTGACATCCTTGGGTAGCTTATGTGTGATTTGTAATGGTGTTTGGGCAGGCAGCTGCAGTTTCACTTGCATTGCTGCTGAGCTTCCAAATCCTCTTGCTCAGTAACATATGTATCAGTTCTCTTTCAGCTGATAAAAGTGAATCTTTGAGATTTACTTTGAGCAGTCTATTTTTCACATGTGACCAGGTCATAGCGTGGATCAGTTGAACTAGGTCCTTCAAATGGTCATAGGGACCCTATGTGTGACTCATTCATTAGCTCCATATAATACTGATGACAACTAAATTTTATTAAAATTTTACCTGTAATTGATAGAAAAAGGTATACCTGTCTTTGGAAGTGAAAAAATATGTCTACACTGTCATTTCCATTATCCCAGGCTACGTGTCAAGAATTTGGTAAGAAGAAGTAAATAAAACATAACAAATGATAAAGTGTGTCCCTTCCAAGAATTTACTATCTAGTTGGGATGACAGAGAATTGTAATCCAAAATACATGTTCTATATGTAAAAGTACAGATAGAGCAATAGAGGGACTTATTTTGGACTTGAATAAGTCAAGAAGGCTTATTAATAAATTATTAATTCAAAATGTGAGGGGTGAGTAGACAGGAGTGCAGCAAAATGTGCTAATCCCTCAAGGTTAGAAAGCAGTGTTGGCAACATTCTCTCTAGAGATAACAGGAAACTTGACGTATTAACATAGAGACAATGGGGGCAAAGCACCCACTGAGTGAATGGGATTCAACAATATGACCTAATTTTTCATGACTTTGACTTCCATTATTACTATTACTACTACTAATAATGATTATTCTAGATGCAAGTCTCCAGTATTTAACTCAGAATAGATAGGTAGTTTTGAGCATAATATGGTCAAATGTAAATTGGTAACATCTACATCACTTAGTATTACATGCTCATGGGTGAGAAGATGCCTTTCTCAAAGCAGGAAAATTAGAAAGTGACTACTTCAGATGAGAAGATTATGAGCAGTTTCCATATGTGATCTATTATTGTTGGCTGGAATAGTTGTTTTAAAGGTATACATTGCAGCTTTTCTCAAGCAGAGATACATGACGATTAAAGAGCCTCCCACTCCTCATCATTATGACTCTGCCACTACACAAGCCCTCCCAGAACAGAGTTGAATTCCGGAAAAGGAGGAGGAAGTCCCAGCCCAAACCAGGCCAAACTGCCACAAAGTTGCCACCATGTTGGTAGAATGGGGTTTCACTATAACCACATTTAAACAAATAAAATTAAAGTTCCTCTAGCTGAGTTCATGAGGACATACACACACATATAATAAAATAATTGCTATTGTACAAATTTTTGTTATTATTGTATCCACTACACAAGTGGGCTCTCCTATGAGGATACGTGTTCTTTGAGAGCTGTTAGGTGAAGCTGCATCTTTATTTTAATGTTCCTTACCTTGAGTAAAGTGCTTTAGACACAGAAGGGGCTCAAGAAAGTTTGCACAAATAAATAAACAATTTTGTAATTATGTAATCTTCAAGAACCTGAAACTCTAAAAGACAGGTGGCAGATATTTTAGAGTCTAATTTATTCCAAAGATAAGATTAAATGTTTGACACTGTGTAGGTAGAGTGAGTAGTTGTATATTAGAACATGGTGCTTGCAACTACTATGCCCAGAGAGTTGAAATTAGAAATATGAGAGAATTGGGTCGCAGTATTTAAATCTGTGCCATACAGAAAAAAGTGCAGTTTGAATAATAGCTTTCAAAAACTCATTTACCACGACAACAGGCCATAAACTATGCATTTCTCTTTCTTTATTTTAACTGTGAAGCTATGAAAGCAAATATGTTTCTTAAACTCACCTTCTCCTGAAGATGATTTGTCAAGTCATTGCCCTTAGCTTTTGACAACTTAATGAATCCATGAAAATAGAACTGGTCCACATGCCCAAGTCATAAAAGAAATTAGTTATAGGTCCAATGGAAATCAGGCAGAGTGTGAAAAAGAAACATCAGTCCCTTTACTTGGTTTTCATGACAAGCTATGTCTATGACCAAAATCTGAGAATATTTGCTAAAGGTTGTTTTCCTTTCTTCAGTAAAATGAAACATAATAAAGATGGTGGGGGTTAAGAAGATGGTTAAGTTGATTCTAGTGATTGCATAACATTAGTTATTATGTTTACTATATGACATTTTTTATAGATGAAAAACTTAAAAATATTTAGCCAAGTGGCTTGGAAAATTGCCCAGGACCTATGCCACAATGCCTTCAAAGAAACACTATGTTATTTGTTGAGAAAGGAACAACAATGTCTAAGCTCTTAAACATTATCCAGGGAAAGAATCATCCATAACAGTGATGGAATAGCAATGCCCAAATATTCAACTCCTATAAAAATAAAATTTAAAGGGTGAGAAGTGGGAAATAAGGGTCAATACAAATCTCATTATGAGAATGTTACAGATAAAGACTATTCAAAATATAATCCAAAGCAATTATATCCACAAACATTTATTAAGAAGCACCAACTATGTGTCAGATACTTTGTTAGCTATTGATGATCTATATAATTTCTGCTTGGACAGATATTGACAGTCATAAGAAAAATATTCTATAAAGAAAGCACATAAAAGAACATAACTGTAAGTGAAATTATAAAAATATAACACAAGATATTATTGAATTTCCATTGTTATGGAGAAAGTGATTGCAATAGGAGGTAAGGAAAGAAACTTAATTCTATGATTGTATAGAATTGAGAAAATTTGATAGTTACAGAGTAAGAAGACACAGTTACAAAATATGTATGAAACCTTTGGAATAATTCATAATTACATCGTTGTCTCTATCAATAAAAAGAAAAAGAAGAGCAATAGAATATAAGCCAAACAGAATTTTCTGAATAAACTCTTCAAAGTTTTCTCATGAGGTGCTAGCAGTTTTAAAAGTAGTTATAGTATACTTAAAGTCTATTACCTTTTCATAAGGAATCATCTGTATGCTAGTAATTGTCAGTGAGAGTGCTGTACAATTCTTGTCATCTTGAATATATTTTAAGTAAAATACCTTGGAGAAATACTTTATTGTCATTTCCTGAAACTATTCTGCCTGAGTACATATGGGAAAGTGATCAAATTGAGCAAATGTTTAATGTAACTCTGACCTCAAAGTCTCATGACTGAGCATTATAGCCTTTTCAAGGGATAATTTTGCTTATTGGTGGTTCTCACTGACATAGTTGTTCAATTTTTTCCTCCTTATTTCACCAAGATGGATAGTCAAAAATATTGCAGTCATATTTTCTTTGATAAAAGTGTCTATCTGTAAGGTGCCACAATGAAACTACTGGGTTATTTTGTTGGGAATGCTGGTACTAGATAAATAAGTACTTGAAGAAATGTAAGGTAAAGCAACTTTTGCCACACCATTTTCCTTCATCCCTTGGCCATCTGAAAGCAGGAATCTGCAGAAATGGTTTTAACACCATACATCAAAGTCCATCAAAGTCCACATTGACTAGAATAGGACAGCATCATGCCACAAGAACCTCATGTTTACCTACTGAATGACATGGGAAACAATTGAGGATTTCTTCTCTAATCAACCTCAACTACTAAGAAATATCACTCATGTAAGTCTGAAACATGGATCCTGTCTTAGTCCATTCTCACACTGCTATAAAGAAGTACCCGAAACTGAGTAATTTATAAAGAAAAGAGGTTTAATTGGCCCACATTTCCACAGGCTATACAGGAAGCATGGCTGAGGAGGCCTCAGGAAGCTTACAATTGTTGCAGGATCCTTGGGGTGTTGCTTTTCTTGCCGGAAACCTGTGGTCAGTGGCACCTTTGCCTGAGTTTTGATCAGGCCCACTGGGCTCATTCTGCCAACTCAGCCTGGCAGGCTGTGCTCAGCTCATGCTACCGTTCCTGATCTCATGCCTCCAAGGAAGACTGGAGTCAGGTGTAGAGTGGCAAGGGGTGTGACAGTGAGTGTGGGGTCCAGCCACTGTGCAGTCAGACATGCCACCTGCTGCCATGGGGTTGACAGCTCCAGGTGGCAGCATGGATGCCAGCTCTCTGTGAGGCTGTGGCTGGACCAGGTAAACAGCATGCAGCTCCGGCAGCTGGCAACAGGGAATGCAGTGGCACCTGGAAGCTTGGAGACACCAGGAACTGCAGGACCCCAAAGAAGGAGCCTCAGCTCTGGCTTAGGGAACTACCAGGTCTGGGCTCCCCAAAGGGCCACAGTGCTTTCCTTCATCTGCAACGTGGCTAGCAAGGGGCATGTTTCAGCCCTGTTTGTATTACAGCTCCTTTAGCCCCACCATAAGAGGGGTCCCAAGTTGTCCTGTCACCAGGAAGAATGAGGTACACAGACAGGTGGAGGGTGAGAAAGATGAAGAGGAGCTTTATTGAGCAATAGAACAGCTCAATCTCCTGCAGGGGGCAGCTCTTTTCCACAACCAGGATGTCCCAGTGAGTGTTCAGCTCCTAGCAGAGAAGAGACCCTGGAGTGGGAAGCTCCTGTTAGCAAGTAGGTTATCTTGTCATCTTCCCAGCACTCAGCAGAGAGGAGGCCCTGGAGCAGGTAGCCCCTCTGTAGCTGGTCATCCCAATATCTACTCAGCTATGGCTGAGCCCAGGACTTTTATGGGCCTCAGAGAGGAGGAAGTACACACCAGTTGGTCCATGGGCAGGCCCAGAAAAGGCACCACAAGTTCCCACTCCTGTCCATGGGACTGGCAGCCCAGCCCCCAGACTTCAGGCCCTCCCTGGCCTGAAGGTTGAGCCTCACCAGAGACCTGCCCCCTTCCACCCAGGAGCCTCTCTGCCTTCTCTTCATGGTGCCTAGGCTGTTCTTGCCAAGGGGCATCCTCAGGCCGATGCCAAGCTGCTCTCAGCAACCCCTTGGCTTCTCTCTCATGCTTGTCAGAACCCAATATCCAGAGGGGACCAAAGCAGCAGGGGGCTTGCATGTCAGCACTGCCCTGAGCATGTTCACACCCAGTTGGGCTATGACAGTGCCTGGGTGCAGCCTCGACCTTGCCACAAGATTGGAGCACACACCAACAGCAAGGAGAAGCCAGGCAGTGGGAGCAGGCACTTCTGAGCCTGAGAGGTCAAGGGGCCTTCCTGGGCCCCCAAGAGGGCAGGGATGCCTGGGCCTGTAGCCACGGTTTGGATTGCTGCAGCTGCACAGAGCAAGGGGGATGGGGGGGGGGGTCACAGGGCTACCACCTGCTCCATGGAGCAGGAGGCTTGAGTATGCAGCCATGGTTTGGGCAGCAGCAACTGTGCCCGGGAGGGCAGGGCTCCCACCAGCTCCATGGAGCACGTGGTCCCAGCCACACCTCCCTGCTGCAGCCAGTGAGATGGCATCCTCTGCTGATCGTCCACCATTTCCATCACAGTCATGGCGGAAGGTGAAGGGGAAGCAGGCATATTTTATGTAGCAGGATCAAGAGAAAGAGAGAGAAGGTGGAGGTGCTACAAACATTTAAACAACCAGATCTTGTGAAAACTCACTCACAATCATGAAAACAGCAAGGGGGAAATCCATTCCCTTGATCCAATCACCTCCTACCACATCCATCCTCCAACAATGAGGATTATAGTTGCACATGAGATTTAGGCAGGGACACAAATTCAAAGCATATAAAATACAAACAAAATGTGTGAGTAAGAGTATAGATTAAATGTAAAAGGGAAATGACCATAGTACAAGAATGTTTAACAGAAGGCAGCTGAAAAGGATTGGTCATAGGTGACTGAATTCTGGTTCTAATTATCTCTTTTTAGACCAGTGATAATTGTAAAATTTTTACTTTAAAGAAAAAAACTACTGGATAAGCACATGATGTAGGAAGATATGGAGAAACAGAAAATTATGTATAGGAGTACTCGGTGGTTTAGTTTCCCCACACTCAATATAAACCCACAGTGTTATAGCTGCCTAAAAAGTTTCAGCCTGAATGGATAACTATGGAGGGGAATGAGATCAGAATTAGTGTACTTCCAGTTAGGAAAGGTCACACTCCGTGAGGAATTACATGTCATGGGTCTCATTTGCTCCGCCATATGCAGTGGGATGGGATCACTTCCATGAGCATAACCCCTACCTCCAGCTGAAACTATCCACTAGCAGTGCTCCTCCATATGAATTCAGTCTTGGATTAGGTATTTGCATCCAATATACTATGATTCGATCCTCAAAGCTACCAATTATGCTGTCTCTAATAACCTCAATCTGAGAGTAAGATCCAACCAATCACAGTCCCATTTAGTGAGTAAAAGAGTAGAAACCATTAGGTGTCCTTATTTCAGTGAATGTTTCATCCAATAAATGTAAGTAAGAGGCATCAATATAAATCCCAAAAGGTATAAGCTTCTCAGCATCCTCTATTTGGGGCTAGGTCATGAGCTCAGAAAAGCTTTTAGAAAGTCAGAAATTCCAGGGACACATATGTTTATTATGTAAGATACCTTTGAAGACTTCTTGAAGCAAAAATATAGACCTCAGTCATTCTATTGTTGTTCCTGTATGGGCCAAAAAACACTACCCTCTTTCATATCCTGAGTATAGTATGTGTATTCATCTCACATCGATAAGGGTCACAGAAAAGGTCTCAATGTGGATAGGATGAATGTTCCAATAATCAAGCAACAGCCTGGCCTACTTAAAGATGAGGCATTGTCCACTCAGGAAGTTGGCTCAAATTGGTTTCTTAGAAGTTTAATTTATTACATCGTAGTATATCATCACATAAGAGAGAAGGAAGATCATCAACATTGGTGAATTTTCCTAGGTCTAGCAGCTAGTGACTTGAGCATTCTCACCACTTTGAACCCTGCTCTAAATAAGTTCTCCTGTCTCTAAGGGGCACTTTTTGACACAGGAACTTTGCAGAAACCTGAAATTGAACCTTTTTTTTTTTTTAACATGGAATCTTGCTCTTTCGCCAAGCTGGAGTGCAGTGGCGCTATCTCCGCCCACTGCAACCTTCACCTCCGGGGTTCAAGTGATTCTCCTTCCTGCCTCAGCCTCCTAAGTAGCTGGGATTACAGGCACGTGCCACCATGTCCAGCTAATTTTTGTATTTTTAATAGAGATGGGGTTTCACCATGTTGGCCCAGATGGTCTCAATCTCCTGACCTCATGATCTTCCCACCTCAGCCTCCCAAAGTGCTGGGATTACAGGCATGAGCCACCGTACCTAGACAAAATTGAACCTTTTTAATGGGAAATCTTTTGTGAGAAGCCAGAGTGGGAGTCTAATGAGACTCTCAATGGGAAATCAGAAGAGATACACACACCAGCTAAGCAGGAAGCCCTCTCCACTTTTCTTGAATTTGCTAGACCTGTGGCATACCTAGG
This sequence comes from Homo sapiens, assembly GCF_000001405.40. Taxonomy (NCBI): domain Eukaryota; kingdom Metazoa; phylum Chordata; class Mammalia; order Primates; family Hominidae; genus Homo; species Homo sapiens. The sequence continues at coordinate 17,201,582 of NC_000012.12, read as the reverse complement.
CCACTAACCTATTCAGGTCCAGAGACTGGGACAAAGTGAAGCGCCTGGGATATGGAACCCATGGACTAAATATGCATAAGTCTTTCTGAGAAAGCTAGAATGTTTGAGCTCTGACTTAAGTCAGATTCCTTGAACCAGGCTGGCATGTAATTGGGTGAGGGGGGCTGTCCTGCGACTATGGAAATGGGTGGAAGACTGCGGAAAGACAAACCCAAAACAGTGTGTAGAGATGAAGTTGAACCCAAGAAGGAAAGAAGTAGGACAAATAGAGATTCCAATCCAATGAAGTCCAAGCCCAAAAAAAAAAAAAAAACATGTCTAGGTCCAAATAACTTTAAGGGGTTAAGGAGGTAGGGGAGGAGAGCACAAGAAGAGCCAAAAAAGAAAAGCATAGGCGATATCTGGAAGCACTGATAGATTACATGGTGAAAAAAGATCAAATGGCAAGTTTTCAACTTACAGAAACTAATAGGGTATAAGCTCTGATAATTAATTCCTACCAGAATACAAGAGACAATGTAAAAATAGATTAAAATACGTGAGAGCTTTGGAAATATAGGAGAATAAATTAAACAAATGGATTCAAACACTGTAAAAGTGGACAAGGTATGGTAAAGTGGTTGTGATTGCTTTAGAAAATAAAATTCTACCCATTGCTTAGATCAAGAGAGGCTTCCCATCACACCTCCTCATAAATGGATCAGTTTCTCTCATGTTATAAGGAATTTTCCACTCTTAAAATTGTTCAGAGCCAAGAGAGCTACGTCTCATTGTTCTTACAGATTTTTTTCAAGCCACAAGCTATATGTTCTATAAAGCTCTAAAAAATCAGCAGCATAAAAAATTACCAAACCAATATGACAATTAATCACTTGATTTTTAAGTTCCTAGAGTTCAATAAATCTCTTTTTAAAGCACCAAGCACAGCGCAGTAATGAGTAAGCACTTTGCAATTGTTTTTTTCTGATTGAGATCATTATTGGACATCTTAAAAAATACTGTGGTTTATTCATTAGTCTGCTCTCATGAATGTTTTAAAAAAATCATGACATGAGAAAGTTTAGCACTCATTACAATATTCATTGTAAGTATAGATAGACGTTCCCATCAAAATTTTTCTCTAGTTAGTGCATTTAGAATATGTCCTAAGTGAACTAAGGCAAGAAGAGAAAGCCAAATATCACATGTTCTCACTTATAAGTGGGAGCTAAACATTGAGCACACATGCACATAAACATGGGAACAACAGACATGGCAGACTATTGGATGGAGGATGGTGGGCGGCATGGGTTGAAAAACTACCTGTTAGGTTATATGCCAGCTGCCTGGATGCTATAGACCTATGTAATAAACCTGCACATCTCCCCCCGTATCTGAAATAAAACTTGAAATAAAAAAGGCTATATCCAAAAATTAAATATTTTAAAAATTATAAAATGTAAGGAGCTTGAAAGTTTAATGAATAAAGTCATTCTACATTTATCATTCATTATTGTCAGTATACTTTCGTAGTGGTAGACAAAGACAAAATTATTTTAGAATGGCTTCAGTGGCTATAAACTTTGAACTCAGGAATAGACAGTTAAGTAAATTTGACTATGTCTTTTCAATACTTTTATTATCAAATATTGAGAATATTTTTCTACTCAGATTTCATAGTCACTATATTTGAATTTAAAAACTTTCAGCAATATCACCCATATTTTTCCTTTGTTCCTAATTATTTTCTTTAACTTTATTTATATGATTTTGAAATTTCCATTTCATTTTGTTTACCCACACATTGCATCAACATTCAAATTTGTAAAAAACAATTACTGGTATACAAACATCATTGCTATGTAAAGGGTAAGGAAAGGAGTTGTTAGCTATATTTTCTTAAGCATTGCAGGAAGTGATTTGCTGTTTTAGGGCAATACACACAAACACTTTCTTACAGAGTTCTTCTATTATGTTGAGAAGCTCACAGGGAGATTACAAAATAACCTTAAATTGGTAAATGAGTCAAGTGGGTGGCATTATCAGTTAGTGCACATTGTCAAATTGCAATGTGTTGGACTTTTACAATTGCGCTTTATTTCTACTTAAAGGAATTGTTATTTTCTTCCAATTTGTAAACCCATGATCTCCTTGAAAAATAAAACTCTGCTCTTGACATTTTCGGATTCCCCTTATCCCATTTCCATTAAAGACAAGTCTGACTTTGGGAGCACTAAGAATTTCAGAGAATTGAATTCCAGAGAGAAACTCCTATCAGAATAAGTCTGCCTATCCAGGAACACAGAGGACAGCTTTTTCTCACCCCTGCTGATGAAGAGCTAGACTAATGTCCCCTCTTGGGGTCTGCAGTAATACTCTCATGGAACATTCATTTGCCAAAGCTGCTGAGTTAACTCTGAAGTCCCCCTTTCCCAGAGCAAGTTGTCTATAAAGACAGTAAATTTAAGGGGTCAGGAAAATGGCGTCTCCCAAGACACTGAGTAAAATGTTGCAAGTTCTCACAGCCCATTTCAAACTCTCCTATGGATTGGTGATGACAAGATGTGCGTATCTTGACGAGGTCACCTCCAAGAAGTCTCTACACAGCAGTTACTACACAGACTAGATAACTGTGGAAATAAAGGCACTTTTGTAAGACTTTCCTTTCTGGTGCAATTAAAGTAGAGGTACTGTATACTGCAATACAATTAAGGGTGTAAGACCTTATGTTAAAGGTAAAGGCTAATAAATGAAACCATTAGTAAAAAGCTCTTTAAGGAAAAATATTTAGCTTTCTCTAATACATTCCACAGTTTGAGGGAAGGCCTTTCATAAAGAGAAAGAAAAAGAAAAAGGAAAGAAGGAAGGAAGGAAGGGAGGAAGGGAGGGAGGGAATAGAAAAGCTTATAGCCATTAGGGCAAATAAGTTATAAAAAATGTTTTGTGGCCATGGATGCTAGAATTTATTTCCAGTTATTCGATAATGTTCCTGAATTTTATTCTAATAAATGTATTATGGAGTTAAAACATGAATTCAGATCCTGTATAACAGAAGAAATTGAACTGAAGCAATCTCTATTGTTGGCTATGAAGGGTTTCTTTGTTGTTTTTTTGTTGTTGTTGTTGTTGTTGGTTTTTTTTTTCACCTGACTGAGTACTCTGTCATGAGCAGGAGGTCAATTTATGGTCCTTTAAGGTGGATAAATCCGATAGTTTTTCTTTCTTTTCTGTTGTATTTTTTAAACCTACCTTAGAATACTGAGAATTCACTTAATATACGGACTTCAAGAATGATTTTCTCTAAAGAGGAAGCTTTATGCCTAAGAAGTGGATCTCTCACTGATACTCATTTTCTGGGGACTGGTTTGTGACTCCATATAACACTAGCTCTTTTAATAGCCACAGGAAGAATTAGTTAAAAATTGACTTTGAATGTAATTCATTTGCTACAAAGTGGGTTTTCACCCCCTGCTCTTCTCTTTCACTCACATCCACATTTTCGTTTCTAGTCCTTTGTTAAAAAATGAACTGCACAGCAAAAGCATGTGAGGATAAGGATGTCTGAATACCATCACGCACCATGGTGTTCCCAGCATTTAGCCATTAATGCCTGGCTGCTGTCCTGTGCTAGAGGAGGGATGAGAGGGAGTTAAGAGGAGCAGCTGTCTAAGGAAAGCCCCAGGGATGAGCTCCCAGAGACACTTACCTGGAAAGAAGAAAACAGTAACTTTCATGGTGTCTAGTCTCCTCTTGGCTCTCTGCACCCAACTCCCAGGGATATGGCTAGTTACCAGCCATGCCACTAACTTTTGTGTCACTGCATGCAAACTCAGCACAGAAAAAACTGACAGAAAAATGCTGCTTTATTGATCTACCTGAACTTAAATTAGTAAGAGTTTGGTATAGATACCTTACAGAGCTAATTATGGGCAAACATTTGAATTGAGTATAGTTTGCTTCAGCCCAGTTTTTTTCCTCACTCCCTTTTGTAAACAGTCAATGTTCACTTATTGACTTTGTTCTCTAAAATTCCACCGTAAATACCAATCAAGGGGATTGTGGTATGTTTTAATGTACATTTAAGTCAGTGATAAGACCCTTTAAACTTCTGCTTAACTTGGAAATTAAAAAGGTCTTTGCTACTGGTAAAAGGAACTGCAGGTACCACTGAAGAATGGGGGAGTAATCTTTTGGATCACTATAATATTGACTCATAAATGAGCTAAGAAAGAGTTTTACTCTACATCTACTATAACCAAACCATTTGGATCAAGAAGAAACTTGGATTGGTCAAACAAAATATACTTTTAACTCATATCAAAATGTTTCCCAGGGCTTATAGAAATAAAAATGATGTGGGTAATCATCCTCTACTTTAGACAACTAGATAATTTCCACTGGTAGAGATGGTCGTTCATAATCTTTAATAAGGGGTCGCCATTGCCTATTTCATCTATATAGGATTCTTGGTCCTGATGACTAATCTATAATGTAAGGTGAAAATAATGCCACTATTTAACTGTTTTTGTAAGACAAATGAAATTAACACAAAAGGCAAGTGCGGCATCTAAGATTATTTTGCAGTTGGATATTGGTTTTATTCAGAAAGCAACTGAAGCATTAATTCCACAATAGTAAATAAACATCTTTAGATCTTTTTTTCTACTGGCTTTTTCATTCTTAGGAGAGTCTAGTACAGTAAGATTTCATTACTTTTGGAATCCACATCTTTTGAGTAAAAGATACATACTCATTTTTATCCTATTGTAGAGAGGTATTTATAAATAAATACATAGTTTTAATACAAATCCAACAGTTTATGTAGAGAAATAAATGTTACCTTGGATAATACATTTGATTGTACCTCAGAAAGTATAACATAGAAAGTTAAACTCCAGTTATACATAGCAGTGAGCCCCAACCTTTCTGGCACCAGGGACTGGATTCATAGAAGACAATTTTTCCATGGACCAGGGGTGACGGGGATGGTTTTGGGATGATTCAAATGCATAACATGCATTGTGCATTTTATTTCTATTATTATCACATTGTAATATATAATGAAATAATTATTCAACTCACTATAATGTAGAGTCAGTGGGAGCTCTGAGCTCGTTTTCCTACAACTAGATGGTCCCATTGTGATGGGAGACAGTGACAGATCATCAGGCATTAGATTCTCATAAGGAACAACTAACCTACAACCCTCGCATGTGTAGTTCACCATAGGGCTCGTACTCCTATGAGGATCTAATGCAGCCACCGATCTGACAGGAGGCCAACCTCAGGAGGTAATGCAAGCGATGGGGAGCAGCTATAAATACAGATGAAGCTTCAATCGCTTGCCCACCACTGACCTCGTCCTGGACCAGTCCATGGCCCACAGGTTGGAGATCCCTGATATAAAGAATCTAAGTCCCTTAAGAATAATCTTAAGGAACAGAAAACAAAAAAAAACAAACAAAACAAAACAAAAACAGTAATTTGGAGACTGAGCCTTGTAATATAAACGTTAGTGTCTTAGTCCCTTTGTGCTTCTATAACAGAATACCACAAGTGAGGCAATTTATAAAAAACAGAAATTTCTCACAGTTTTAGAGGCTGGGGTGTCCATGAGCAAGGTGTGAGCAGTTTTGGTGTCTAAGAAGCACTGCCCTTTGCTACTGAAATGGTGTCTTATTACTGCATCCTTTGGAGAGAAGGAACAGTGTGTCTTCACATGATGGAGGGTGAAAGAGCAAGCTAGCCAAACACTTAGTGGGACCTCTTTTATAAGGGTTTTTATCTCATTCAGGAGAAAGGAGCCCTCCTGGCCTAATTACCTCTTAAAGATTCCATCGCTTAATACTATCACATCGGCAACACCTGAATTTGGGAGGGGAAACATTCAAATCATAGCACTCTGATCTTGACCCTCTCAAATTTATGTCCTTCTTACACACAAAATACATTCATTCCATCTCAGTAGCCCCCAGAAGCCTTAACTCATTTCAGCATCAACCTTGAAGTTTAAGTCCAAAGTCTCATCTAAGCATCATATGAGTGAGACTCAAGGTACAAATCATCCTGTGGCAGATTCCCCTCCAACTAAAAGACTGTGATATCAAACAAGTTGTGTGCTTCCAAAATACAATAATGGGACAGGAGTAGGACAGACATTCTCACTCCAAGAGGAAGCAACAGGAAAGAAGAAAAGAGTAATAGGTCCAAAGCAAGTGCAAAACCTAACTAAACAAATCACACCAAATCTTGAGGCCTAAGAACAATCCTCCCTGACTCTCCATTCCACCTTTTGGATGTTCTGGAGCAGGAGTTGGTCCCCAAACCCTCAGGGGACCCTGTCTCATGGCTTTGCTGGGTGCAGATCATGTGCCACAACTCTCAGAGTTTGGACTTGGGTTTCTGTGACTCCCCCAGGCTGGCATTGCACGCTGGTGGTTCTACAAGTCTGGTGTCTTAGGGCCAGACCTACCTCCAATGGCATCACTAAGAATTGTCCAAACTGGGGCTCTTTGAGGTAGCCACAACTCCAGTTTTCCTGCACATTTTCCTAGTGGGTTCTTTGTGTGGCAGCCTCACCCCTATCTCAAAGTCTCTGCCTAGGCCCAGAAGCTCTCTGCAACAACCTTGAAATCTAGATAGAGACAGACATGTCTCCCTCCACAGACTTTTCACTCTCTGCACCTACAGAATTAGTAGCATGTAGGAGTCACCAGGATTTATGGCTGTACCTTCCAGATCACAGTCCAAGCAGCACCTGGGCCCACCTGAGCCACAGCTAGAGCGCTAAGGAGCATTGTGCCAGCATGTAAGGAGCAGACTTGAGATGGTTTTAGGCAGTGAGCCCCATGGTCTCACAGACACCCTAGGTCCCTCCCTCAAAACCATCCTTCCATTGAGGCACCGGTATTCTGGGCCTGACGGATATGGTAGCCTCCGAGATCTCTAAAATCCCTTTGGAGTCATTCTCCCATTGTGAATAGCACCTGACTTCTCTGTATTCATGGTAATCTTCTTATCAAATAGTCGGTTAGGTTGCTGGAACATACACCCTTGGTTCTCTCCCCTATACATACTTTTTTATTTTCTAAATGGTCTGGCTGAGAATTTACAAATCGTAATGTTCTGCTTCACTTTTAAACTAAAAATTCTACCTTTGAATCATTTTCCTCTTCTCATATTTTACTCTAAGCAGTTAAGAGAAGGCACGCAGCCTTCTGAACACTTTGCTTCTTAGAGATTTATTCTGGCAAGTATTCAGGTTCAATCATATCATCTGGCAGTTCCAACACCGGATATTTATCTAAAGGAAAGGATTTCAGTATACCAAGGAGATATTTGCAACTCCATGTTTACTGAAGCACCATTCACCATGGCCAAAATACAAAGTCAACCTAAATGACCATTAATAATTGAATAAAAAATATATGGTGTGTATATATATAAATTATATTCAAATAGGATATAATTTTTATTTGTTTACATATGTATATATATAATGACATACTATTTATCCTTTAAAAAAATAATGAAGTTATGTCATTTGCAGCAACATTGATGAACCTGAAGGACATTATATTTAGTGAAATAACTAGGACACAGAAAAATAGATAATACCATGTGTTCTCACTCATTTGTGAGACTTAAACATAAATTAAGCTTTTAGAATTAGTGAGTTAAATTGTGGTTATTAGAGGCTGGGAAGCACAGGGGATGTGTGGGATAGAGAGAGGTGAGCGAATGGATACAAAACAGCAGCTAGATAGGAGGAGTATCTTCTAGTCTTCTATAGCACTGTAGCATAAATATGCTTAACAATAATTTATCATGTTTTTAAAATAGCTAGAAAAGAGGATTTTGAATGTTCCCAATGGATAAAAATGATAAATGTTTGAGGTGAAGAATATGCTAATTACTCTGATTTGACTACTACACATTGTATATATGTATTGAAATATTGAAAATAAAATATGTACAATTGTGCATATCTATGTGGTACAGCGTAATTATGTGTGTGTGTGTGTGTGTGTGTGTGTGTGTGTGTGTGTGTCTCCTGGTTCTCCACTTTTAAGTTCTGCCTTCTACAAAATCCTAAATACATGAACACAATTCAGCCAAGTTCTTTGCCATCTTATAACAAGGATTGCCTTTCCTCTAATTTCCAATGCCTTGTTCCTCATTTCTATCTGAGACCTCACCAGAATGATCTTCACTGTCCATATTTCTACCAACATTCAGTTCATGAACACTTATATAATTTCTGAGAAAAATGTAGCTTTCTCTACAGCTCACCTCTTCTGAGCCCTCACTGGAATAGCTTCATTTATAGTAATCTTGGCTTTTTCTAGCCTGCCTCTCCAACTCTTCCAGCCTCTGCCCATTACCCAGTTCCAAAGCTGCTCCCACATTTTTAAGTATTTTTTATAGTAACACTTCCACTTTCTATCAATTACTGTCTTTAGTGCATTTATGCTGCTATAACAGAATACTACAGACTGGGTAATTTACAAAGAACAGAAATTTATATCTCACAGTTCTGAAGGCTGGAAAGTACAGATTAAGAGGCCAAAAGGTTTGTTGTGTGGTGAGGGCTGCTGTCTGCTTCCAAGATGGCATTTTATTGCTGCATCCTCCAGAAGGGAGGAACTCTGTGTCCTTAAATGGCAGAAGCTGGAAAAGCAAGCTAGTGAATACTGCATGAAACCTTTTTTGTAAAGGCCTTAATCCCATTCATGAAAGAATAGCCCTCCTGGCCTAATTAGCTCTTAAAGACTCCACCTCTTAATACTATCACGTTGGCTTCCCCTGAATTTTGGAGAGATCACATTCAAATCATTGCACTCAATGAAGGAGTTGTTATTTGAAAAAAAAAAAGTACTTAAATATAAAAAAAAAGTATAAAGCTTCATTCAGTTAAATGAATGCAAAATTTTAGCTGTAATCAATTAAAAACGTAATTATTCTATGTGATCTTATTTTTAGATTTACAGAAACCTAAATTCTATGTATAACTAAATGAAGTAGCAGATATGATTAGCATAATGTTTGGTACAAAATAATGCCAAATATAATCAACCATCAGGTATTCATTATTTTAATATCTCTTAGCCAATTATAGAAACTCAAAATGACAATTAGGGTGTCAGCAAAGGAAGTGTATCTTCAAGAACAAGGAAAACTTTTCAATGCAGAAGCTTAAAGTTTACCAGCAAGTAGAACAATCCAAACGGTTATTTACAGCTTCAGTCTTTTCATGATGCTCCAGACACACACTTTCAATTTCCTTCTGTTATTCCCAAGTCAAAATTCACATTATTAATAACCAAGCAATGCATTAAAAAGCAAACTTAACATTTTTCAATGTATCCTTTTGGCTATTGTGGTATGTTAAAAGATGCAATATTATATGTATGTGTGTGTGTGGGGATGTGTGTGTTTATAAACAGAAAGAGAGAAAAGGAGAAATTTTAATTTACACATTACAATTACACATGTAGCTTCTCTACATGATTCTACTACAGGTTTCAATTATTTTTAATTTTATAGATCTTAAGGTTGATGAAATCCAAAATGCTGAATTGCTGGTGAATATTCAAAGTGTAATTATTAGGATGGAAGAGATAGAGAAGCTAAAATCAGTTGTTAGTTGTGTCCATAATGTAGACTTTTTGGTCTCCAAATATGATGACTAGAGAGAGGATGAGAAAACATCCTTATGCAAGGTTTTTAATTCATCAAAGGAAAAAGAAAGCAATAAATATACAGTGAGAATAGTTACTTATAGTACATGTAAAGGGCTTAATATAAAATAAATAAAGGAACTCTTAACAAATGTTCATTATTATAATTTGTTTCATTATGCAAATAAATGGAATTTTTAAAAAGAGAAGTTACTTCAACATATTAATACTTTCAAACATATATTCTAAGCAATGAAAATTGGGGATGTGAATTATAGTGAATAACCAAAGTATGAGGAAGTTACTGTATGACAGAACTTGCATACTCAAACTTGTTACAAATTTCCTAAAGAAAATCACCACTTAAAGAAATCACACTTGACATAATTGGTCACATCAAGAATTACTTTAAGAATGTCAATTTTAAAACAGCATTTGGACGACATTTTTTTAAAAAGGAATTTTGTTATACATTGATGTTTCTCATTATAGCAATGCTGTGATTAGAGAAAGGAATTTCCTCCAGAAAAATGTTCTCGAAGGCAAGATTCACTGTCTACTTTAGAAATATTACAAAATGTGAATGGATAAACCCTAATAATTATGACAATGTAAAAGACAGAGAAATATTATTTGAATTGTGAGTCCATTTCATTTTGGTATCTTTCCTTACTGTTCATGTTTTAATAGACATCTGCTACTGTTCAATAAAATAATTTAACAACCTTAATAAATAAAGGGCAAAGAAATGCTATGAATAGGTGAGGATATAGTTGAAAATGGTAAGAGCAAAATGAATAAGAATATCTATTTTTTTTAAAAAAAAAAAGGCAAAGGTAAACTGGAGCTGTGTTAGCACATAACGATGAACACAAAAGAGTAAGCTAAATACTTGGTGGAAATAATGAACAGAAACAAAGTAAAAACTACTATTTATTTCAGACTTTAGTGTTTTACTAGATATAAAAATTGTGGTAATATAAGAGAAGTATGGAATTTTTATATTTTGTGTGAGAAAGGAAAAATGAAGATTAGTGGGCAAAATTTATAAGAATATAAATTTATGTTAACCTAGAAAATATGAGTGGAAACATTTAGAGGTTCCACTTTCAGCCATAATGAAGTAACAAATACTGAACTTGCCATGTAGCTGAAATCAGCTATAAAACTGAAAAAAAAAAATATGAGACAACTCTTTCCATTCATTGGAAAGTAGACACCAAAGAATTGTGAACCATTATAGAGGGAAAATAACAACAATGGATGAGTCATATGGATGCCTTGGCTTTCTGCATGGAGTTAATTACTGGGCCCTGGCCCAAGGAGAAGTAACATAAAAATGTTTTTGTAATATTGCTGAATTGAGCAGCCAGGAATTAGATATCAGCAAGATTTAGAGAACCAGTATTTGGTAGACAGAGTACTGACAAAGGAAAAGCTACTCAAAGAGAGTTTTAAAGATCTGCATAAGGGCCATCTTGATGCTTGGCTGAATGATATGTTGCACAAGACCAGGCAAAGAATAACATTAAGAAAATACAACTATCGGCTGGGCATGGTGGCTCATGCCTATAATCCCAGGTCTTTGGGAGGACGAGGTGGGCGGATCACAAGGTCAGAAGTTTGAGACCAGTATGGCCAGCATGGTGAAACCCATCTCTACTAAAAATACAAAAATATTTAGCCAGATATTGTGGCATGCGCCTGTAATCCCAGCTACTTGGGAGGCTGAGGTAGAAGAATTGCTTGACCCTGGGAGGCAGAGGTTGCAGTGAGGCAAGATCATGCCACTGCACTCCAGCCTGGGCAACGGAGTGAGACTCCAATTCAAAAAAAAAGAAAATACAGCTATCATAGACATAGAGCCATAAAATAAAAATCCTTCAGAACTCCCATGGGGTTGGAGTTTGAATTTAACAAATCAGAGTGAAGAGACCTCATGGAACATATCAAACATTTTGTGGAGTTGCCAGATGGTTTACGCATTAAAATTACAACTAAACTAATTATAATGTAAGTCTACTCTAGACCTTAACAGGGATGTTTAGAGTCATTTTATGATGACAAGTAGGCAGTTGTTTAAGAGGATAAAACAATATTGAATGTATGTGCACTTAATAACACAGGCTCATTTTATTAGTCTTTTCTCACACCAGTATAACTAACTATCTGAGACTGGGTATTTTATGAAGAAAAGAAGTTTAATGTACTCACAGTTCAACAGACTGTAAAGGAAGCATGGCTATGAGTCCTCAGGGAACTTACACAAGGTGAAGGAAAATCAAGCATATCTTACTAGAGTGGAGCAAGAGAGAGACAGAGACAGAAGGGGGAAGCAGTATACACCACGCCCGGCTAATTTTTGTTGTATTTTTTAGTAGAGACAGGGTTTCACCATGCTAGCAAGGATGGTCTCGATCTCCTGACCTCATGATCCGCCTGCCTCGGCCTCCCAAAGTGCTGGGATTACAGGCATGAGCCACCGCTCTCGGCCAGCAGTATGCACTTTTAAACAACTAGGTATTGTGATAACTCATTCACTATCATAAGAACAAGAGGGAAGTACATGCCAATGATTCAATCACCTCCCACTGGGCCCTTCCTACAACACATGGGGATTACAATTCAATATAAGACATTAAAATGTGTAGAAGCAAATGAACTGTGCTTATAGAAAACTCTTACACCTTTAAACTATTATATTAGAAAAGAAGAATGTTCTAAAACATAAATTTTCACCTTAAGAAATTAGAATAAGAACAATAAATTAAACTCATAGTTGTAAAAGGAAAGAAAATAAACATATCATTGGAAATCAGTAAAATAGAAAACAAGCACAATATACAGAAACACTGATGAAACTAGAAGTATTTTCTTTAAAAGGATCACTAAAACTCATAAAACTCTAGAGTAATGAAGCAAAAAAGTAGAAAAAAACTGTAAATTAATAACAAAATTAAAAAAGAATATCACTAAGAACCTACAGATATTGAAATGATAATGGGACTTATGAACAAAATATGTTCATTAATTCAATAACTTAGATGAAATATTACAATTTTTGAGATAAACTAAAAAAAACTGACATAAGAAGATATAGAAAACTTACATTACCCTGTATGGATTAAACTATATGTATTTTGTTTTGTCTCTATCTTTCCCTCTCTCACACACACACACACGAATAGATAGATAGATAGATAGATAGATAGATAGATAGATACATAGATAGATAGGTAGATAGATAAACACAGACTCTCCAGGACCAAGTTCCTTTACTAGTGAGTTTTTGATTATTTAATAAGGACATATTTCAAGTCTCACATAAACCTTTCAGAACATTCAGGGGTAGAGAATATTTCCAAATTTAGACAAATATATCACGGAAAAAAATACCAATGTATTTCATGAATACCGATAAGCTTTAACAAAATATTAATAAATCTAACTACAATCACATACAAGGAAGACATCCGGGACAAGTTTTGTCCCAGAAATGTAAGGTTGTTTTGATATTCAAAAATCCATCAGTATAATGCACTACAGAATGAATGAACTTATATTTAACATTGTACTGGACATCCTAGTCAGTATAATTAATAAGAAATAAAAAGCAGTACAGGTGTATAAAAATTAAAATAATCTTTATTTTCAGACAATATGATTGTGTGCATGGAAAATCCTAAAATCTACCAAAAAATAAAAATAAGGAATTAATAAGTGAAATTAATGAGGTCAAATGACACAAGGCCAGTATATGCAAACAAATTTTACTTCCAAGCAAAATCATTTTGAAAATGAAAGAAATTTTAAAATCATCATAAGAGTATCAAGAAACATAAAATACTTAGGTATAAATTTAGCGAATATGTGCAAGGTTTATACAGATAAAACCACAAATTACTGCTGAAAGGTATAAAAGAGAGCTTAAATAGTTGAAATTATTTGCAGTGTTTATGCATAGAAGGACTCAAAATTTGTAAGGTATCAATTCTCTGTTAGTTAATCTGTAGATGCAATAAAATCCCAAATAAATTTCTATTTGACTTTTATAGAATAATTGATAAATTGATTCTTCAATTTTATGTTGATGCTAACAATCTAGTCTAGCCAAACTAATCTTGAAAAAAATATGTAGAGGACTTACATTTTCTGATTTCAAAACTCAATATAAAGTTACAGTACTTAAGACAGTGTGCTTTTAGCATAGGATATATAGAGATAAATGGAATAAAATAAAATGTCCAGACATAATCATGCACAGATATGGCCTTTGTATTTCAACCAAAAAACCACAGAAATTCAGTAGAGAAATAATAATCTTTTCAACAAATGATGCTGGGATATTCTGCATTTCTGATTGAAGAAAAGTAAAACTATACCATTCATAAAAATTAACTGATAAAATGGATGATTGCTCAGAATATAAGAGCTAAAGCTATGACGAACATAGAAAAAAACATAAGAGAAAAATCTATGAAACTTTGGGGTAGAGAAGCATTTCCTAGCTAGAACAGAGAAAGCACTAACCGAAAAAGAAAATAATAATCAATTGGATTTCTTCAATATTACAAACTTCTGTTTGTCAAAAAACGCCATTAAGAAAATAGAAAAGCAAGCCAGCGAGTAAGAGAAAACATTCTTAATGAACATATCTGTCAAAAAATTTACATCCGTAATACTTACAGAAATTGTACCTCAATAATAATAAATCAAATAGCTTCATAAAAATTAATATACAAAACATTTAAATACTTTATAAAAGAAGAAAGTGAAAAGTTGGTTAATATCATAGGTTGCTAGGAAAACGTAAATTAAAACCACAATGTAGTACTACTGCACATATACTAAAATGGCTGAACTTTAAAAAATTTATACCAGTTGTTGGTGAGGATGTAGAGCAAGTGATACTCTCACATGTAGCTGGTGGGAGTGTAATAAGGTAAAACAATTATTGAAAACCGTTTGTGGCTTCTAATAATGTTAAATATGCTGTTATGCAATTCTAAGCAATTCCTCTAGTATTTGACTCAAAGATGAAAACGTGTCTTTATAAAAAAGACTTCATATGCAAATGTTTATAGTTGATCTATTCATAATCACCTAAAACTGGAAACAGTTTAAAAATTAATCAATATGTAGTATAGTCACACAGAGGAATAAAAAGGAACAGAACAATGGAAAAGGAAGAAATAACTGATAAACACAAGAACATAGATAATCTAGAAAATATTTAGCTCAGTGCAAAATTCAGGCCTCAAACTGAATATTGTCTGACTCCTATTATATAAAGTTCTCACAAGTGTTACTAATCTAGAGTGAGAGAAATAGTATGGTTGACTGAGATGTGAAGTAGCAGGGACTGACTGCAACTCATGAGGAAATGTTTGGGGGTTATGAAATGTTCTATATCTTAATTGGAGTTGTGGTTACCTAGGTTCATAGACTGGTCAAAACTCAAGCCATTTTTTCCCTTAAAAAGTGACTGCATTTCCTGGTATGCAAATTGCATCTCAGTAAAGTTAAAAAGGAACACAAAGCAAATGATGTCTAAACTTATTTTTTCATCTAAAATAAAAATGGAACAGGTTCTCTTTCAAGCTGTTTACTTTTTATCACTGATATTTTCATGACGCCTCAGTGAGGTATGGGTATCTCTGCCACTCAAATCTAACGTATCCAACATGCTCTTTTCACTAACTAAAAAACTGCTTTGCCTTTTGTATTATCTATCTTGATTTGATACCATCCCTCACAGAAATTTGTTGTATGGATATTTTGCATGATATATTGAAGCAAAGGGCCAGGGCAAGATCACTAATAACTTCTCAATGTTGGCAAAAGTATTCTTGCATTGGATATGAGGCTTAACCTAGCCATTTCTATTTCTGCAGTAATATCAATAGTGGTTGCCTTTCTAGACAGTTACCAGAAAACTGTTGTGTATTATCTGTGGGATTGTTTCTGAGCCCTCTAGTATTCTCTGTAGCATCAGTGGGACAGCAGCCGCCTTTCGCTTCTTCAGGTCATCAGCTGCAATAGATTGAGCCCATTCTACACCCAGCTGTCCTCTATTATCACAGATTTTCTTTGAGAAAGAGGACTATCTGGTGTATTAGGTTTTCTGTTGCTGACATAACAAATTGCCACCAATTTAGCTGTTTAAAATAACACAACTTTATTATCTGTCAGTTCTGTAGGTTAGGAGTCCAGGTACATAGCTCAACTATTTTCCCTGCGAAGAATTTCACAAGGCAGAAATCTAGGTGGTTTCAGGGCTGTGTTCCTATCTGGAGGCTCTAAGGAAGAATCCATTTCCAAGTTCGTTCAGGTTGCTGGCAGAATTTATTTCCATGTGGTTGTAGGACTAAGAACACCTTTTCTGTGGGCTGGCAGCTGGGTTTGTTCTCAGCTTCTAGAGAAGTTGTGTTGATCCCTACTTTGTAGATTTCCTCAAAGTCAGGAGTTTCAAGTTGTGTTCTTCTCATTTAATTCACCGACTCCACCTTCTGCCTCATCTTTTCTGCTACAGACTGACAGACTCTTCCGACTTTTGCTTCTAAGGGCTCATGTGAATTCACTGGGTACACCCAGATAATACAAGACAATCTCACTCTTTCAAAATTAGGTGATTGATAACCTTAATTTCATCTATAAATTCCTTCACAGCAGTACCTACACCAGGGTTAGTTACACTGAATAATCAGGAGACAGGAATCTTACGGAGTGAATCAACTTTAAAATTTTACCTACCATATGTGAGTTCATAATTCTTTAAATCAATTTCATCAAGTGTTCTCTGATCAGTACTCATCAACATTTGCCAAAGTTATCTTCTCTCACCATTACTGCTGCTACTTTGATCTCAATTTTTTTATCTTAAGTTTTTTAGTAAACAATAAATTGCTGATATAGTATATAAAATTACTGCATATGAGTTCATAGTGCAAACACTTAGGTCCATGCATAGGGAACGGAAATTGAGGCTATGAGTCCATTTTCACAGTGTCAGAAAGAAATACCTGAGACTGGGTAATTTATAAAGGAAAGAGGTTTAGTTGACTCACAGTTCCACAGGGCTGGGGAGGCCTCAGGAAACTCACAATCAGGGCGGAAGGCAAAGGGGAAGCAAGTACCTTCTTCAGACGGTGGCAGGAGAGAGCGTGTGTCAGCACAGGAAAAACTGCCATTTATAAAACCATCAGATCTTGTGAGAATTCACTCATTATAACGAGAACAGCATGGGGGAAACCACACCCTATCATCCAATCATGTCCCATCAGGTCTCTCCCTAAACACCTGGGGATTACGATTCAAGATGAGATTTGAGTGTGGAGACAAAGCCCAGCCATATCACAAAGTACATTATTATTTCAATCTTGACTACTCTCCTCTCCCACAGGCACACACCTTTACTCATCTTCCTCATGTTGTAAAATTAACTCTATGTATGAAAGAGAGAAGTAAGTAACTGTTTATGTTTGACTAATTAATGTTATGAGGGTTACAGTTATGGGAATAAGTTACATTTATTGTTCTATATTAAGATAGTATGACTTTTTGCCACCTCACCTTCCAATTTTTTTGTTATTTTATAGAAAAAGATAATTCCAGAGGATGTGAAGAAAATCAAGTTTAAAGTTATGAAGGCAAAAGTTTAAGTATTATCTGAGGACCACAAGATGCCAAGGGGGAGATTTCTATCTGGAAATGGTGACACAGATGGACTAAGTTGGGTCAGGACCATTATGAGAGGTCTTTCCCCATAATATCCAGATGTCAAAAGCACCTGACCCAATTCAAAGGTGACAATCTCAAAGAAGTGTCTAATTTTTTTATGTCCCTGTTTCTAAGTCCTGCCAATATTAACATTTAAACTATCCAGACATGGAAAGAGAGAATTAAAGACATAGATGCATAAAAGGAAGAAAGAGAAGTCACTTTACTAGGACATCTCAGTACAAATGAAACTGGGAACGTTTCATTTATATATATCCTAGTGATTCAAATATTGCTTTTTATGTGGCTTTATGTACTGTTTCTTCTCTACTGTCCTGATGAGACTACTCAGCGTGTAGCATGTTCAAGATCATACCAATTATAACATACTCCATAAAAGTTTTCATGACTGATCTTGTTGAAATAGCTTTAATGTTTTCCTCAAACTACTAGATACAAACATGAAATGCAAAGAAATCAGTATTCATTTATCTCTAAAATGCACTCATAATTTATTTGTTAAAATCTTAATAAACATATTTTAATGTTTTCTAGTTATCTGACTAGATTGTATCTAGTCCAGCATATACATTTTCTTATATTATGAATTCATAAAGCATATAGGCTCTCTCTGTACAGTACCCAGTGTCAAATAGCTAATACAGCACCATGCTCAAAGAGGTATTTAATAAAGTTATAAATAATTTCTTATGATCATGACATTCAAAATCCTTAAACCAAGAAAAATTTGGTATAACAAACTAATAAACTGAATTTTAAAGTTAGACCATCCTAGACCTAATTTTATTACTCTTTGACTTTAAGCAAGTTTCTTTTTAATCTGCAAAAATGGGCAGTAGAGTAATTTTGCAAGGACCTATTAATAAAACATTAATTAGTTTCAATTTAACATATCATGCAAAGCAGATATGTATGACCAGATTGAGGATAACAGAGAGATGTCCTTTGAAAATGATCCTTAAATGTTATTTGTTCATTCCAGCATCAATTTTTCCAAAAATAACAGGAGAAAAATATATCAGAATTGAGCAACACGATACATGAAACAAAAATGGAAGTGTCTGGAGTGAGTCTAGGTGAGTATGAAACGTCTGCATGATTTGCATTTAGACTTGAAATACTATTGTGTAAGTATTACTCTTTAAAAATAAAATGTAAATTAAACTTAATTCAGAAATCTCATTTCCTTCCAATGTTATTTCAGTAGTTATGAAGCTTAACTCACTCAGGAACTGTATGTAGCTAAGAAACTGTGCTTGTTCTAAAAAAGCCCTTTGGAATAAAACTGCTTCACAACTTGTAAAATATTATCATTCATTTTGCCATTTTGCTTGGGATTTTCCCATATCTTTGGATTGTCTTTCTTGCTTCCCAAGACATCTCTGCTCTGACAGTAAGAAAAAGGGATCTCCTGGGTAAAATTCAGACAGACCACGTGGCTTGACAATTTGAACTTACTTTTTGCCTTTCAACTTCTCCTTCCGCCTCTCTTTTCCCCCAAATACCCAGGGAGGCACAAATTTTACCTTCACTATGTGAAGATGTGTTTTGGGAAAAGAGGAAAAAGTGTTTTTCACATACAGTTGAACATGACCAAATTATACCAGTGAAACCTGATGAGAAATGTTAAAAAAAAAAAAAAAAAGTTAAAAGATAAATCTTACTTTGCTTTATCCGGAAGAAAATTTATATGGCTACTATATAAAACTCCCAACTACTTATCTAAGATTATTTTAGCAGCCTTAGAAATTAGCGTAGTTGTTGCAGAGGCTGAAAAATCACTGTGAGAGAAAATAGTTCTCATCATCACTTTACTAGTATTCATTCTCTTTCATTGGAAGCAAAACATAGTTGGGGTATCAGGCTCAACATTTTTTTCTAGGTCAAAATAAGAGTCAGAGATTATTTATCACATGTGGTAGATAATGGATGAATTTTCTAAGGTCTAGTTTTGGACTTGAACCTAATGCAGTGTCTGTAAACTAGAAAAACTATGACAAAGTCCAGCTTATATTATTTGTCATCATTATCATTGTCATATCATCATAATCATTATTTAGTATATTCTATATACTGACCATTATTTAGTATATTCTATATATCAGGTGCTGTTTCCAGTGCTCCGCATCTATTAATTTATTTAAACTTGAGAACACAGTCTTCTATGTGTGCACCTACAGTTCCAACTTTTGTCCTCATTTGGCTTTACTTTATTGTAACGTTCCTTTGCATGCCCCAATTCAAATCCATGGCCTCCCTAGTCATTCAGACATAATGCATTTTTGTGTTCTAGTCCAGACAATGTCTCTGAACTGGATATTTTCTAACAAACATCTAAAAAACCCTCTGTGTTTCTAAGTTTTCCAAAAAAACTTCTCCATTTGGATGGCACACTGGCACCTCCAGCTCAAAATATTTTCTCTCCCTCTGTGTTTGTTGTCCTGATTACTTGGACAGCAAGCCTCAAGTCACCCAAACAAGAATTATTTCAGTCATCCCACATGCTTTTCTCTTTTACTTTTAACATGTTCAGTAAAGTAAAACTAAAAAATAATACTTTCACTTTACTAATCATTCTCTAATTAATTCAAGTTAATACTGTAGCTTTTGTTTATCTTTGAGTCTGCACCCCCATGGCAAATGTTTTAAGCAAATTCTGTGCTCCTACTCCCTAGGAGCAATATTATCTCACCATTAGGAGTACAAACACTGGATTCAAGTATACATGGGTCCAAATCCCATTTTCACTGCTTTCCAGCTGTGTGAACTTGGACCCATTTCTTAATCTTTGCAACAGGAGTATAGAAAATAAATATCTTTATCCATATAACAAGATGAAGGAAGAGTAAAAAAAGTTATACAAATTACTTGGTAATAAACAAGAGACCTCAAATGAGATGTTAAAGTAAGTCCAAATAAGTCAGAAAATAAAACAAATGTAGAGAAGTAAATTTAGTTTTGAAAATTCAGAGATTATGAGACTGCATTTTAAAAAATCAATTTTGTGTTACTTACAATAAAAACACCTAAAACAAAATGAAACATTAAAGGATGCAAAAATAAGATATATCATGAAATATCAACCATAGGAATGTCAACGTGTCTACATAAATCCCATTATAGAATTATAAATCATAAGTGGAATGTAAAGCTTTGTCTCTCTCTGCTTTTATTAGTAGGTAATTTATGTAGCAATTCATAGATACCTAACTGAAAATACCTTATATAAAACAGAAATCATTGGTTTACATACTAGAAAGTTTAGTCCTGGATTTGGCTTAGACATGGCTGTACTCAGGAGATTAAATGTGCGGTTTATTTTCTCCGTCTTTTGGCTCTACTATCCTCTTCATGTTGCTTTAATTCAGCAAATAAATTATCTGCACATGGCAGGAAAGATATCCACTGTGAGCCCCATTCACAACCTTCCAGCTTACCAATCCTAGCAGGTATAAAGGGAAAGAGACCTCTCTCTTCCCATGCCCATATAGCAACCTTGGGACAAACTCTGTTTGGACCTGCCAGGGGGATGTCTATGGATTATTTCTGACTGGGACACATGCCCAGCAGATTGACCGTAAGTGAGATGAGAGACGGTGATTGACAGAACTACTTGGATTATATGCACATGTAGGATGGAATAGCACTTTAAAAGTAATCAGTACTGAACAAGAAAAAATGTACACTAAACCTCTTTTATTGACTATTGTTTAGAGTAAGGCAATACATACCAAGACCATAGTGAGAGACAATGAAAAAGATCCATGAAGGCCTATTTTTAAGACATATGCTGGGCTGGGAGACAAAAGAATACTCCTGTGGCTTACATATGGTTCAGCCCAATTCACTATGACTTATTTAAATGTAAAATATTTATTTAACTTTTGAACTCCATGATAATTTTCTCAGATCCTCTGACAACAGGGAGCTGACTTCTAGCTTATATCTGTCTTCTCCTTAGATTAATGACTAAACCACATTTATTTGGAAATACAGGAAGAATATAAATGACATTTTAAATTGTTCTTTCTGACTATAGGCATTCATCAGTATCACAGTATAAATCTTAATACAGTATAATAACAGTGTAAAAGTTTTTTAAATGATTTTGTGTAGCTTTGTGCTTTGCTTTCTTCCTTTTACATGTTTTTCTCCACATATTGCAGATTTCCAGGGGCAAATGAAATTAGCCTTCAATGGCTTAGGTTCTAGTGACCAGATCACAGGGTATTTACTGATGCTTCATTTTTGATTCAGATAAAGCCTTTAGGCAAACATCACAAACCTCTGTAACTGACTATAACAAAGGGAGTTAAAGGATACCTATACATTGAAGTGAAAGATAGTAGTATTAAGGGAAAGAAAAGTCAATATAAGGGGAAAATTGGAAGCATATAAGAGAAAGCATAAAAGTTTATAATAGTTGTTCCGAATGAATAAAAAGCTTCTCTGGACAAAATAATAGAATAAATACGATTTCAATGGCATCTTAACGTCCTTGGTAGAACAACAGGTTTTTTTTTATTATTATACTTTAAGTTTTAGGGTACATGCGCACATTGTGCAGGTTAGTAACATATGTATACATGTGCCTTGCTGGTGCGCTGCACCCACTAACTCGTCATCTAGCATTAGGTATTTCTTCCAATGCTATCCCTCCCCGCTCCCCCCACCCCACAACAGTCCCCAGAGTGTGATATTCCCCTTCCTGTGTCCATGTGATCTCATTGTTCAATTCCCACCTATGAGTGAGAATATGCGGTGTTTGGGTTTTTGTTCTTGCGATAGTTTACTGAGAATGATGATTTCCAATTTCATCCATGTCCCTACAAAGAACATGAACTCATCATTTTTTATGGCTGCATAGTATTCCATGGTGTATAGGTGCCACATTTTCTTAATCCAGTCTATCATTGTTGGACATTTGGGTTGGTTCCAAGTCTTTGCTATTGTGAATAATGCCACAATAAACATATGTGTGCATGTGTCTTTATAGCAGCATGATTTATAGTCCTTTGGGTATATACCCAGTAATGGGATGGCTGGGTCAAATGGTATTTCCAGTTCTAGATCCCTGAGGAATCGCCACACTGACTTCCACAATGGTTGAACTAGTTTACAGTCCCACCAACAGTGTAAAAGTGTTCCTATTTCTCCACATCCTCTCCAGCACCTGTTGTTTCCTGACTTTTTAATGATTGCCATTCTAACTGGTGTGAGATGGTATCTCATTGTGGTTTTGATTTGTATTTCTCTGATGGCCAGTGATGATGAGCATTTTTTCATGTGTTTTTTGGCTGCATAAGTGTCTTCTTCTGAGAAGTGTCTGTTCATATCCTTCGCCCACTTTTTGATGGGGTTGTTTGTTTTTTTCTTGTAAATTTGTTTGAGTTCATTGTAGATTCTGGATATTAGCCCTTTGTCAGATGAGTAGGTTGCAAAAATTTTCTCCCATTTTGTAGGTTGCCTGTTCACTCTGATGGTAGTTTCTTTTGCTGTGCAGAAGCTCTTTAGTTTAATTAGATCCCATTTGTCAATTTTGGCTTTTGTTGCCATTGCTTTTGGTGTTTTAGACATGAAGTCCTTGCCCATGCCTATGTCCTGAATGGTAATGCCTAGGTTTTCTTCTAGGGTTTTTATGGTTTTAGGTCTAACATGTAAGTCTTTAATCCATCTTGAATTGATTTTTGTATAAGGTGTAAGGAAGGGATCCAGTTTCAGCTTTCTACATATGGCTAGCCAGTTTTCCCAGCACCATTTATTAAATAGGGAATCCTTTCCCCATTTCGTGTTTTTCTCAGGTTTGTCAAAGATCAGATAGTTGTAGATATGCAGCATTATTTCTGAGGGCTCTGTTCTGTTCCATTGATCTACATCTCTGTTTTGGTACCAGTACCATGCTGTTTTGGTTACTGTAGCCTTGTAGTATAGTTTGAAGTCAGGTAGTGTGATGCCTCCAGCTTTGTTCTTTTGGCTTAGGATTGACTTGGCGATGTGGGCTCTTTTTTGGTTCCATATGAACTTTAAAGTAGTTTTTTCCAATTCTGTGAAGAAAGGCATTGGTAGCTTGATGGGGATGGCATTGAATCTGTAAATTACCTTGGGCAGTATGGCCATTTTCACGATATTGATTCTTCCTACCCATGAGCATGGAATGTTCATGGCAGTGGTTTGCAGTTCTTCTTGAAGAGGTCCTTCACATCCCTTGTAAGTTGGATTCCTAGGTATTTTATTCTCTTTGAAGCAATTGTGAATGGGAGTTCACTCATGATTTGGCTCTCTGTTTGTCTGTTGTTGGTGTATAAGAAGGCTTGTGATTTTTGTACATTGATTTTGTATCCTGAGACTTTGCTGAAGTTGCTTATCAGCTTAAGGAGATTTTGGGCTGAGACAATGGGGTTTTCTAGATATACAATCATGTCGTCTGCAAACAGGGACAATTTGACTTCCTCTTTTCCTAATTGAATACCCTTTATTTCCTTCTCCTGCCTAATTGCCCTGGCCAGAACTTCCAACACTATGTTGAATAGGAGTGGCGAGAGAGGGCATCCCTGTCTTGTGCCAGTTTTCAAAGGGAATGCTTCCAGTTTTTGCCCATTCAGTATGATATTGGCTGTGGGTTTGTCATAGATAGCTCTTATTATTTTGAAATACGTCCCATCAATACCTAATTTATTGAGAGTTTTTAGCATGAAGGGTTGTTGAATTTTGTCAAAGGCTTTTTCTGCATCTATTGAGATAATCATGTGGTTTTTGTCTTTGGCTCTGTTTATATGCTGGATTACATTTATTGATTTGCATATATTGAACCAGCCTTGCATCCCAGGGATGAAGCCCACTTGATCATGGTGGATAAGCTTTTTGATGTGCTGCTGGATTCAGTTTGCCAGTATTTTATTGAGGATTTTTGCATCAATGTTCATCAAGGATATTGGTCTAAAATTCTCTTTTTTTGGTTGTGTCTCTGCCCGGCTTTGGAATCAGAATGATGCTGGCCTCATAAAATGAGTTAGAGAGGATTCCCTCTTTTTCTATTGATTGGAATAGTTTCAGAAGGAATGGTACCAGTTCCTCCTTGTACCTGTGGTAGAATTCGGCTGTGAATCCATCTGGTCCTGGACTCTTTTTGGTTGGTAAGCTATTGATTATTGCCACAATTTCAGATCCTGTTATTGGACTATTCAGAGATTCAACTTATTCCTGGTTTAGTCTTGGGAGAGTGTATGTGTCAAGGAATTTATCCATTTCTTCTAGATTTTCTAGTTTATTTGCGTAGAGGTGTTTTTAGTATTCTCTGATGGTAGTTTGTATTTCTGTGGGATCGGTGGTGATTTCCCCTTTATCATTTTTTATTGCATCTATTTGATTCTTCTCCCTTTTTTTCTTTATTAGTCTTGCTAGAGGTCTATCAATTTTGTTGATCCTTTCAAAAAACCAGCTCCTGGATTCATTGATTTTTTGAAGGGTTTTTTGTGTCTCTATTTCCTTCAATTCTGCTCTGATTTTAGTTATTTCTTGCCGTCTGCTAGCTTTTGAATGTGTTTGCTCTTGCTTTTCTAGTTCTTTTAATTGTGATGTTAGGGTGTCAATTTTGGATCTTTCCTGCTTTCTCTTGTGGGCATTTAGTGCTATAAATTTCCCTCTACACACTGCTTTGAATGCATCCCAGAGATTCTCGTATGTTGTGTCTTTGTTCTCGTTGGTTTCAAAGAACATCTTTATTTCTGCCTTCATTTCGTTATGTACCCAGTAGTCATTCAGGAGCAGGTTGTTCAGTTTCCATGTAGTTGAGTCGTTTTGAGTGAGTTTCTTAATCCTGAGTTCTAATTTGATTGCACTGTGGTCTGAGAGATAGTTTGTTATAATCTCTGTTCTTTTACATTTGCTGAGGAGAGCTTTACTTCCAAGTATGTGGTCAATTTTGGAATAGGTGTGGTGTGGTGCTGAAAAAAATGTATATTCTGTGGATTTGGGGTGGAGAGTTCTGGAAATGTCTATTAGGTCCGCTTGGTGCAGAGCTGAGTTCAATTCCTGGGTATCCTTGTTGACTTTCTGTCTCATTGATCTGTCTAATGTTGACAGTGGGGTGTTAAAGTCTCCCATTATTAATGTGTGGGAGTCTAAGTCTCTTTGTAGGTCACTCAGGACTTGCTTTATGAATCTGGGTGCTCCTGTATTGGGTGCATATATATTTAGGATAGTTAGCTCTTCTTGTTGAATTGATCCCTTTACCATTATGTAATGGCCTTCTTTGTCTCTTTTGATCTTTGTTGGTTTAAAGTCTGTTTTATCAGAGACTAGGATTGCAACCCCTGCCTTTTTTTGTTTTCCATTTGCTTGGTAGATCTTCCTCCATCCCTTTATTTTGAGCCTATGTGTGTCTCTGCACGTGGGATGGGTTTCCTGAATACAGCACACCGATGGGTCTTGACTCTATCCAATTTGCCAGTCAGAACGATAGGTTTTAATCACTCTTAAATATCTTAACGCAATTGCTATACTAATTTCTTCTATTTTTACTGTTTTTTTGAAAACAGATTGCATATGTAATAGAAACCTCCAAAAAAAGTGGAAAGTAAATGATACTAACTTCTAAAAGATTTTTTATTTGAGACTTTCCATCCATTCTAATCAGTCCTAAGGCATGAAAATTGACAACGGTGACCTTTGCTTTTGAAACAGTGGTCCCCAATCTTTGTTCTCAAGAACCCTGAGTCTAGAGAGAGGCATACAGGAGCTCTGTCACATACTTCTTTGGAAAGTGTCACAATATAAAGCTATCAACAGTTATACCAAGTAAACAACCATAAGAATTTTCATAGTAAAGAAAGTGAAAAGAAAGTTGATATCACATTAATAAAACAGTTTAAAAGTAATAAGAACTGCTGGCCAAGGTTGAAAAACTGATATTAAATTAGTCCTCTTGCCATTAATGCAAAACAAAGCAAACAAACAACAACAACAAAGCCCTAGAAAATTAGAAAAGCAATACGAAAAGAAATTCTTCACATATTTTGGACAACAGACATAACAGACCTAGGATCCCTGAAAGAAGAAAAAAACATATCTAATACACCCTACAATTGCCAGGCTTTCTTGCTAGAATCATTTGCAGAACAATGCACAGGGAAAGGAAATCCAAGCGGAACAAGAAAGTCTTCCTGAGGTTAAAAAGGCTGAGATGATTAGAATTTGTAGAGCATG
This sequence comes from Homo sapiens, assembly GCF_000001405.40. NCBI lineage: Eukaryota > Metazoa > Chordata > Mammalia > Primates > Hominidae > Homo > Homo sapiens. The sequence continues at coordinate 17,174,979 of NC_000012.12, read as the reverse complement.
TTACTATAGAGGAGATAGCTACAGAGAGGAAGATATATCCAGAAATTTTAAAACAGCCTCACTTAAAGCTCTGACTAAATATTAAGATTAATATGCCAAGTGTGCCACTCTACGAAGCCAGGCAAATAACTCTAGGAGTAAAGACTTACGAGGGAGCTATAAACCAAACTAGTGCCTGAGCTTGCAAGTTCACATCCACTGAGATACATTTGAGGTCCCACAGTTTCAAAGACATCTCATCCAACATCCAGAAAATTCAGAGGATGCTTCAGAAATGCCATACCTTAAAATACGGACTAAACTAAGAGGAGATGAAAGACTACACTGGATGGGCACTAACAAAGTGTGAAAACAAGCTTAAAAAGACTAAGGTGATTGGCAAGTAAATTAATGGTTTGCAGAACAAAACCAAACACTAAAGAAAGGCAACAATATTCATACACCCAACGATGTTCAAACTCTCCAGCAGCCAATCAATGATTGCTAAATAGGCAAAAAAGCTAAAAAATGTGACACATAATCAGGAGAAAATTAGTCAATAGAAACAGAATAAAAAATGACAGGGATAATTGAATTAGCACATTAAAACTTTAAAAGAGCTAAGTAAATACGTACAAGTACTTAAGAAAAGCATAATGTGATCATGAGAAATATAGAAGGTTAAAGAGCTGAATGGAACTTATATACCTGACTATATATCTGACACGGATGGACTTAATAGGAAATTAGTTTTTCTCAAGTAAGACTTAAGTAGATTTGAAAATATGACATTAGAAATTATCCAAACTAAAACATAAGAACAAAAAATAAAACACTGAAAAAATTTAAAATTTTGATGATTTTTGGACAAAATTAAGTAACATAACACATATGTGATTCAAGTATCCTAAAGATGGGTGGTTAGGTAAATGTTTGAGAAAATAATATGTGAAAATTTTTCAAATTTGATTTTTAAAAATTAATCCAGAAATCCAGGAAATTTAATGAACCCCAAGTAGCATTACACTAAGAGACATGATAATCAAATTGCAGAAAACCATTGACAAAGAAAATAATATTGTAAAAGTAGCAAAGCAAAAAGACACATTACATCTAGGGGAAAAAATTTAAATGTCTACTGAATACTCATCAGACAGAATTTAGCCAGAGGCAATAAAATAAAATTATTAATCTATTGGAAATTGGTTAGTCATGCCAGAATTCTGTACACAGTGAATATATCTTTCAAAAGGTATGGCAAAATAATGCCATTTACAACAGAAAAAAGTTAAAAATATATAGCAGTAGCCAACCTGTACTACTTGAACTTCTTTGGGATAAAGGAAAATGTTATCAGATTCAGATAAGTCAGAATCATATTTGTCCATTGTATAAACATATATAAACAATTTTTATGTTTTCCAAACTTTCTAAAATACAATTGTTTGTTTTGATAAAAAGTAGTACTTTTTACCACTCAAAAAATATATACCACTGTAAAAGCAGTATTTTGAGTGGTATATATCATTGTGGGAGTACATTATATGATAGAAATAACACAAAAGACAAGTAGTGTAGAAATACACTGTTGTATAGGTAAGTGACATAATATTATTTGTAAATAGATTATAGTAAGGTCTAAATATATATTGCAAACACTGGAACAACTAACATATTGTGCAACAAAGTTATATAACAAAAACATCAGTAGAGAAGATAAAAAGGAATAAAGGAATACTAGAGGTATTCAAGTAATCTTGAAGGAAAAAGGGAAGATGAAAAACAGGAACAAAATAGATGGGGCAAACAGAAAAGAAATACTAAGATATAGACTGCAATACAATATCAATAATTACATTAAATATAAATGGATTAAACATACAAACCAAAAGACAGCAATTGTCAGACTGCCTAAAAAAACAAGATCTAATTATATTCTATTCACAAAAAATACTTTAAATATCAAAACACATTTGGGAATGAAAAGGAACAATCTACTGACACATCCAACAACTTGCATGAGGCTCAGATATATATTTTTAATAAAAGCATTCAGGCACTATTAAATGCATACTGTATGTTTTCATTGAAATGAAATTCTGGAATAGAAAAAAATAGATCAGTAGTTGGCTGTGTCAGGTATGAAAATTATAATTTACTGTAAAGGAGCAGGAGGAAACATTTTAGCATGATGAAATGTACTATATCTTAATTGGGATGATGATTACAGACAGACATATAAAGACATCAAAATGTACTCTTAAAATTGATGTGTTTCATTTAATATTAACTATACTTCAATGAAGTTTACAAATAAAAAGAAAAATATGACAACTGGAAAGATTAGCCTCGAGTAAGAAATCAATTTAAATATTTAATTTCCTCTCTAATCTGTCAATACAGTTAGTTGGAAAACAAAATAATTTCTATAGTCATTTGTGGCAATTGACTTAATATCCAATTTGTTGAGGTCTGAATTAATGAACATTTTAAATATTTTAATAACAATAGAACTAAAGAGTTTATTTTGCTGCATGATTCTCTAATATCTCAGAAGCTGTAACTTCTACATATCATGAAGCACATTGATTTATACTGTGGATATTTGCATATGACAAAGCAAAAGGCTCAGTTGATTTTATATACTTGGAGGCCAAAAAGATTTGAGTATGATAGGTGATTTAAAGCTGTAAAAACTACAATTGCTGAACTTCCAAGGTCTTTTGTCATTAAAGGTGTTTTTTAAAACAGAAAATAAAATTTAGTTTTTGTCTCCTATTTCAAGTAATAAAATTATAACTGAGAATAAATTGTCATATTTATATCAGCACATATTTCCCCTGAAAGGAAGCAAAGGAGTTAAAACTTAAAAACCTGATTGAAGACAGCTGATATTCTTCCACACAGAATCAATTTAAGGAGTTAGAAAGTAATATCATAAAGGAAAAGAGATAATCAACTTTTTGTAGGATATTTAAAATCTTATTATAAAAATGAAAATTATTAACAAGTAGAAAAGAAATAATATAACACCTATGAATTAGAAAAGGATCTTGGAGAAAATCCACAATGAAACCAAGACTACCGAGAAGTACAAGTATAAATACAAAAATGTAGCAAAGAAGTTAGAACTTAAATTTTATTTTAAAGTTCAGATTGAATTAAAATAAAACCTATGCAGATTTTTAGAAGAAAACCTACCAGCATGGCAAATATGAGAGATAATGACAGAATTGTCTGAGTATTGGCTACTGGGGAAAAAGAAAACCATAGTTTATAAATTTACTGATTCACATATTGATAATTAAATATTTTACAATTATACTCAGTGGAGATCTTCACATTATATGATCTAGAGCAGGGGTTGCAAACTTGTTTTCGTACATAAAGTTATCTGGGAAAACATCTATGCTCATCCATTTATGTATTGTGTATGGCTACTTTTGTGCTACGAGGAAAGATTCGGTGTAGTTATAGCAGTGATATGGCCTGCAATACCTAAAATATTTATTATCTGGCTGTTTAAAGAAAAGTTTTGCTAACCCATGGTACAGAAAACAAAAGTAGATTTAAAAGGAAATATTTTTTCAACAGCGATAATATTAGATAGCTGCATTCAGGAGTTGTGGGGCTTTTCATGATAAAATCAACTGGTGTTAATTCCTTATGTTAGTGAAAGGAACAATGAACAAGGCTATTAAGAGATATTTTTTGTTGTTGTTGAGGGGAGGGAGGAGAGAGAGACAGACACAGAAAGAGAGCTCCACAGAGAGGATTGTTATTAATGAAATAAAACATCCACAAAGTGGCTTTTTGTCTTTTTCTTTAGTCTCTTACTTCAATTAATAAAATTATAAAATTTGTGAGTATAACTTTTCATAAAATTTGGAGAGATGTTTGTATATTTCTAGAATGCCCTTTGATTACTGGTTTTACTGGATTTTTTTTAATTGAAGGCCTTTTGACTATTTAATGACATCTCTTGGCCCTTTCTCTGAAAAAATGCACATAATCATATACCAAATTTTTTTCCTATTTGATTCAGTATATGAAACCTTTAATACTTACTCATTAATCCCTGTATTGATTTCATATCAAGAATTCTTGCTCTGGATTAAACATATTCATACTTTTAGTTCATCATGAACTTAAATATCTTTTATTTTAGTCTTGATTCTTCTTTATCTTATGTTTGGCACATTGTAAATAAAGACATAAGTCATTTTTGAAAGCCATAAGAAATTGGATGCTGCTTTTTGAAATTAAAAGAGAAGAGGCAATAAATAGATTTTAAAAATTAATATTAGCAAAATTAAAATATTCTAAAATTAAATTATTCTAAATAATTATTTTTAAATAATTAGCATATTACTTTATAAATGAAAACAAAACTCTTGCACAACATTCATAGCTGAGATGGTAAAAATCCTTTGCTTTTAACTCAGAACCTTAACTCAAAATCTCTCCACTAAGGTTTTCCAGGAAACTAAACAAATAGCTACGTGTATGTCTCTCTCTAACCAAAGTTTTATGACAAAATACTTTATAGACTTAAAGTTGTTAAAATGTGCTTTGATACAGGCTCATGAGGGAACATATTTCATTTATATATTTCACCAGTAAATCTTTATTCTTACAGAATGTATTAATGCTTAGAGAACAGATGTTTCTTGAAGTAGATTGGGATCTGCTGCTGTAGTCGAGCAGTCTCATTTACCAAAGAGAAAATGAAAGGTCGAGGAGGTTAAGTCCTTGCCCAAAGTCTCACATCTTAATAGCAGAACTCAATCCGAGACTTGGGTTTTCTTTCCTTGTCTAATGCTCTTTTCTTTCTTCTCTATGAAATAACTTAATATTATTCCTCTTTACTCTCCATTTAAGTTCTACCTGGGTCCAGATTACTGCAATCAGAATCATTGTAAATTTAGTTGGGGAATTCTTCATTGCTATGATGGGTACAGAGAGTTTACTTCAAATGCACTGTGACAGGGAATAATTTATCTCTCATAACCATTTAAAACACCACTTTAGATGACTGAATGTCGGCTTTCTAGTCAATGTTGACTGCTGAGGCTCTGACAGAATGACAGTCCTTAACTGGTTAATCAGAGGATGTAAGTGATGTAAAGGTGACAGTCACTACTCTATTAGTGTTCCCAAACGGAAGATCAGAACTTCTACTCATGATGCTTGAGAAAAGTTTTATAAGCACTAAGGCAATCTTTATCATGATTTTTAAAACAAAAGGTTTTAAGTATCAGAGGATGATACTTTGTGGCCCAAACTTTCTCCCCATTGCTGGTTAAACATAACAATTCTTATCTGACATGTGACACCATCATAGCATGTTGTCATTCATTATAGGGTATTTTTGTTTGTTTTTAGTTAGTTTGTTTGTTTGAGACAGGGTCTCACTCTATCACCCAGGCTGCAGTGTAGTAGTGCAAATTCAGCTCACTGCAACCTCTACCTCCTGGGCTTAAGCAATCCTCCCACCTCAGGATCCCAAGTAGCTGGGACTACAGACACACATATCGCCATGTCCAGCTAATTATTTTGGTATTTTTCATAAAGACGGTTTCACCATGTCGCTCACACAGGTCTCAAACTCCTGGGCTCAAGAAATCTGCCCGCCTTGGCCTCCCAAATTGCTGAGATTACAGGCGTGAGCCATAGTGCTCAGCCCAAAGTAAGTTTCTAATAACATTTTCATTGCCACATTTTTCAAATAAACTACTTGAGAATTATTTATACATTTATACTACATGAGAATTATACATTTATACTACATGAGAATTGTTTACACATGTGATTGTCATTCTTACATGTGCAGCTGGCAATAAATAGAGAACTGTTGCACAAAGAAAGTTCTGACAAGCTTTCTTTCAGGATATATTTATTTCAAGTTACTTACTTGTGGAGTTTTACACACACATACACATGCACACACACATCACAGAATCTAAAACTATGGATTGCCATCAGCATCTCCCCATCTCCAAAATGTTTCATTGTAGGCTTTGAAATTCTAACCCCTCAAAATTCTATCTGGTGCACAAAGAAAGCTCTGACAAGTTTTCTTTCAGGATGTATTTATTTCAAGTTACTTACTTGTGGAGTTTTACACACATACACATGCACACACACATCACAGAATCTAAAACTATGGATTGCCATCAGCATCTCCCCATCTCCAAAATGTTTCACTGTAGGCTTTGAAATTCTATCCCCTCAAAATTCTATCTCTCGTAATGTGTAGATGTTTTTCTCAATGTTGAATAACTCCACCAAGGAATTGAGATGACCAAGAAATAAGGAAGGGTAAAATCAATGCACTCTCTTTTTCAGAATAGAGCAGACATATATGTGAGTCTAAGATATGTATACGATGCTGTTTATTTGGATTCTTCAATGCCTTTTAATGAGCTAGACACATTCAGAATGCTTCAACCACCTGCTACTTCAGTAACAATGTATGTATTTCCAGATATTTTCACTGAGTAGCAAAGAGTTACAGGGCACCAGGGTGAAAAAATTGGAAATTGATGTTCCATATTCTAGTCTGGGAACAGGACGGCTGTTATACAAAAATTTTAAGCTATATGTGTGTGTGTGAGTGTGTGTGTGTGTGTACACACCTTATATATACCTCTTGCTATATATATACATTATATACATTATGTATATTATATATAATCTGCGTAATATGTATCTGTATTATACATATATCTATTCTTTAATATTAGATCATGGGAAATTAAGATATGAGCAAGCTACTCTGAATATCACAATATCAACAAGCCTCATCACATGATTTTAAAAGGAACTAAACTTAGTGTAACTATATGAGGAATATTTTACCTCCTAAGAAGCTTCATCTTTTATGTTGTTGAAGCCAGAAGCATTATATTCACAGTTTCAGAGTCAACCTGTGCCTGGATAGATATTGATCTAAATCAGTTTGGTCTGGTAATATTATCTCTCTTGTGATATGGTTTAACTTTTTACCATAAGAGATTTCCTCCAACCTGGAATGCATCCAGTGTTCAGATAGCTAAAGGGAAAAAATACTGAAGCAGCTACTTGCACCTACAGGCTACACCTACACACTAAACTCACTACACAGTCAGCTTGGGTGAAATTAGAGAGAAAACTGCCCAAGCGTGTCAAATGTCTAAGCTTTAAGACCCGGGGTGGAATGAAACAAAAGAGGAAGGAGTCCAGGGGTGTTTTAGCGTAATCATGCTGGCTCATGCCGCTGAAGGAACAGCTGGGATTGAGAACTCACTGCTGTGAGGAAACTTGCAATTGTATTCCCATCCCACAGTCACCAGTGGACAGGTAGGATGTGTGTGTGTGTGTGTGTGTGTGTGTGTGTGTGTGTGTGTGTGTGTGAAATGTTCCTGGTAAGAAAGCAAAAAGAGAGAAAAAAATTCAATACCACAGAAAGTAATATGTTTCTCATTCCTTTATTATAAATGTATGGTATCTTAAATATCTCTCAGCTCTCTACCCCTTAAGTTTCACTTTTGACAGCTTGCTAAATGAGACTGTGTGGTGCATAGCATTCGAATACCCTTTTATTCAATGTGAAATTCTATTAGAGTATTCCAGAAAGTACTAGTACGATACATGGAATCTGTTTTTTTTTACATGCAATATACATATGGAGGATAAATTGTTTTTGGTAAATACAGGTAAATTCATGAGAATTTTTTATACAGGTGAGTGTCACTCTTTATACCAATGTATGTTATTGTTGTTGTTTATGTTTAGTGTTTTTAGTGCTAGGAGGAGGTGGCATCTGGTAATTCAAAGCACTGGATGTAAGCCCAGGTATCAAGGCAACATTGTACTTTGTTTCCTTACATTTCCATGGCCCCATTTTGATGGCTTTTCGATCCATCTCTATCTCCATTTGCAGATTTAGCCATTTGGTAAAACTGACTGACAGCAAAGTCAGGCACATGAGAGAAGACATCAATGGTACTTTTTGGAAATAAAACATGTTAATAGGACCTAAAACCCTATAAATGACACATCATGTATCTGTTTACCAGATACATTTATATCTATTGCAGAGACTGGAGTTAGAACTGGATAGGTGGAGAGGGCATAAAGCTATACACCTCAATGGAAGGAAAATAACATTATCTGAACCGCTTTCCAAAATGAGAAAAAAAAATCTACAAACAAGACTCACATGAGATATTCCTGCAGAATATTACCATGATATTTGGCCTTCTGTAATGTAACTTATAACAAAACAGTAAGTGGTTTCTAACATTGGTGACAGATGGTTACTTGAACTACCAAAGTTGGTTATGTTATACATTAATTACTGTAAAAGATGTATGACTAAATGGTACAACTCAGACATTCCACACTTCCATACACATATTCATATTTTGACCCTTAGCCCAAAGTCAAATCAGATCATTAAGAGATTTGTATAATTTCTAGTGTACTAGGAGTTATTTTCTTCCTTTCAATTAGCAGAGCTACCCATGACATTCTGGATGAAAACCTCTGTACTAGAGAAGTAAGTATAACATAAGTAGCTAAATTGGTTTGCATAAGGATGCTGCATCTCTAGAAGTGAATTTCATTCTAGAAGTTTTAGTATTACTAGGCAGATATGAGTTAAAAATCTGATTCTAATCGAGACCATCCTGGCTAACACAGTGAAAACCCTTCTCTACTAAAAATACAAAAAATTAGCCTGGAGTGGTGGTGGGTGCCTGTAGTCCCAGCTACTCTGGAGGCTGAGGGAGGAGAATGGCGTGAACCCGGGAGGTGGAGCTTGCAGTGAGCCGAGATCGCGCCACTGCACTCCAGCCTGGGCGACAGAGCGAGACTCTGTCTCCAAAAAAAAAAAAAAAAAAAAATTTCATTCTAGGCCAAGCAGCTAAGAGGAGTTGGGTATTTTATTTTGTCTAACATTTCATTTTGCACATTGGTGTATACTACCTACTTCATAGAGTTATGAGTAAGTGAACAAATGCCTGCCAGTCATGGAAAGTATAGCTGCTGGCACACAGTGAGAATTTAGTCGATATAAGTCATTTTTTATTCTTTGTCATTATAACATAATTATAGTTATTCAGAGATACCTACACATTTAATACACATTTAATTGGCTTATTTGTCCTCTATTATATAATCTATTTAATATCTATAAAATACCCAAGACCTGGTAGACACACCAAAATACAGAAGTATTAATGTAATACATGTAAATTCTCAACTTTCTCTCCCTTTAAAAAAATAGAATCTCAAGAAATTCTTAGAAGTTGTGGATTAGATTGAATGAGCTAGCAGTTGAATTATTTCAAACCCTTATGCATATTTAAAACCAATGGACCAGTTAATTATTGTATTGCAGCCAAATTTACTAAGTTTCTTTTCAAATGACTGATTTAATGTGTGAATTTTTTAATTAAAAAATAATTAGGGAAAATTCAGTTAAAATAGAAATCTCTCAAATGCATTCAGATATCCAAACCAAAGCAGTAAAGCCTATAGATTATGCACACTGATTTTGATATCAGACAGACCTGGTTTGAATCACAATTTCATCACAAATGAACTGGTGGTTTTGGAAAAGGAAAATTTATGTTGATTTCTTCTGCTGTAAAACAGGGATAATACTGGGACAACCTCTTGTCCCCGTATTGCTTAGCATATCTCAGCTCATATTAAGTGTTCAATAAATATTATTTATTGTTGTTGCTATTGCTATTGTTATGTGTGTGATACATTAATCTACCTAAAAAGAAGATTGATTGCGTTAATATATCAGAACTATATTTAAATTAAATTTAAATCAACTTAAAATATTTCTTATCTGCTTTCAGTTATTCCTTGATATCTATTTATGGAGAATTGCTTGTGGGACACCTGTGGATACCAAAATTAGTGGATGCTCAAGTCCAGTAGAAGAAATGGAGTACTATTTCCATATAATCTATGCATATCCTCCCTTACACTTTAAATCATGTCTTGATTATTTATAATAGCAAATATAATGTAAATGTGCTATAAATAGTTATTATTCTGTACTTTTTGTGTGTACTTTTAAAATTGACTTATTTTTAATTTTCTTTAAATACTTTTGATTTGCGGTTGGTTGAATCTGAGGCTATGAAAGCTACAGACGTACTCAGAAATACACTATCTTTATGATGTCTTTTAATTTTCATAGTGTACTTTGAATACACCATTACATCTGCTTTGAATATATTTTTATAGAATTATGACCTTTGAACTGTTGGACATTTCTTATTTTCTTGATTTGACAAGTTCAGTGTTAACAGAATGCCTGATCAGGTTTCAGTTTTAAAAGCCATCTCTTCAGGTAAGTTTTCTCAGACTATTACATTCAAAATAACAACTTATTTTGCACTTATTTATTGTCAACTCCAACAGATTATAAACCCCATAAAGAAAGGGACACATTTTGTTCACTAATATGTTTACAGAACTTAGTTACCTGGCATTCAGTATAAAAAATACTTTTTTGTGGAATGAATAAATGAGGTAATCATATATAATAGACTTGCAGTTAATAGAAAAGGGGCTCACAAAAGACAGAATTTTTATCTATACACATTTTTTTTGGGTTATGCTGCTACCTTGACTTTTAAGAAGATACACATTTTATTCTGATGAAACTTATGAAAAAGAGCTAGTCAAAATTTTGTTATGAAAATATCTCATATACATTTAAAAGGGAGAAAAATATTCACAATGCCATACCACCATCTAGGGATAATAATAGCTAATAACATTTATTGTGCACTTGCTTAGTGCCAAGTCCTGTGCTAAGCATATCATTCACATAGTTATTCTATTTTATGTTCCATAAAACTGTAAAGTACAGGCTATTATCATCATCTTTTAGATGAGAAAACTGGGATACAAATGGAGTAAGTAAATTTTCAAAGCTACATAATTAAAGTGGTAAGACAAGATTTCAAACTTAGAATATTTACAAACCTTAGCCTTTAACCCTATATTATGATGTTAAAATATTTTTGCCTATTTCATACATTTGCAGACTTCCTTGCAGTTTATTTTCGAAGCTATGTGGTTCCTTATAATAACAATTCTGAGCATTCCCTTCTGAATTATGTATCCTTCAACATTGCATTTTTAAATTGATACTTTTTAACAATTCCTCTTTTTGCAGGACACTGAGATTATTTCCTCTTTTGAGAACTGTAGTGAGGCATTGGTTAGTTTATCAGGGTAGTATGATTGAAGCAAAGCCATTCGCTATATTAAAAGAGTATGAGCATTTTTAAAAATCTCGGTTTTTGTTGCCAAATGTTTTTGAAATGTATACGTTTTACCTCTGGGATCATTGTTTAAAGTACCTATTTTATATGCCTTTGGTAGTCTTTTGGCATAAATATTTTTCATAAATCATAGTTTCAAAAGTGAAAAATAGTGTCTCAATATTTTAGTTTTTATGTTTAGCATGGTTTTTATACCTTTACTGTTTTTCAAATTGTTCTTTTTTAAATTGCCTGTTTCAATCCTTTCCCAACAGTTTTTCTTTCACAGTTACTTGTTTTCAATTTTATTTATGACAGTAGTATTTCTCCATCATACAGATTAAATTTTTTAAATTCTAGCCCAATTGTGGATTTTACTTTTGTTTACTATATTTGGTGATATGCAGAAATTGTAGCTCATTTTTTTTATGTTATTTCGGTACTTAAAAGTTCTTCTCTAGGACAAAATCTATTCTACTTTTATTTATGTCTAATATATTTAATTATTCAAATATAAAATCTAGTACAAATGTATAATTATTGCAATTAATTATTTGTTACATCATCATGTATTGACATATATATATTCCCTAAGAGATTTTAATGATATCATTTTTATTTGGACAGTTTTATGTATGTGGTTTCCTGCTTCTGGGCTGCCTATTTTGTTCTTTTGATCTTTATGTCAATTCTTTATTAATAGTCCCTTCTTATTATCACTACAGTTTTATATAATCTACTATCTAGTAGGCAGTGTCTTTTATTTGTACTTTTTTTCCAGAATGCTAATAGCCTCATTAATTTTCCAGATGTGCTCTAGAATTATTTTGCCAAGGTCCAAATAATCTCTACTAGGGTTTTAATTAGAATTGTATTCAATATGTTCTTCAATGAAGAATAATTGACACCTCTGAAATATTCAGAATTCTTTGGTGTCTTTTTGTCAGATTATATAGCTTTATTCATATTGCTTTTAATCATATCTTACCATATTGGTTCTATGTATCTTATGCTGACTTGTATTTTTAAGACATAAACTGGAACCAAACATAAGCAGTGGTAAAACTCATAAAATTTCATAACTATAGATATTACATCTTAATCATGGAAATGATGCCACCCAGAATTTAATTAAATGTCAGTTTATCTATATGGTAGATCACACATAAACACTTTTGCCTCCACCAACACCAATCCCACCCACATACATTGGATTGAACCCAAGTTTATACAACAACTCATCTGCTTCTTCACTATTTCAAATCCCCATGGAAACAGGCAGGGTATCAATTTTAAACAATAACCCATAAGTGTGAGTTTTGTCACGCCAAAGTGTGGCATAAGATATGAAAAGTGGTTTGAATCCTAGCCTTGTATTTACTAGACTGCCCTTCATAAAGTTATTTAATATCTGTAATTTAATTTTGCTCATCAGTCAAAGCAGAAAAGTAATAAATCTTAAGTCATAGGATTGTGGTAAAGATTAAATGAGGTAATATTTGATTAAAAAAATGTCTGGAGTATAGTAAATGTTTGATGCAGATTGGATGTCATTACCTAAATGCGGGTACTTAGGTGAGGAGAAAGGGACACAAAGCGTATGATACCTTTCTTTTAAATCAAAATTCTAAAGGCTAGGCTAACCGAACATGCAAATCGCTGTCAAAAAAAAAAAAAAGACACCCAGTATATAGCATCCTTTTGCAATAAGTTCTTTTAAGAACATAACAAATAGTGCTATCAACATGAAAAGATAATATGGAGAATTTTGCACTGAGGACTATTTCCTAGCTGTCTCCTCCTGTTTGATTAACTATTAACTTTAAGTCAGTGAGAAGAACCTTTGACTATCAAAGATCCATAGGCATGGAAATACTCAAGTCGAAGAGAAAATTATAACTCAAAGTAGTCATATAGTTTTTCCAGCCCTTGTCTAATTTTATAGATAAGGAGTGGAATCTTGGAATAGAATTCTCTGAACTTCTTGGATATCTATCATATTTAGGAAAAGACTTAAATTTAAACTTAAAAATTCAGCATATGCCTGCTATGTATGTAGATATATATATATACACATATTTATATTTGCAAGTAGTATATATGTATAACTGTACTAATAAAATATCCATATTATAAAACATAAGCATAATGCTGTTTAAAAAACAAATAAAATAATATTTTTACATGACTTTCAAATCCTAATGCTTCACAGGTATTGTTAGTTGATAACTCATATTAAATATATTCTTAGAGTGAGGTTGACTGTTACTGATATTGGATTCAAATGCATATTTCAAATAGACTCCCTGTTATGTATAAAAGAATTTATTTAAGTTTTTTGATTACATCATTTTTTTTCTTCTGGTTTTTCCTTTTAATCTCTTAATGTAGAAGATAGGGAACTCATATTCAAAGTAGAGGCATGTTCGTTCTGCATTCTGCATTTTTTTATTATTCTCTTTTGCATACATATTTAGTATTACCTCATTTGTATATTGTCTTGGTAAAGATTTTCTCCAGGCATGTTTGTATTTTGTGAAATTTTATTAATTAAAACTAGGTGCTATAAACCACAAATTTAAATCGGCACAAACAAACTGTGATTAGTTGAAATATGTGAAAAGTGAACTGAAGAATGAAGGCCCCTGATAACCTCTGCCTCCAAATGTGGAGTACCCCCACTCTTCCCTCAAGTACTCTACACCGTGTCTGACATCCTAGCCAAATGTGGTTTCCAGTGCCATTCCTTATGCTGAATATTAGGAATGCTAAATGTTTTTCTTATTTAATTAGTTAAAAATCAATTTGAGCTGATAAGAGAAGTTTTCCTATTTCCTATCCAAATCCTAATAAATCCTTGCATATCCCACAATGCTAAAAATCGATTGTCTATTTACATTAGGCCATTCTCCATAACATTAAAGTTTTCCAGTTTTATAATTTGTATTAAGATTTAGAAGTTAAGAAATTCTAGCTACTAGGGACATACCTCCACTCAAGACCTCTGTGTGTCTGACTAGCGAAGGAAACGTGTGGCAGATGGGTGCAGAGATCCCACATTCTGCCCTTCTTCCAGAAGCTTTTCTCACCTCCAAATCTTTTTCTCCATTAAAATATATTCAAATATAATTAGTGTAACATTAACATGGAGGAAATTTTGTAATTGCCAGTTGTTCTGTAGCCATGGTTACATCAAAGATTTATAGCAAGTAACTCCCGGCTGGGCACGAACAAGCAGTTAGCAGGAGCAGCAGTAAGAAAATGTTTGTGTGCACGTGCAGGTGTGCTGACGTGAATGTTTGCCAAAAAAAAAAAAAAGAAAAGAAAAAAAGAAAGAGAATATTCAGTGACATTTAAGGTGCTAATATCTGGAAGTCAACCTTTAATTTGACAGCTTTTAGTGCTAGTTAATTTCATTCATCCAGGCGAGGTGTAGAAAATTTGCAGCACCTTTAAATTATCACGTTTTTCCACACTGCCTCGGGCCTATGTGGAATACCTGAACCATACTTTTTTTTTACCTTTTTTTTTTCAGGTCAGTTGAAGTAAAACTTTCATTCCCTTTCTCAGACAATTAATCTTTAGCTAATTGAAGCAGGGATGCTGCAGGATGGGTTTCAGTGGGGCCTGTAAATCTCATTTAGCAAAGTGAATTCAAGGCACATGCTGCACCTAATGATGTGACAGGTGGACTGCACCGCAAGACAGCAGCCTCGGAAAAGTTGATTCTTATTAGACCCGCAGAGTCCTGCAGTCAGTTTTCTGATGGCTGAAGAACACTAATCGCATCTGTTTGCTACTGGGGTGGGTGGGGGGAAGCAGGGAAGTTGAAAGGGGGAATGTGAAGGGAAGAAAATAAGAGGAAGGGGCAAAATTATCTTCTATTCTTTCACGAGTTAATATCCTTGACTCCTGCCCAAACACCAGCAGGTCTACCTCCCACCAAGCGATCAGCCTCCGTTCTGCTGACTCCAACAGGGTGCACCCTTTCTCTAATTAACTAAAATGGCTATGGAAAGCAAAGGAGGCCTTGTGTTGGGTGAACCAATTATTTTGAAGGGTATTAAGTCATCAGATTTACTTTTATCTTGATTGCATTGTGGAAATCGTGCATAATTAATGGTGGGAGCTTATTAGGAAAATGATTAGGCAAATTACACAGGTGTCGGATGCATTTTTTATGATAAATTTGCTAGAACAATCCTGCAATTCCATCTGTTCAGCTCACATCAGAATGTCACTCTGAAGAAATTAATGGTGCAGAGTTATACAAAGTTACTACAAGCTTTGGTTGCAGATTTAGGTAAGCTATGTATAAATATATAAATATATAAAAATATATATAATTATATAGCAATTACTAACAAGTTTTTGATGGTACAGCTCAATAAATTTCTTATTTAATCCTGAAAGTAAATGATATTCAGATGGAAACAGAGAAGTAGAGCAAATGTAAACCTCATCTCATCATTTTGATGTGTATGTAAATAAAAATAATCACAAGCTATAATAGCTCTTTGCTTTATGTAATGACTGCAGATGAGACACCAGCTCACTAGCAGCATGAATACTTGTTTTGTCCCAAAATGTCCAATCTTACCTGCAGCTGTTCTCATTTTCAATTTTCTTTCAGTTTTAAATGTAATCACCTTAAGAGTCGCAGTTTATCTGAAGCCTTTTTATAAGCAGTGTATATAGTATATCCATATAAACCAATTATTTACTGTCTGAGAAACCAACTTCCTTTTTGAATGCCAGAAGAAAGTCAGATAGGAGACTTGATAGGAGCTTCCATTCTACCTGATCATTTATCAACTGGGATCAAATCATGCTTATTCTCTCTATTTGTGTATGATCAAGTTATGTCATGTGTTAATATTCTCCAAAAACTTTCTGATATCACAAGCTGATGTAAATCTCTGATCTGAAATATCTGCTCTTACATATCAGAGCAATATACTTCACAGTGTCTTTTAAAAAATGTCAGACCTAGTTCTGTTGTCTTATCACAAAAAAAGTAGTTAATTCTTAGTAGCATTCAAAATATCTTCATACATCAAAGCCATCAGAAAATGTTTACAGTTTAAATTATTAGAGTACTGCTCTAAAATAGCAAATCACCCTTCCTTTTGTATAGCATCCTGGAAAGAACCATTATCATCATATGGTCTTTGGGCTCTTCAAATTCCAAAGCAAATTAGAACATTAATGAGCATTGACATAGTAGATATACTCACCGTGACATTCACCAAAGCAGCATTTTTGACTAAAGCATTTTACAAAGAGAAGATATGAGGTAATCCAGGCCAAGAAAAAGATCCAACTTCCATACTTCATATGTATTTTATTTAAGCTGCATATTCTCAACCAACTGAAGCCCAGTTGTCTGTTTTTCCTACAAAACTCTCAAACTCAACAAGATAAAAACTGAATTCATTATGACTACTTCCAAAATAGTTCCCATATGAATATATGCAAAACTTTAGCAAATGCTATTATATCCCCCACCTTATTAATCAGGCTTGAAATTTTAAAAACATATCTTTCCTCGGTCTCAATTCCAATGTCCAATTTACCACGAAGTCCAGTCATTTCTACCTCTAGAATATCTTCCCCTATCATCGATACTACCTCAGTTTGGAATTCATTGTTTCCCTCTCGTGTTAATTTGATGCCTTCAAAATTGTCTTTTTATTACTTAGCACTTTATACCACTACTGAAATTATTTTCTAATACTCTACCATTCAATATTTCCACATTGCTTATAAGATAAAAATTCATCTTTCTTGGAATAAAGGCCTTTCATAATCTGATGCTTTGCCTAGTTATTTTTTGCCACTCCCCTACAATCATCTTGAACTACCTGTGGTTCACTGAGTATGCCATGCATTTTAATGCTTCTTTGCTTGTGCAAGTGTTACTGCCTCTGCAAGGAGAGCTCATTCTTAATGTTCTGTTGTCTTAATATTCTTCCTCAAGTCTCTGAATAGTGCCACATCTTCTGTGAAATCTTCCTGAATCCCACAAATGCATTTTTTACCTTTTCCTCTGTGCAAATGTAGTACATTGTATTTAACTCAATATTACTATTTTTCTTAGCAAGTTCATCTCTTCCATTGAGGTGTGAGATCTTTGAATGGAGGGATTGTGTCTCAAGCTCCACTCTATAACTGCTGCCCAGTATATTTTCTAGCACATAATATATAATAATGATTATTAAGTAAATAAACAAATGAAAGTATATGTGTAGCCAGACATGTCTGAATAGTAACACCCCAACCAGCTTCAGCCACGGGAGATCTTGATTCATAGATAACTAAATTATTGATTAATGAAAGCAAGACGTTTTATGCTAGCACTTACCTTGGAAGCCAAACCTGGAATAAATCATAATTTTCTCTTACTTGCATCCTTACACACATACACAAATGCACACACATACACATATTTGTTCACCTACCACAGGTAGCACAGAGAAAGGTATTCTCTAGTAGCAGCAGCAGAGAGCTGTGTTGAGTGTACATATTGTCTTGCTACTCAAAATGTATACCAGGTCCAGCAGGGTTGGACTTAACCTGTAAGAAATGCAGGCTCTTAAAATATTACCAGGTGATGTATGGCACATAATGTTTTTGAGAGGCACAGCATTAGAAGACATATCTTTCACAAACTTCAAGGATTTATGTAGTAATAAATAGAAATACAAATGTAATAGAGGTATAAATTGAAATAGTGAAAAATTTGAATTTCAACTTTGATCAATATCAAGCAGATACTGAGAATTTTCTGTATTAATAATAGGACCTCTTATATAGGGAGTAACTTCTCCTCTTTATATTCCTACAGAGTGTGGATCAGCATTAGGGTGAGAAGTATTAGGTTGGTGCAAACATAACTGCGTTTTTTGCCATTACTACGGAATCGAGGAGAATAGAAAATAAAGATCTTCACAGAATCATGACATGACTATTATCTATCTTTTAAGTTACTTTATTCAGGTATGATTTATGTGCATATTTAAGATATACAACTTAGTGACTTTGGAAATAAATTATACCCATAATACCATCACCACAATCAATGTCATAAACACATCCATCACCTCAAGCAGTTTTTGCTTTATTATTATTTTATGTGTAATAAGAACACAAGTATTACCCTCTGTGAAACTTGAAGTCTACAATACAGTATTGTTAACTATAGGCATTATAATGTACAGTAGATCTCTAGAAATTATTCATCTCATATAACTAAAGCTTTGCACTATTTGACCAACACTCCTCATCCTCCTCACCCTAGTCCCTGGAAACCACATCCACACCAACATCTATTATTTTTTGATTTTTTGATTATGTCCATTCTTGCAGGAAAAAGGTAGTATTCCATTGTGGTTTTGATATTTTCATTTCCCTGATAATTACTGATGTTGAGCATTTTTTCATATGCTTGTTGGCCATTTGTATATCTTCTTATGAGAACTGTCTATTCATGTCCTTAGCCCACTTTTTGAAGGGATTTTTTTTTCTTGCTGATTTGTTTGAGTTCTTTGTAGATTCTTCATATTAGTTCTTTGTTGGATGTACAGATTGTGATGATTTTCTTCCACTCTGTGGGTTGTCTGTTAACTCTGCTGATTATTATTATTATTATTTGTTGTGCAGAAGCTTTTTAGTTTAATTAAGTCCCATCTATTTATCTTTGTTTTTATTGCATTTGCTTTTCAGTTCTTGGTCATGAAGTCTTTGCTTCAGCCAATGTCTAGAAGGGTTTTTCCAATATTATCTTCTAGAATCTTTATGGTTTCAGGTCTTAGATTTAAATCCTTGATCCATCTTGAGTTGATTTTTGTGTAAGGTGAGAGACGAGAATCCAGTTTCATCCTTCTACACATGGCTTGCCAATTATCCCATCACCATTTGTTAAATAGGGTGTCCTTTCTTCACTTTATGCTTTTGTTGGCTTTGTTGAAGATCAGTTGGCTGAAAGTATTTGGGTTTATTTTTGGGTTCTCTATTCTGTTCCATTGATCTATGAGCCTATTTTTATACCAATACCACGCTGTTTTGGTGACTATGGCCTTGTAGTGTAGTTTGAAGTCGGGTAACGTGATGTTTCCAGATTTGTTCTTTTTGCTTAGTCTTGATTTGGCTATGTGGGCTCTTTTTCGGTTCCATATGAATTTTAGGATTGTTTTTTCTAGTTCTGTGAAGAATGATGGTAGTATTTTGATAGAAATTGCATTGAATTTGTAGATTGCTTTTGGCAGTATGGTCATTTTCGTGATATTGATCCTACTCATCCATGAGTATGGAATGTGTTTCCATTTGTTTCTGTCATCTATGATTTCTTTCAGCAGTGTTTTCTAGTTTTCCTTGTTTCCTTATAGAGGTTTTTTACCTCCTTGGTTAGGTATATTCCAAGTATTTTATTTTATTATTATTTTTGCATCTATTGTGAAAGGGGTTGAGTTCTTGATTTGATTCTCAGCTTGGTTGCTGTTGGTGTACAGCAGTGCTACTGATTTCTGTACATTGATTTTATGTCCTGAAACTTTGATGAATTCTTTGTCAGTTTTTTGAGCTTTTTGGAGGACTTTTTAGGGTTTTCTAGGTATATGATCATATTATCAGCAAACAGCAACAGGTTGACTTCCTCTTTATTGATTTCGATGCCCTTTATTTCCTTCCCTTGTCTGATTGCTCTGGCTAGGACTTCCAGTACCATGGTGAATAGCAGTGATGAGAGTGAGCATCCTTGTCTTCTTCCAGTTCTCTGGGAAAATGCTTTAAACTTTTCACCATTCGGTACAATGTTGGCTGTGGGTTTTTCACAGATGGCTTTTATTAGATTAAGGTATGTCCTTTTTATGACAATTTTGCTGAGAGTTTTAATCATAAAGAGATGCTGAATTTTGTCGAACGCTTTTTCGGTGTCATTTGATATGAACATGTGATTTTTGTTTTTAATTCTGTTTATGTGGTATATCATATTTATTGACTTGTATATGTTAAACTGTTGCTGCATCCCTGGTGTGAAACCCACTTGATTATGCTGGATTATCTTCTTGATACGCTGTTGGATTTGGTTAACTAGTATTTTGTTAAGGATTTTTGCATCTATATTCATCAAGGATATTTGTGTGTATTTTTTGTTTTTGTTATGTCCTTTCCTGGTTTTGGTATTAGGGTGTTGCTGTCTTCATAGAATGATTTAGGGAGGATTTCCTCTTTCTCTATGTTGTGAAATAGTGTCAATAGGATTGGTACCAATTCTTATTTGAATGTCTGATCAAATTCAACTGTGAATCCATCTGGTCCTGGGCTTTTTTCTGTTGGCAATTTTTTTTCTTACTATTTATTGGTCTTTTCAGAGTTTCTGTATCTTCCTGGTATAATTAGGATGGTTGTATATTTCCAAGAATTTATCCATCTCCTCTAGGTTTTCTAGTTTATATGGGTAAATGTGTTCATAGCGGCCTTGAATGATCTTTTGTATTTCTGTGGTATCAGTTATAATATCTTCTGATATGGTTTGTCTGTGTACCCACCCAAATCTCACCTGAAATTGTAGTAATTCTTACATGTCAAGTGTGAGGGCCAGGTAGAGATCACTGAAACATGGGTGTGGTTTCCCCCATACAGTTCTCATAGTACTGAATAAGTCTCATGAGATCTGATGGTTTCATAAATGGGAATTTCCTTGCACAAGCTCTTTTTTTTTTTTTTTTTTTTTTTTTTTTTTGAGATGGAGTCTCGCTCTGTCGCCCAGGCTGGAGTGCAGTGGCGGGATCTCGGCTCACTGCAAGCTCCGCCTCCCGGGTTCATGCCATTCTCCTGCCTCAGCCTCCCAAGTAGCTGGGACTACAGGCGCCCGCCACTACGCCCGGCTAATTTTTTGTATTTTTAGTAGAGACGGGGTTTCACCGTTTTAGCCAGGATGGTCTCGATCTCCTGACCTCATGATCCGCCCGCCTCGGCCTCCCAAAGCACAAGCTCTTTTTCCTGCTGCCATGTAAGAGGTTACTTTACTCCTTATTCACATTCCACCATGACTGTGAGGGCTCCCCTGCCATGTGGAAATGGGAGTCAATTAAACCTCTTTCCTTCATAAATTATCCAGTTTTGGGTATGTCTTTATTAGTGGCATGAGAACTGACTAATACAGTACATTGGTACTGGTAGAGTGGGGTGCTGCTGTAAAAATATGTGATTATGAGGAAGCAACTTTGGCACTGCATAACAGGCAAACATTGGAACAGTTTGGAGGGCTCAGAAGAAGACAGGAAGATGTCGGGAAGTATGAAACTTCCTAGAGGCTTGTTGAATGGTTTTGATGAAAATGCTGTTAGGGATATGGACAATTAAGCTCAGGTTGAGGTGGTCTCAGATGGAGATGAGAACTTGTTGGGAACTAGAGCAAAGGTGACTTGTTATGCTTTAGCAAAGAGACTGGTGGCATTTTGCCCCTGCCCTGGAGATTTGCAGGATCTTGAACTTGAGAAAAATGATTTAAGGCATCTGGCAGAAGAAATTTATAAGCAATAAAGCATTCACGATGTGGCTTGGGTGCTGTTAAAAGCATTCAGTTTTATGTATTCACAAAGATACGGTTTGGAATTGGAATTTATGTTTAAAAGGGAAGCAGAGCATAAAAGTTCAAAAAATTTGCAGTCTGATTATACAGTAGAAAAGAAAAACCTATTTTCTGAGGAGAAATTCAAGCCAGCTGCAGAAATTTGCATAAGTAACAAGGAGCTGAATGTTAATTACCAAGACAATGGGGAAAATGTCTCCAGGGCAAGTCAGAAGTCTTCACGGCAGCCCCTCCCATCACAGACTCAGAGACTTAGGAGGAAAAAACGGTTTCACGGGCCAGGCCCAGGTTCCTGTGCTGTGTGTAGCCTAGGGACTTGGTGCCCTGCTTCTCAGCCACTCCAGCCATAGCTAAAAGGAGCCACGGTACATTCAGGAAGTGGCTTCAGAGTGGTGTTGAGCCTGCAGGTGCACAAAAGTTAAGAACTGAGGTTTGGGAAGCTCCATCTAGATTTTAGAGGCTCTATAGAAATACCTGGATGTCCAGGAAGAAGTTTGCTGCAGGAGTGGGGCCCTCATGGAGAATCTCTGCTATGGCAGTGTGGAAGAGAAATGTGGGGTGGGAGCCCACACACAGAGTCCCGACAGGGGCATTGCCTAGTGGAGCTGTGAGAAGAGAGCAACCATCCTCCAGACCCCAGGATGGTAGTTCAACTGACAGCTTGCACCATGTGCCTGGAAAAGCCATGGATATGCAATACCAGCCAATGAAAGCAGCTTGGAGGGAGGCTATACCCTGCAAAGTCACAGGGTTGGAGCTGCTTACCTCTTGCATGAGCATGACCTATATTGAGATATGGAGTCAAACGAGATCATTTTATAGCTTTAAGATTTAGCTTCCCTGCTAAATTTTCAACTAGCATGGGGCCTGTAGTCCCTTCATTTTGGCTAATTTATCCCATTTGGAATGTGTGTATTTGCCCACACATTGTATGTAGGGAGTAACTAATGTGCTTTTGATTTTACTGGCTCATAGGTGGAAGGGACTTGCCTTATCTCAGAGGAGACTTTGGACTATGGACTTTTCAGTTAATGCTGAAATGAGTTAACATTTCAGGGAACTGTTGGGAAGGCATGATTGCTTTTGAAATGTGAGGACATCAGATTTGGGAGGGGCTAGGGTGAAATGATATGGTTTGTCTGTGTCCTCACTCAAATCTCGCCTTGAATTGTAATAATGCCCACGTGTCCAGGACAGGGCTAGGTGGAGATAATTAAATCATGGGGGTGGTTATCCCATACTGTTCTCATTGTAGTGAATAAGTTTCACAAGATCTGATGGTATTACAATGAGAGTACCCCTGCACAAGCTCTCTTGCCTTCCACCATGTAAGACGTGACTTTGCTCCTCATTTGTCTTCTACCATTACTGTGAGGTCTTTCCAGCCATGTGCAACTGTGAGTCAATTAAATCTTTTTCCTTTATAAATTACCTGGTCTCAGGTTTGCCTTTATTAGCAGCATGAAAATGGATTAATACATTTTCCATTTCTTTTTTAATTGAGCTTATTTGAATCTTCTCTCTTCTTTTCTTGGTTAATCTCACTAATGATCTATCAGCTTTATTTATCTTTTCAAAGAATCAGCTTTTGTTTATTTATCTTTTGTATTTTTTGTTTGTTTACTTCAATTTCATTTAGTTCTAATCTGATCTTGGTTATTTCTTTTCTTCTGCTGGGTTTGGGTTTGGTTTGTTCTTTTTCTCTAGTACCTTGAGGTATAACCTTAGATTATGTTTTGTGCTCTTTCAGAATTTTTGATGTAGGCATTTAAGGCTTTGAACTTTCCTCTTAGCACCACCTTTGTTGTATCCCAGACGTTTTGGTAACTTGTGTCACCATTATCATTCAGTTCAAACAATTTTTTAATTTTTATCTGGATTTAATTATTGACCCAATGATCATTCAGGAGCTGGTTATTTAATTTCCATGTATTTGCATGGTTTTGAGGGTTCGTTTTGGAGTTGATTTGCAATTTTATTCCACTGCAGTCTAAGAGAGTACTTGATATAATTTAGATTTTCTTAAATTTACTGAGACTTGTTTTGTGCCCTATGATATAGTCTGTCTTGGAGAATGTTCCATGTGCTGATGAATAGAATGTATATTTTGCAGTTGTTGGTTAGAATGTCCTATAAATATCTGTTAAGTCCATTTGTTCTAGGGTATAGTTTAAGTTCATTGTTTCTTTGTTAACTTTCTGTGTTGATGACTTGTCTAATGCTGTCAGTTAAGTATTGAAGTCCCCAACTATTATTGTATTGCCATCTAATCTCATTGCTTCTGTCTAGAAGTAATTGCTTTATAAATTTGGGGGCTGCAGTGTTAGGTGCATATTTATAATTGTGATATTTTCCTTTGGGAAAAGTCCTTTTATCATTATATAATGTTCCCCTTGGCCTTTTTAAACTACTGTTGCTTTAAAGTTTGTTTTGTCTTATATAAGAATAGTTACTCTGGCTCACTTTTGGTGTCCATCTGTATGAAATATTCTTTCCACCCCTAAACCTTAAGTTTATGTGAGTAGTTATATGTCAGGTGAATCTTCTGAAGACAGCAGATACTTGGTTGGTGAATTCTTATCCATTCTGCCATTCTGTATCTTTTAAATGGAGCATTTAGGTATTTACATTAAATGTTCACATTGAGATGTGAGGTAGTATCATATTCATCATAATCTCTGTTGCCTGAATACCTTGTTTTTTAATTGTGTTTTTGTTTTATAAGTCCTGCGTGCTTTAAGGAAGTTCTATTTTGCTGTATTATTATTTTGAGAATTTGTTTCAAGATTTAGAGCTCCTTTTAGAAGTTTTTGTAGTGCTGGCTCAGTAGTGGTGAATTCTCTCAGCATTTGTTTGTCTGAAAAAGATTATATCTTTCCTTCATTTATGAAACTCATTTTTCCTGGATACAAAATCCATGGCTGATAATTGTTTTAAGGAGATTGAAGATAGAGTCCCAATCCCTTCTAGCTTGTAAGATTTCTGCTGATAAATCGGCTGTTAATCTGATAGGTTTTCCTTTATAGGTTACCTGATGCTTTTGCCTCACAGATCTTAAAATTCTTTCCTTCATCTTGACTTTAGATAACCTGATGACTAAGTTCCTAGTTGATAATCTTTCTGTGATAAATTTCCCAGATGTTCTTTGAGCTTCTTGTATTTGGATATCTAGATCTCTAGCAAGGCCAGGGAAGTTTTCCTCAATTCTTCCCTTAAATATGTTTTCCAAACTTTTAGATTTATCTTCTTCCTCAGGAATACCAATTATTCTCAGGTTTGGTCATTTAACATAATCTCAAACTTCTTAAAGGCTTTGTTCATTTTTTAAAATATTCTTTTTTCTTTGTCTTTGTT
The DNA here is from genome assembly GCF_000001405.40 of Homo sapiens. Taxonomy (NCBI): domain Eukaryota; kingdom Metazoa; phylum Chordata; class Mammalia; order Primates; family Hominidae; genus Homo; species Homo sapiens. The sequence goes on along the minus strand of NC_000012.12, from coordinate 17,149,773 downwards.
GGGTTAGGTTAATTCACAAACCTTGTCTTCGAACTCTGAAGTTTTTCTTCTGCTTATTTGATTCTATTGTCAAGACTTTCCAGTGTGTCTTGCATTTCTCTAAGTTTATCCTTCATTTCCAGAAGTTGTGATTGTTTTTTTTTTATGCTATCTATTTCACTGTAGGTTTTTCCCTTCATATCTTATTTTTTTTAATTTCATTAAGTTGAACTTCACCTTTCTCTGGTGCCTCCTTGATTAGCTTAATAATCGACCTGAATTCTTTTTCTAGATATTCAGGGATTACTTCTTGGTTTGGATCCATTACTGCTGAGCTAGTGTGATTTTGGTGGGTGTTAAAGAACCTTGTTTTGTCATATTACCAGAATTGTTTTTCTGATTCTTTCTTTTTGGGGTAGGCTATGTCAGAGGGAAGATCTGGGGCTCACAGGCTGCTTTTCAGATGCTTTTGTCCCACAGGGTGCTCCCTTGATGTAGCACTCTCCTTCTTCCCCTACGGATGTGACTTCCTAAGAACCTAGCTGCAGTGATTGCTTTTGCCTTCTGGATCTAGAGCTACCAGGCTTTCTGCAGGTACTGGGGGGTGTCTGCACAGAGTCCTGTGATGTGAACTGTCTTCAGGTCTCTCAACCATGGGTACCAGCACCAGCTGTAGTGGAGGTGGCAGGGGAGTGAAATACACTCTGTGAGGGCTCTTAATTGTAGTTTTGTTTATTGCTATTTTTTTGTTGGTTGGCCTCCAGCCAGGAGGTGGCACTTTCAAGAGAGCATAGGGAGAATCAGCTGGTGGGCAGGCTCCTAGAGCTCCTAAGAGACTATGTCCTTTGTCTTTGGCTACCAGGGAGGGTAGAGAAAGGCCATCGGGTGGGGGCAGTGTTAGGCATATCTGAGCTCAGACTCTTCTTGGGTGGAGCTTGCTGCAGCTGCTGTGGGGAATGGAGGTGTTGTTTTCAGGCCAATTGAGTTATGTTCCCAGGAGAATTATGGCTGCCTGTGCTGTATTATGCAGTTCACAGGGAAGTGGGGGAAAGTCGACAGTTGCGGGCCTCACCCAGCTCCCATACAACCCAAAGGAGCAGTCTCACTCTCATCATGCCCCCCGCAATAGCACTGAGTTTATTTCCAGGCAGTGGGTGAGCAGGGCTGAGAACCTGACCCAGGCTACCTGCCTCCCAGCTGAGAAAGCAAGCAGGGCTTTCAGGTTTTACACTGCCTGCTGTAGCTTCTATGCTGTGTCTGCACTCCCACTTCATCCCCTTCCCTGAGTTCTGGCCAGGAAACTTCACTTTCAGTCAAAATTGTAACAAAGTTCAGCTGGAAGTTTCCTTCTCCCTGTGGTCTTTTCCATTTCCTCTGGCAGCCCTCCCCAAAGACCTCTGAGAGACAAAGTCAGAAATGGCTTTCCTGGGAACCAAGAGAGCCCACAGGGCTCTTCCCACTGCTTCTTCTACCCCCATATTTCACTCGGGTCACTAAATTTGTCTCAGCTCTAGGTAAGGTCAATTCTTCTCCTGTGACCTGGACCTTCAGGCTCCCCAGTGTGAGTCTGTGACTTGGGGCTGACAATCCTCCTTTCCCACTTTGGGAACTCACAGTTTTTCAGTTGTCTCCTGGAGCCTGCAGGAGCAATCCACTTTCTTCAAAGGGTCTGTGGACTCTCTTGGCTTCCTCGGTATGTTCCTGTGGGAGTTCTTGGAGCAAAAGTCACAATGTCAGTCTCCATGCGCTGCTCTGTCCATCTGAATGGAAGCTGCAATTTGGTTCTGCCTCCTATCTGCTGTTTTTCCCAGATGAATTAATCCATTTACATTTAAACTACTTATTGTTAGGTGAGAACTTATTATTGATACTTTATTTGTGGTTTTATCTATTTAATAGTTATTTTATTTCTCTCTTCCTCTCTTGCTGTTTTTCTTTGTGATTTGATTATTTTTGTAGGGATATACTTTTATTTTTCTTGTATTTATTGTAGGTTTTTTCTTTGCAGTTGCCATGAAGTTTGCATTAAATTTTTTATAGTTGTGACAATATATTTCAGGCTAATACCAGCTTAACTTCAACCACATAGAAAAACTATACTTTTATATCACCCACACACATGCTCTATTTTAATGTCAAACTTTATACCTTTTTATATTGTATATCCATTAATGCACTTTGGTGCTTATTGTTATTTTTAATATTTTGTCTTTTAACTTTTATAACAGGATTAAAATAGGTTACACACCATCATGATAGTATTGAAATATTATGTATTTGTTTATATATTCACCTATACCAATGAGATTTAGACTTTTGTATGCTCTCATATTGCTGTTTAAAATCCATTTACTACAATTTTAAATCTCTGTTTAGCACCTCTTGTGAGGCAGTTTTATCAATGACAAATTCTCTCAATTTTGCCTGTCTGGACGGTCTTTATGTCTCTATTTTTTAAAGATAGGATCGCCCAATGTAAAATTTTTGTTTGGCAGTTTTATTCTTTCAGCCCTGTGAATATATCATTTCATTTTCCTCTGGCCTGCAAGGTTTAAATTTTGTTCATGTATTGCTTTCCTATTTTTGTTTAATTGTTGACTTGTGTTCTCTTGTAGCTCCTGAGCTTAGAAAAAAATATTTTGAATTTTTTGTCAGGCAGGTTGTAGATTTCTCTATCTTTAGGATTACTTACTGGAGCTTTATTTTATTCCTTGTAGTGTCAAGTTTTGTATTCTTCATGATCTTTGTATCCTTGCATTGGCTTATGTGCATTTAAAGACGTAATCATTTCTTTCAATCTTTAGGGGATGGCTTTGCCAGGAAAAGCCCTTCAATAGCAGCCTGGCCAAAGATTCTGGGCAAATAAGTTGGCTGGGTCCATGGGCAATCAAGATTCTGGGACCTGCAATCAAACTTGCTGCTGGCGTTTGTAAGTGTGCCTTCTACCAGGGGCTATGGGCTGGCTGTGAGATACACAGGTAGGTTGTTGAGAGACCTCTTCCCCTTTTCTTAGTTGTCCTACCTTCAATCAATCTAGCCATGCAAATTCCCATAGTGATTTGCGTGAAGCACACCAGAAGTAGCCCCCTTGGGCCTCATTCTTAAATTTGGGGTAAGTTGGATCCTCACTTTGCACTTTTTTTTTTCTCCATGGAAGAAATTGTGGGCCAGTGGGATCCCTCTTGGCACTGTGCTTTTGTCAGCTTGTGGGAGAGATGGTTTCGGTAAAGTGGAACTGGTGTTCTTACCCTTTTTAATAAATCTTTTATCCTTTCTGTGCCCCACCTGGGTGTTTTAACCTCTAATCTGAATTCTAGAGACCTCATGAAGGTATTTTTCCCATGAATAGTTGTTAAATAAGTCTTTCTGTGAGTGATAAAGGCTGAGGCCGCCTATCCTACCATCTTTATGACCTCTTTCCCATTTTTTAAATCAAAGCTTATGCCGATTTCTTAACAACAAAGATTGGAAGTTAATACTCTTTTCCTGTGTATGTGTGTGGGATGTACATAAACAACTAATAATGCTTCACTAAATTTTTTAGATTGCTGCAGATTTTTTTTACTACAAAATATTCAGAACAGTCTAAAATGCTGTAAATTTGAAAGTGGATGAATCCATTTTTAAATGATATTTCTATTTTCTTTCTAAAATTTCAAAAAATAATATCTTCCAATATTAGTACGGTGTACTTAAACAAGATAGAACTAAATTGTGTAGGATAAATTTACCAACTGAGGAGCACCTTTGACAAAATAGTGCCTGAACAAGCTATGTATTGATCTGGAGGTGTCCCAGTGCCATAGCTGAAAGTCAGGCTTACCAATCGACGGAAAATGGGAAATCTGGAAAGCATCTAATTCATTGTGCAACTTTTTCTCAGTTAACCATATATCCAAGGCAAACACTTGCTTCTATTTCCTCAAAATAGACAAGGCAATATGCCTGGTTGGGTTTAGTCTAAACTTAATACTACACTTAATTTAATGAATAAATTAAGCATGAAGAGAAGATGATCTCACAATTCAAAAGCTCTAGACATAACACTATTTTTTACATGTAAGAAGTGGATTTTTTATGTCATTGAGGTCTTTTTTAATATGAAACTTGTCTGCTTTCTTAAAGTAGGATATGAAAGGGGGGCACATTTTTATGGAAGTTTTTTTTTCCTTCCAGAGATCTGAAAGAAATTTTGATTATCCATTTTATTCAGCATATTATTATCAAAGTAGAGTACAAAATTAATGTTTCCTTATAATTTTGCTAGTATTTTATAGCATAATTGTAAAAATTTTATTACTTCTATATATTTTCCTAGCCATAGTGCCATGTTTTGGATCCAGTCAGCTTATCTTATTCAAAACTGATTATAACTATAATAATCATAATAAATTTGGGTCTTTCTAAGGTTTTAAAGATTCTTTACAAGCCATGAAAATATGTCATAAGTGCTAATAAAGTGAATCATAAGTACTTTATTGACTTTTTAAATATGTCAGAATGCATAAAATGCTAAACATATTTAAATGTAAACTTATTTGCAATGATTTTCTTTTTCTGCCAACAATGTAACTTTGGAAAATCAAACATTCTCCCTACTACAACAGTGATAATTCACAAAAAAGCCTGATATCATCTCCAATTCAAAGAACTCAACTGTGTTGTTTCATCACTGACGAAAACTACATATTTGCATATAAAAAAATGCTTCATGGAAAATATAATTTCTCTTGAGATTTCAGTGGGTACCTAATTATAAACAGTTATCTGATTTATTTAATTATGACAATAAAGAATAATCATTAAGATGGTTGTTTTCTAAATAATTGGTGTTTTCATAAGCATAACAAAAGCAAAAAATGGTCACCATAGGCTACATAGCCCATGAATACTACATTGAAGATCATCAAATCCCAAAAGAGACTGACACTAGGTGCAACTTTTTCTCAGTTAACAAGATATACAAGGTGAACATTTGCTCTTATCCCCTCAGAACAGACAGGGGAATATGCTTGGGTGGGTTTAGTCTAAAATTTATACTTCATTTAATGAATAAATTAAGCATGCAGAGAAAATGATCTCACAGTTCAAAGGGTGTAGATATAAGAAGATTCTTTACATGTAAGAAAGTGGGTGACTTTTTTTTTTTTTTTTACGTAATTCAGTGTATTCCACAGCATTGTATGTTCTAAGTCAGTCTCCATGAAAACCTCAAAGAGACAGCCTTTTGGTAATTCATTAAACTGTTAAGGCATGAGAAATCACATAGTAGGGAGTAAGGATTTTCTAAAGATAGACTGTTGGGAGAGAAAGGTGCTTTTTCTGAAGACTTTTCTGGGAAAATGATCTTCTCTACAACAAATGAAAAACCAGAACAGTTCAATAGGTATTTAACATTTTGCAAGATATCCAGTGCTATCAAAATTCATCCCAGATTTTCAAGATTGAGTTCTGGTTATCCCTTTTAAATCATATATGACACCCAGCAACCTCTCTCACTTACCTTCATAGTTCTATCAGACTTACCTTCATTGTTCTATCAGACTTAGTTCTTCGTAAGAGAAGCAAACATCAAATAACGTATCTTCTAAGATGCATTTGAGACCCAGATACTGAAAGTAGAATAGCATGCCATTTTGGTCATTTGACATATTCAAAGAGAACCCAAATAAAGCAAGTAGCTTCACTTGAAGGTGGAGAGTTGACTCTCTGGAACAAAACAAGATATCTTAATTTACTCTGATAATAAACAATTTCTATATTCTGATATGCAGAAAAAATACAAGAAAATACCTTTTGTAAAACTATAGATTGAATGTAGATTCTGCATGTCTTTCAAGTGTAATTTCTCCAGGTCTATCAGTTGTTATCTCCCATAGTCAATCAAACTTCAATTCAATTCTTTATTAGCAGTGTGATCTTAGAGAAATGCCTATTATTAGCCACAGCTCCTCATCTGCAAAATGGGATCATTACTACTATCTATTTCCTAGAATTATCTTCAGCATTAAATAAGATCATACATGCCACAATCCTTTAATGCCACCTTCAATACCACCATCCTCACCACTAAAATGATGATTCACAGATTATATCATGATGGAGAAAAAGTAAGGAAACTCATTTGGTAGTCATACTTCATGATTATAATTGCAGCTTTGTTGTGACTATCTCAAAATTTGATGTCCTGGAAAAAAAATAGCATTACCTTCCTTCCAGACTTGTTTGCCCTTTGTTTATTTTCCTCTTGTTCTTCAGCATCGATATAAACGGACATCAAGTGCCAGAATTTAGTTGCATACCCCATAATTTTGAAAAAGATAAATTACTTGCTGTGGGATAATTTTAACATTCAGCGCCTGTGTAATAAAGTTCTGCACCTTTCATCTTTGTGATCGGAAAGACCCATAGCTAGGCACAGAAACCAATGTTTATAATTCTTATAGAATTGGAGTAACTTGGAAGCAATAATAGAATGTTAACAACAGCAACATGAAAAAGAAAAACATTAAATTTAGAAAGGAGAAAAAGAGAAGGCAACAATTTGAGAAAACTCCAGTAAGGGATTTCAGTTGCCATTAGGATATGTTCCAAAAATAAGGACCCCAGGGAACTTAGATTAATCCATCATTTATCTTACCCACGAGGTGGATCTGTAAATGACTTCATTGATCCACAGCTGTGTTCAGTATCTTACACAACAGTGGATCAGGCAGAAATAAGATTGTGTGGGCAAAAGGGCATTAATAGAAAAGATTGAGCTAGAATTAGTTTCTCAGATTCTTTGCTAGTGTGTCCTGACAGCTTCCACCTGTTTGGTTTTAAACTCAAAGGAAATTTCTTCTTACATGATTATTATCATGGAATGCTGTTCAACGCTGAAGCAAGTCCTTTCACTGTTTCCATTGGCCAAATGAAGGAGATTTCTAAAGACATGCTATCAGATCATTTTCTCATCACTGATCTGTGATGTTTATAGTTTAGCAGCTATTTACAGGGGAGTTAAAGCTGATCTGTAAAATTTAAAAATGTATATTTTAATTAAAATCAAATTCAGCTCGGAGGCAACAATTTAATATTCTTTGTGACTAAATCCCAGGGAGGTCCCAGATTAGCATAGATTCATGTTCCTTGAAATTCAGAACATCTTCCAGATACCATCTTGCTGTTCCTTCAAGATCAGAAAAGGAAATGTATTGGCATTATGCACTGCTCTAGGTGAAAGGAGTGTGTCTTACAGAAGTAGCTCTGGCAGCACAAGGTTGCTACAAATCTCTGACAATACTATCATCTGACCCATGTGGGTTTGTAACTTCAAGAACAATCCTGCTGGTATACATTTGCAAAGGTCACCTGAAAACATTATTAAAGCAGCATATGTCTATGTGTTTCAAAATGAACTCAATTTTGGTTCTGACATGGCAACACTGAGAATCAGCCCATTGAGAGATTTGCTTAATTTCCTATATTACTTATTGAGGCCAAATTTTTTATTGGAAAGCAGCCTGGTATTTGAATAAAGAATCTAGGAATATCGAACAAGATTTTTATTCTGTCACACAGATGAACTGTCTCTCTTTCCCAAAACAAGTTTCTGCTTTACATCTTAATCAGTGCACTTTTCCGTTACTGCCCTTGCTTATGAGAGAATTGGTGCATGACTCAAATATTGACCAGACATGTGGTCCTCTTGCCATCAGATGTAATTTGGCTTGCCCAGTGGTAATTCTATGCATGTGGCCACTTGTGGGGAACTTGCATTGATATTACATCTCTTCCTTTTATTGGTTAGCAGAGATTACTTTGTCTCCTAAACTATTTTCCTGCAAATTCTTAGTTTGGTAAGAGAAATGGCAGGTGAATATGTGTAGAATAAAAAGAGAGCCACATATCTATTATTTGAACATCTTTTTAAAATGCAACATGTGGGCAAAGAAGTCCTTTCAAAAGTTGGTTGGTTGGTTATGTGACCAGTGTTAATGATAATATCTTGGGTGCAATGCATGTCACTCTCTGTCACCCAACATGACTAAAAGCTTTATATGCATATACACTTTGTGTAAGAGGGTTGAGTGAAACTAAAATAGAAAACCAGAGTTACAAGTCTGAGTATGCAAGAATGACAAAAGAGTCAAGTAAAGTGTGATAAAGGAGACTAAAAGATTAACAGAAAGAATAGAGACCTTGAGAACATAAATTATAAAGAATTGGCAAAAATCTTGGAGAATACACAGCGGTTTTAAAAGGTACTGAATTTTAATTTAAATCTCAGAGTATAAGAGAGCACTTGATAATATTTGGTTACATAATTTAAACAATAAATAAATAATTTTTTCTCTATAAACAGCTTCATTTCTGACTGAGTTTAGCATACTTTGGTCTACAAAATGAGGCAGGAAGGTTTTTCCAGTCTTTTATAATTTTATGTTATCCAAAAAGTTGAAATGTATACTAAATATAATGTGGGCATAAGTCAGGACTACGTCTGTGAAATTGACAAAAAGCAAACACACATATACTAGCAGAAATATGAAAACAAATATATTGCCCTCTTTATCTGGCAAATTAAAGGGCTTTCAGATCCAATGATTCAAAGAATGTGACCAAGTTATTTATTCTTTTAAGTGCCATCTTGTCATCTTTTGGAAGGCAAGCTCTTAGGAAATAATGAATTCCTTGTCAATGTAATTTGCATGACAAAATTGAATGATTCACATATTATAGAGATAATTTTAGGCTATGGATAGAGGTCACGTGTATACCCAATGAGATCAATGTCCTTGAAACCTCATGATTCCATGACACTACTAATTCTTTTATCAAGAGTCTAGAAATACAGACTTTAAACTGTTAAAAAACATATGCTTGGTAAGCATCTAAGCTAATGCATGTGGGGCTTAATACCTAGATGATGGGTTGATAGGTGCATCAAACCACCATGGCACACATTTACCTATGTAACAAACCTGCACATTCTGCACATGTATCCTGGAACTTAAAATACAATTGAATTAAAAAAAATCTTCCTTTCATACTGTCACCCCCACTCGACTGGTCTTCTTTTCTCTGGAGACCTTTGAATGCTTTGACAGTATCATCAAAATCACGGCTGTCCCTTCCCCTCACTGCTAAATGTGAAATGCTGTGGTAGTGTGAAATATAAAAGCAACATCTTGGAAATGGTGCCCTCTCCAAATCCTTGGGTCTGGTCTGGCTCTGGCCCACCCTAGGGACCCTAGGGACAGTGGGTCATTTTCTACAGCAGCTCAGGCCCAGCTTTAACATCAACCTCAAGGCCAAAAAAGAAAATGTACCTTTCTTCTGTGGGGCTCAGAAAACAATACCCCAAAATGAAGGCTTCAGAAATAGCCTCAGAAATAAAAGTTTTTCTCTGACCTTCTGCTTTCCTGTCTCTCAGTCCCATTCTCCATCCGAGGCTAGCAAGAGAATCTAGAATCCCTCTTCTCCAATGCAAGTTACAGAAATCAGAATGCTTTTTCCCCAAAGCCAGCCATAAAAACCTAAAACTGTTACTCTAATTTTCCCTTCAACTTTCTGTGTGAAAACTGGCCATAAAGAAGTAATCTGACCCAGCTTGTTTGACTGTAGGTCACAAGATTCCCATTCCAGAGAGGGCCCTGCCCCATACCCAGAAGAAAGGAATGCTGCTCAGAGAGGCCAAGAAGAGTCTAGACAGACAGGCTTTGCTGGGTTCCCCGACTCAGGCTATTAGCATTAGATCAGACCTTTTTTGTGCAATTGTGTTTCCACACAGCTGTCCATACTTTGTTGAACCTAAGCATAAAAATGGAAAATCTCCCCTATATTTTTGAGTTTTCATTCCGTATGCTCTCATGTATACATACATGTTAAATAAATTTGTATGCCTTCCCCCACCACACACAAAAAATCAGATGCTTTAGTGACTGTAGTTAATAATAACATATTGCATATTTCAAAATAGCTAGAAGAGAGGATTTTTAAATGTTCTCACCACAAAGAAATGAAAATATTTGAGGCGATGGATATGCTAATTACCCTGATTTGATCATCATGCAATGTATAGATGTATCAAAACATCACGTTTTACCCCATAAGTATATACAATTATTTGTCAATTAAACAATAAAATAAAACTTTAGAGAAACAAAAAACAGAGACTTACAAAATCAGTTAAAAGAAAAGATAAATAATGTATGCGATTATAATGGGAAATCAAGTTTTAAAAATCAAATTCCAATTTACATGCAGATTCTCAGGAATAATATCAGTATTTTAATTGACAAGTAGTTTTTTTTTTTAATTTTGTGGAGAGAGGGACAAGGTTTTAATACACCCATCCACCCAGACAGCTAGCCAGTCAGGCAGCCATTTGTTACTCATTTATAAATAAATATTGAGCAGCAAATATATACCAAGCCTTTTTCTAAGAGCATGAGATACATTGGTGATCTTATTAGACATGGCCCCTGCCCTCATGCAACTCATATTTCTAGTGGGAAAGGCAGACACAAAGTAGGTTCAAAAATAAATACTTTACATTAGAATGGGGAAAGAGTTATATAGGACGGTCAGGAAAGGTCTCCCCAAAGACCCGACATTCAACTTGAGATGAAATTTGAGGTCTCATCACTGAGCAAAGAAAAGCAAAGGGTATTCCAGTACAGCCAGTATCAACAAAGGTTTTGAAGGTAGCAAAGAGCTGGCCAGATCAAAGATATGAAGAAAATCTTTATCATCGAAGTCAGAGAGAAAAGAATGGCATTAGATAAAATTGTGGCAGGAAGCCAGTGCCAGATTATGTACATTTGGAGTTTGTACTTTATTTTAAATGCAGTAAGAAACCGTGGCCAGGCACAGTGGCTCGCGCCTATAATCCCAGCACTTTGGGAGGCTGAGGCAAGTGGATCTCCGGAGTTCAGGAGTTCGAGTCCAGCCTGGCCAACATGATGAAACGCCCGTCTCTACTAAAAATACAAAAATTAGCTGGACGTGGTGGCAGCCGCCTGTAATCCCAGCTACTCAGGAGGCTGAGGCAGGAGAATCTCTTGAACCCAGGAGGCAGAGGTTGTAGTGAGCTGAGATAGCTAGATAGCACCGTGTACTCCAGCCTGGGTGACAAGAGCAAAATTCCGTCTCAAAAAAAAAAAAAAAAAGAAAGAAAGAAAAAGAAACCATTACACCATTTTACATAGGAAAGAAACATGATATTATTATTTTATAAAAAACTTCAAAAGCAGATGAGTAGAAAATGTATTGAAAGTGAGAAAGAGTAGAAGCAAGGGGAAAATTAATGGATTTGAGATATAATGTAAGGTGAAAATGATAACATATGCTACTAAATTGAAAAACTATGTTTTAGGCAATGCTGAAACCATAAACCAGTTTGAAAACTCTACCTAATAATAAAGACAGCACCCTCCCTCCAGTGGTAGCAGCCCTGATATTATTTACTGTTTGTTAACAATAAGTTCCCACTAAATAATAGAGAAAAAGACTCACAGCAGTTTCTCCAATAAAAAGCAATATTCTGTGTTGATTGAGTCAACACAGGTTTTGCTAACTCCCTAAAATTTTCATAATCCTTGTAGGTAATGACTACCAAATTGTATGGTGAAACAGTTAACAATAACACTTAAAAAAAAGAGAGAATAACCTGTATCTGAATAGTACTTTGCCATCACGTTTCTCCTTCATTTTCTTGAGATATTACACATCTGTGCAATAGGTATTATTATTCATGTTTTACAGATAAAAGTAACTGAAGATCCCAAAGGTTAAGTGACTTGTCTAAGGTTGCAAAACTGAAAAAGCAACAGTCCTGATCAAACCTAGGTCTTCTGACTTTTAACCATTAACTCATTCTCACATGTAACACTGCCTTCTCCATGCAAATTGGATCTGTCCTGCTTTGTCTCATGCTTAAATATGAATTTGTATGAAGTGACTATATTAAAAATTTGCTTGTAATACCAAGCTAGCAGGAATAGTCATAGAAAGAAGAAGGAAATTTAGCCTCTTTAGTTAAGCCTTGGCCTTTCTGTTTAGACTGCAAATTAGCACTGATTGTGTTAGAGGTTTCCATGGTGTAGGCACTAGTCTCTCATGAACTGAACTTACATCGTCAACATTTAAAGCTGAAAGCCATTAGACAACAGCAACTGAGGTCACTTGTTACTGTTAAGAATTTATGCAGCACTTTACATTTGGAAAGAGGTCAATGAAATCTAGACAGATTTGAGTGCTGCCTAAATGGACAAATCTGTGCTGGCATCCCAACAGCACAGTCGCTTCATAGTACAGTTTTTATCCCTTTTGATTTATGACAGAATGTGGTATTTATAACACAGTGCACAGTTTAATATGTACGGACATTCACTCATACTAAACCAAAAAATACCATATTTGTTTTAAGTTAACAGCTTTATCATTAACTATTCCTGGGCATCAGTAAACTTGTAAAAGATCCAATTTATTCCTTGGTCCCCAGGTATTCAAGAAAAAAAAAAAATCTTAGATGTATCAGGCTTAGTTTGTATTGAAACAATTTAGCATAGTTTGATAGTTGTATTCTTTGAAGTCAAGGCACACACAGCTTTCAATTCTTTTGTCTGACCTTCTGGTAATTCTGTGACTTTTAGGTAGGTCATTTAACTTTTCTGTACCTTTAATAGCATTTCTTAGGGGTTGAGGAAAACATGTGGGTATCATTTATTATCTTTGGCCACCTAGCCACTAATGTAACTCCCACTAATCCTAAGCTGCTGTTCCCGATATTATACTTACTTTTTTAATCCTCCCTTCTGGTTATGAGGCAGACACTCGAACTATAATTTGTCAATCACCAAAGTTACCCTAGATATTGATTTAGGATCTAGTGATGCAAGAATTAGGGGACCCCCACAGAAGTGGCAGCAGCTATATCTCTTTTTCCAGGGGCAGAGGTAGGCGGTGTCGGCAACAATGTCCACTGTTTGGTACCCATCTTTCCATTCGGCACACCAGATGCCATGTGGGTGTCTAGTGTACAGGAAGGGAAGTGGGACTGTCACTAAACCGATTCTCCCCCATGCTTTTGAGTTTTCCTTCTGGTTCTTCTTGGCCCCTTACAGATCTACTCTGGGTTTTCCAATTCTTTTTCAAATAACCATTTGCTTCTGGCTAAATCATCCCAATCATCCCTTGTTGCTTGCACCAATGAACCTTCGACTTACAATAAAAGTAGTGAATTGGGTATCTGACAGTTTTATGTATTGGCTTTGAAGTTTTTGAAGAATTTTCTTTTATATTACTTCTCTTAATCATTGCAGTAATACAATGAAAAGATTAACAATTTACTGAAGAGACTGGTGGTCAGAGAGGTCTCATGAGGTTCCCAGTATTACGTTTGGGAACTACCAGGATTAATTCTTTTATTTTCCTGAAAGTATATTTGGTATTTATTATTAAATCATAACTGTTCAGACATAACATTTATGTGGGTTCTTGGGTATCCATTTTAATAAAGATCAACAATGCATATTTAAGTCATAAGATGTTGCATACAAGACAATGTCATTTATGTAGAGCAACCAGCCACCCTCAAATAGCACACTTACTATGGCTATTATAACATCAAACTTTGCATAAAGTAGACATTTTGACAACATTCCATCAGTTTCCAATCTCCTATCATGCATTATAAAACAAAAATGTATGATTTTCTAATTTTCAAGAAGCAGAGGAATATTATAATGTAAAAATTTCATATTTATTATAAAATATCCCAAATTAAAATTTTACTGATTCCTATAGAATATAAATTTGTGATTTTAAATAAAAATCCAGAAGTACTCAAATATATGATTTCCTAGAAGTCTCAATATCTCATTCAAGATGCACTACACTACAAATATGTTACTTATTTCTTTGAGAACTTAAAATATTAATTTTAATGGTCAACAAATGCCTCATGGAAAAATCATATTGTATGCTAAGATTTCAAATTGGTACAACAACTTTGGTTAATGGCACAAACTCAAGTTGAACATGTGCAAACTCTATAACTCAGAAATCCCCCTTCTATGCATGTACTTAGAGGAACAATTGCATCTTTCTAACCATGAGGAGCATACAAGAATATTAATTATGGCACTGCTTATAATGACAAAATATTAGAAATAAACCAATGTCAATCAACACGAGAATGGATAAGTTGTGGTATATTTTTACAATGCATTATAAAACATTAGAAAAAATAAATGATAGCTGCACACAAAATGGATGGATCTCAAATACATAGTATTAAGTAGAAAAAAAGCAGCAAGTCAGAAAATAAAATCATGCTTTATGATTTCATTCACCATAGTTCAAAAAGAGACAAATCTAAATGATATTTTTGGGTTGCATATAAATGTAGCAAATGTAGAGAAAAGTAAGCTTTTAAAAACTACAAAATTCATGGTAGCTTTTACTCCTGAAAAAGGCAAGAATGTGGTGAACCTTTAAAATGTATTGGTGGTATGATTAAATGAGTGATTATTTTATTTGTATTTTAGTAACTTAAACTACAAGTACGACCGAATTCTTCAAATAACAGATTTTAAGAATGAGTATATATGTGATTTACCTATTAATCATCCTAAGTATTCAATTGTTGAAAGGGTTCACAGATCTCAAATAGTTTATGCTCATGAAATAGCTTTATCATAGGCTCAGGTACGATATAGCAAGAGCAGGAAAAGTCTGCATTCCATGGGTCCTCACTTTTAATGCAGTCAACATGACTACAGTGTAGTCTTCTTTTTCCTACCTCCACTGGTCAAGTTGCACAGAACATATTGATTGTGTCAAGCTCTCAAACTGCTACCTTGTAGCTACGTCACTACCAGAAAGTTCAATGTCTTCTTCTTCCAGGGGGTTCTCTTAGAGTGAGCTGGTCTGTTCACACAGGTGTAGGCACATTCTAACTTTCTAACTGTGTGACATTTCTTAACCATTAAAACAACATCTACCTGCTTATGGTGGCTCAAGCACATACCTACACACCCCTCTACTCTGCAACCCACTTCCCAGGAGAGGCTCTACCACACAAGTTGCAATCCATAAATTCAATTAAAATTACTAAGTAATGCTGATGGACTAATGCAAATTGAGGAACTAAGAAACCTGTGGTCATAGAGCACCATTTTCATAATTAATAGGTTTCCTAGTACTGGCCAAGGGTCAGTACTTCTGGGTATAAGTATGGGGTCAATCCAGAGCAGGTGAGAGTAACACATGCTATGCAGTATATATTATGACACATGTGCACCACTGATAGGGTAGTATTGACTACATGCCAAAAATATGAGTAATTATTAACTAGCCTATGTGTTTCTATATCCATCTAATCTTGATTGCTAAGCCACTTAACCCCTACCTCTAGGCTTAGTCCAGCTGCTGATTTTTGGAAAGCCTCTGTTCCTAAGTAGAAGCAGTGTAGGGAGTATCTTCTTCAGCCAGCCTCAAATGTGCCTTCTCAGTGGTTTCTTTTTTAACAGCTTTGTTTTTAACAATGACTATAATAAGGAATACCACTTAGTAAGAACCTTTTACATTAAGCACTGGACTTAATAAGAAAAAAATTATTATCTCATTCAATGTTACAACAAGAAAATTGGAAGAAATTGAGATTCTGGACATTTACACAACTTTCCCAAGGCTAGAAAAAAAAGCATGTCAGTTAAACATGCTTTCAGTTGCAAGTATCAAAAACTTGATCATAATGTGCTAAACAAATCGGGGCTTATTTTTCTCTCATAGCAAGAAATAAATAGCCCTGGCCTAGGCTGTACAACAACATCAGCACTAGGTTCTCTATGATACGTTCAGCCTTCTTAAGTTGCAAGAGAGCTGCTACAGTGACATGAATTGTATTTGCATTTGAGGCAGGAAGGGGAAAGGGGCAACATCAGTCAAAAAAACAAAAAAAGGTCCCTATTATTAGGAAAATGAAGTAAAATTTTCTACTGACGCTCCCAACAAATTCTCCTTAGTTCTTATGTAGAAGTGTCACACGGACACTCTCAACTGCTGGAGAGAGGCAAAGAAGAAAGTATTTAGACTTGGATGTTGTGTAGGCCAACAAGAGTGTGTGTTAGCCAGTTAAGGGTAGTGCCTGAATTCAAAAATTAATATTAAGCAGCCACTCCTCTCATTCTCTTTGAATTAAATTGGTGTTCTCTTTCCACAATCAGGTTTTATTTTTGGTTTGTTGTTTTTATCTTGCATTTGAGTCCTTACCTTGATTCCCTATGAAGAACACTAATTTCTCTGAGAATGCTCTCCTACCATCTCTTACTCCACTGACCATCTGTTCTTTGCTCCTCAAAGCAGAGTGTGCACTTTTCTGGGCACCTATAATATCTTCTTATTTTGATCTGCTGGCTTGATCCATCCTTCCACTTGATACAATTATGGTCATTTGTTTTTCTCATTAGTCCATTTATTGCACCCAGAATATAACCTAGCATTTTCTCTTAAGATTGTGCCTGGGATGGCTTCTTTTCAATGACTGTCAATTATTCCAGCCACAACACATTGTCATATTGGAATTGTCTCAGAACACCACACCTATAGACAGATCTCTATCTTCTATGAAGAAAAGTAGAAGGTATTGTCTACCATCTGTTTGAAAAATAATCTCTTGCCCTATAAAATCTGTTGATATATTTGTTGTTTATCAGGTATTTTTTTATTTTAAATTTTAGAAAACTACAGTTTAATAGAAAGAGCATTGAATTTATAAATTGCTTTGGGCAGTTTGGCCATTTTAATGATGTTGATTCTTCCTATCCACAAGCATGGAATGTTTTTCCATTTGTTTGTGTCATCTCTGATTTATTTCAGCAGTGTTTATTAGTTCTGCTTGTAGAGATCTTTCACCTCCCTAGTTAGTTGTATTCATAGGTATTTTATTCTCTTTATGGCAATTTTGAATGAAAGTTCATTCCTGATTTGGCTCTTGGCTTGACTGTTGTTGGTGTAGAGGAATGCTAGTGATATTTTCCACACTGATTTTGTATCCTGAGACTTTGCTGAAGTTGTTTATTAGCTTAAGAAGTTTTTGGGCTGAGACGATGGGGTTTTCTAGATATAGGATCATGTCATCTGCAGACAGGGATAGGTTGACTTGTCCTCTTCCTATTTTAATGTCCTTCATTTCTTAATCTTGCCTGATTGCACCAGTCAGGACTTCCAGTGCACAGGAGATATAGGCAATGCCAAAGCTGTGCATCAGGCAAGACTCGCATTCCTCCCTCCTCCGTCATGGCCCACAGCCTCATCACCATGAGATGCCTTGGAATCTGTCTAAATTAACTCTATTATACCTTTTATTTCTGTTTACTTCAGTCCCCAAAGGAAGGCGAAGACCTCTTGTTATCTCTCATCATCTAGAATCCCATCCTTATAAGGTTTCATGCATCCCTAGTGTCATCTTTTCTTTTGTGCTTCACCAATTCCTAAAACTCTTCCACTATTCCGCCTAAAACAGGGTTACCAATCGCTTTATTCTTATCTTTTCTGAACATTCTCTTCACCTTCCAGTTTTAATGGAAACTTGACCATTTTCTAAGCACACTGGTTTCCTGGAAATTCTCTCACATGCTACTTCTCTGTCCATACCTTTCAAGTTACCAAGCTTGGAAGTACAGCAAGTATTTATCATTGTTACTTCCAGACCATTTCTCATCTCTGCTCTATTTACAAATAGAAATGGGAGAAAACAATTTTAAAACCATGTCAGTAGCTTTGTCAAACTCTACTCTTCTTCTGTGCAATTATCTATAAAATATATCCTTTTTTTATTCGTCGTTTGTTTTATCTCCATATTCTCTCTCATATTTCTCCTGTCAGTATTCTTGGTAACTTTAATAATTTCATAAACAATCCTTCAAATGCGGCCTTTTAGTTTTTTAACATTCTCTGCTTTGATCATCTGATCTGATCTACCTCTACTTTAAACATACACTCCCATAATTAGACGCTAACCGCTTCTATTACCAGCAACTAAAACCCCTTCACATAACATCAATGGTAGTAACTTCTCTCTGACAATTTCTGATTTATCCAGCGCATCCTCTCTAGAACCTTAATTCAACAACTTTCTTTATATCTAAAAACTATGAACGTTTTATCTAATAATTTTTCTACTCTAGCCTTCCTCCTTTATGTCTCATTAGTTGTGCTCTGTAGTTTATGGTCTATTATTAAAACTACTGCTAAAACATATCCACATAGCGCCACATTTCTTGCACTTTCTCCATTGGTCATACCTCCCGGATAAAGCCCAACCCTGGATTACTACAACTCTTTTTCTGTTCTTTGCACCTAAGCAAATAAATGTGATTTAGAAGCACATAACCCAAAAGGCACAAACATATTAATTGGTCTCAGGCCATTAAATATAGGTGTTACTTGACATTTCTGTTACATTTTGTTGTCCCTATTATCATTATTCAATCTCTCTCATTAAAAACTATTTTATACTTTCTCCAATAACTGTCCCAACAAATCCACTCTTGGAAAATAAGCTTAATTCCTATTTCACTACTAGTATAAGCACAATCAGAAGAGATATCATCTATAATTTCATCTATACCCCTATCAACCTACCTGCATCTATACTCCAGCTTATTTCCTGTAACCACATGTGAACCATCACACTACTATTTAATATCAACTTTTACATATGTGTGTATTTTTTAACTCATTCCTCCTATTTGCTAAAAATTATTTCTTCAAAAATTTTGCCCTCTTTAATATTAATTATTTCCTTTCTACTAGATCATTTCAACAGCATATAAACATGTGATAGCATCTTCCATAATGAAAAGGTAATTTAATCCCAATCACATTGTCTCATCTATTCTCCTTTTTAAAATCCCTCTTAAAAATTAAACTCCCAGAAATGCACACCTGTATTATTTAAGTTCCTCTTTTTGCTCTTCAGCCAACACCAATCATTCCTTCTTCCATCCCTTCTTAGAAAACTGCTGTTTCAATGTCATAAATCATGAATTATTCAGGCAGTGGTTTATTAGGAGCCCTCACCTTGCTTCACCTAAAGGATTTAATACAATTGTTCATCATCTACCTCATGAAACAATTTGTTCACTTGGCTTCTGGAATATACTCGTTCACGGTTCTACTCCTACTTACAGGCTGTTCTTCATCTGCCCCATCTGCTGCATCCTCATCTTCTTGGAGTCCCTTAGGGATGTGTCCTTGAACCTCTTCTCTTTTATTTTTCATGCTCTTTCTGTTGCAATCTCATCAGGTCTCATGGCTTTGATACTGTCTGTATACTGATGACTCTCAAAAGTATATCTCCATCCCAGACCAAGAGCATGAGCTCCAGATTTGCTTACCCAACTATTCCCTCACTTGGATTTTAGACAGCTTAACATATCCCAATCTGAATTTTTAATTTACTTCTTCAAATGTGAATTTCTAATTTACTTCTTCAAATGCGATCCTCCCTTGTGTTCTGCAGCTCAGTGAGTGGCAATCTTTACCTTCAGGTGCTTAGGTTAAATTTTTTAAGTCATTTTGACACCTCTTTCTCTTCATTCCACATCAAACTTGTCAGCAAATTCCTTTGACTTGGATTTCAAAATGTATAAAATATCCAATCTTATCTCATAACTTTTGTTATGATCACCATAACTGGTGTTACCAGGATTATTGCAATAGTGTTCTAATTCAGAGGTCTACAAATTATTGCCTGAGGGCTAACTTACTTGTTCATATCTTTTGTGCATTTTGACGTGGATTTTTTATCTTTTACTTATTGATATGTAGGCAATAGTCATATATCCTAAATAGTACTCATTTGTCTGCTGCATATTTTGCATCTGTCATCTTCTAATCTTTAGCTTACTTTTTACTATGATTTATAGTATTATTAGTGTACAATTTTTCACACATTTTACCAGCTAACTAAATTTTAAATTCCCTGAGGACATTGTCCCTTGCCTGCTACTTTAGTATCCTACTATGGCTAACTCATCATGAGTGTTTAATCAACATTTGTCAGTTGATTGATCCAAAATACTGCATTTCACTTGAGTGAAATTTTCAGTACACAGCACACAGGTAACAAAGTTATAATATTCAGCAGTCTGCACTAGCACTGACCTGTACCCTATCAGCAGCCAGAAATGAGCTTTGGAGGATAAGCTGGTTTCTCATGTTCCACTGTGTCAGAACTCAGGTACACAGGGCAATAAGTAGGAGGCAGCGTATAAATGCACAGAGGATTCCAGACAGAATCTTAAAGTAGTAAATGCACTTTCAAAAATGAAAAGGTTCATTTCAAGGTCCTGCTTCTTTACACTGTTAGAAATATTATTCAGGAAAAGTCTTTTAAAGAAGCTCTGTTCACATAGTGTGCAATTTTATACACACAGGACAGTCAAGCTACCAGGGACTAGTTTTGTATTCTATAATTCATTTGCCACCTTCAACTGTTAGCTTGCATGTATGTTTACATAAGACTCTATTTTACATTTACTACCAGATCAAATAATATATATGCAGCACCAAGAGAAAGTATTCCTACTGCCCCTGCAATAATATCATTCACTAAAACTTTAAAATATAAGAGAGATGCCTTTCTAGCCATATACTTACTCTGTCTCTTTTTTTCCTCTCACTGTCTCTCTCTTCGCTCAAAAGAAATAACTATCTTGGAATTTTACTGAGTTTATAAGCCTGCAAATAAGTTATACTGATATAACGAAAGTCAGGAGGGACAACATCTGAGCAAGATAAATCTGAGGTAAGAGAAAAGGAAAACGTATACAATGCTACAAAAACTATGAACTAATTAACATTAGACTCTCACTTGTTTTGTACGTATAGGCTTTGCCTGGTTATTGCATCTGTGTGTCTGACTAGAGAATGTTTTTAATGATTTCTGAACATCTTAAGTCCACTGGAAAACTACTATCTTACATAGAAAGAGTGAGCATAACATAAGTGACTAGTCTGACGGTAGCAGACCTAAAAGTAATAGACAGACATTAGGAAGGGAAGTACTTGAAGAGAGAGATTGAAAGAGAAACAGAGGTATATAGAGAGAAGGGTTAAAGAGGCAGCCAGTTCTGAAATGAAAGCTAAGAGGACATAATATTCTGATATAAATGATTTATGTACTCAACACATTATTGCCATTTATTTTCTGCACTGTGAAATATCAGCTAATGTTCTTAAACTTATATGGTTAGAAGGATCGGCTAGAAAACTTTTAAAACATTATTCCCCAGATCTATTCCTCTGTCTCTGAACCTCCACCCCACTTTATGGTTCAGGATGGCAGCTGGTCATTTTTTATGCATATATTTATTTACTTTTAAAGTATCTTGGCTATTTATTTATATACAGATGCATTATATATGCATGTATTAAGTTCAGGAGGTGATCCTGATTTCCAAAGAGGTTTGGGAAACTCAGACTAATTTTGTGATTCACTGAAAGCTGGGTAGGAAGATATCTCTGCTTTTTTCTCTGCCTCCTTAGCTTTTCCTTCAAAATTAGAAGAAATACTAGTCACATTGAATGAGGTTTCAGGCCTGCCATTAAAACATAAGATTCACAGGATAAACTCTCTCTTCTGCTAGATTGATAAAAGGACTAGGATCTGAAGTTCTAACAAGTAGATGTGGCCAACATACTTATTTTTCTGTTCCATTTAATCAAGATTTCTTTGATCCCTTTGATGATTTTTTTCTTGAAACCAATTTGAGGTAAGGTTTGGACTTATATGGAGAAACGTTCCTAAGAATTTCTCTCAAAGTAGTTAATTTATAGCTTTTTTCAAGTGTTAATTGTGACTCTGTAAAATAGAGATAATAACACTTATCTTCCTTTTGGTTTTGAAAGAGTATAAATAAATAATGTATATGTATGGCTAGAATTTAAATGTATTAATATGCTAATATATTCAGATATGCTAATATGTTCATATATGCTAATATTTATATAACAAATATGTAAAATGGCATATAATATTATTTATATAGTTTACCAAAGATAGAATTGTGTTTCAACTACCAAACTAGATTTATAATATGCTCATGATCATTTTTAACATGCTCATGATCATATAACATGATCATTTTTCTAAAACAAATCACACTGCATGGTATATGGTCTCTGGTTGCTGACCCAGCCCAATATTTCCAGACATCTAATCTATTAATCTTTCATACTATTTTTAAAATTCATTAAATTCTTTATTCCATCTGCATATACAAAGAAAAGGGAAATCAGACCAATTCATGCTGTTGAAAAGTATTCTGAGATATGCAGCCTCGGTTATCAAAATAACATAGTCTTATAGTCAGAGACTTCAGATTACTGAACCATGCCAAAGTAAAAAGGAAAAAAAATTAAATATATATTTCAAAAACAATTTTATAAGAGTTACAAGAGACTTCAACTATCTCACCTGCATTTGCTGTTAGTCTTTGAATAATTATTTAAACTTGTTAGGTGAAATTTTCTTCATATTTAAAACATCACAATGATTATCTCTACCATATTTGAGTGTTGTAAGAATTAAATGTCATCATTTACATAGAAAACACTGTATCATTTCTGGCATATTTTAAGGGCTATACACAAGTTATCTATTTTTATTTACCATTATACTTATTTAACATCATAATGACAGAATTCATACTCCAGGAAGTCCTCTGTGTATTCTAACCTACTCCCTAAATTATTATTTTACAATTTCATTTGTATATTGTTATATATATATTGAATGCCGTGTGTATCCCCAAAATTCATATGCTGAAATCCTAATCTTTAGTATGATAGTATCAGGAGGTGAGGTCTTTGGCGGTGATAAGATCTTGATGATGGAGCCCCCATGAATGGACCCTGGAGAGTTCCCTCACTCCTTCTGTCACTTGAGGGTACAGGAAGTAGTTAACCATCTTTGACCAGAAAATAGGACTTCACCAGAACCCAATAGTGCTGACATCCTGGAATAGGGCTTCCAGCCTACAGAACTGTAAGAAACAAATTTCTGTTATTTATAAGCTACCCTGTCTGTGTTAGTTTGTTGTAGCAGCCCCAACAAACCAAGACATACAAATAAAAACTTGTTTCAAAATATACATTTTAATTATTACAAAAATTACAGAAGGTTGAGAGTTTTTATCCTCAATCCATCATTTTAGTATAAAACACAGCATAGTAATAGAAATATTTATATTTGTTATAAATAAGTTAAATGAGCCAATAAACTGATTCTACCTACTAAAATATATTTATAAAATGTATTAATTAATTATTTATTGATTTCTCCAAAAAAAGATACTATCACTGGCTATAGGAGCAATTTTAACATGACATTAAAGGAAATTTTCACACCAAACTGAAATTCAAACACTGGCTCTGGAAATTTTAATCGATGATGAAGTAGCACAAACATATAAAATATCTAGATATTTTTCAAAATATTATTTATTTATTTATCTGTCCATCTATATAACCTGTCTCTTTGACAAGAGCCATTTTGAAAATTGCATTTTACAAAACATGAGATGCAAAATGACACTACTAACAAATCATTAGACTTTCCACTACTTTCACTGTAAAAATATATCCAGAATTTTGCCTAACATCAAACTTAAGAAAATGATCTTGCTTTTGAGAAGGTGTTAAATAAGTCATGATAGGCCAAAGCTTAGAGTTCAACAACTAGGAAAACTTGGATTAAAAATATTAATCATATTTTTAAGATACCCATGTGCTGTCAAAGCAACAAAAAATAGATTAACAGGAATTTTACAGAAGAAAAGGACTTTCTGAAGTAAGTTGACAATCTGAGGCAGTTTATTTGCTTATTTGCAAATTCTTGTCATGAACTAAAAATCAAACTTGCTCAGGTAGAAAAAATCTGTGGGATGAAAGAGTAATCAACAGAACTTTACCCATCATGAGTTGTTGATGAGACACATTGGAAACTTATGAGGATTCAAACAAATGACTTGTTCTTCTGTTAGATATTTTCTAAACGCTGTTCTCCACCAGAGGCTAGGGTGTCAAAGTAATAGCTTCTAAGTGGCAAAGTAAAATTTCCTATAGTTTTATAAATTATAGCAATAAAAAAATTGTTGAAAATTCATTACTTTTTTCAAACATTAATGTATTTTTAAGTTCATATAGTTGAGAAAATGGGCTGAAACTTCTGAATATCCAAGTTGAGATATCCTAATGTTTCGGGGCTGAGAAAATGGAGAGCTAACATACGTTCAAACTGACAATGTGAAGAATCATGTACTAGACAGGGACTAAAAAAAGAAGTGTGAATCTTAATACACCTAAGCTCCTACCATTTGTTTGGATTCGAATGATTAATCTCTTACTAGTTTTCAAAAAGAATAGAAATAAAAATATTTTTGGTGAAAACTAACATTATCTCAACACTGTCCATCACACAGCCAACAATTACTAGATAGTCGACATGGCAAGAAAATATGGCTTATAATTAATGTAAAAAAACAGAAAATAGATGGATATCCACAGTTTTTTAATATTTTTGACTTAACAGAAAATAATTATCATTAATATGTCACAGAAAACAGAAAAGAATAGATGGATCAAATATTTGAAAAGATTAATGTCACCAAAGAACTGGAATGTGTAAAACAGAATCAAATGAACATTCTAGAATTTAAAAATGCAAACTGATGTCAAAGAATTCAAAGTTTGGTTAAATTATACTTTGGATAATATAGAACAGTGTTATTAAACTCAAACATACATTTAATATAATTACTGATTAGCTAAAATTTACTATTGACATTTTGCCCACTGTTTTTTGAATGTTTTATAGTTCCTTCATTTTTTTTCCTCTCTTTTTGTTTTTCTTTGTGATTTGTTGATTTTTTTTTTGCAGTGGCATATTTTGATTCCTTTGTCTTTATCCTTTGGGTTTCTACTAATGTTTATTTTTCTTTCTGGTTACCATAGGGCTTACATTAAATATCTTATTGTTATAGATTTCATTTTAAGGTGATAACAACATCAATTGCATACAAAACTCTACATTTTTACTTTTCCCTGCCACCACATTCTATGCTATTGATGTCACAATAGCCAAAACATTCCTAAGCTAAAACAACAAAGCCAGAGGCATCACACTACCCAATTTCAAACTAAACACCAAAGTTACAGTAACCCTAACAGCATAGTACTGGTAAAAAATAAATAAATAAATAAATAAATAAATAAATATATATATATATATATATACACACACACACACATAAATATATATATATACACACACATAAATATATATATACACATATATACATAAATATATATACATACACATATATATACACACACACACACACACACACATATATATATATATATATAGAGAGAGAGAGAGAGAGAGAGAGAGAGAGAGAGAGAGAGAGACCAATGGAACAAGATACAAAACTCAGAAATACAGCCTGATTCTCATCTGATCCTCAACAAGGTCAACAAAAACAAGCAATGTGGAAAAAGACTCCTTATTTGATAAATGATGCCGGGATAACTGGCTAGCCAATATGCAGACGAGTGAAGCTGGACCCCTACCTTTCACCACATACAGAAATTAACTCAAAATGGATCAAATATTTAAATGTATGACTTCAAACTATAAAAATCATAGAAGACAAACTAGGAAATACTTTTCTTATCACTGACCTTTGTAAAGACTTTTTGGCTAAGTTCCCAAAAGCAATTGCAACAACAGAAATTGACAAGTGGAGCCTAAGATTAAACTAAAGAGCTTCCACACAGCCAAAGAAACTATTGAAGCAGTAAATAGAAACCTATGGAATGGGATAAGAGATTCACAAACTATGCATCTAAGGCCTAATATCCAGAATTCATAGATAACTTAAATAAATCTACATACAAAAACAACTCCATTAAAAAAATGGGCAAGGGGCATGAGCAGCCACTTCTCAAAAGAAAAGATATACGCAGCCAAAACACATATGAAAAAATGTTTATCATTTGTAATTATTAGAGAAATGCAAATCAAAATCACAATGAGATACCATCTCACACCAGTCAGAATGACTATTATCAAAAAGTCAAAAAACAACAGATGATATTAAGGCTCAGGAGAAAAGGGAATGCTTAGACATTGTTGATGGGAAGGTAACTTAGTTCAGCCACTGTGAAAACCAGTTCGGAGATTTCTCAAAGAACTTAAAGCAGAGCTACAATTTGACCTAGCAGTACCATTACTGGTATCTATTCAAAGGAAAATAAATCATTCTACCAAAAAGACGCATGCACCCGTGTGTTCATCACTGCACTGTTCACAATAGCAAAGACATGGAATCAACCAAGGAGCCCATCAATGTTAGATTGGATTTTAAATGTGGTACATAGACACCATGAAATATTATGCAGCAATAAAAAAATAAAATCATGTCCTTTGCAGCAACATAGGTACAGTTGGAGACCATAATCCTAAGCAAATGAATGCGGGAACAGAAAAACAAATGCCATGTGTTCTCACTTATAAGTGGAAACTAAACATGAGCTCACATGGATATAAACATGGCAACAATAGACACTGCATGCTACTAAAGTGGAGAGGGAGGCAGGGGTATGGGTGGAAAAACTACCTATCAGATACTATGCTCACTACCTGAGTGATGGGATATGTACCCAAAACCTCAGTGTCACACAATATTCTCACTTAAAAAACCTGTACATATACCCTCTGTATCTAAAACTAAAGTTGAAATTTAAAAAACAGTAACAAAAATAAATTATTGTCAACTGATAAGGTACAATTTACATCTGCCATATTACCAGGTAATTGATTTCTATATGCCAAATATCCTTCTTTTTCTTCTGTTCCTCCATTATTGTCTTCTTTTGTGTACATGTTATCTAATGTGGCATTTTAATTCTCTTATTAAAACAATAGTTTCCATTACTATAATAAAATAAAATACAGTAAAAATAAAAATAATGGGTAAAACAGAAGATAACTCAAGGAATATCCGAACAAAGCCAAAATTTAGCCTTTATGTAATTGAAGTACAATAAAGAGAAGATAGAAAGATGAGATAGTAGTAGTTTTGAAAAAAACGTGGTAGGGAATTTCCCAAAACTGCTGAAAGATATCTACCCACATACTTCAGTTCTCAGAAAACAAAGCAAGAAAAATGCATACAAACATAAAGAAAAAAAAACAAAGAAAGAGAAGAAAATATATAGAGAGAGACAGAGAGGGAAAGAGAGAGAGATTATAAGAATAATCATAGTAGACCCCTTAATTTGTCCCTCTAATAAACCTGTTGATCTGGTCTTCCCTGCGGCCAGAATCTCCCCTTCAACAAAATGGGTGTTCTTTTTTTCATTCCACTTCATGGAGAAGATGATTTGAAGGGCCACATGAAGTTATTTGCTTGTTTGACACATTTTCCAAAAGTATAGGTCTCACGAATCAGATATCCCATGCAGATGATGCCAATATTTACCAAGACTTCAAGCAACCTAAGTGTTATCTGTCAAGGCAACTTGCCTCTTACTGATTTTGACATCACCACATTTGTTGATTAGTTCTTTTACTAACTTCAGGTTCAGGTACCCCAATGCAATATACGGTTCTACAATCCTCAGCATGTTATTTGAAGCATTGTTGAGCTTAACAAAGGTTGCGTTGATGATATGACAAAGGGAAAGAAGCTGCAACATCTTTTGGACCTTTGGGCTCACACTATTGATACTTCTGGTCCTGATGACAAATAGCAATTTGGGTTCTGCAGGTATGTAAAAGTTGCCAGCTTTTCTTGCCAGCCTACCCATTCAAATCTCAGTTTTGTACATCTGCTCATATTCCTCAAGGTAGTGTTTAGTTTCTTCATAGATGAGTTTTCTTCTTTGCTTTCAAAGCATTTATGGGTAAACTTCTTCCTCAGGTACTCGATCTTCCGCTCTGCAAAATTCCCTCACTTTTTCTTAAGGGTTTCTGCCACAACAGAGACCTGCTTTATCTTCTCTTCAGTATCCTCCATGGGGTTCCAGCTGGAAAAGATCCATTTTAACTATTTTTAAGTGTACAGTTTGGTGATATGAAGTATATTCACATTGCTGTGAGGCAGATTTCCACAGCTTTTTCATTTTGCAAACCAAAGCCTATATTCATGAAACACCGCCCTCCACCCTAGCCCTTGGTATTCACTACTCTACTTTCTGTTTCTATGAGTTTAACTACTTTAGATTCCTTATAAAAGTGAAATAATACAGCATTTGTCTTTTTGTGACTGGCTTATTTCAGTTAACACAATATCTGCCACATTCATTCACACAATAGCATATGCCAGTATGCCTTTACTTTTTTAAAAAAAATTTTGTGTATTTATTTAATGGAATACTATAAAATAGTGAAAATTAACTAGCTATTTCTTTTTTTAATTTTTTAAAATTAGGTTTATTACATGATCTGCTTTTTTTTTTTATTATTATTATACTTTAAGTTCTAGGGTACATGTGCACAATGTGCAGGTTTGTTACATATGTATACATGTGCCACGCTGGTGTGCTGCACCCATTAACTCGTCATTTACATTAGGTATAATCCTGCCCCCCTTCCCCCACCCCACGATAGGCCCTGGTGTGTGATGTTCCCCACCCTATGTCCAAGTGTTCTCATTGTTCAATTCCCACCTATGAGTGAAAACATGCGGTGTTTGCTTTTCTGTCCTTGCCATAGTTTGCTGAGAATGAACTTTAAAGTAGTTTTTTCCAATTCTGTGAAGAAAGTCATTGGTAGCTTGATGGGGATGGCATTGAATCCATAATTTACCTTGGGAGGTATGGCCATTTTCACAATATTGATTCTTCCTATCCATGAGCATGGAATGTTCTTCCATTTGTCTGTATCCTCTTTTATTTCATTGAGCAGTGGTTTGTAGTTCTCCTTGAAGAGGTCCTTCACGTCCCTTGTAAGTTGGATTCCTAGGTATTTCATTCTCTTTGAAGCAATTGTGAGTGGGAGTTCACTCATGATTTGGCTCTCTGTTTGTCTGTTAATGGTATATAGGAATGCTTGTGATTTTTGCACATTGATTTTGTATCCTGAGACTTTGCTGAAGTTGCTTATCAGCCTAAGGAGATTTTGGGCTGAGACAATGGGGTTTTCTAAATATATCATCATGTCATCTGCAAAAAGGACAACTTGACTTCCTCTTTTCCTAATTGAATACCCTTTATTTCTTTCTCCTGCCTGATTGCTCTGGCCAGAACTTCCAACACTATGTTGAATAGGAGTGGTGAGAGAGGGCATCCCTGTCTTGTGCCAGTTTTCAAAGGGAATGCTTCCAGTTTTTGCCCATTCAGTATGATACTGGCTGTTGGTTTGTCATAAATAGCTCTTATTATTTTGAGATACGTCCCATCAATACCTAGTTTATTGAGAGTTTTTAGCATGAAGCCCTGTTGAATTTTGTTGTCTTTTCTGCATCTATTGAGATAATCGTATGGTTTTTGTCTTTGGCTCTGTTTATATGATGGATTATGTTTATTGATTTATATGTGTTGAACCAGCCTTTCATCCCTGGGATGAAGCCAACTTGATCGTGGTGGATAAGCTTTTTGATGTGCTGCTGGATTCGGTTTGCCAGTATTTTACTGAGGATTTTTGCATCAATGTTCGTCAGAGATATTGGTCTAAAATTCTCTTTTGTGTGTGTGTGTCTCTGCCAGCCTTTGGTACCAGGATGATGCTGGCCTCATAAAATGAGTTAGGGAGGATTCCCTCTTTTGCTATTGATTGGAATAGTTTCAGAAGGAATTGTATCAGCTCCTCTTTGTACCTCTGGTAGAATTCGGCTGTGAATCTGTCTGGTCCTGGACTGTTTTTGTTGGTAGGCTATTAATTATGGCCTCAATTTCAGAGCCTGTTATTGGTCTATTCAGGGATTCAACTTCTTCCTGGTTTAGTCTTGGGAGGGTGTATATGTCCAGGAGTTTATCCATTTCTTCTAGATTTTCTAGTTTATTTGCATAGAGGTGTTTATAGTATTCTCTGATGGTAGTTTGTATTTCTGTGGGATCGGTGGTGATATCTTCTTTATCATTTTTTATTGCGTCTATTTGATTCTTCTCTCTTTTCTTCTTTTTCAGTCTTGCTAGCGGTCTATCAATTTTATTGATCTTTTCAAAAAACCAGCTCCTGAATTCATTGATTTTTTTGAAGGGTTTTTTATGTCTCTGTCTCCTTCAGGTCTGGTCTGATCTTAGTTATTTCTTGCCTTCTGCTAGCTTTTCGATGTGTTCACTCTTGCTTCTCTAGTTCTTTTAATTGTGATGTTAAGGTGTCAATTTTAGATCTTTCCCGCTTTCTCCTGTGGGCATTTAGTGCTATAAATTTCCCTCTACACACTGCTTTAAACGTGTCCCAGAGATTCTGGTATGCTGTGTCTTTGTTCTCATTGGTTTTAAAGAACATCTTTATTTCTGCCTTCATTTTGTTATGTACCCAGTAGTCATTCAGGAACAGGTTGTTCAGTTTCCATGTAGTTGAGCAGTTTTCAGTGAGTTTCTTAATCCTGAGTTCTAGTTTGATTGCACTGTAGTCTGAAAGACAGTTTGTTATAATTTCTATTCTTTTACATTTGCTGAGGAGTGCTTTACTTCCAACTATGTGGTCAATTTTGGAATAAGTGCGATGTGGTGCTGAGAAAAATGTGTATTCTGTGGATTTGGGGTGAAGAGTTCTGTAGATGTCTATTAGGTCCGCTTGGTGCAGAGCTGAGTTCAATTCCTGGATATCCTTGTTAACTTTCTGTCTCGTTGATCTGTCTAATGTTGACAGTGGGATGTTAAAGTCTCCTGTGATTATTGTGTGGGAGTCTAAGTCTCTTTGTAGATCTCTAAGGACTTGCTTTATGAATCTGGATGCTCCTGTGTTGGGTGCATATACATTTAGGATAGTTAGCTCTTCTTGTTGAATTGATCCCTTTACCATTATGTAATGGCCTTCTTTGTTTCTTTTGATCTTTATTGGTTTAAAGTCTGTTTTATCAGAGAGTAGGATTGCAACCCCTGCTTTTTTTTGTTTTCCATTTGCTTGGTAGATCTTCCTCCATCCTTTTATTTTGAGCCTATGTGTGTCTCTGCAGGTGAGATGGGTCTCCTGAATACAGCACACTGATGGGTCTTGACTCTTTATCCAATTTGCCAGTCTGTGTCTTTTAATTGGAGCATTTAGCTCATTTACATTTAAGGTTAATATTGTTATGTGTGAATTTGATCCTGTCATTATGATGTTAGCTGGTTATTTCACTCATTAGTTGATGCAGTTTCTTCCTAGCATCAATGGTCTTTACAATTTGGCATGTTTTTGCAGTGGCTGGTACCGGTTGTTCCTTTCCATGTTTAGTGCTTCCTTCAGGAGCTCTTGTAAGGCAGGCCTGGCGCCTCACAAAATCTCTCAGCATTTGCTTGTCTATAAAGGATTTTATTTCTCCTTCACTTATGAAGCTTAGTTTAGCTAGATATGAAATTCTGGGTTGAAAATTCTTTTCTTTAAGAATGTTGAATATTGGCCCCCACTCTCTTCTGGCTTGTAGAGTTTCTGCTGAGAGATCTGCTGTTAGTCTAATGGGCTTCCCTTTGTGGGTAACCCAACCTTTCTCTCTGGCTGCCTTAACATTTTTTCCTTCATTTCAACTTTGGTGAATCTGACAATTATGTGTCTTGCAGTTGCTCTTCTCGAGGAGTATATTTGTGGCATTCTCGGTATTTCCTGAATTTGAGTGTTGGCCTGCCTTGCTAGGTTGGAGAAGTTCTCCTGGATAATATCTTGAAGAGTGTTTTCCAACTTGTTTACATTCTCCCCATCACCTTCAGGTACACCAATCAAACGTAGATTTGCTCTTTTCACATAGTCCCATATTTCTTGGAGGCTTTGTTTGTTTCTTTTTACTCATTTCTCTCTAAACTTCTCTTCTCACTTCATTTCATTCATTTGCTCTTCAATCACTGATACCCTTTCTTCACTAGATCAAATCAGCTACTGAAGCTTGTGCATGCATCACGTAGTTCTTGTGCCATGGTTTTCAGCTCCATCAGGTCATTTAAGGTCCTCTGTATGCTGTTTATTCTATTTAGCCATTTGTCTAATCTTTTTTCAAGGTTTTTAGCTTCTTTGCGATGGGTTCGAACATCCTCCTTTAGCTTGGAGAAGTTTGTTATTACCGATCATCTGAAGCCTTCTTCTCTCAACTCGTCAAAGTCATTCTCTGTCCAGCTTTGTTCCATTGCTGGTGAGGAGCTGGGTTCCCTTGGAGGAGAAGAGGTGCTGTGATTTATAGAATTTTCAGCTTTTCTGCTGTGGTTTCTCCCCATGTTCGTGGTTTTATCTTCATTTGGTCTTTGATGATGGTGACGTAGAGATGGGGTTTTGGTGTGGATGTCCTTTCCATTTGTTAGTTTTCCTTCTAACAGTCAGGACCCTTGGCTGCAGGTCTGTTGGAGTTTGCTGGAGGTCCACTCCAGACCCTGTTTGCCTGGGTATCACCAGCGGAGGCTGCAGAACAGCAAATATTGCAGAACGGTAAATGTTGCTGCCTGATCCTTCCTCTGGAAGCTTCGTCTCAGAGGGGCACCCAGCCATGTAAGATGTCAGTCAGCCCCTACTGGGAGGTGCCTCCCAGTTAGGCTACTTGGGGGTCAGGGACCCACTTGACGAGGGAGTCTGTCCATTCTCAGATCTCAAACTCTGGGCTGGAAGAATTACTACTCTCCTCAAAGCTGTCAGACAGGGACGTTTAAGTCTGCAGCAGTTTCTGCTGCCTTTTGTTCAGCTATGCCCTGAACATAAGCTATGCCTTTTGTTCAGCTATGCCCTGAACATTTTCTTCAGATTCACCCCAGAGGTGGAATCTACAGAGGCAGGCAGGCCTCCTTGAGCTGCAGTGGGCTCCACCCAGTTTGAGCTTCCCAGATGCTTTGTTTATCTACTCAAGCCTCAGCAATGGCGGACGCCCCTCCCCCAGCCTTGCTGCCGCCTTGCAGTTAGATCTCAGACCCCTGTGCTAGCAGTGAGTGAGGCTCTGTGGGTGTGGGACCCTCCAAGCCAAGCATGGGATATAATCTCCTGGTGTGCTCTTTGCTAAGACCATTGGAAAAGCACAGTATTAGGGTGGGAGTTTCTCAATTTTCCAGGTACCATCTTTCACAGCTTCCCTTGGCTAGGAAAGGGAATTCCCCAACCCCTTGAGCTTCTCGGGTGAGGCGATGCCCTGCCCTGCTTCAGCTCAGGCTCTGTGGACTGCACTCACTGTCCGACAAGCCCCAGTGAGATGAACCCAGTACCTCAGTTGGAAATGCAGGAATCACCAGTCTTCTGTGTCACTCACGCTGGGAGCTGGAGACTGGAGATGTTCCTATTTGGCCATCTTGGAACCCCCACCTTTACTTCTAAGGCTGAATAACATTCCATTGTGTGTGTCCGTGTTATATATAAAATTTAAAAAATAAAGTGTGGACACATACTTTATTTTTCTAATCTCAACTTTTATTTTAGGTTTGTGGGGGTATGTTTGCAGGTTTGTTATATGTTAAGTTGTATGTTGTTGGTGTTGGTGTACAAATGATTTCTTCAGTGAGGTAGTAAGCATAACATCTGATAGACTGTTTTTCAACACTTACCCTCCTCCCAACCTCTTGCTTCAAGTACGCCCCAGTGTCTATTGCTCCTATATTTGTGTCCATGCGTACTCAATGTCTAGCTCTCACTTATAAGTCAGAACATTCAGTGTTTGGTTCTCTGATCCTGCTTTAATTCACTTAGGAAAATGGCCTCCAGCTGCTTCCATGTTGCTGCAAAGGATGTGATTTCATACAAAAAAAGCTGGTAACAATCCTATTGAAATTATTCCAAAAAATCAAGGAGGAAGGACTCCTCCCTAACTAATTTTATGAGGTCAGTATCTTTCTGATAACAAAATCTAGCAAACACAATACCTAAAAAGAAAACTTCATATCCTTGATGAACCTAGATGCAAAAATACTCAACAAAATACTAGCAAGCCAAACTCAAAAGCACATCAAAGAGCTAATACACCATAATCAGGTAGACTTTACCCTTGGGATGCAAAATTTGTTCAAGATATGCATATCAATAAATATGATTCATCTCAACAGAACTAAAGACAAAAACTACATGATCATCTCAATGAATTCAGAAAAGACTTCCAATAAAATCCAACATTCTTCATATTAAAAACCCTCAACAAACTAGGCATTGAAGGAACATACCTCAAAATAATAAGAGCCATTTATAACAAACCCACAGCCAACATCATACTGAATGGGCAAAAACTAGAAGCATTCACCTTGAGAACCAGACCAAGACAAGGATGCCCAGTCTCACAACTCCTATTCAACATAGTACTGGAAGTCCTAGTCAGATCAATCAGGCAAGAGAAGGAAATAACAGGCATCCAAACAGGAAAAGAGGAAGTCAAACTGTCTCTCTTTACAGACCATATGATTCTATACTTAAAATACCCCATAGTCTACCCAGAAGCTCCCAATGCTGATAAACAACTTCAGTAAAGTTTCTAGACACAAAATCAATGTAAATATTTTGTTCATTTAGCCCTTGATGACATTGAAGTTGCTTCCATCTTTATTGTGAATAATGCTTTTATAAACATGGATGTGCAAGTATCTCTCCAAGCTCCTTCTTTTAATTCTTTTGGATATATACCTAGAATTGAGATTATTAGATCATATAGTAGTTCTATTTTTAATTTTTTGAGGACGCTCCATACTGTTTTCTATAGGAGTGGTAAAACTCTACAACTCCACTAACAGTGGGCAAGGGTTTTAGTTTCTCCATATTTTTACCAACACTTGTTATCTTGCGGTTTTTGTTTGTTTTGTTTTTGATAGCAGCTATCCTAATAGATACTTTTGAAAGATCATTTCACTGGTTACAAAATTCTAGCTTGGCATTTTTTTTCTTTCAATACTTAAATATTTAATGCATTGTCTTTTTTCCTATATGGTTCCTAAAGAGAAGATTCATGACGGTCTTATACTTGTTCCTCTATTGGTAAGTTTTTTTTTCTGGTTGATTTTTATTCAAGTTATTTGTTTTCTTTAGTTTTCTGCAGTTTAAACACAATGTCCCTAGGTACAGATTTTTTTTGTATGTATCCTGTTTAATGTTTGCTTCTGGGATCTATGATTTGGTGTCTCTCATTAATTTTGGAAAATTCTCACCAATGCTGACTTTAAATATTTCTTCTACTCCTTTCTGTTTTTTCTTTCTAGTATTCCCACTACACATATTACATCTTTTGTAATTGTGTCACCATTCTTGAATATTTGATTCCATTTTATTCATTGTTTTTTCTCTTCACATTCAGTTCGGAAAGTTTCCGTTGACATATCTTCAAGTTCAGTGATTCTTTCCTTGGCCATGTCCAGTCTACTAAAGAGCACATTGAAGATACTCTCTATTGTGTTACATTTTTTCTAGCATTTCCTTTTGATTTGTTTTTAGATATTTTATCTTTCTGCATACATTATCCATTTTTCTTACATGTTATCTACTTTGTATGTTAGAGCCTAAACATCTTCATCATAGTTATTTTAGATTTTCTGTCAAATGATTCCAAAACCTCTATCATATCCAAATCTGCTTTGTCTTTTTGGACTCTTAGTGTGCCTTATAACTTTTTATTGAAAGCTGTTGATGACTGATGCATCTGGTAATAGGAACATTTAGGTATTTTCCCACCAGTTAGTGAATCCAATGACTTCTG
Source organism: Homo sapiens (assembly GCF_000001405.40). Lineage (NCBI taxonomy): Eukaryota > Metazoa > Chordata > Mammalia > Primates > Hominidae > Homo > Homo sapiens. The sequence continues at coordinate 17,113,948 of NC_000012.12, read as the reverse complement.
CTCCTAGTAAGCTAATTTTGGCTGTGATTCTAAATATTTGTCTATATCTCTAGTTTTTTGGATGGTGGCTTCTCCTGTGACCTCAGTTCTCTGATGAATCTAAGAAAAGTCAGTGGTTATCAGCTTATTCTACTTTCTTTTTTATTGTGGATGTAAGAATGATGACTTCCAAGCTTCATGCTCTTTAGATATTGGAACTGAAATAAGAATTCCTAAGTGTTGCTTTTAATACTGTGGTTTTATAACAGAGAGCTATTATTTCTATGAACACCTATATACACATTTATATACATGCTCTTTTACTTTTTAAAAATATGTAGAATATTAAAGTTTAATTCAAACATAATTCTACCTCTCTTTTACCCAAATTTTACAAAACAAGAAGTGAGCGTTTTTACCTACTGAACTCCTTGGCTTTTCCACTTCACTCCACTCAGGGCTAATTATTATTTTTTGATTATTATATGTCTTTCCTGACTTTACCTAAAAGTATACAGATGCACACATATACTTTTAAAGCAAAAGTTGAACCATGTTTTATCAATTGCTCTGTAACCTCAAGATACTTAACTCCATACAGAAAGATAGTGGAAAGAATGAAAGTAATAGGACCAAATTACATTTTGCTACATAATAACTCTACCGTAGGTGCTCTTGGCTAGTTTTGTAATGGTTATCATCCGTAGCAGGCATTTGTTGAGCATCTATTTTGTTCAAAGCACCCTAGTAGATGTGGGATAATAAGGGAGGATTGCAGAAGCAAAACATACATATCTGAATATTGCACTAGAAATTAAAGAGAGTATGGTATTAAAAATAAAAAAACTAACACAAATATATAACTGCTTTAAGTTATAGGAGAAAAACATTACTATCTTATGCAACTGCATTGTATTCATTTGGGTAGGATGTGGGTAGAAATACAATAATTTGGATTTGAGAGCCATATAATTCAGGGAAGAAATCTTGAGCCAAACAAATAGTAAAATTTTTGTTAAGCTAACTTATATTGGCCATCTATCTTGTGCCTTTTCTCTTCTAGAAACTTTGCATGTATTAATACATTTAATACTCAACAATCCTATGAGATAGATACTCTTCTTATCTCCAGTTTTGCTCTGAGGAGATTGAGACATAGAAAGAGCAACAACTTGCCCAAGTTTATGCAGGTTTTGAAGCAAGGTATTCTCTAGATCCAGTGCTTTTCACAATGCTAAATCCAGAAGGTGGACGCATATATCATTTGGGGAGGGGAAAACAGTAATGTTGGAAAAGTAAATTAAAGCTTAACTTTGCAGGCTTCTGAATGCCAAGCTAAGTATTTTGAATAATTTTTCCCCAAGCAATATGGAATCAATGAAAACTCGACCAGAGGAATAGCTTGTACAAAAGAGTGTTTTAAGATAATTAACTTAATAGCAGTATATGGAATCATCTGCGTCTGAATAGACAAAAAGCAGAATAATTATTGAGAAATTTGTTTCAATAGTTAAGTAATGAAGGGGTGAGTGCCTATTTAAAGGTAATGGCAAGAAATAACAAAATCAAAAGGCAGACATTTCAGTCATATTCCTCCTTTAATTCTGCCAGAGGCACTATTATTATTCACACTAAAAAGAAAAAATGGCTTTCATAGTCTGAAATGTCAAACGCAAAAGAGCTTGCCTCTTAGTCTGGCCAAATACAAGATTGGGCAGATGAAAAAAATTCTCAATTGCCATTCAATACATATGCCAACCTTCAGCACTTTCTAAAAGATGTTTTATAATATGAAATTGTAAATGATGTACATATTTGAAAAGTTGAAAGATCAAGATATTCATGATGAGGTCAAAATACATATGTTAATCTACCATATATTACCTTTAGTGAAGGAGCCATTCTCAAAGAGGTAAGCAGCAAAAGGCTTTTAACTGAGGCAGCACAAATTAAGAGGAGCCTCATTAAAGCATAAGCACCTGAGAAAATGAAAGAATACAAAAACAAAAGCAAGATCTGAAAAACAGATATTTTCAGGCAGACAGTAGAACATTCAATAATATAATAAGAAAAGGCATTATAATAGAAAAAGGAGAAAGCATAAACACCTCTGGTGCACAGACAAAAATAATAATTGTTTTTAGAAACCAGGAGATGGGTTCCAATTTCCATAACTTAATAAAAAGACACTTTACATGCAAAAGAACCCCAGAAAAGATTAGAGACTGAGTGATCTAAAATAATGCTTTAAAAGAGCCCTCTTTTTTGTCAAAATTTCACATTATTCAATATAATCATACATACAAAAGTAATCTAGCAACAAATTAATTTTTAGATGCCTGAATGTAACAGAGAAGGACATGTGCAAATAAACTCAGCAGGTAGTTAATAGCTGGTTTTTCCCAAGAACTGATTGTCATCTTTACATCCGAAAAAAAAAAAATCAGGGTTCTGCCTTTGGGAATATCTCTATCATATTTGTACGGCTGATGCACCTCACTAGTTAATGGACATCAATATCCTGACACAAAAATAGAAATACTGGAAAGAGATTAAAATGAACTCAAAGAAAACATTTCACTCTAAGATAAATACCATGAAAATATAGTGGATTGCAGTTTCTTGGGCAGAAATTGTCATGTGTACACAACTCATTAAAAAGGAGTTTAATATTTAAAGAAACTATTCTTGTTACTCCAGTAACGTGTTCATTCTCCCCACCTCTGGTAACAGCACAGCTTAGCTGATAAGTTAAATGCTAAAACAGAAGAAAAAAATATTTTGCAATAGTAGAGCCAAGAGCTATTAGGGGTGGCTTAATGATCACAATTAAAGTACATAATTTTCCTAGAAAGAAATCCAAATCCAAATCCCACTAGCAATTCTGACTTCTTATCTTGAACTAGATTCCAAATTCCTCATTTTATAAAGGTGCTTTACACAACTATGAACACATGGCATTGTCTTAGGAAACATGGGTGTAAAATACAAAAATTAATTTGTAAAATTTAATATTCAAAATGCTTCTGAATGTTACAATTGCATTTTGTACAATTGTCTTCACTATGAATTTATACTATGATCTCAGTTTAAAATATAGAATTTATAGTTCCATTAATCAGTAGTTACTAAAAAATAAAAAATCTAGTTTCACTGAACCAATCCCTGCCAAAACCTCATGGGCCTTCTCTCCCATCTGTGCTTAATTAGCTCATCTGGCTATCAAAATGCTGTCTACACGATTGTCACTCATTGCATGCCATGAAAATAGTCCCAGATCCATGATGAATATGATTCCCAGTACCCTGAGAAGTACAAAAACTGTATCATCTTGGAAAAGTTATGTTAGGACTGTACTATATTTTGCTCATACTAAATGAAATAGTTGAACTTGACCTTTTAGAGACTTTTCAGCCTTTGGCTCCTACATTGTCATGCCCTCACCAGTATTTTCAGATTCCAGACTGACAAGTAAGAATGTCAAGTGTGATGAACTGAGTGTTTGACAGTATTCAACCACTGAAATTCTATTAGGAATTACTAGGACAAAGTTATCCCTGGTCAAGTTATTTTCAACATGTTAGCTTTGTGCCCCACAGTGCTCAGCAGCTTTTTGTGCATGGGGTGAAGATGCTTCTATGTTCTCAGTCAAATTCAAATTCAACTAACACTGACCAAGCAAAATCTGTGGGCCAGGTACTATGCTGAGTTCTGTCGTGTAAATTATTTAACTTAATTATTACAAAAGTTCCTAAATTGTGTTGTGTCAGCATCATCATTTTACAGTTGCAAAAACTGATACTAATAGAGCCTAATAAAGGGAAGAATAAAATTTTGAATCCCAATCTTGTGGTCCCTATACTTAAAGAGATTCTGTGTGTGAATGTGTATGTGTTTGTGTGTGTGTATGTGTGTGTATAGTATTTATGTATGTACCATTATTAGAATATTAGCTATTGACCAGACATTGTACTATATGAGATGTGCGTGTGTGTGTGTGTGTGTGTGTGTGTGTGTTGCAAGGTAGAGATTATGGAACAGATAAGACACAGAGATTTAATAACTTGTCCAAGGTGACAAAGCTCTCATGTGGTAGAGCAAGATTCAAACTCAAACAGGTTTGATTTTAGTGTCCACGGTCTCAGCCACTTCATTATACTGCCTGCACGTTGTATGCTTATTTCCATTCCAGTTTTCATTAACTTTCATCATTATTGGACCACAGCTCAGAACAATTTTGAGGTTATTTGAATCCTACACAAAGATATGTGGGATAGACAAATATTTTTAATTATCTTCTGAAGTCACCCAGTTTCTCTCAGATTAACAAGATGACAATGTGGAGAAAATGTTCCTTGCTTGATCTTTGCTTTGTTTTCTAAATAAAATTAAGAGATTTCCATATGCTAATTTGTCTAGTCTGTTTAGGGAAAGGCAGGGCCTTTGCTCTAACCTCTGGTAGGGACTGTGAAGATCTTATGAACATTCTGCTCTTGGCCCGTGTTCCATTTGCATTGAGTGTGTGTGGAACGGGAAGGGAGGACACATACAGGACTGTCCTACACCACATCTGACCTTTCAACCACCATCTAGAAAAAAATGGCCTGCGGAGTAACACCCTGTTTAAATGTGAATTCCATTCAGCACAATCACTTGGATGACTGGCCATGCATTACTGCATGGTTTTGCACTCATAGATATACTCTCAGTTGCAGCTGTAATCTACCTTTAAATACCACATTTGCCCTCTGAAAAAAAAATTTTTCTTTTGAAAACTTAGCCTCAGTTCTCCAAAACAAAATTTATCAATCTCCTTTGTGTTTTTAGTAGCAACAATGAAAAAAAGAAAAGACAATTTCTTAAATGGAGAATTGACAAGTGACAGTGATTAATGACATTTTTGTTTATTGGCTTGGCTGTTGGCCAAGTATGAAGCAGTGCTTCCCTAGACCCCTTGTTGCTAAAATTGCAGTTAAAAACAGGTGCAAAAACATTACACATAATGTAGTAAAAGAGGGCTTACATCCAAGAAAGCCTACCCATATTAGTTTATATATTTTGTACTTCACTAAAGGAGAAATGTGAATCAAATTTGTTCCAACACAGTTGGAAGCTCTACTTTCTTTTTTGGTCTACATATTGTTTAAAATGCCAGTCAAGATAAATGTAAAACACTTATGCTAGTTTCTATTTTATAATTATTTTTAAATTTTTGATGGCTCTTTACTTTTTAATTACTTTTTCAAGCTACTTTTATCTTCATAGCAAATATGCTAATTATCAAATCAAAGAGTATTTATCGGCCAGGCATGGTGGCTCACACGTGTAATCCCAGCACTTTGGGAGGCCAAAGCAGGAGGATCACGAGGTCAGGAGTTCAAGACCGGCCTGGCCAATATGGTGAAACCCTGTCTCTACTAAAAATACAAAAAATTAGCTGGCATGGTGGCATGCGCCTGTAGTCCCAGCTACTCAGGAGGCTGAGGCAGCAGAATTGCTTGAACCCAGCAGGCAGAGGTTGCAGTGAGCCGAGATCGCCCCACTGCACTCCAGCCTGGGCGACAGAGCAAGACTCCATCTCAAAAAAAAAAAAAAATTTAAAAAAAAAGAGTATTTATCAAACATTAGCTTCACTTTCCTCTTTATATTCTACAGGACACAGTCTCTGTCCTTGCAAAACTTCCATTCCTATCAGGAAAACAACACTTTCAGCATGGGTTGCTCTCTTCTTTAACTAGACAGTAGCTCCTGCAGCTCCATTAACGTCCCATATGCTTCAGTTACACTATTTATTTCTTTCCACCATCTCATTCCTTAGATTCCATATTTGAATTATTAATGCATCAAATGTTCACATTAAATTTATTGACTGTGATGTCCTCATAGGAGAGAAAGAAAAGGCAACTCAGGCTCTCACAGTCTACAGGCACAGATAAAGGAGGTAAAAGACGAGGAAAACAGTGACTCATTTTCACTGAGGGAAAAATAAAATGGAAAACTTCAGATGAAAAGAAAGCCCATAATATGCAAGTACTCAGACAGGTACATTGGATTAATAAAAAAAAATTGTAATCCAAAATAGGCTTATAAAGAAAAAAAATCATAATTTTAAAGATGTATGTATATCTATTTTACTTAATATCAGACATCTTGGGGCCACCTTGAATGTTCCTCAACATTTTCTAAGAATCATTCAAGTGCTCTAAAATGTTATGTGAATTTCTCCTGATATACTCTCTGGATTTGAATATTATTAAAGTATTTATTTCTATCAATTAAATGAGTATATCTCCTATGAAACCAGTACCTAGACTCAGGTTTGCAACCCCCTACCGTACACTGATATTGTGAGAAAGAAATAAAGTTGTAATAGCAATAACTTTAATATGTTAAAATTTTGTTATGACTTTTATAGCTCTTTACCCTTAAGGCGTTTTTAAACCTCAAAAGTTGAACAGAGAATTTGAAGCAACACCAGAATCCTCACCAACTGTTTAAAATGTAGTTCAGTCAAACATATCCAAACCATCAATCCCCATTTCATTGTCAAAATTACCCCATAATCAGACAAACTAGCTGAGTAGTTTCCACCCTTAGGAAACTCAATCCATTAGGAGCATTTGAAAGTGAGTAGGGGCATTTTAAGCTGTCTAGCAAAATGATGAATTGTTCCAACAAAACTTCCAGTGGCACCCCTATGGAAAATAACTGCCCAAATCTAGCTCTTTCTCCATAAAAATAAAATAAAATAACCCTAAAACCTAGAAAAGAAATGTCCTACATGAGCCAATGTCAACCCTAGTTTTGTGGGCACCCCAGGGTATCCCCAGTTATCTCAAGCGGAGGAATGACATTTTGCAAAAACTCCTCAAAGTGAAGGTTTAGGACCTATTTAAAATGAAGCTTCTGTGCTGCATTTTATGGTGAGAAGGTCTTGAGATCAAGCTGGGTAAGGTATCAAAACTTCCAGTTCAAGAGCCTGTATTATGGAGCCTATTACTTTACAGCCTTCCTGAAAAAAGTAGGATATTGTAGGGGCCGCGCGCAGTGGCTCACGCCTGTAATCCCAGCACTTTGGGAGGCCAAGGCAGGTGGATCACAAGGTCAGGTGAAACCCTGACTCTACTAAAAATACAAAAAATAAATCAGCCGGGCGTGGTGGCAGGCGCCTGTAGTCCCAGCTACTTGGGAGGCTGAGGCAGGAGAATGGCGTGAACCCGGGAGGCTGAGCTTGCAGTGAGGCGAGACTGCGCCACTGCACTCCAGCCCGGGCGACAGAGCAAGACTACATCTCAAAAAACAAACAAAAGAACAAAAAAAAGTAGGATATTGTAAATCATCTATAGCTTTGCAAGATCAAGTGAATGGACTACATGAGTGGGTAAATATTTTGAACAATGCAAAGTGCTGTAAAGGATGTCAAATTAACCAGGTGTTTTCTTGTTCTTATGTAGCTTTGTAGTAAATTGAGGAAAAACTAGTAACTATTTCAAAAATTTGAATGGAGTAAGTACCTTTAGAATACAGAGACCAAACCTATTGCAGGTTTTTCTTGAGAACTCTGAGAATCGCCCAGGTGATAAGGTGACAGGTAAAGCTTTGTCTCTTGTATGACTATTTCAAAGAAAATAGGTGGGCAGAAATGAAAATGAATGTTTTTAATAACTTGTTGTTTCATGAGTTAGCCCCTCAGTATAATAATATTTAGTAAATTTATAACATCATCTATCAATCAGTGAATTAAAGAGACAAAAATAAAGTCGATGTAAGAAGTTATGGAAGTTTGATTATTAGCTTTATTTTTTAAGATTTTAAAGTGTATTGTATATATATATATATTATCTTGGGGACTTTATTAGAAAATGTTTCCATTTACTCATTTATTCATTCATTCATTCATTCACCACTAAAAAGGTTTCTGTTACCCAAATTTATGGGCAAAACAGTTTGCCCTGTGCTAGACAATTTGGGAGGAAACAGGCATATAAGACAAAAGACCTTAAAAGACCTACTTTCTAAGATTTTACAACTTTCAGGTCTTCTTTGACAAAATAAATAATGAAACACTCCACAAAGATGTTGATTTGACAGCAAATAAATTATTGCTGATGTATTATACTAGGTCACTACTATATCTTAATATAAGTCTAGAAATACCATCTAGAGAGAGTAAAATAAATGTCAAATTTATTGTGTTCCACACTGCCCTAAGTGCTCTTATGAAACCACAAATTAGCCTGAAATAGCCTAATCATTTCTCTATTCACCAAAAAGGGGTGACACCAAGTTTGCATTCTCTCAGATAAATGTTCATAATTTTCCATTTTTATTCTGATCCTAGATTTCAAATAGGCATTCCAATATAAAGTAATGATAAAAAAAAGCAAAACTGCAACATTAGGATGATTGACACTTTTATGGTATCTTCAGCAGACATATTCAGTAGAATACTTTTCTATATGTCTTCTTTTACTTTTCTACTATTATTCTGTCAGTCTTCAGTTGGATACAAATTTAAAAATATGATTGTCACAAAAGTCTGTCCCCTCCTTTCACGTATCTGTATATCTATATATGGGCATATATAGATACATGCACACACATATACATATATGTGTGTATATATATAATAGGTATAGGTATGTGGATGTATGTATATATGCATTTATTTACTGACACACACCATTTAGGTGCATATTTAGATAGATATAGAAAGAGAAAGAATAAGAAAGGAAGAACAGAAAAAAAGAAAGGAAGAAAGGAGAGAAGAGGGAGGGAGGGAGTAAAGATATCTTTACCACGTTCAAATGTGTAGACCCAACATTGTATAACTTTATTTTAGGTAACTTCATTCCTAAGAAAAGACAGCCATGTTCCTTTTTAAAGTTCTTAAACCATGGATACCATTTTTCAGGGACTAATGTTCCAAACTGAATTACTTAGGCCTTTGAATGTTCCTCTTTTTTCCTGCCGTCTGTCTCTGGATAACTTCACAGATCAGTACATCAATCAAAAAACTAGAAAAAAATGTTAGAGATGAAATTAAAATCTTTAAATTCATTTTGTGCATATCTCTGGGCAGGAGCTTTGGTTAGTGAAAAATTAAAAATGACTACTGCCTCATTTCATTTGGGTTTGTTTGCTTAATTTTAACAGAGACAGCCTAAAACAAACACACCAAAACTGGCTCTCCTTCAAACTAAGATCCATCCCCATTCTCTCCTTTTAAAATCATATCTGCTGAAAAACTGCCTTTACCCACAGTTTCCCTCACTGATTCTCTGGCATTCTGTTCACATCCTTATCATTCTATTGAAATTTCTTTCTCAACAGCCATCTATAGGCTATTCTTTGTCAAATCCAATGACCTTTTCTCGATTCTCTCATTTTACTCCCTGCTGCATTTTCCATTCCGGATCATTTTCTCCCAGGATCCCTTCTCTTCTGGTCTTAGCAAAAAGTCTCGCAGCTGTCTAGTTTTCTATCCTCTCTGAATGTTGGGCATTCTCCTTCCAACCAGTCAGCAAGCCTTGCTCACCCACACACGCAGCTTACAATCAGCTTTTCAGTGTCTTAATCTTAAATATAAATGGATAGCTAAGGTCATAGGACATTTGAAGAAAGACTTCAATGTGAAATAGCACAGAAAACACAGAGGAAATTAGATAAATTTGACAAAATGCACTACATAGGAAAAAAAGCAAAGCAACAACAAAATAACTTCTTTCTTGGTTTAATGATTTCTTGTAAGTTTGTATCCTTTGTCATATGCAGTTACTGAAGTCTCTGCTTATATAGCTTAGTGGTCAGATAATAATTGGTCAGAGTTTTCCTTAAATGCCTGGAAACAATAAGTTTCCCAGTCCTTGCCAAAGGAATCTGGGTGCATCTTGAGGCACATTTTTGACCCTAAAGCCCTTCGGTTTATAACTCTGCCTTAGCCTTCATTTCCTTCTTAAGGTGCAACTGCAAGATTACCCAGAAATTAAATAACAGGGCCCCAGTTCTTTGCTGACCATACACATAACCCTCAACATGCACACAGCTGTTCACATATGCACCACCCTCTAGAATCCTAGGGACATGTCTGAGGTTTTCAAAGCCCCTATAGACATCTCATTTCCCTAGATTTTCCTACTAAGCTTTTTGATTTGCCTCTTGTCTGCCCAAACTTTTACTCAAGCACCCACAATGTTAAAAATTGAATCAATGCATGTCTTTCAGTGGTATTTTACTTTTTCTACTGTAAAACTCTGATAAAAATAAAATTTAAAAAACTAAATAAATATTTAACAAATGTATAAATAGAGAAAAAACTTCGTAATATTTTCATATGGTTAATGAGGAACTACACTTTGCCTGGTTAATCCCTCCCATCCTACAAGTCTTTGTGTAAAGGCTGCTTCCTCAAGGAAGCCCCCTTTAACTTCCCATCAACCTCCAACAGTGTTTAACACTGCTGCACAGCCTCCAAATGTATTAGATGAAACTTATCACAGTTGATATATCTAAATATTGGTATAATTCTTTGACTACTGCTGTTAGCCTAGTATAAGTTCCCCTTGGGCAAGAACATATCTGCTTTTGTTACCTCTGTATCCTTACCACTTATTTCACTTACTGTCACATAATAGAGTGTTAAAAACATGTTGAATAATTACAGTTCTACATTCTAGCCATAGGAGAACTCACCTAATTCCATGACTTTATTTCCTCTACATACAAGCATAACTCCAGTCTCCAGAGGTCCATATGCTAAATTCCTAACTGTCTGCTGAACACCTCCCCAAAGGAGGTCTGTTAGGAACACACACCTAAATGTCTTCCTTTTCAAATATGCTTCCAATGCCAACTTATTTGTATATACCCTGCAGCTACTACCATGCTTAGAACATATTGGTTATTCCACATCAATTTATGGACTTACAATTACTTCATAAAAGCTGACATACTTCTCAAATCTTGAAACCCTATACTATTTATTTTCTGTACAATGACAGATAGATAAGCCAAACACCTAGTTATTTGCTATTTCTCATAAAAATAACATGGAAGAGCTCTATTTTATCAAAATTTGTAAGTCTTGTAAATTGCTGTGTTGTAGCATCAACATGGAAATCTGATGCTATAGTGTGAACTAAAGTAGTTTATCATATTGTAGTTGTTTACTTATTATACATTTCTATACAGAGACTCATTTGTTAAACAAAATACACATGTTTTTGTTTACAAATTTTATTGTAACCTTATTTTTATTTATTTTAAATTTATTTTAGACAATTATAAAGCAGGTACATAATTAAAATTTTAAATAGAACAAAAGGGTATTCAAATGCTAATATTTATAGTGTTTTTCTTTTCTTTTTTTTTATTATACTTTAAGTTCTGGGATACATGTGCAGAATGTGCAGGTTTATTACATAGGTATACATGTGCCATGGTCGTTTGCTGCACCCATCCACCCATCATCTACATTAGGTATTTCTCCTAATGCTATCCCTCCCCTATCCCCCCACCCCCTGACAGGCCCCAGTGTGTGATGTTCCCCTCTCTGTGTCCATGTGTTCTCATTGTGAGAACTTGCAGTGTTTGGTTTTCTGTTCCTGTGTTAGTTTGCTTAGAATGATGGTTTCCAGCTTTATCCATGTCCCTGCAAAGGATGTGAACTCATCCTTTTTTAGGGCTGCGTAGTATTCTATGGTGTATATGTGCCACATTTTCTTTATTTAGTCTATCATTGATTTGGGTTGTTTCCAAGTCTTTGCTATTGTGAACAGTGCTGCAATAAACTTACGTGTGCATGTGTCCTTATAGTAGAATTATTTATAATCCTTTGGGTATAAATCCAGTAATGGGATTGCAGGGTCAAATGATATTTTAAATTCTAGATCCTTGAGGAATCGCCACACTATCTGCCACAATGGTTGAACTAATTTACACTCCCACCAACAGTGCAAATATTCCTATTTCTCCACATCCTCTCCATCATCTGTTGTTTCTTGACTTTTTAATGATTGCCATTCTAACTAGCATGAGATGATATCTCATTGTGGTTTTGATTTGCATTTCTCTAATGACCAGTGATGATGAGCTTTTTTCATATGTTTCTTGGCTGCATAAATGTCTTCTTTTGAGACGTGTCTGTTCATATCCTTTACCCATTTTTTGATCGGGTTGTCTGTTTTCTTTCTTGTAAATTTGTTTAAGTTCTTTGTAGATTCTGGATATTAGCCCTTTGTCAGATGGATAGATTGCAAAAATTTTCTTCCATTCTGTTGGTTGCCTGTTCACTCTGATGATAGTTTCTTTTGGGATGCAGAAGCTCTTTAGTTAAATTAGATCCTGTTTGTCTATTTTGGCTCCTTTTTTTTTTTTTGCCATTACTTGTGATGTTTTAGTCATGAAATTTTGCCCATGCCTATGTCCTGAATGGCATTACCTATGTTTTCTTCTAGGGTTTATATGGTTTTAGGTCTTACATGTAAGTCTTTAATCCATCTTGAATTAATTTTTGTATAAGGTGTAAGGAAGGGGTCCAGTTTCAGTTTTCTGCATATGGCTAGCCAGTTTTCCTAACACCATTTATTAAATAGGGACTTCCTTCTCCATTGCTTGTTTTTGTAAGGTTTGTCAAAGATCAGATGATTGTAGATGTGTGGCATTATTTCTGAGGCCTCTTTTCTGTTCCATTGCTCTATATATCTGTTTTGGTACCAGTACCATGCTGTTTGGTTACTGTAGCCTTGTAGTAGAGTTTGAAGTCAAGTAGTGTGATGCCTCCAGCTTTGTTCTTTTTGTTTAAGATTGTTTTGGTTATATGGGCTCTTTTTGGTTCCATATGAATTTTAAAGTAGTATTTTTCTAATTCTGTGAAGAAAGTCAATGGTAGCTTGATGGGGACAGCATTGAATCTGTAAATTACTTTGAGCGGTATGGCCATTTTCACGATATTGATTCTTCCTATCCATGAGCATGGAATGTTTTTCCATTTATTTGTGTACTCTCTTATTTCCTTCAGCAGTGGTTTGTATTGCTTCTTGAAGAGGTCCTTCACATCCCTTGTAAGCTGTATTCCTAGGTATTTTATTCTGTTTGTAGCAATTGTGAATGGGAGTTCACTTATGATTTGGTTCTCTGTTTGTCTATTACTGGTGTATATGAATGCTTGTGATTTTTGCACATTGATTTTGTATCCCGAGACTTAACTGAAGTTGCTTATCAGCTTAAGGAGACTCTGGGCTGATATGATGGGGTTTTCTAAATAGACAATCATGTCATCTGCAAAAAGGAACAATTTGACTTCCTCTCTTCCTATTTGAATATCTGTTATTTCTTTCTCTTGCCTGATTGCCCTGGCCAGAAATTCCAATACTATGTTGAATAGGAGGGGTGAGCGAGGCCATCCTTGTCGTGTCCCAGTTTTCAAAGGGAATGCTTCCAGTTTTTGCCCATTCAGTATGATATTGGCTGTGGGTTTGTCATAAACAGCTCATTTTATTTTGAGATACGTCCCATCAATACCTAGTTTATTGAGAGTTTTTAGCATGAAGGGGTGTTGAATTTTATTGAAGCCTTTTCTGCATCTATTGAGATAACCATGTGGTTTTTGTCATTGGTTCTGTTTATGTGATGGATTATGTTTATTGATTTGTATATGCTGAACCAGCCTTGCACCCCAGGGATGAAGCCGACTTGATTGTGGCAGTGCTGCTGGGTTCAGTTTGCCAGTATTTTATTGAGGATTTTAACATAGATGTTCATCAGGAATACTGGCCTGAAATTTTCTTTTTCATTGTGTCTCTGCCAGGTTTTGGTTTCAGGATGATGTTGACCTCATAAAATGAGTTAGGGAGGATTCCCTCTTTTTCTATTGTTTGGAATAGTTTCAGAAGGAATGGTACCAGCTCCTCTTTGTACCTCTGGTAGAATTCGGGTGTGAATCCATCTGGTCCTGGACTTTTTTTGGTTGATAGGCTATTAATTACTGCCTTAATTTCAGAACTTGTTTTTGGTCTATTCAGGGATTCAACTTCTTCCTGGTTTAGTCTTGGGAGGGTGTATGTGTCCAGGAATTTATCCATTTCTTCCAGATTTTCTAGTTTATTTGCATAGAGGTGTTTATAGTATTCTCTGATGGAAGTTTGTATTTCTGTGGGATCAGCGGTGATATCTCCTTTATTATTTTTTATTGTGTCTATTTGATTCTTCTATCTTTTCTTGTTTGTTAGTCTGGCTAGTGGTCTATTTTGTTAATCTTTTCAAAAAAACCAGCTCCTGGTTTTTTGAAGGTGTTTTTGTGTCTCTGTCTCCTTCAGTTCTGCTCTGATCTTAGTTATTTCTTGCCTTCTGCTAGCTTTTGAATTTGTTTGCTCTTGCTTCTCCATTTCTTTTAATTGTGATGTTAGGGTGTCGAATTTAGATGTTTCCTGCTTTCTCTGGTGGGCATTTAGTGCTATAAATTTCCCTCTAAACACTGTTTTACCTGCGTCACAAACTTTCTATGCATTTGTGAACCTTCTCAGGCATACACACACACACACACACACACACACACGTCTTTAGTTTTCACATTATATAGAACATGTAATAAACAGTAATCACAGATTCTATAAAATGTATACCAGGAAGCAATTTGTTCCTTTGCAAGGTGATGGAGAATGAAAATTCTGGTCAACGGAAAATTAGAAGGAACTGAAAATAGTCTATGTGATAGGATAAATGCTGCTCTGGTGTGTTTGTGGCTCTAAAGTAATTTGAATGTAATTTTTACACTATTTTCTAAGTGATATATTGGTCCCATGGGGAAAGAGGGAGCCACAGAAAACAAACTCAATCATGATTTGGTTTTCAGTAGAAATTGCTTGCTTCCTTTGTCATGTGTCATCGCTGACAGAGCTCCTGTCTTCACACTGAATCCCACAACAACTTGGAGCATTTTCTTTGGAAAAGGGCATCAGAATAGCTCATATGAAACAAGGAAATTAGTAAGTAAAAGTAGCGAAAGAACTGTAACTTGCAGGTTCACATTAACTCAGTTGATAATTTTTTGTAGGTTGTAGGATACATAGAGAGGCAATTGCACAAAGAAAGGAAATAGGTGCTTGGTCATGTTGAAGGGAAAGAAAAAGATTATTTTGGGGAAAAACTGTTTTTAAGTTTTCAAGATATGGGTTTTTAATCTGATGTGTTTCTTCAGTGAAATGTCAACTCTTGAAAGAAAGGTGCTGTTTATACTCTGATCAATTTGTGTAGTCTCAGCGCATATTAAAGGACTGTTGAATGATTAAAGGATGGTTGAATTCAGAAGAGCTTCTAGGGAATTACCTTATCCAAGCAAACAAGAAACACTAGAGCTTAAAATGAGAGATGAAAATCAAATGTTGAGGATAGAGAGTCATCCTGAAAAACCAGGTTCCTAGATGACCTTCTAAACCAGATCCCATCCACCCATTGTGGACTATTTTTAGAGAGATAAAATATCTGATTTATTTAAGCCATAGTATTTTGGAGTCATGTTGCTACAATATTTAGCCTACCCAATAACTAATACCAAAGTAGGAAATGAAAATACACTTCCATTATAAACAACCTAAAATATAAGGCATTGGCTCAGGGGACAGTAAGAAAACAGATATTGCAGACTTGAAAGCTATGAGCCTTGTGATGTCATGTCCAAATATTTTCAACTGTCACCTGCAATAACTAAGAAAGTAGATCACGTGTAACTCTGAGGCTTAAAGATAAAAACAGAAAGTTGCAGTGTTTTGAATTTTCCTTAATGCATTTGGCAAGGTGTTGTAAGAAAGCGCCCAGCCAAAAACTGACAAATTTGCATACCAGAAATTGAACAGACTAGAATTCTATAAGGAAGACTTTTATCTGTCTTTAGCCTCAGTTGGACAGTCCAGTAATAGTAGGCAGGTTTAGGAAAGTCATCTGCTTACGTAACTCACACAGTAGAAAATAATGCTCCAGACATTTGTCAGCATCTCTCTTGATGACTTCTCAAGCAGAGAAATGGGAGCTAGCCTACTGGTAAAGATCAGGCCGGGGATGTATCTTTTATCTGGGGTCTTGCTCTGGTCTTCCACGTGGAAATGAACGAGAGCCACATGCCTGCGTGTGTGAGACTGTCACGGCAATGGCGACCCCACAGGCATTGCCTCCTTCACGGAGAGAGGGCCTAGAAAACTCAAGACTCCCACGGAGGTTCAGTTCCACACTCCCCTCCACCCTTCCAGGCTGGTTTCTCCCTGCTGAAGACGCGTGGGAGCCCACAGATCTTTAACCATTAAAGCAAGGAAGAAAGAAAAGGATCCTAGAACAGAATTCAGTATTTAATACAGGCTTAGATAATTATGTCCAAATATTAACTGCAGTAAGGTTAGTGGCACATGAAAATTATCGGAACTAAATTCATATGAAGGCAAGTATGTTTTTTAAAAAAGTTTATTGTCAGTTGAGCACGGTGGCTCACATCTGTTATCCCAGCACTTTGGGAGGCTGAGGTGGGAGGATCACCTCAGGTCAGGAGTTCGAGACCAGCCTGGTCAACATGGTGAAACTCGGTCTCTAGTAAAAATACAGAAATTAGCTGGGCATGGTGGTGCGTGCCTGTAGTCCCAGCTACTCAGGAGGCTGAGGCAGGAAAATTGTTTGAACCCAGGAGGCAGAGGTTGCAGTGAGCTGAAATTGTACCATTGCACTCCAGCCTGGGCAACAGAGCAAGACTCTGTCAAAAAAAAGCAAGCAAGCAAGCAAGCAAGCAAGCAAGCAAGAAATATATATATATATATGTATGTATATAAAAGAAACATCCATTCAATATTTCCAAACCATGTGATTGAGCTTTAAATTTATTCTTGAACTTTTAGGCCTCTACCAGCAAGAAGTGGGCTGCAAAAGCTGGAGAGTTCTGTAATGCCCAATATGGCCACAGAATGAGGAAGAACTTCCTAAAGGACTGAATCAGAAGTCACAGAAAACAATGGTCAAAATCATCTCTTTCCGAAAACCAAAACTAGTGCCTGATAAAGAAATTTATTTCACTGTAAAAGTGGATTTTTGTAATTCTTGTTCTGAAGGATTTCATCATTGATAACACCTTGTAACTGTCATGTCTTCCATTTTTCCGTTTCTCAAATGGAAAGTTGTTTTTGCATTTATCATGTACTTCTCTCCCTTGGTGAGCGTGATTTCATGGGAAAAGAGTGAGCAAGACAGCTTTATGACCAAAAGGAACAGAAAGTGGAAACTGCCAACCATCCTTCAGGATGCATTTTCCTCCCACTCATCCTCTTAGTAATTATTTGTCCCCACTTAGTGTTAGGTGAGCATATATCTACTCATCTAGAGACTATATTTCCCAGACTCCCATCAAGCTAGGTGTCAAGTGACTAAGTTCAGGAAAAAAGGATATGAAAGGAAGTGATGCATTCAATTTCCAGGTCATTTATTTTAAAGATAAAGCTTACTGTCCTAGATTTTCTTCTACTCCCTTCCTGTGGGCTGGAAAAATTAACATGACATTAGTGAACTTCCTTTTATTATTGTGTATTAATCTGCCATCACACTGCTATAAAGATACTACTTGAGACTGGGTAATTCATAAACAAAGGAGGTTTAATTAACTCACAGTTCCTAGTGGCTGGGGAGGCCTCAGGAAACTTACAATCATGGCAGAAGGTGGAGAGGCAAATACCTTCATCGCAAGGTGGAAGGAGAGACAGCATGTGAAGGAGGAACTGTCAAACAGTTATAAAGCCATCAGATCTCACGAGAACTCACTCACATCATGAAAACAGCATGAGGAAAACCACCCCCGTGATCCAATCACCTCCCTCCATGAGGATTATAATTCAAGATGAGATTTAGGTGGGGTCACAGAGCCAAACCATATCACATTGTGATGAGTAGAATCAGAGAAGCAACCTTAAGTACAGAAATAGAAACTGCATATTGCAACAGAGCTTGAGTAGTGCCAAACTCAACCTGCCAGCTTAGGTTCCTGAATGAACTTTTAGAGCAGAATCTGCTTACCCTTTCTGAAATGTTATGGGAAAGAGTGACACACTCTCATTTTATTTCAGTCACTATATTTTAAGAGTACCTTTGTTATTACAGCTTAGCTTATGAAGACTACATTTGCCTACTACTTTTGCTTTGCCAAGCCTGTGTTAAAAGCTAATTTGATTTCATATTCTTGGATCTGCCTCAGCTATAATCATGGCTATTGCCTCAAGCCTACTGAGGTGGTAAATCTTACATGACAACTTGTCTGGGCCACCATGCCCAGATATTTGGTCAAACATTATTCTGAACATTCCTATTAAAGTGTGTTTTGGCTGAGATTAACATTTCATTCAGTGGACTTTGAGTAAAACAGATTACCCTCCATGATGTGGGTGAGGTCCCATCCAGTCACCTGAAGCCCTTAATAGAACAAAGACTGACCTTCCCCAAGTAAGAAGGAATTCTTCCAGCAGACCGCCTTTGAACTGGAACTGCAACTATTCCCTGAATCTTCAGCCTGCCACCCAACCCCATGAGATTTTAGACTTTCCAAGCCTCTACAATCATGTGAGCCAATACACATCCACATGCACACACACATGCATAACATTGATTCCGTTTCTCTGGAGAACTCTGATTAATACACCTAACCTGCTACTTCTCAGTCTTTAGTATCATTGTAAAATTACCATTTTTCTAATGACAGCCTGTATCTCAACTTTGGATTACTCCTACCTTTTACAAATATGTATTAAAGATATATTGTGTACCAGACTCTAGTTTGAGAATACAAATGAGTCTCTGTCTTGTGGAGAAATACATTTTAGTGGAGAAGACAAATAATTAATCAACCAATCAACAATATGGAGAAAGTGATATGAAGCAAAGAATAGCGGAGGAAGGGACGCAAGAACAAGTAAAAGGGAATGTTCATTTACAGAAGGAGAGGTTTTCTCAGGGGAGGTTTTCTTGATTAGATTATGCAAAAGTTGATCAATGATATTTTGAAGTAGAGTTAGTCACAAAGACAACTTTTCTAACAAAAAGGTCTGGGTTGAGGAAATAGTAAGGATAAAGTTCTTATGGTGATAGAATGCTTGGTGTGTTTCAGAAAAGTTTGCTTGGAGTGTGATGAATGGAATGGCCTCAGAATTAAGCTGGAAAGAGGTTCCTATTTTTGAGATTCTAATTTGGACAGAAGACAGACCTTAAACCAGGGATAAGAAATGCCTTAATATTTCCGAGAGTAAATTTCCAGTGTATCAATTTTAAAATTTCTAGATATCCTTGAGAGTCATCATAAAATAAAGTATCTTCTAAGTGTAGACATATTGATAATTAGTCAAGAAATATGCCTGTAAGTTTCCCCAAACTAAGATGAGATAAATGTTTTGTGTCATATTTACATAGTTACACGCTATATTTTTAATTTCCTAGAAATTTAAACTGCCTAGAACTTAATTAAACTAGCCTAGTCTCAGATGCACGTTAGCAATAGGGAGAAAGAGTATGAACTTGGATCTAACCAGAAGAGCCATCCTTTGCCCCAAACCCAGGGCAATGAGAAGGTGAAACCAGTCATTAGGGAAACAGAGTGAGGAGATTAAGGTCCAGGCTTTCTCACTAATATGGAGAGTTTTCTTATTTTACCAATAGAGAGGATCTGAATTGTATTTTATTAAGGAGATAGTAGTTTTCTTACCACGTATAGCCTTGTATCCAATCCTACATTTCTGGCTTTTAGTCCTAAATTATCCATTTAGTCCTGCTTTGATAAGCAGAGCTTATTAGCAAAGGAAAAAGGTGGGAAATAGAACCTCAAGTTATAAGGCATTTCCCTCTTTCTTTACAACTTAATGACAGCCTCCGGAGGGTGAGGCCTCATTGCAAATATTGTTCTTAAATTAAACATAGCAATAGGCTCGTTCTTGTCATCAAACACAATCCAAACTCCCCATGTTGGTAAGCTAAAGAGAATCTCAATGCTGTTTCAAACACCTATTTTTCCTTCTAAGAAGCTGTATGGAATAACAGCCATCCTGCGTGAGGTGGCATTCTCAAAACATAACTAAAGGAGATTTTATTTTTTAAAGACTACTTATTAGCAGAGATGTGTAAGATGTAGGTTTAAGGGTATTATATAAAGGAAGAGAGTATCCCTAGGCTCAGTAGCATCTTCTGTTACCAGCCCATGTCCAAAGGGACAAAAGGAGGGAAACTTGTTAAAACCCAGAGGAACACAGTCACAGAAGTTAAGCAACTTTGAGAGAAACAGTACACTTCGGTGTAAGGATAGGGATACAACCTAGTAGAGAGGGGACTAGGACAATAAATTTCTGACTTCATTCTCCCCACTCTTTTAACATCCTATCACCAAACCCAAGTGAGCTAATTAGAGAATATAAGAATCATGATGTGATCTAGGACAGTGAGCAGGACAGGGAAGGGTCAAAAATTAACCTGGAGGGACAAATAAAAACTATTGAGCACTTTTCTCTCTCTCTACTCTACAGCAGAATCTTTCCCGAGGTCATTTCAACAAGCAGCGTCTCCATAAATGTGAGAGATAACTATTCCTTTTATCCTGTTATTGATACAGATCATAGTTATAAGACAGGCTCATGACTATGCCTAGTACATGCAATGTTCTGAAGGATGGAAAGCTTTCTATCAATAGATTAGTTGTTATTTCCTTGGGAAGACGACTGAAGTGGAGGTGGGAAAGAGATATTGGAAATGTTTCTTTCAATAATCTCCAATTAAAGGAGAACTAAGGTCTTCTTATCAATGAACTCAAAGAAAGAACTCAAAGAGAGGAGCATCTTTTTAGTTATAATGGCCACAGATGTTAGTATCTGAAGTTAATAATTTTCAAAAGAGAAAAATATCTGGGCACATTTGTCACTTTCATAATACCTAGACTTATTTTGTCATTTTTAAAGAATACTGCAGTTAATATTGGAAATATATTTGCCTCCTTCCTGGGCTGAGGATTCTCAGCCTGACCTTAGGCCATTCTTTAAGGATTTGCAAAGTGAAGCCCTAAATGAAAAGATGAGTCTTTTCAGTTCTTTCTAAAGGTCACCATGCTGAAGATCATAGTAACCTTTAATTTGTGAGTCCCAAGATACCAGAAACACCCATGTAATATAAACTGAGATTTTTCTTTATTTTGTTATCTAGTGTTAATCAATAAAGTTCACGTTTTCAAAACACACGTATTTTAAAATCAAAGAGGCTGTGTGTATGTTGTACATAGTTCAGTAAAATTAATCCTCCCTATTTTAACTTTTATTCTTATGAACAAAAGGAAAGGAAAGAAAACCCAAAACGGTCAAGTGAGATTTTTGTATTAGTCAAAAGCCCAGGATGAAAAACAAAAGTTTCTTTTTTTTATACTGAAATACCCACATGACAGCAGAATACTAGAGCATAATTATTTGTTTATATTTCACTTAGATACAGAGTAAATTATGTCATATATTATATAATCATATAAAAGTATCTTTAAGTACTTTGACATATCTTAATTTACATCACAGATTGCACAGGTGGTGGTACAGTTTCTAAACAATAAAAAATTAACACCAAAAAAAGAAGCATTGATTTGACATTATTAAAAAATACCATGAACAAAATATGAAGCCAAATAGCAAACAGACAAAAATAGCTACAATAACATTTTATATATATATATAAAAATATACAAAAGCAGCTGATCAATAAATAAGAATTAAAAAATAAATACTCAGTTTAAAAATAGAGAAAACTAAAGAGTTTAATCATACATCAAATTTATCTACATCACTCAATTTCTACCTTAGTTCTAATTATCATAATTTTTCTTTCTCTCAGACTGTGAAATAGCCTCCTGTAGTCGTCTCCTAATAGTCTTCACCTTTGCCTTTTTCTAATCAATCCATTTTCCATGGATCAGCCAAATAATCTTAACACATTAATTTGATCATGATCTTTCTACCAGTTTAAACTTTTTTATTGTGTACCATTACCTTTAGATCAAATTCAAAATTCCTATCGATAGTTACATTATCCTTCATGAAGTTGTGATGGTTAATTTTATGTGTCAACTTGACTGGATTAAGAGATACCTAGATAGCTTGTAAAGCATTATTTCTGGAATTGTCTATGAGGTTGTTTATGGAAGAGATTGGTATTTGAATCAATAGAATGAGTAAGGAATATCTGCCCCCATCAGTATAGATGGGCTCCATCCAATCAGCTGAGGGCACATGTAAAAATGAAAACACAGAGGAGGCAAATTCTTTCTTCCTGACTTGCTTTCTTTGTCTATCTCTTCTGGAGCTGGGACATCCATCTTCTCCTGCCCTTGTACACCAGAACTCCAGGTTTTCCTGACTTTGGACTTTAGGACTTGCATCAGCAGCCCAGGTTCTCAAGCCTTTGGCCTCAGACTGAGAGCTACACCATTGGCTGCTCGTTTCTCAAGCCTTCAGACTTGGACTGAGCCATGCCACCAGATTCCCTCACTCTTCAGCTTGCAGATGGCATAGCATCGGACCTCTCAGCCTCCATAATCATATGAACCAATTCCCTTAATAAATGTCCTGTCATCTATCTAATCTTCTACTGGTTCTGTTTCCCTAGAGAACCCTAATACAGAGGTTATTTCAATATAGTCCACTGTAATTTTTTCCCAGCCACTCCCCTTTCTTCTAGCAAGCTCTGATCCAATAATATCCATCTTACATGCATTCATTGAACCTTCTAAGCTTCTTCCTATCATAGGCTTACTTAGTGTCTTTGGAAAGCTCTCCCCTAACAATGGCAAGTGACTGGCTTCCTAATTTAATTCTGGACCCTGCTTAAATATGCCAAGTTCTTTCACATCTGAGGTTTTTAGCATATTCTTCTAAATCTTCCTTAAATTTTCTACCTATTTCTTTTCAAAAATCTGGCTGTTTATTATCCTTTATTCTCCAATTATATATAAACTTTACAGAAACATTCTTCATAAACATCGTGTTTGAAAGGTATTCCTTATTTCTGGTTTTAAAATAAAGGCTATCTTCTTCTTTACTCAGAAATTATACCCAATAAATTGATCAATGAGAAAATAAAACTTAAGTTTTATCTTCTATAGTACATGGTAATATCTATGGTTCAGGCCAACTTTTGTGACATTCACCAAAATTCTTGCCTGTATATATACCCTGTTTAATTCTCTTATGAGAATATGATAGAGCATCACATCCATGATTAGGTTACTAATCAGTCGACTTTAACAAAAGGGAAATTTTCCTGAATGGGCTTGACCCAACTTGATGAGCTTTTATAAAAAGGTAAAACTTCAGAGACATTCTTCTCCTAGAATCCAAAATGAAAAAAAAAAAACTACCATGTTTTGGAAAAGGAAACATGGCAGGGATAATGTATAGATCCTACAAAATGAGGACCTGTCTTACAATTGCAGGGAACTCAATTCTGCCAACAACCAGTAAGCTTGGGAGGACCCTGAATCTTAGACAAGATAACAGTCTCTGCTGGTACCTTGATTTCATCCTGATGATAACCTGAGCTAAGAGCTCATTGTAGGTGTGCCTAGGATTCTGACCTACAGAACTGTAAGATAATAAATGTATGTTTTTTTTTTAAGTTGCTGAGTTTGTGGTACCTTGTTACACGGTAATAGAAAACTAATATATTCTATATAGAACACACATTATAAAGAACTTTCAAATTCAGTGGAAGTGAAATAAAAAGCGTAGAGATAGGCTAGGAGAAAAGGCTTGCAGTCATTCTTCTCAGAATTACATGATACACACTTGGAAAAAAATCAACAACCCATGTTTTGTACAGTAAGAACTGGCTACACAGGCTGATGTTTAAAATTCCACTGCACCTGTTTTTTTTCTCCATGGAGAATTAGGAAAAGCAAGTTTAAGTAATACATCACATTGACTTCTTAAATTTGGTATAACAGATGAAGGAAAAAAATTGGAAAGTCGTGAATAGCCTAGCAGTTGCTGATCTCTGCTGGATTAGGATGAAATAAAGGATAAAGTAACTCATATAAGTACGATCTTCCATCATGAGAAACTTTGTTAAGAATGGACAGAATTCTACCTAGATTGGCCCTAATTGGCCCTAATTCTTCCCAAGAACATGAATGACCAAGGAATATTTCACCTTATAAGAGAAATACTTACTAAAAAGGAACTAACATAGTCTTTATACAAAAATGCAATTTAAAAACAAAAAATTGGACATGAAAGAAAACAAATGTGTCAGTAGGGAAGACTTTACTATTTATCATGAAGGCTATGCAAATCCCTAGAGCATTCAAGTGTTTGTATATAACAAGAACACATGGTATATTTCAGAGACACTAGTAATAAAGCAGTATTGAGAGATAAAACCTTAATTAGCAGTGCTCAGGAAAAAAATTAGAAAATAAATCTTAAGTAAATTATATTTTCTTCTTTTTTTAAAGATATACAAAGCTAAAATAACATTGATTCTGGCCTAATAATAACAAAAATCTAGATCATCGACAAAGTTATAATTTTTCTTGATTCCATTAGAGTTGAGGCAAGAGATGAATCCAGCTAAACTGACTTAGAGTAACATGTTCGTCTAAGAAGAGGCAGAACCTAAGAATGACAAGTTTCACATTTTTCAGAGCTCAGGAGGAAGAGATATTGTCATAAAACAAGTTTAAGAACTGCAAAATATTCATAAGTTTAAAAAATCCTAATGGATGCTAGAGTGGCAGTTGTGAATCTCCAGAAGTCCCCATCACAAGAAAATTCCAAATGTGCTTACCAGCTCTTTGGAGCCTCCACTGGTAGTCACAAGAGAGAACATAGGCAGAGCAGAAGACCTGAGAGAAACACTTTTTATGTCACAAAGGAATAAGACCCTATAAACTTCCCAGATCACCCTCAAGAAAAAAAAAAAAAAAAAAAAAAAAAAAAGCCTTAAGCAACTGAAAGAGGAGCAAAAAACCATGCCAGTCCTGGTAGTAGGCAAAAATCTACTGCACTAGGGAGGGATAAAACCAAAAGCCATTTGACATTAGGGGAAAGACAGAAAACCACTCAAGCCAAGGACCCTGCACTGATGCAAAGTAGATGACCTCCATTTTGGGAGTTAGACAAGAGATTTACTATTTTAAAATATCCTTACCCTAATAGTATGAGAAAAAATCAGGCTTTTATGGAGACGGGGCAGAAAAACTGAAAAGGCTGCGCCCACAAAACAGGTAAACAAGACCTGCCTAAGAGGATGAAGCAAAAATCAAGAAAATTTCCACAGCTTTCTCAATGATAAATCTCAAACCAAATAGCAGGCAAGAATAGGCTCTCTCTGAGGGAGGAGATAAGGTTGAAGAATGCTCTATTCTAGGGTACAAATTTGAATCACCTGGTAGAATCTGGTGGTGGAAGAGGAACCCTAAGAAAAAAATTCAGGTATTTCAGGTCTCATACTAAACACAAGATAACATTAGCCCACCAAACGAGCAGTTTTTTGTCTCTAGTGCACTAAAAGTTAAAGAACACAAAAATCTAATTTAACTAATGGCTGCATTGACTCAATTTCCCATAATATCAAGCTGACAAAAATTTGGGTTGTAAATTATAAAATTATTTGGGTATAAATTATATTTACTTCTTTTTTTAATGCAACATTTAGCATTAGTAAAAAGTTACAAGACTCACAAAAATTCAGGTGAAAGAAACCAAATCTGTTGTGAAGAGATAAAGCAGTCAATGGAATTAAACTCAGAGAACGCTCAGAAGCTGAGACAACCACATAGAAACTTAATTTAAATAACTGAAACTATCTAATGGAATAAGTGAACAACATGCAAACATATAAAGAATTTCAGCAGAAATATAAAAACTATAATATAGTGCAAAATGAAAATACTAAACATTTTAAATATAAAAACAGAATATCAGAGATGTAAATGTCTTATTAGGCTAATCATCAGAATGAACCCAGTAAGAAAGTAATGGTGAACTTGAAGACCCACTAAAACTACACAAACCAAAATGTAACAATAAAAGATAATAGCAAGAAACAAAATTAAGAAAATTCAAAAGCTAAATACATATCAAATGGTCTAACATTCATATAACCAGAGGCTTAGCAGTGGAGAAAGAACAAGCAAAAACAAAGGTAAAGATACATTAGTTGAGAATTTTCCATAAGTACTAAAATACAGCAAACCATAAATTTAAGTAGCTCAGAGAAAATTATTTATACATAACTTTATAAAATTACCTGTATATATAATTTTCTCTGAGCTTCTTAAATTTATATAATTTTCTCTGAGCTTCATATATACACATCAAGAGACATTTTAGTCAAACTGCTTGAAACTACAGGCAAGGAAAGACATTGAACACTTCCAAATTAAAAAGAAATAATACACACAGAAAGGAAAATATAAGAATTACAATAAACTTTTCATCAGAAACTATGTAGCCCAGAAGACAATAGTAAAATCTTTGAAATACTGGCAAAAAAAAAAAAAAAAAAAAAAACTAACAACCTAGAATTCTGTACCCAGCAAAGATACATTCCAAAAATTTTTTTTTCTAAGACAAGAGCAAGATCTCAAATAATTAATTACCAGAACATCTACACCACAAGAAACACTAAAGATTTTCAGAAAGAAGGCATATAATAACAAATGGTTACACAAAAGTGAAGAATATCAGAAGTATTAAAAACCTAGGTATATGAATAAAGTGCACAGTTAAGTCTTTCTTCCCTGTTTGAAAGACAATTGTACAGAGCAAAAATTCTAACAATGATTATTGGTTTTATAACAAATATAGCAAGCAGTAGAATATATAATAACAAAAACACTGAATATGGTAAAGATTAAATAAAATGGTTGTAAGGTTCTTATACTATATGTGAAGTGGCATAATAATATTGAAAACATATAATAATTTAAAGATGTGTACTGTAAATCCTAAGGCAACCACATAAAAATATAAATGAGGTATGACAAATGAACCAATAGTGGAGATGCAATAGAATACTAAAAAATATTTTTCTAAAACATAGGGAGAAGAATAGAAAAAAATGAAAGCCAACAAAGAAAAGATGAAATATATAACAAAAGCAAGATATTTCAACATATTAACAACTGCATTAAACGTAAATGAATGAAACATATAAATTATACAATAGAGATAATCAGATTGAATATAAATGTAGTACCAAACTATTTGCTGCTTACAAAAAAAAGAAAAACCTACAGAAAAAAAATACTTATGTGGAAACACATACATAGGTATAAAACAAAAGAATGAAATAGTTATATTATGAAAACACTAGTGGCTATATTCTTATAAGGCAAAGTAGACAAGGCATGTTACCAGTGATAAAAGAAGACATAACATGATGATAAAAGAGCTATTTCATCAAAACAACAAAAACATATGAATGTATGAATCTAATCATAGCTTTAAAATACAAAATGGCAAAACTATTTGTACTGAAAAAAGTTAGATTTCAACACTCTTCTCTCAATAGTTTATATAAAAATAGAAATAAAATCAGAAAGTGCATAACAAATTTGATATTTTTAATCCACTTTTTGTAGTTGACATTTATATTCTACCAGCAATAGAGAAATATACATTCTTTCCAAGTGCTCATGAACATTCAGCAGTATAGACAATTCCTGTACTAAGAAGCAAATCACACAGAATTTAAAAGAATTAAATAATAATAATTGTATTACCTGAACCTAAATAAATTAAACTTGGAATTACTTTTTCAAAAATTTTAATGTAAAGTCCCTATTTTTAAATTAAACTATACTCTTATAAATAACACATGATCAAGGAAAATATAATAAATAAATTAGATAACATTAGTTAAATTAAAATTCAAAGCTGTAATATGCAGTGAAACTAATGTTTAAAGAAATTTAATAATTTAAAGTAATATGCAGCAAAACTAATGTTTAGAGAAGAATTTATATCAGTAAAATAAAATAAGCATGGTCTCAAAGCAATAAAGCTTCCAATTTAAGAAACTCAGAAAAGGGATGGCTCATGTCTGTAATCCCAGCACTTTGGGAGGCCAAGGTAGGCAGATTGTGTGATTCCAGGAGTTCAAGACTAGCCTGGGCAACATGGCAATACCTCATCTCCGCAAAAAATACAAAAAATTAGCAGAGTGTGGTGGCATATGCCTGTAGTCCCATCTACTTGAGAGGCTGAGGTGGGAGAATCAATGAGCCCAGGAGGTTGAGGGTGCAGTGAGCCGTGATTGTGCCACTGTGCTCTCCCCTGGTAACAGAGTGAGACCCTGTCTCAAATAAATAAATACATACATACATACATACATACATACATACATACATACATACATAAAATATCTACATTGTAGCAAAAAAAAAAAGAAATTGAAATCCAGAATTTTATATAATTTAAATTTGAATTAAAAAGCACAAAGTGCTTACGGACAAATTTTAATAATATATGTGTAAGACTAGCACACTAAAAATTATGAAATAATACTGAAAGAAAGGGTGATATAAATAAATGCAGAGATTTATGGTGTTTATGGATTGAAAGATCCAATATCATTAAGTTGTTCATTCTCAAATTAATCTGTAGATTCAAGGTAAGCTTAATTAAAATCTCATGAGCCATCTGCCTGGCTTGATTTTTAAAATTGACTTGTTTCCTGTGATCTTGCTAAACACAGTTATTTGTACTCATATATTTCTTTTAATCTTTTGGAACTGCCTATTTAGATAATTGTGGTGTGTGCAAATATAGACAGTTGTATTTATTTTATTTTAATCTGTATGCTTTTAGTTTTTTTTTTTTTTGCCTTATTTGGTAAGTTGGATATGATAGAAAAATTCCTTGAAAAACACACCCTATTAAACTCACTCAGAAAGAACTAGAAAACCTAAATAGTTCCATATCTATTTCAAAGATAAACACATAGTTAAATATTTTGGCTAGGATCTCCAGTACAATGTTGACTGGAAGAAGTGAGAGCCAACATCTTAACTTTCTTTCTGATATTCAGAATAATGCATTCAGTCTTTTACTATTAAATATATTACTGGTAGGTTTATTCCTGATGTCTTTTATCAGAATAAGGGAGTTTCCTCTTTTTCTTGTGCACTGAGAGATTTTCTTACGAACAAATATTGAATTTTTTCAAATATTATTTCTGCATCTACCAAGGTAAATTTAAAAAATATGTTCATGTGGCGAATTGTATTGATGTATGTTTTACTTAGTGTTCTCCAGAGTAACAGAAGTGATAGAAGGTGTACTT